>NC_000008.11:56552265-57177265 GCF_000001405.40 Homo sapiens
ATTAGACTGATCAACAAGACACAAAGTTAACAAGGATATCCAGGAATTGAACTCAGCTCTGCACCAAGCGGACCTAATAGACATCTACAGAACTCTCCACCCCAAATCAACAGAGTATACATTATTCTCAGCACCACACCACACTTATTCCAAAATTGACCACATAGTTGGAAGTAAAGCACTCCTCAGCAAATGTAAAAGAACAGAAATTATAACAAACTGTCTCTCAGACCAAGTGCAATCAAACTAGAACTCAGGATTGAGAAACTCACTCAAAACTGCTCAACTACATGGAAACCAAACAACCTGCTCCTCAGTGACTACTGGGTACATAAAGAAATGAAGGCAGAAATAAAGATGTTCTTAGAAACCAATAAGAACAAAGACACAACATACCAGAATCTCTGGGACACATTTAAAGCAGTGTGTAGAGGGAAATTTATAGCACTAAATGCCCACAAGTGAAAGCAGGAAAGATCTAAATTTGACACCCTAACATCACAATTGAAAGAACTAGAGAAGCAAGAGCAAACACATTCAAAAGCTAGCAGAAGGCAAGAAATAACTAACATCAGAGCAGAACTGAAGGAGATAGAGACAGAAAAAAATCCTTCAAAAAATCAATGAATCCAGGAGCTGGGTTTTTGAAAAGATCAACAAAATTGATAGACCACCAGCAAGACTAATAAAGAAGAAAAGAGAGAAGAATCAAATAGACACAATAAAACATGATAAAGGGGATATCACCACCGATCCCACAGAAATACAACTACCATTAGAGAATACTATAAACACCTCTACACAAATAAACTGGAAAATCTAGAAGAAATGGATAAATTCTTTGACACATACACCCTCCCAAGTCTAAACTAGGAAGAAGTTGAATCCCTGAATAGACTAATAACAGGCTCTGAAATTGAGGCTATAATTTATAGCCTACCAACCAAAAAAAGTCCAGGACCAGAGAGATTCACAGCTGAATTCTACCAGAGTTACAAGGAGGAGCTGGTATCATTCCTTCTGAAACTATTCCAATCAATAGAAAAAGAGGGAATCCTCCCTAACTCATTTTATGAGGCCAGCATCATCCTCATACCAAAGCCTGGCAGAGACACAACAAAAAAAGAAAATTTTAGATCAATATCCTTGAGGAACATTGATGCAAAAATCCTCAATAAAATACTGGCAAGCTGAATCCAGCAGCCCATCAAAAAAAAGCATGATCAAGTGGGCTTCATCCCTGGGATGCAAGGCTGGTTCAACACACGCAAATCAATAAACGTAATCCAGCATATAAGCAGAACCAAAGACAAAAACCACATGATTATCTCAATAGATGCAGAAAAGGCCTTTGACAAAATTCAACAGCCCTTCATGCTAAAAACTCTCAATAAATTAGGTATTGATGGGACATATCTCAAAATAATAAGAGCTATTTATGGATTGATGTTTTTATACATATTAGACTGTTTTGATGAGATGGCCTTGCCAAGTAGGTGTTTGTTTTGTTTATTTTCTTCCTTCTGTGTAAAGATTTTTAATTCCTTGAACCATCCTCTAGTTCCTATGGTTTTCTCATTGTTCTCTTAGGAAAGTGAAAGGTAATAGGAAATATGCACTCTTTACCCTTTCTTTGTTCTCGGGGGGCATTGTGATGTTACCTTGAGTCCTGTATTGAGTTTTCAGTGACAATGCTATGAGGCATGTGAGTAAGCATTTAATAATGACCAAGAACTAAGTCAGATTCAAACCCAGCAATACAGAATTCTCATTTTAATTTCAAGTTATGGATATTTGTCTTTGATTTTTATGGATTTTCCCATTTTTAAACAAACAAGTTTTCAATGCTTATCTTCTCAGTAAGAGATGGGAAGGCCTATGAACATTTTAGCAACCCAAAAGATGATTCCTCAGTTTTTTCCTAAGGGGAATGTTTTATTTATAGGTAATCAAAGGAAATGTTTGTTTCCACAGGGAAGTATGGATAAAATATAAAATCTGTTTTTCAGTATCAACTAGGGTTCACTAGGCAGTATGTTGGTACAGAGATGTAAATGTGAAAAGGAAAAATGTGAAGAAGAATTATTTTTAAATATAAGTTGCCACTTCTGTAACTCCCCCACCCCAAAAAAGAGATTAGAGTTGTCCAAGATAGCTGTAAACTTGAGTTCCTATTAATTTGCATATATATTCAGGGAATGAGATTAAATTAACAAAGGAGGAGAGAAAGCAACTCTGGACCTGGAGCACAACTGCTGTTGTGTTGATGCAGAAAATGACTGGCTCACAGACTTTCTGCAGAAGCTGCCACAATTCTTTGAGTTGTGTTAAGAAAAAACTCTGGAGCTCAAGAGAGTCTGGCTTTGAATCTAGGCTTCACCATTTATGGATTATATGAATTTAAGCATATTACTTAACCTCTAGGTTCAGTTACCTTGTCTATAAAGTGGGCACCAACAAAATACCTTGAAGTTTTAAAAAAAAATAGAACTAAGTAAGTTAATATTTGTGTAACTCATGCTGCAGTTTCTGACAAAATAAAAATTCTTAAGTGTTTACCTTTTTATATTACTCAACTAACAAGTATTTACCACTAATATTTGACATGTAATTAAAATTTTCAAACATTTAATTTTTTTCCTTGTGTTAAGATAAAATTATAGTGACATTAATAAAAAGATAACAGGTAAGGATTGTCCTTTGGTTAACTTCGGTTAATTTTAAGTGGTGTTAGTGTGATATGACTTTAGCATTACTCATTATTGGTTATTCTATGTATCAGTTAGGGGAGAGAAATCATCCAGAAATTTGAACAGGGAAAGATGAACATAAAGAATTATTAACTGTAACAGGAGACTGGAGTAAGGAGTGTTTGGCTAATAAGAACTAGAGGAATATTGGCATAGCAGCTGGAAGGAGCTGCCATTCCCCGAGGCACTGGCAGGACTTGCTGGAAATCCACCCTCTGGAACTCACTGGAGATATTCCTTCTAAGGTGACAAGGGAAGCTGTTTGTGGGAATGTATTTCCCAGGAGGCACTGAGCCTTTGCACCCAGTGCCCAAGAGAGACTGTAGGAGGCAGCTGCTGGGTGCCAGGCACCCCTGGCTGCCTTGCCCTGCAGGAGCCTGGGAGTATGGGGGAGCTGTCTGCCCTGCAGGAACCTGTCTAGAACAGGAAGCAAAACACTTGTGCAGTATCTCACCAGTGGCCTTTACTGACAAAGCTTAATATCATAACATTTAGCAAAGCGAAAATACTTTAGTGGCTCAGAACCATTTTCACAGAGCAAGCAAAAAGGGTGAATTTGGAGCTGAGCGTGAGTAAGTGGCTAACTCTGCTAGTAGGAGAAACACTTTTCCAAATATTTATGTGAAATATATATGGTAAGACTTATGAAATGAGAGAATGTAAAGATACAAAGTACCTGAGAGCTTACCCCTGGTCAGTTACAGAGAGCCTGAACTGCCTTGTTTTTGTCTTTTAGTACATTTGTTTTTCTTGTAGTGAACTTGGAATGTAAAGCTTGAATTGACAGACCCTACAAGAAGCAACATTATGAAATTTGGGTTTATGGTTATAAAAACATTGTTAAAAACATTATTCATCATGCTACATAGAGTTTTCCAATGAGTACTCTGTGAAGAATTCTGTCTGGTTGCAGTTCTGATGAGCAATAGATCTTGTTTCTCTTAAGACATGAAACACAGCAGAGCAGTAGCTATCCTGAAGTTGGGGTCATTAAACACTAGTCAACACTGGATATTGATTTGTGCAACTGATGAGATTAGGAGGCAGTTTAAATAAGAAATTAATCAAAGGCGGAGATTAAAAAAACAACAGGAAACATGCATGAGACTAATACAAACATTGATAATGTAAATGTACTTCCTAGGGTAGAATATAAATTTTTCCCTAAAGTTTCTTTCCAGCAGCTTTATGAATTAATTGGTATTTGATTGATTGATTGACAACTCCAGTTATTAACTAAATTGAATCAGCTGGGAAACATTGCCTGGATTACTTCCTCAGAATTATTTCTGCACAGGGACTATATGATTGAATGTAATCAAATAGACTCAAGAAAGAATTAAATTCTTTAAAGTCACTTAGGCTTTTAATTTTTTCCCTCCTTTTTTGTTTTTGTCTAATAATTGAATACTCATTTAAAAAATGTGTTATTGATATATCTAAGGAATTAAATGTCATTGAACTAATGTTACCTGTAACGAGGAAGAAATTGTTATTGAAAGAAGGGAAATAAAAAGAGAATAAGTTCTGCAAGACTACTTTTGTGCCTATGTTTATTTGATGAATTCTGGTAAGGGAGACATATGTGTCTTGCAATCATTGTATACACATTGAGCTTATATGCATATTGCTTTAAAATGCTCTGTATTCAATATTTCTACGTCTCCACTTTCTGTTTAAGATCCATCTAGTTTCTCCTGGACAGGAACTATGTATTCTCTGCTTAAAACAGAAACATCTTGCAAAACTGGCTTGAGTTGGTGATGCTAAGTATGCAAATAGCAGGGAGCGCTGTCTAACTAATAAGAAAGTTTAGTTTGCCAGAATTCTATTCATATCAAAGAATCTCAGAAATAGTTAGAAAGTCTGTTTTGGTAGCTACTTACTACCTTCATGATCATCAATAGTTTATGGTTCTATGGTTGCTACTTTTCCCAGTAGCATTTGTGCTTCCTATTTGATTTTTTGAAGATTTTTGTCAGGTATTAAATAGATTGATTTCTTTTTAAAAAACAGCATAACCCAATAAATCTTTTTCTAGATGCTACTTAGTGGCCCATTCCCACTTCCCGTTTTGCATGTGGTCTTGATAAGGTTGCCCCATTCAACTAATTTGTGCTTAGTAGGAAGGACACTTGAGAGCAGTTGGGACCAGTGTCTGTAATAAATAAATATGAATTCATAATTAGGCAGAGTGAGAATGCCCAGAATGGTTTATCATCACAACCATTCCCAAAGCAGGGTTGAGGTCTTATGGGGAGGCCTTACTCTGCTGTTTGTGATCATCCCCAGCTGGCACACAAGCCCGCTGAGTCTGCAATGATGTCTTCTCAAAGTATATTCAAATATTTGCATTTAAATCAAGAGAGTAATAAAAATGTCAGTTTTAAAAGAGATTATGATTTAAATGGTCTGTTAGAAAAACTACAGCAACATTGCTTCTCTCAAAGAAGAAGGCTGAAAGGATAATTAGACATCAGCAGAATACCAACACATTACTGGGAAAAAGAAAGGGCACAGGAACTTCTAAAATTCACAGAAATAAAAATCAGCACAGGGACCTAGACCTTCATTAGAACCGAGTGATGAGATGAGCTACTAATGTTGATGAACAGCAGTATAAATGTTGTAAGGTTTCAGAATATTCCTTGGGATTACTCAGGGAGTGAAAAATTGACACATTTTACATTCTCTTTTGGATTTAAAATAGCCAATAAAATTAGTTTTCCTAACATATACTTAAATCAATATGCACGCTGCAAGAAGCCAAGTTCGAGGGCACAATTTAGCAGATATCATGTGTTAGTTGTTGCTACTGTTAACAGCCTTCTCTTTTTTTCCTGGGGTCAGAGCCAATTAAGAGACGTATAGAAGACTGAGAGTTAGAGATCAAAATACCGGCTTTATGGCTTATCAAAGCCAGATAGGAGAATAGGGTTTTATGTGTGGGCCAAAGGGGATACTAATTTCTCCCCTATGAACTGAAGTCAATTCCGTACACTGCGCGGGACTGCACCTAGGGCAGTGAGGGTGGGGTGCTGCCCCCTAGCGGAGGGCTCCGGTGCACACAGGCGACAACAGCCACAGACCCACCGCCCTCCTGCTCTATCTCCTTTGGTAATTCATGAGACAGTTTCCTGGGAAGTCCCATGTTTAATTTTCATCTTAATTGACTTTGAAACAGTATTCTCTGTGTAGCCATGAGAAAATGAGAATTTGTTTCTTATAGATCTCCACTGAACTACTTTATCATTTCTGATTGAGTCAATTCCTTATTTTCCTCTCGTAAATAACACCCACTCGCCTCCAGGTTAAAGTTTTCCTTACTTGACAAAATCAGATACTAAACAAAATATGATTAAAATAAGTCGAAACTCTTGCTCATCCTTACCAGAGTTGCACAAATTCTATCTTGAATATAACAGGCACAGTCTCGGGATTTTCTTACTCTGATTCAAATACAAAGTGAGCAGCTGGTTTATGGCCCAGCAGGAGCCAAGGGCGACCCACCTACCTCCTAATCTAGAGCTCTTCCCACTTCGCAGCACTTGCCACATAAGTAAGATGGAGGTCTCACAGAGCAGTTGCGAGTGCACTGTGGAGGCAGGTGGCTTTGAGTTTGGATTTCAGCTGTGCTCTGACTAGCCCTGTGACTTTGAGAGAGGTTATGACCTTCCTGGGTCTCCAGTGTTTCATGGGCAAAATGCAGACCACAACGTTTCTGTTGCAATATTGCTGTATTTAAATGAGATTATGTGTTTGAAATGCATCTTACTGTGCCTGTGGTAGCTTAGCACTAATAAGTGCTGGCATGACCCATTGTTAAGCTGCACTTACCCATAGTATGAATAAAAAATAGTTTAATTTTACACAAGTTGTAAATGAAAAGGGAATGAGTATGTAAATAAACCATTTGAAAAGATACATCAGTTACATGGCTTCTTCCTAGAAACCAGTCGTCGGCAGAAGCGATCTATCGACACCTTCTTTCTTTTCTCATTTCTGGTTTGGTTTCTGGCTGCTCTTCCTCATTTTTTCCTTTTGTGGCTGCCTTGTGTCTCTGTGAGACCACTGGGGCTTTGTTCCTCCAATCTTGTCTCCCTCTGTCCAACCACAGCTACCTTTCTTCGTCCTCACAGCCTGATGTCATGATAAGGGGAGTAACTTCCCCCTTCCACATATAACAGAAAGTAACACTTCAGCAACCCCCAACTCTGGAGTTAATAACTCAGTTTTCTTTTGGTTCTGGAACAGTTCAAAGCTCTCTCTCTCTTTTTTCTTCTTTTAAAAATGTATTTGACAAACACTATGTAGTACTTGCTATGTGCCAGACACTGTTCTAAGCACTTTACAAGTATTAAGTCATTTTATCTTCCTATATCTAATCCAATTTTATATAAAACAGAAACCAAAGCAGAGAAGGGCTTAGTAACTTACCTGAAGTTACCCAGCTGGTACTTAGTGGAAGCAGGATTTCAGGCTGAGGAGTCTGGCCCCGGTCTCTGTGCTTTTAGCAGCTCAGCCCAGCTGCTTCTCGGCCACCCTTGCGACATCATCTTCCATCTCACACTGCCAAGGGCAGGAATGCCAGACTTATTAGAAAAGCCTTGAAAAACTTAAGAATGTAAGTATTAAAAAGTTCAGCATCTCAAATATTTATCATTGCTTTGTAGTGAGAACACTTAAAATCTTTTCTTTTAGATGTTTTGAAATACATAGTACATTAACTATAGTCACCATGTTTTGCAATAAACCACCAGAACTGATTCCTCCCATGTAACTGAAACTTTGCACTCTTTGGCAAACATCTCCCCTTTCCCCGACTTCCCCACCATAAACACATACAACTTTTATTTGCCAATTAAAAATAAAATAAAAACAAAAAGAGGTGCAACGAACAGTTGTGCTTTCATCATCCAAAACACTAAGGGTAATGCTGGTCCAAGAGAATGACAGATTTTTGAGGATGGTTTTGTTGTTTTTATTTTGTTGGTAGCACAGAGGAGTTGGGAGAGTTCTGAACACAGAAAATGAAAGAGGAACTGGAGCAGGGGACAGGAAATTTACAAATGTCAGAGCTGAAGTAGTAGAGCAAAAGAGGGACTATTGGTTGGGCTTACGGGATCATTGTGGAGTTTACCATTGTCATCCTGAGCAAAGCACAGGGCTGAGAACAAGGAGGGAGAGGGAGGAAAGAGCCTCGGATAAGGCAGTGCTGGGGCCAGAGGGAAGGCTGCTGTCATCTCTCAACTGGGATTAGCTACCCCATGCCTCCCGGGCTTTTTGCCTTTCTGAATTTGGGGGTGGCTATGCCTCAGAGATGTGCTCTTGGAGGAAACTGAAGCACACTGAAAGTGAAATGTCACCTCAGTTATGAATGATCCTGATGAAGACGGTAACCAGGAAGTGTCTGAAGCCTGAAGCCACCACTCTATAAACACCAAATGTATTGCTGAGCTCGAGAATAAAAATGATATGTGTTAACTGTAGGCAAGGGACACATAAGCAAGGCAAAGTATTACCAAGAGGCACAATTTTTTTTTAATTGTTATATATTTTTGTTTAAAAATTTTAAGAATACAATACATTGTTGTTAGTTATATTACCATGTTGTATAATAGCTCTCTTGAATTTACTACTCCTGTCTAACAGATATTTTATATTCTTTGACCAACATCCTCCTAACTCTCCCATCCCTGTCCCTGGTAAGCACCATTCTATTCTCTACTTCTTGGAGTTAGACTTTCTTAGATTCCACACATAAGTGAGGTCATGCAGTATTTGTGTTTCTGTCCTGGCTGATTTCAGTTGGCATAATGTCCTCCAGGCTCATCCATGTTGTCACAAGTGACAGGATTTCCCTCTTTTTAAGGTTAAATAATAATCCATTGTGTATATATGCCACATTTTCTCTATTCATTCATCTGTTGAGAGATACTTAGGTTGATTTCACATTTTAGCTATTGTGAATAATACTGCATTGAACATAGGAGTGCGGGTGTCTCTTTGATACACTGATTTTAATTTTTTTGGATAGATACCCAGTAAAGGGATTGCTGGATCACATGGTAGTTCTATTTCTATTTTTTTCAGTAACTTCTGTATAGTTTTCCATGCTGGCTGTATGAATTTACATTCCTACCAACTGTATACAATGGTTCCCTTTCCACTACATCCTCACCAACACTTGTTATCATTCATCTTTTTGATACAACCATTCTAACAGGTGTGAGAGGGTATCTCATTGTGGTTTTAATGTACATTTCTCTGATGATTAGTGATGTTAAGCATTTCTCATGTACTCATTGATCATTTGTATCTCTTATGTTAAGAAATGTCTTTTCTCATCCTTTGCCCACTTAAAAATCAGGTTGTTTTCTTGCTATTGAGTTGTTTGTGTTTCTTACGTATTTTCAATGTTAACCCTTTATCTGATACATGGTTTTCAAATATTTTCTCCCATTCTATAGGTTGTTTCTTAATTATGTTGATTGTTTCCTTTACTTTGCTGAATCTTTTTAGTTTGATGTGATCCTGTTTGTCTAGTTTTGCTTTTTTATTGCCTGTGCTTTCTTGGTCATTCCCAAAAATCATTGCCCAGACCAGTATCATAGAGCTTTGCCCTTCTGATTTCTTCTAGGTAGTTTTACAGATTCTGGTCTTAGGTTTAAGTCTTTAATCCATTTTGATTTGAGGTTTGTGTATGATGGAAGATAAGGATCCAGTTTTATTCTTTTGCATGTGGGTATCCAGCTTTCCCATTGTCATTTGTTGAAGAGGCTCTCCTTTCCCCATTTAGTATTCTTGGGCTCTTCATAGGAACAAAGTGACACAATTCTTAGAAGTAGTGTTAGTACAATAAAACCCAAACTGGGCAGTAATATGGGTCTCTGGCACCTCTAGTTATTGTCTGTGGGACCCTGAGCAGTTTCAATAAGCTCTCTGTGCATTCATTCCCTGAACAGAAAAATGCAGAAAACACCTAAATGGTTAGCAATCATTACCAACAGGTTAGAGATGGCATTTGTTGAGTGTCTTGTTCAACACCTGGCAGATAGTAAGTGCTTAAATATTTTCTGAATGAATAGTGGGAATTCAAAACTACTAGTTTTCCACTGGAACAAAAAAAACTTAAAAGACTCCAGAGGCCCTGTTTATATTAAAAGCTTGTGAAAGCACAGGAGAGTAGTGCGTGGAATATGAGACCACACAGTTGCACCACCCAGAATTCAGGGTCATTACAGATTTGTCAGAGGTGTTTCATTTTCTGAATAAAAGAAAACAAATAAATTATTGTTCTTTTCAATATTATATTTGTATCAAGAAAATGTACAAGAAATGTAGAGTTTCATTCTCTGGGCAGGCCGTATCAGCTGAGGCATCAGAAAGAGACAACACAGCCCTCATTTGCTTCCATTGCTTTGTGGCAAGTCTAAGGATATTTCAGAGTGAAACAAATATGGACACAAAGGATCTGAGCTCCTTTTCCAGAAGCATTTTTTCTGAGGACAGACCCAAACAGAGATGGCTCAGTGATATAGTTTTGATCTGTGTCCCCTCTAAATCTCATGTTGAAATGTAATCTCCAATGCTGGAGGTGGGGCGTGGTGGGAGCCGTTGGGATCATGGGGGCAGATCTCTCATGGCTTGGTGCTGTCTTCCTGAGAGTGAGTTTTTGTGAGATCTGGTTGTTTAAAAGTGTGTGGCACCTGCCCCCTCACTCTCTCTCTTGCTCCTGCTCTGGCCATGTGATGTGCCTGCTCCCTCTTGGCCTTCTGCTGTGATTATACTTCCCAAGGCCTCCCCAGGAGCTGAGCAGATGCCAGCATCGTGCTTCCTGTACAGCCTGCAGAACCATGAGCCAATTAAACCCCTTTTCTTTATAAATTAACCAGTCTCAGGTATTTCTTTATAGCAATGCAAGAACGACTTAATACACCCAAGTGAACCACAGTCTATGTGATATTTGAGGACTGTGGAGAATGTGGCTGCTCCAGGAAAGCACAGAGGGACAGCTATGCTCCTCTCTAAGGAGAACCCCCTGTAACTGATGGCACAGAGCTCAGTGAAGGCAGCGCCATGGGCAGTTAACAAATGAACGATTAGCAGGAACCTAGAAGAGGAAAAACTGATTGCTGGGAGTCAGCACCAGTTGTCTCAGAAAAAAAATCTTTCCAGGCTGGGCGCGGTGGCTCATGCCTGTAATCCCAGCACTATGGGAGGCTGCGACAGGTGGATCACCTTAGGTCAGGAGTTCGAGACCAGCCTGGCCAACATGATGAAACCCCATCTCTATTAAAAATACGAAAATTAGCCGGGCGTGTTGGTGCATGCCTATAATCCCAGCTACTCGGGAGGCTGAGGCAAGAGAATCACTTGAACCCACGAGGTGGAGGTTGCAGTGAGTGGAGATCGTGCCACTGCACTTCAGCCTGGGCGACAAGAGCAAAACTCCATCTCAAAAAAAAAAATCTTTCCAGAATAAACATATGTGTATGTGTGTATATGTATATATATGATTGTGGTTTGGTACAGCAGGGAAATAGTATAGCTGTGTTTAAGTAAGAACTTGGTAAATCCTTTTTGATGATATGGTTAGGTAGACTCATAAATAGGTTGTTGAAAAATTCTTGTGTAGAATCTGAATAATGGTGATGATCTCATAGAAAACAGGTGCTCCTGGTATCCTCAGTGCTAGTGAACTGGTTAAATTTAATGATGAATTTGCTTCTGCAGAGACAACTTAAAGGTTATTCATGGTCTTGCAACATTAACATTTAGACACTTCTCTACAATTTCATGTTTCTTCTTGGAGGACTTGTTGATTTAATTTAAAAAATGTCATTTACTAATGGTAAAGGTCATTACATGAAAGGAAAATGATAAATCTCTAATATTCACTAATGAAGGATTTATGGTAAATATCACACACTTAGAATTATCTTCAAAGTAAGAATAACGCTTGTTTGGCCTTTTATTAAAGCTCCAACTATCAAGGCTAATATTTTATCAATCTTTTGTATTTTGATTTCCATTCTACTTCACTGCATGTCCATGTTCAGTGTATTAACTTGCTAAAAATGGAATTATAGGTGTCTTTAGGGATAAATATATAATTTTTGGCAGATTGAAGACATTTGCTAATAGTGAAGTCTTCCTCATTTAGCAGTGAAGTCTTCCTTTGTTTGAACAGTGTGAGGCCTCAGGGGTTGAACTGTAATTGATTCAGGCTAATCATATTAACCCCATTTGTTTTGCCAGTGATTTTTTTCCAGGTTTGTGCATGTGACCCAGTTCTGGCCAATGAGTCCAAATGGGAACTCTATTGGGGATTCTGGGAAAGATTTTTCTCCTTGACAGAAGAGAGAGTGGGGCAAAGAGAAAGCTCTTTTTGCCTTCTTTCCTCCCTCCCTTTGGACAACTGCTATGTGAGCATATGATGACTATAAAGAAACAAGCCCTGCTGGGTGCAGTGGCACACGCCTGTAATCCCAGCACTTTGGGAGGTTGAGGTGGGCGGATCACAGGTCAGGATGTTGAGACCATCCTGGCCAACATGGTGAAACACCGTCTCTACTAAAAATACAAAAATTAGCTGGGCGAGGTGACGCACGCCTGTAGTCCCAGCTACTTGGGAGGCTGAGGCAAGGGAATTGCTTGAACCTGGCAGGCGGAGATTGCAGTGAGCCAAGATTGCACCACTGCACTCCAGCCTGGGTGACAGAGTGAGACTCCGTCAAAAAAGAAAAAAAAATAAAAGCCCAAGGACAAAAGCCCACACGCTATGGATCATGAGGAAGGGTGAAAGTGTGGAGTCCTTGGTGGCATTGTTGGTGTGCCTGCCCAACCCTAGCACTGCCTGCCTCTGAATCCATATTAAGTAAATGGTGTGTTAAGCCCTGTTGTGTGCCATTATTTGCCGAGGAACAGATCCTAACTGATGCACAGGTGCTATAGTTTTAATGTCCCCTCCAAAACTCATGTTGAAATGTAATTGCCATTGTAACAGTGTTGAAAGGTGGGACCTTTAAGAAGTGATTAGGTCATGAGGGACTCTGTTTTTGTGAATGGATTAATGCCATTATTGTGAGGCTGGGTTCCTGATAAAAATGGATGAAGTTCCAGCCCCCAACCTCTCTCTGACTCATGCACTCTCGCTTCGGGCTCTCTCACCATGTGATGCCTTCTGTCATGGTATGATGCAGCTAGAAGGCCCTCACCAGATGCAGCCCCTTAATCCTGGACTTCCTGGCCTCCAGAACTGTGAGCCAAGTAAATATCTTTTCTTTATAAATTACCCAGTCTGAGGTATTTTGTTATAGCAGCAGAAAATAGACTAAAACGACAGGTATCCCTAACTTTTGGTAGGCCCCAGAACAATTTCTTGTAGTTGCTGTGGTATAAGTTCATGTTAAAAACCTGCAAGTTCTGAGACAGTGCATCAGTTCTCCCAGAAGTCAATGCAGCTTGCAGGTGTTGCATGGAGAAAGGAAAAGCACAGCTTGGCCATTGAGAGATTGTTTTGTTTGTTTGCTTATTGTGTTTGCTTGCACATGTTATGAAAATTAAATTAATTTGAAAATCCCTTTTTGAATGGATGATTTAGAGATAATATTTCAACATAAAAAAGATATATGTGTACTGAAAGAGTAAAATGAAAAATAAATGAGATCTGACATCCTCTGTTAGTGCATTTTTTACATTTATTCTCCATTCCATTTGATGTATTAAGGCTTTTTGGCTGTGAGCTTAATGATAAGCTCACAATCTTCCCCAGGAAAAAGCAATTTGAAAGTGGTTGTGGCTGAAGGCACATTATGATGGCAGAAAATCAAATAGAACACTGACTTCCATTTAAGATTGTCAGCTTGATGAATAGAGTGATGTTGACTTAAAGCAGACAGGACCTGACAGAGACGGTCTATTCCCAACAGGTGGAAGGCATGTGGAATGATTAAATAAAACATATTTGGTCACTCTATCCTAGAAACTATGTATTTCACAACTTTTGAACATACAGAATTAAAACAAACTAATACCTAGAAGCTTTCAAGCCAAATCCTCTTTAAATAATGTCCATTTTGATTAAGTTTGTAATCATGTACATATTTTCTCCTTTCTTCTTTGATGGAAATTTTGATTCTTTGCAAAATTTTTTACCTAATTTATTATTCAAAAATAATATGCTTTTTTGTTAACAATTTTATTTTCTAATTTGGGATGCAATCCTAATCTTGTGTGATTAACCTTGTACTTTGTGATTTTTCAGATATTATATTTGTGGATTTTCATAGTTCTTGACTTCTTATACAATCGGAGAATTAGTGGAGGCTGGTTATAAGTAGTAAGCATGACTCAAGTTTAAGGTATGAACCCTGCAGACTTACCAGTCAAACAAGATTGGAAAAATATAGGAGTCAAACATTTAAACTATTAATATTCACAGTTTCTAATGTATTTATTTAAACATTTCTTTCTCCCTCCTGCCCCTGCTTCTCTTACCTCTCTTCCTTTACGTAAAAAAAATTTTTATTGAATTCTTAGTGTGTGTCAAACTGGAGATGGAGGAATAAGAAACACTTGGCAACTTCAAAGCTCTCACTTTCTTCTGGAGGAAGAGACAGATAAGTGTAGGTATATGCAAAATGACACTCGCGATAGACTTAGTAAGCATGCTGGCAGAAGTTTGAAGAGCTTCACAAGATCATGGAGGAGGAACTTTGCTTAAGGAAGTCAGAAAACATAGATGAAAATGATGATTACATGGTTTCATTTATTTATACCAAAGAGTGTTACATACTTGGCATCTGTCTATTTAAACATTTGAGAGGAAGATAAAGATGAATGAAGACTAACTTCTGAAAGACTAAGTTCACCGGAGAAAACAATTAATGGGTTAAATATGTTTTATTTGTATTGAAGTATCTCTGTTTCAATGCAAGAAACAGAAGAAAGGGTGTGGGCAACGTGGGGATTCTGTAAGTTGGACATTTGAGGGCACAGAGGAACGGCTTATACAAAGGAACATACGTAAAGTGAGTAACACACACCTGGCATCATGGAAGAGGCCATGAAGAGGGATGAAATATGAGTAAAGACTACAGCTCGTGGTATGAAACCATTGTTTAAATACTGTTTTCAAAAATTTTTATGTTTCAAAGTTTTTATTATGGACAATCTCAAATAGGTGCAAAAGTAGAGAGAATAGTTTAAGGTCTAATAGTATTCGTATAATAATAGATAACTCTGCCCCCATCAAGTGCTCATCATCTGACTTCAACCAGTCTTATTTGATGCATACTCCCCTTCCTCCACCACAGGATTATTTTGAATTCCAGACATCATAGAATTAATTGCAGCTATAAATGTCTTTGTATTTATCTTTATAAGGTAATTCTTTTTTTCCTAAAACCATAAGATGCAAACATTATCTTATCTGAATTATTAATAATGAGTTCTAAATATTATCAGATTATCTAGTTAGTGTTCAAATTGTCACATGCATTTTTTTTTTCCAGTTGCTTAGTTTGAATCAGGATCTGATATGGTTTGGCTGTGTCTGCACCCAAATCTCATCTTGAATTGTAGCTTCCATAATTCCCACACGTCATGGGAGGGACCCTGTGGGAGGTAATTGAATCATGGGGGTGGGTCTTTCCCATGCTCTTCTCTTGATAGTGAATAAGTCTTATGAGACCTGATGGTTTTATAAAGGGGAGTTCCCCTGCACAAGCTCTCTTGCCTGCCACTTTATAAGATGTGCCTTTGGTCCTCCTTTGCCTTCCGCCACCATTGTGAGGCCTCCCCAGCCATGTGGAACTGTGAGTCCATTAAACCTCTTTTTCTTTATAAATTATTACCCAGTCTTGGGTATGTCTTTATTAGCAGTGTCAGAACAGACTAATACAGGATCCAAACAAGGTTCACTGATTATATCTGGTGAATATGTAGCTCTAATCTGTTTTCATCTACAGGTGTCCACATCCTGACATTTTTGGTTCCCAGCAATTCATTTATGAAAGAAAATAGGTTGTCATGTAGCATTCACTACATTCTAGACTTTGATGATTAGTATGATGAGTGTAAAATCATGCAAATATACAATTAACATGCTCTTCTAGATTGTAGATAGATCTAGATGCCTAATCAGATTCTATTCAATTTTTTTGGCATTGATACTTTCCAGGTGGTGGTGTGTATTTCTGAGAGGAGGCACACAATGTCATATTTGGTAATGTTAAGATTGATCAATGAGTTCCTAGTGTATCAGCCTGATTCATCCACTGTGATCTTACATATCAACTTTTCATCTTATGGTTTTAGTAACTAAAAACCATGATTGCCTAAGTCCATTATTTCATTGGAGGCTGATAATGGCAATATTCCAATCCAGAGTAGATAGTAAATCCCACCAAGATGTGATTCTGAATGGCTGGATTCATGGTCCAGAGTGCAGCTAGTGAACAACTCTGTGTGGCCTGAAAAACTGGGATTTTTCTTTTTTTTTTCTTTTTCCTTTTTTTTTTTTTTTTAAGATGGAGTCTCGCTCTGTCTGAAGTGCAGCGGTGCAATCTCGGCTCACTGCAAGCTCCACCTCCCGGGTTCACGCCATTCTCCTTCCTCAGCCTCCCGAGTAGCTGGGACTACAGGCGCCCGCCACCACGCCTGGCTAACTTTTTTTTTTGGTATTTTAGTAGAGACGGGGTTTCACCGTGTTAGCCAGAATGGTCTTGATCTCCTGACCTCGTGATCCACCCGCCTCAGCCTCCCAAAGTGCTGAGATTACAGGCGTGAGCCACTGTAATTAAAAGTAGAGTAATTTCTACTTATATAGTGGCAGGCAAGAGAGCTTGTGCAGGGGAACTCCCCTTTATAAAACCATCAGGTCTCATAAGACTTATTCACTGTAGAATCATATGTAGAAGAAAAGTATGCATTTCAATACCCTTCATAGATTCAGTATCTCCTTAGCGTAGTCCATTAGTAGCATTTGAAGCATAATTCCACATCTGAATTTCTGCCAGTGAGATGTGCTGCTGTTGTTAGATGATTTGGTAGTGTTCCTCCATTCATTCCTACCAGCTCCTGCTTAAGTATTATTTGTTTACTATATTCGTGTATTTTCTTATTTTTAATTAATGTACTTATTTTTGGAAGAAAATACCACTGAGGAGCATGGCAATAGTATCTCATGTGGCAATATTAGAATACCAGAGCCGATAACATTCCGAGCATCCCTCTGTGAATGCATTGGTGAAAACAGCCATCCCACAGTGATATGTCATTGAACACCGCCTTGTTAGCCTACCTTGAGCCTTCCTAGATGGCCACATATAATAGATTTCAATAATATGTGCAAATTGGTGTTTGACATTTGTAGTCACAAAGGGAAAACATTCAGAGTGACTCATGCTGCTTTTTAATGCTCTGCTGTCACTGTCTTGAAATTCTTTTAAGCTCTTTTGCTACGCCACTAGCATATAGCATTTGAGATGCCTCATGAGTCCAGAATTCCCATGGACCCACGACAGGTAGGATTTCAGAGAAGCTTAGAGTGAGGACAAAGTAAGCTGGGGCATTGACTCTCCCCAAAGGCTAGTCTCTGTTTGAGCCAGGACTTCCTTTGAATGCAGAAAGAAGCAAATGGTTTGCATTGACTCTCCCCAAAGGCCAGTCTCTGTTTGAACCAGGACTTCCTTCGAATGCAGAAAAAAGGAAATGGTTTTCTAAGACCAACAGACCCTTTGATATCCTTTTTTACTGGTGTTACTTCTTTGTATTAGCCATCACTTATGCTGACAAGGATGACATGGGGTGATGATATTGTTCTTTTCCCCTTCAATCCTTCCTTACTTATCCATAGCCTAAGGTAGAGTGTTGGTAGAGTACATACACACCAAGAGGTGAAATGAACACAGTTGAGTTAACTTTGTGTAGTTTCCTTTGTTCTGGTAAGAACAAAATGCACATGCATGCATGAACTACAAAATGAGAATTGTGTAATTCTGGTGATTCTGCATCCAAGTAAGCTGTTCTTATATTTGCATTTAAAACAATATAAAAATGCATAATAAAATTTGTGCTAATAATTTAATGTTTTAATTTTCTTTACTTAGAGCAACATTAAATAGCAAATAAAAAACATCTTCACAAGCCAAGTCAGAGACCATAAAATAAAGGAAAAAGTTTTATATTTTGGTACTTTCAATGGCACTTTGGGGCCTGCATTTTGAACAAGGGGTCCCACATTTTTATTTTTCACTAGGCCCTGCAGATTCTATCGCCAGTCCTGTCTGTAAGAAACTACCAAGTTCTGTGATAACGTTTTCCCCTTGATGTCACACTTGAGTAGTTTTCTCTTTTCTCCTAGTTATTTTGACATTTTGTATAGTCCTAGAAAGACTGACTTAATGAATGACTTGTCTCATATTTAGTCTGCGCAATGGACTGAATGTGTATGTCGCCCACCAAATTCATATGTTGAAGCTCTAACACGCAAGGTGATGGTATTAGGAGGTGGGGTTTTTGGAAGGTGATTAGGTCATGAGAGTGGAGTCCTCATGGATGTGATTAAAGCTATTCTGAAAGGAATCCCGGAGAGCTCTCTTTCTCTTTCTGCCATAGGAGGACACAATGAGAAGAGAGCGGTCTGCAATCCAGAAGAGGGCCCTCGCCAGTACCCAGCTCTGCTGGAACCCTAGTCTCAGACTTCCAGCTTTCAGAACTGTGGGAAATAAATGTCTGTGGTTTCCAAGCAACCCAGCCTATATGCTTTGTTATAGCAGCCAGAACTGACTAAAACTGGTAAAAGGGTGCTTCTAACCATACAAATTTTAAGCTGTTTCAAGCTCTCTGCAGGCCACACAAAGGCCATGGTCCAGTCAGGATGTTTAATTGGATGGGATATTCTCATGAATTAATTACCCAACTGTCTTATTTTTATATTTAAAATATTATATCCAAATAAGAACACAGATCCAGGTTTTTATTTACAGCCAAGAGAAAAGTGCAAGCAATTCCCTAGGGTAGTCCATGTCAAAGCAAAACAAAACAAACAAAAAGCTCCTCTTGCATGTAAAGTGGTCAGTTCTTGCAATGCTCCCTTCTGATAGTGGAATTTATGGTTAAAATTAGACTTCCCATTGATCAAATTATGCTTTAGCATTTCTTGGAGAGTAGCAAAAAATATGTTTCTCAGTTAGGCTATAAACAAAAATCTATAGCAATTAACTTAATTTTTAGTTAAAAATTGTGGTAAAAGTTTTAACTTAATTTTTAAAGAGAAACAAACCCCCAGGAGACACAAATTCTCTGACACCTTGATCTAGGACTTCTAGCCACCGGAATTGTGAGAAAATAAATTCCTGTTTCTTAAGCTATCCAGTTGTGGTATGTTGTTATAACTCTAGCAAACCAGTAATTTCACTTCTTTTGGGTATTTACCCAGAAATGAAATTGCTGGATCATGTGGTAATCCTCTATTTAATTTTTTAAGAAATTGCTGCATCATTTTCTATAGCAGCTGCAGCATTTTACATTCCCACTACTAATGCACAGGGGTCCAATGTCTCCACATGCTCGTCAATACTTGTGATTTTCTATTTTCTTAAGTTTTAACTTTTGGATGATAGCATCCTAGTGGGTGTGAAATAATATCTCATTGTGGTTTGATTTGTATTTCCCTAATGGCTAGTGATGTTAGCATCTTTTCGTGTGCTTGTTGATCATTTGTAACCTTATTTGGAGAAATGTCTATTTAAGTGCTTTGCTTATTTTTAAATCATTTTTTGTTCTTGCTGAGTTGTAGGAGTTCTTTATGTGTTCTGGATATTAACCTCTTATCAGATGCATAATCTGCAAATGCTTTCTTCCATTATGTGAGTTGCCTTTTCACTCTGTTGGTAGTGTCCTTTGATGCACAAATTTTGAAGTTTAACTTACCTGTTTTTTCTTTTTTATTTCCTGTGCTTTGGGCATCATTTCAAAAAAATCTTTGCTAAATCAAGTGGCCTTTTATCCATTTTGAGTTAATTTTTGTATATGATATAAGGTGAACATCCAACCTCATCTTTTGGCATGTGGTCTCTCTGTGTTTTTATGGAAGGGTTATTATCTCAATTCTGAATTTTTGCTCTTTCTTATAGATCGCTATGTCTTTATCTCCATAACTATTCTTTATCTTTCATTTCTATGTTTTTGGTTCCTTTACAGGTAATATCACTAATTACTAGTTACGTTTACTAGTCTAATGCACTGATCGCTGTTAAACAATTTATTTCTCTTCTATTTACATAACATAAGACTGCTTCTGTTTTATACTTACAATTTTCCTCTTGTTTTTTCTTTTCATTTTTGTGGCTCCTGTTGCACCTGTCAATGTATTGCTTAGGTCTGGAAATAGCAGGTAGGTTCATACATTTATTCATCAGATATGCACAGGTAGAAGTTGCAAATCAAGAGAGCAAAGTAATCTGGACAAAAAAATCTAAAGAACACTCTTAGAGCCAGACTGTGTGCCAGTAACTGGTAGTTTTCTTCTTGGAACAGCTTCTTTGTAGATGATGGTCAAGTTCAGGATGTTTGCCCCAAGCTCTTCAGAACAGGCTGCCCTTGCCTCCTCTCTTCTCACTTTATAAGCTCTTCCTGATCAAGCTTATTTAGTCTGTGAGCTCAACCATAACCTAGACTTGGTGGTTCTCAAGGCTTCACTTCCAGCAAACACTCCCTCTGAGCTCCAGCTGTTTCTTACATATCTCCATGCGGCTTTCCCACGCTGAACTCAGCCACTTCCCTTTTGTATTCTCCTGTCAAATAATGACTCTATGATCCATTACCAATCCAAGCCAGAGACCTTAGAGACTTCATGGACTCCCTGTCTGCCATTTCTCAACCATCTGCAAGTCTATTGATGCCAGATCCCAAATACTTCTTTTGCCTGCCCTTGTCCTCTATCTCCCATGTCCCTGATATAGTTGCACTACAAGATCCTCTTCTTCATTACTCACTGGCTGCCTCACTTCCCTCTGTGATTACATATTGCCCTCAGCATGATTTTTATAATGTCCACATCTTCTGAATAAGGTCATCAGACTCCCATCCTCAACATACTCCAGTTCATTTTTTGGTTCATCTGTTTACTAATTTTTAAAAATTCTTTTAGAAGTTGTAGTCTAAAGTGTATTACATTGCATGTTTAGTATTTGTGATCCAGCGTCTCTGTAGCTGCCAAACCTCGTTTGTGGCCTAAGACAATCTTTCTCCTCTATTTCACTCTTCCTTTATCACCCTCTCTCACACACACACTTTATATTTAAACCAAATACAATTACTTGTATTTAGACAAGTACATACTCTCCACCCTTTTGAATGTGTGGTTCCTTCCACAGGCATAATACCTTTCTGTCACCCAGCCACTAGAAAATCCCTACACGTTACACAAGCTGCAATTCCAATGCTTCCTTCTCCGCAATATCTTCTTTGAACCTCAGGCTGGCCTCAATGCTCCCATCCCCTCTCCTCTCACTGCACTTGGTAGGCACATCTGTTTAAACTATGGCCTAATCAATTTGTAATGGTTCTTTATTGATTGGTTCTCTCTGAGGGCAGGGATCATGGCTTGTTCTCTTTGTATCCCAGTGCCTAGCACAATTTTTGGCAAGTGAAAGACCTTTTATGAGACTATGCCAGTGCCTGCCTTCCTACTAGCTTCATATTTCAGTCTTCCATTTTCATTCACTAATTTTTTTTCTTTGACTTCTTTGGTCTTGTTATAGGCTTCATTTCTTCTGTAGTAATTAAACACGATGGCACCAGCCACAGAAACAGCATACTCTCTGTATGTGGTAATGTTGTGCACAAAGCAATGGAGTGTCGGAGGTGCACATACTTTCTCATGTGGAAGAGTACAGGGCACCCCAGGATTGGAACTCACTGAAAGAAACTCCCAAGTTGTTGTATGATAACAGCAGATGTGACATTTCCTTGATCTGCAGTTTTCCATAAAAGCTGTGAATTTCTTAAGAGCTCTTACTATCTGCATTTCTGATGCCCTAGAACAAAGCCTAGAAAAATAATTGTTTTCACAATTATAAATGTCAATCACGGCTGGGCACGGTGGCTCACAGCTGTAATCCCAGCACCTTGGGAGGCAGAGGTAGGTGGATCACCTGAGGTGAAGAGATTGAGACCAGCCTGGCCAACATGGTGAAACTCCACCTCTACTAAAAATACAAAAATTAGCTGGATGTGGTGGCAGACACCTGTAATTCCAGCTACTCGGGAGGCTGAGGCAGGTGAATCGCTTGAACCTGGGAGATAGAGTTTGCAATGAGCTGAAATTGCACCACTGCACTCCAACCTGGGTGACAAGAGCGAAACTCTGTGTCAAAAAAAAAATGTAGATAACTTTTTTCACTGTTAGGAAAATCAATTGTAGATATTAGCCATGAATCTTTTAATCTGAATATGAGTGTATTGGGGTAGGAGTAAGTCTCGTTCTAATTAATTTCACTAAGTAACTGTAAATAACTAGGCAAATATTAAGTTCCAGGCACTGGGAGGTGCCAGGAGTAAAATGGAAAGCAAAGCAGACACATGGCTGCTTCACTAGGGAGGGAAGTTAACTTCAATTAGCGGTCACCTAATCAAGTGTAATAAACTGAAGCAGGTGCTACAAGGGAAGAAATGTTATCTCTGAGATGGAATAACAAAGGAACATACTCTAGGCTACAGGCAAGGCCACAATTAATTTTCTGTTGTTGTTCAACAAGTTCCCTCCAGCTTAGGCAAGACCCATGACAGTCGGGTGGTTGCAAGGCAATTCTGAGAGACTTCACAGATGAAGGGCATGTTCCCCCACAAGATCTCTCTCACTTCAGATGCCAGCCACAACTGCAGGGGCTCCCAGCCACCTGCATTTTGGACCAACTGGCCATAAACCAGAGATTTTCCACTATCTCCTTTGATAATTTGCTAGAATGACTCAGAATTCAAGAAAATACTATACTTATGATTATACAATTTTATTACAGCACAAAATAATACAAATTAAGACCAGCTTTAAAAAATGAGATGCATAGGGTGAGGCCTGGAAAGGTCCCAAATGGGAAGCCACTGTTGACCTCTCTGTGGAGTGAGGCACATTCTCCTGGCACACCCATGCATGATAATACACATAGAGTACTGTTGATCAGAGAAGCTCACCTAAGCTTCAAAGTCTAGAGTTTTTATTGGGTTTTCATTACATGAGTATGATCAATAGAATCACTGGCCATGAGGTTGAACTCAGTCTCCAGCCTTCCTCCCCTTCCTGGAGGGCAGGCTGGTAGTATGTGGCTCCAAGTCCGAAACCTCTAATCACATAGTTGGTCTTGCCCCATCCTGAGTCACCTTTTAGCATAAACTCAGCTATGGTCTGAGGGACCCACCATGAGTAACAGAGACGTTCTTATCACTTGGGAAATTCTAAGGGTTTAAAGCTTCCTTCCCAGGGATGGACGACAAAGGCCAGACAAATCCAGATAAAGCGGCCCTGTGTCTGCTTTGCTTTTCATTTTACTCCCAGACCCTCCCAGTGCCTGGAACTCCATATTTGCCTAGTTAGTTAATTACTGAATGAAATTCGCTGGACTGAGACTTACCCAGCTTATATCCGTATTAAAAGACCCATGGTTAATATCCAAACCATCTTCTAAAGTGGCTATACCATTTTGCATTCCCACCAGCAATGAATGAAGATTTCTCTTGCTCCACATCCTTCCTAGAATTTGGTGCTGTCAGTGTTCTAGATTTGGGCCATTCTAATAGGTGTGTTAAATACAATTTATAGGAGGCCATTGGTTTGGACTGATCTCCTAAACTGGGCCCAATGGACCAAACCAAAATGGAGTTATTCATACTGAAGTTCCATGCCACCTAGCTTACACTAAGTTCTTTATCTAAACTTCTGAAAAATTGAGAGAGAGAGAATAGCCAAATCCCAAACTGGCCAATTTTAGCTAGCATGATAATGACATCCCCTCTTCTTTAATCTTCATAAGAAAAGCAACTTCAAAATGACTAATCTGCTTTTTGTTTTTTTGTTTCTGCTTTCCTTACTCTTTTCCTGCCTATAAAGCCAACCTTCTCTACTCAGCTTATCAGAGCACTCATTCTAGTTGATGACATGAAGTGTCTGATTCTAGGTTCACAAATAAAGCTGATTAAACCTTTAAACTAAGTGTGTTGTAATTTGTCTTTTGACAGGTGTGTAGTGGCATCTCATGGTTGTTTTAATTTTTACTTCCCTGAGGACATATGATGTGGAACATCTTTTCATATGTTTATTTGCCTCCCAACCTCTGGCAAACACCATTCTACTCTCTGTCTCTCTAAGCTTGACTATTTTAAATTCCACATATAAATATCATACAATATCTGTCTTTCAGTCTTTGTATATTTTGGGTAATAGTCTTATCAGATGTGTCTTTTTAAATATTTTCTCCCAGTTTGTCGCTTGTCTTCTAACTCTCTTGAAATTGTCTTTTGCAAAGCAGAAGTTTTTAATTTTAATGAAGTCCAACTATCAATTCTTTCTTTCATGAATTGTGCCTTTGGTGTTGTATCTGAAAAGTTATCTCTATATCTAAGGTCAACTAGGTTTTCTCTTCTGTTATCTTCTAGAAGTTAACAGTTTGTGTTATGTTTGTTTGTTTGTTTGAGACGGAGTCTCACTCTGTTGCCCAGGCTGGAGTGCAGTGGCGGGATCCCCGCTCACTGCAAGCTCCACCTCCTGGGTTCATGCCATTCTCCTGCCTCAGCCTCCCGAGTAGCTGGGACTACAGGTGCCCGCCGATACGCCCAGCTAATCTTTTGTATTTTTAGTAGAGACGGGGTTTCACCATGTTAGCCAGGATGGTCTCAATCTCCTGACCTTGTGATCTGCCCGCCTCGGCCTCCCAAAGTGCTAGGATTACAGGAGTGAGCCACCGCACCCAGCCATAGTTTTGTGTTTTACATCTAGGTCTGTGATTCACTTTGAATTAATTTTTGGAAAGGATGTAAAGTTTTTGTCTAGATTCTTTTTTTTTTTTTGCATGTGGATGTCCAGTTGTTCCAATACCACTTGTTGAACAGACTGTCTTTGCTTTATTGTATTGCCTTTACTACTTTCTCAAAGATCAGTTGACTATATTTATGTATATCTATTTCTGAGCTTTCTATTTTTTCCATTGACCTATTTGTGTATTAGTTCAACAATACCACACTATCTTGACTACTGTAGCTTTATAGTATGTCTTGAAGTCATACTATAAGTATGTAAGTACCTAGGTAAGTATCAAGGTTATGTCAGTCCTCTGACTTTGTTCTTTTTCTTCAATATTGAATTGGCTATTCTAGGTCTTTTTTCTTCTTCACATAAACTTTAGAACGACTTGGTTGATGTCCACAAAGTAATTTATTAAGATCTTGATTGAGATTGCATTGAATCTATAGATCAAATTGGAAAAAGCTGACATCTTGACAATATTGAGTCTTCCTATCCATGAACATGGATTATCTCTTTATTTACTTAGTTCTTTTTTTTCTTTCATCAACATTTCACAGCTTTCTTCATATAGATCTCAAACATATTTTGTTAGCTTGACACCTAAGCATTTCACTTTTGAGGGTGATAATGTAAATGATATTGGGTTTTTAATTTCAAATTTTACTTGTTCATTGCTGGAATATAGGAAAGGAATGCATAGTTTTTTAGAGCCTTTCAGAGAGTATGTAGAGCAACAAGAACAGCAAGCAGGGGACAGAGCCCTGGGCAACATCAACATTCAAGGGAATAGAAGTAGGAAATCTTATAAAGAGAAGAGAAAAAGTAGACAGAAATGTGGGAGAGGGGAATGATGAGCAGGAGAACACAAATCTGTCTCTCTCTCTCTGTCTCTTTCACACACACACACACACACACACACACACACACATATTTCAAGAAGGAAGCTAAATGTCCACCAACGAGGCCTGGACCAAATAAATTATACTTTATGCTACATGACCATTAAGAAAGCATCTATTCATGAAGTGGTATGGGAAGAAAGTTGATAGAATTCTTGAGTAACAAAATAATTTGAGGAAATAGGATTGTCACTATTCAAACCATTGTTTTGAACATTTTTGTTATGGGTTAAGTTTGGCAAAAATTAATAAATATGAAAACTAATGTAAAGTTCTATACTTAGGTCTAAAAGGGGAAGATATGTCTTTATAGAATCATATGTTCAAAATATTTAGCTGATTAAAGACAAAAAATTTTATGCATGGAAGTCAACACCCTGCCCTTCCTATTTGCAATGAATGGAGCATAATGGCCTGAACTCTATTACCATTCCACTATAGTCACATCCTCTTGCCATTTTAATCAACCGCGTTTTTGCTGCTCCCTTGGCTTGGAATGCTCTTCCCTAGAGACATTCGTGGCTCCCTTCCTCACTTCACTCTGGTCTTTGCCCGAATAACCTCTCAGTGGTGTCTTCTTCGACCACCTGTTCAGTATACCTCCCTCTACACGTACTTCACTTTCGGTCCTTTCATCAGCTCTAGTTTCTTTTGTCAACTTAAAATCACAATAGCTGTAAATTTAGAGAGGAGAGCTTTATTTCTTATAAATGGTTGCTGCCTGAAGGTTGGGAAGCATAGCCGCCAGCAGAATCTGAAAGTGCGTATTTCAAAGGAGGAAGGGTGAAACAGGAGTTTATACTGAAGGAGTTGGCTAAGTACACATATTTAACAGTTTATAGGAGGAGCCTTGAATATTCATAAAGGAGGGACACTTGCACACACATAAGCAACAGTGAATATTACATATGTCCCATGTTTACTTTGGCATGGAGACTTAACATTTAACTGCATTAACATTGGGCTGTATACATCAAAAGGTGAAAAAGAGACAAAGGCATTCTGTGCACAGCCTGTGTAAACTGGCCAGAACCACTCCAGGGTCAGTGGTCTTTTATCAGGAAGAAATGCTGTCAGTTGTTGTGTCAAAACCACAAAAAGCCTACAGCATCAGGTAGGTGTTTGAAATCTGCAGTGGAGCAAGTCTTTCTTAAAAGGGCTGGTTTCTGTTTCTCCCTGAGGAAATAAAGTTCACTGGATGTTAGCGAAGGAGGGGGTATACCGAGGTGTCTCCAGCCTCCTGTTCTGTCATGGCCAGGAACTCAGTTTTTAAAGTTTCTCTGGGGCCTCCTTGGCTAAGAGTGGATCCATTCAGTTGAGTGGTGGTCTTAGGATTTTATTTTTATTTCTTACTTTCATGGTACTATCCCTGCCTGACATTGTCATATGTTCATTTGTGTATCTGTTGTCCGTCTCTGCTTCTAGAATGTAAACATCACGAGGGGCCATTTGGTCTGTCTCCCTCGCATCCGCTGCCCTGCCTCCAAAGGGCTTCACTCTAGACTTTTTATTGGCTTTGCGTGGAAAGGCATAAACACCAATAGAGGGCTAAAGCAGACTGAGGCATTCCCTGGCATCGTCAGTCTTGATCTCTTCTATACAACCACACCTCCTCCCTTTTATCACATTCACCACATTATTACCATGTTGTAATGGGGGAGAACAAATGTTATTATCTGAACAGCTGGCACCAGAATGTCTTTGTTTAAGACACTCCTTAGGGTAGAGGGTGAGACTTCAAGAGCAGGGCCAAACAGCAAAAGGATTTTGCTAAGAACAAGACCTGAAGGAAGATTGGTTCCATTTGGGGTGTGGTGGTGGTGGGTGATTGGGGTGGGAAGAATGAGGAGGAGAAAGAAGGGGCCAGAGGGAAATGGAGAGAGGCTGAGGTGAGGGGGAGTCAGTAAGATACCAGAGTCAGGGTGACCAGATGACACTTAAGGAACAGTTCTCTCCTCTTGATAGCTTTGTTTGTCCAAAAATATTTTGTGAGAATAGATTTTATTATATGGTGTAACAGAAAGATGAGACCAAAAGGCAAAATATGAAATAATAGTGTGAGCACCTAGAAATTTGTGGAAATCTTGGCTGATGTTTCAAACATCACATGCTGAGGAATTTGGGAGTTTAAGACAAGATCTCAGGAACATCCCGAGCAGGCAGGGAGGGCCGGCGAGCAGAGGTACCTGCTACTCTTGGCTCCTTTTTTTTTTTTAAACCACTTTGTCTCTTATCTCCCAGCAAATCCTTATACCTTTCAGTTTGAAACACAAAACCTTCAGGTTTCACTAGTGCCTTGTGAAGTGGTTAATGTCATAGAATCTGGCATCAGACACTGGGTTTGAACCTCAGCTCATCATACCTTAGCTGTACAATCTTGGGTATGTTACTTAACCTCTTTGTGCCTCACTTGTCCAATCTGTAATATGGGAATAGTATTTCTTAAGGTTGCTGGGAATATTCATGCTTAGACATAATTTGTACTATGTAAGTGTTTTCTTCTATTCTTGTAATTATTATTTGGATAGATCAGAGAGAGTTTGAGATTTCAAACATAAAGTGGCTAGCCTATGAAAACTGAATGTAGTGACCAAATTGGAAAAGATCTGTGGTCTCTTGGATTTTCTGCCTCTCCTCTAAAAAGTACAGGTTCTTCTTTCCGGAGAAAGAAGAGAATATTTATAAGCTCAGACACCTCCTCCCCATTTCAGTAAGATGCTCAATTGTTTCAAATTTGCCTGAAACCTAAGGCTAAAGTACTTAAAAAGAAAAGGAATGTACTTCCTGCTGGCTCTCATATCCTTCTAGGAGAAGGTTCCAGGCTGAACTTGAATTCCCCCACCCGGAAGACTCTTGTGGGAGATGTGTACACGCCCATGCTGGGCAACGTCTGGAAAATGCATGCCAGACTTGGTCACAGTGATCTCACAGAACAGAGTCCTAGTCAAGATGTTCCATGTTTGCACTTGCAACCTTGGAAATAGCAAGAGATTGTAGAGGCTTCATGAACTCTGAAAACTTGCTTATGGATTGCAAGAAAAGCTGTGAGTTTTCTAGATGTTATTTGCCCTGAGGACTAAATTCTGATTTTTTTTAAATCTTGCCCAAATTCCTTGAGTGTCATGCCCTACAAATCATAAATTATCACCATATGGGTTTTATTTAACTCTATATATCATGACTCACTTTCCAACCTGACTCTGGCATAACATTATAAGACAAGGAAGAAAATAAAAATATTTTACCTCAAAACATATTTCTTTGTCATATTTTGAAAAGGCCCTGTGAAGCTGTTCTTCATGGGGGAAAATTTGCATCTGTAAAGAATCTCTGTTAACATAGCTAGATCTTTTTCTTCCACACTTTCCCAATCCTAAAGAGATTAATTAAGATCTGAATAGGAAACATTTGTCATCTGTTGTCTCTAAGGGCAGCCACTATAAGACTTCAAAAGAACTTTGGTCTCCACAGTCTTTATCTCAACCTGAACATTCCCTGAACATTCCCTTTCTATCAATCTCAGGTCTTTAGACACACTCAACCAATTGTCAACCAGAAAATGTTTAAATTCACCTATAGCCTGTAAGCTCTCCACTTTGAGTTGTCCCGCCTTTCTGGACCAAACCAATGTATTTCTTAAACGTATTTGGTTGATGTCTCACGCCTCTCTAAAATGTGTAAAACAAAGCTGCTCCCTGACGACCTTGGGCACATGTTCTCAGGACCTCCTGAGGGCTGTGTCACGGGCCATGGCCACTCATATTTGGCTGAGAATAAATCTCTTCAAATATTTTACAGAGTTCGACTCTTTTTGTCAACAGGCCAGGAGAGGATGTCAGCTGCACAGAGAAAGAGACCAACACTGCTGGCTCTTCCAGTTCTGGTCGGACCCTGTGGAGCACACAGCCCTTTTGACAACCTCCTGAGGCCAGTCTCTCCTCCCCCTCACAGAGAGGAGCTGGGTGCACTAGAGCCCCCAGGAGGCTTTTGAGCAGGCAAGGGGAGGGCTGTCCTCAGAGCTTCTGGAAAGACAAACTTTTAGATAGTCAGGAGGTTACGTGTCCCAGAGAGAAGGCTCACATGTTGACCTACAAAAGTAGAGAGGAGGCTGGCAGGATGTCTGGCCTGTGTGGCCAGGGTATGGCTGGATGGAACATGGAAAAATACAGACTGATCCTTTAACATTCAAAGAGGAGCAAACTGCCTCAACATTGCCCATTTAGACCAGACATGAGAAGATGCGCCATTCTGCTGTCAGGACTGAGTGGAGGTTTCATCAGGAATAGGAAATGGAAGGGAAAGATAGAGGGTGCTTGATCAACCAAAGAATTTATACCAAGATCCAGCCAAGTGTAGCTGGATGGGGCTTTTCCTGTGCTGCCAGGGCTGTGGTGATTGTGCTGTGGACACGCTGGTGCATGTGTATGCTTCCTTCATAAGTAATAGAGGAACTGTGGAAACATTTTTAGAGGGGATGGCTCAGTATGAAGGCAGCAGCTGGTGTTCTCTGGGTTCTGGTTACCCTCATACCTTTTAGGCTTAATTGTTATACTGAATTCAGGGCTCCTTTCTTTCTGTTAACTGTAAGAACAATCTCATTCTAAGGAAAGAGGGCCTGGAAACTGCAGCTCATTCTGGCTTCTTCCTCCCTCTTCATCTGGCCCAGGAAGGCTGAGGGGCGGGGCTGTGAGAGGCCTCCTTGTCAGAGCCCCCATACGTGATGATCCAAGGGAGTTTCCTCTTTCCTGCCTGACTTGGTTTGGATTTGTGTTGCTGCCCAAACCTCATGTTGAATTGTAATCCCCAGTGTTGGAGGAGGAGCCTGGTGGGAGGTGATTGAATCATGTTGGCGGATTTCCCTTTTGCCATTCTTGTGATAGTGAGAGAGTTCTCAGGAGAACTGGTTGTTTAAAGTGTGTAGCACCTCCACCTTTGCTCTCTTCCTCCTGCCAGACATGTAGGATGTGCCTTCTTCCCCTTCACCTTCTGCCATGATTTTAAGTTTCCCGAGGTTTCCCCAGCCATGCTTCCTGTACAGCCTGCAGAACTGTGAGTCGATTAAACCTCTTTTCTTTATAAATTACCTGGTCTTAGGTAGTTCTTTATAGCAATGTGAGAACACACTTATACAGTGTCTTTCAAGTCCCCAGAAAAGACCTGAAGATCTTTCTATGATTGTCCCTATGACATTTGGAAGCAGGGACAGCTTCTTGGCATATGCATGTCTTCAGCTCTGCATTGTGACCTCCATGACCTCTCATTAGGCACTCTGTGTGACCTTGTCAGGGTGCCCTTATGTGGCAGACCAGGTCTCACTAACGCAGGCCTCCATAACAACTCTTTCAGTACTGACCCAGTGGTTAAGTTAAATATTAAAAGCTGATAGAGCCAGTGTCCTTATACAAAGTCTGGAATGTAAAAAAAGCCCACCAAGAGTTTTGCCTAGGCCTTTTCTGGGCCTTAAAGTATGACAAAATAATGAAGGAATTCTGAACAGGCCCCTTTTAGGATTAAACAAGTTTTACTGGGGGGTCTGAAGAAACTCCCCAGGCCTCCACAAAAAGTTTATTGGGGTTCTGAAGGAACTCCTCAAACCTCCGTGATTTAACAGGAGACAAGATAAGGGTAATCACCCCAGCACCTGGACCCATTTAGATTAAGTAAATTTACTGAGGCTCCAGAGGAAGGTCTTCAGGACTCAGATCTTAGTTATAGATTAGAAGAAGTTAATCACTTATGTTTTTAGAGGAGTGCAAACTTACGTGTAGACATATAGCTTAGAAAGTATATAAGCTCTGGAAAACTTCATAATTTTGAGTTGGTCTGGCAATAACTTCCAGGCCTTCTCCCTGTAACCAGTAGCGGAAATAAAACTCTCTTCCCCACCAAGTTCATCTGCATTTCATTATTGGGCCACGAGAAATAGCAGCCCAACCCTCAGTTTGGTCTGGGAACACTTGAACCTCCACCTCCAGTTGTCAGGCAAGATCAGTTCCTAAGGATCTCCTGGGGACTCCTTGTCTGTCGGGATCTTTTGCCTTTTCTGCCATGGAGGGATGCAAGTGAAACAGAACTCAGTTCTTGTCCCCAAGAAACTCACAAAGGAAATGGGATAAATACAATAAAAGACATATAAGCCCATCAATTCTTTGCTGATTTAAATGTTTCTAATTGTTCATTGTTTCTCCCAACTAATGGATACCTGTTTTTTTCAGAGTGTTTCTTTACTCAATTCTAAAAGAGGTAAACACTCAAAAGTTATGGACAGATTTTAACCAGTTTATAGAATATATAAAGTGAGTTCATGTAATAATAGGCATTTTTGCTTCATAATTGCCAAAGAAAACAGGCATTTAAAGCCATTTAGTTGTGTGAATATAGTCTGTTAAATTTTCACCACTGAAAGTTTCCAGTTTGTTAAAATGTTCTAAAGAATACCTAAATGCAGTAGCTTCCTACCTGAATAGTTTGTCTGTTTTGAGATAATTTAGTTTTTTATCTTGACAAAATTTTCATACAAAACTGCCTATTCTCTACTTGGTAGTCACAGTCTCAGAATTCTCCCCAGGGATTTTTACAATTTTCTAAAATATCTAGTATCAAATCGAATGAACTATCATTAAAAAAATAGACTCAATTGATTAAATAATCAGCACAGAGGTTCCAGGCATATCCCTTGTCTGTGCAGAGGGAGACTTCACGCTTGGCGGAAGTACATGCTAGGGAGAGGTATGATTTGTGGGGTGTTCTAAAGCCCCCATTTAGGTTCCTTTATATTTTCATAGATAAGCTTTATTATTTTGCGGAAAGATACCAAAGCTTTAAGGCTGTTGTTAATTACGCATTCCCCAGGATTGAGAGTGGGGGGACATGATCAGCCCTTATCAGCCTCTGATACCTCAGTAGGAATTAAGATCATATTTGAACTGAAAGCAACTAGGAGATTATTTACCACTTATTCTTCACTTCACAGATGAGGAAACTGAAACCCAGAGGACATACATCATTTGTCCACAGGGGTGATCACACCCAGTAATTAGCAACAGAGCTGAGACATCACAGTCGCATTTCCATTTCTGGGTGCTTGCACTAGGTTTCCAATTACGGGCACTTTTCCTGGGGCCCCACTGGCTGCGTTCAGCTCTGTGGGTGTCAGCTGGTGGCTCGGTGTCGGGCCTTCCTGGGACGCTAATGGGGCACCTTGATAGGAGAGGTCAGGGACATTCCCTGGGTGCACATGTGTGCATGCTTGTTTGCGGGGTTGGGAGATGAAGCCATGTGTGAGGGGAGGCCCAGAGGCAGCATGAAGCCAGTGGAAGCTGAGGGCAGAAGTGGTGCGAATCAGGGTACAATGCGTTGCTGCAATAAGTCTGCTCAGAGAGAGCCCCTGGGAGGAAGGGAGCACAGGCCAGCATTTGCATTGGGGTTCATCTTCTTCTACATTTTCATCAGGCAAGTGGAATGCCTGCTTTGTTCACAGTTCTGAAGGCAAGTTCTTATTTACACCAGATTTCTAGGGGTCTTTAGGGACCGTGAGCATGCTTTTCTCTGTTTCTCAACTCACAAGTGAATAGGGAGCAAAGTGCTTCGGTGTGAAGAAATCATTACAGCCCTCAGGATGAGCAATTAGCCCTTCTCCCCAGTGAAAATAGCCCCTTGGAGAAAGCCCTTGGAGCCCAGGGCACCAGAGAGCCAGTTTGTTTATTTCCTTTATTGGTGGTATTTGCTAAATTCTTGTCCCTAATGAGCTAATAGACCTTGGATGCACATAAAGGCCATTTATTTAGTTTGGTAGGTTTACATATTTAAAAGAAAACAAACCCCTTAGAGCACTGAAGAACAAAGTCATGCAGCTGCTTTAAAGTCTTAATTGTGACAGAAACAAGTCTTTTATTTTAAATCAGCAAAATAAAGTTAAGTGGAAAACTAAAAGCTCATGCCTGACAACCATATTTTCCCAAACAGATGGAATCCTTTTGGGTCTCAGAGACTATTTTACCAGTGTTTTTAATTCATAGCCTTAGAAAATCCCAACCCAAGTAATTTCTTTTTCAGAAACATCAGATTTATACCATTTGGGTTTTAGAAAACAATGAGAGGCTTCTAAAGTTAAAAATTATTACTTAGGGATTACAAACAAAAGCTTGAGTTCCTTACTGAAGGACATCAAGAAATGCATTTAATCAGATAAGTAAATTTATTTCAACAATCTAAATTATAGTTTTATTCCCAAGTTAGCTTACGTAAACTGTCTTCTGTAGAAAATATGAAAGTTTGGTAAGATTAAATTGATACAAAGTTAATTGCACTCAAACTTTATTTGGGTTGTTAATAGATTTGATATTAAGCAAAAAGAAGTTAATTTTCTCATGACTAGAAGAATTTGTTTGAAGTTTCACATTAGATCTTATGAGGTACATTAAATTAAGTTCCCAATTTTATAATCAGAAATATGTCAATTAGATTTCTTTGAAGTTACTCCATGATAACTTGGAAAGTTATCACATTTATTAAGTCATAACTCTAAATGGGTCTTAGATTTTAGGGTAAGTAATATCTCAAAAGGAAAAAAATAGAAACTCAAGAATGTTCCAGGAGTCAACCTATTGAAAAGAAAACAGTGCTCTGAGTTTGATAGCTGGATATTAAGGTTCTCTGATCTTTGCTGTTCCTTTTATATTCCACGACCTGTTTATACCCTGGCAGCTAAAGCAATTGCTTTAGAAGAAAAAAATCAGACCATTCTCTATAAATGATTTGAAAAGCTGTTTTTCAAATAAAAAGAAATAGCGAAGTGCTCTTTTTAAAAACCTAACTTCTAAAATACTAAAAAAAAAAACCCACACACAAAGAAAATACTTGCTTTCAGAATGTTTATATTTCTATGTTTTAATTTCTTTTCAACTTAAAGAGTAGATTACCACCCCAAATTACTTTATTCTCCATTTAGTGAGGCTTCTGCCTTATTCCAGAAAGCAGCCAACATTTTGGCTGCACCTGGTTAAATTTGTTTTCTTTCATATTTTGTGGGAGCACAAGACTCAATGCTAAGGGACACCTAAATAATTTCAAACATTTTTTTCCCACTTAAATTTATGACATCTTGATAATTACCATAAAGCATAATTGATACCAGTTAAAATGATCTATTATTCAATGCGGCTGAATTTTGTATATTACTCCAAATGACAACAGTGACATAGTGCATGGCTATAAACTCAGGTATGACTGTGATACTACAAGGGATATTTTGTTTATATCTGCTCTGTACTTACAGAACAGGCAGGCTGTAAATTGAGCTTACTGCTGATTTACTGGGCTCATAGATTTATTACTTATACATTCAATACATTCCATAAAGAGTTCTCAAACACCTGTTATGTGTCAAGCATCTTGTTCTGCATTGCAGACAGCTTGATGGAAAAACACAAACACCCGCTTGAGGAACAGCCTGAAGATGGGGCTTCAGTGTGTGCTTCTGTGGAGGCACCCGGGGAAATGCAGAATCCTCACCTAACTCAGAAGGGGAGCCATCTGTTACTTGTCTTAAGGAGATCAGCTGTGGTACTGGTGAATACTGCACATGTATCACTTATGCTATGGTTGTAGAGCTACTGAACAAAATCAGAATTTAATTTTACTTTGGTAAGAGCCACAAACAAGCCTGGAAGCAGTAGTATTGGAGAACCAACATGAGAAAGGGTGTTTCTGTGGGTAGCAAGGAAGAGATTCTCTCAGGAGATACAAAGGAAGTGACAGAATGCCAACCTCTCATTCTTCTCTGGAGTCCAGATGGACATTGGTGATAACGGGAGCCAGTACAGAAGCTCTCCGGGGATGACAGGGGAGCAATGCCTGGTCCTGTTGATCCCTGCTGAAAGGAAGACTTCCTCCTAGGTGGTGGGGTTTCCCCTCCTCAGGAGTCATACAATTTCTGGGCTGCCTCTTGTCAGGCTACCAGCCATTGATGACTATTGTCTAAATCTGTCACTTTCTTAGAAATTGTAAAATGGCAAAATTCTAATTTTTTACCTATTTTTCATTTATTAGCTAGAATACTTCTATAGAGAGAAACTTCCCCTTATCCATTCTTAGGTTAACCTGAGTATAGAAAAGACAGGATGAATGTTTAGTAGTTTTCAAAATAATGTGTGGTTTCTGTCTGTATTCCAAACACAGTGCATGTTTAATACATATGAATGTATAGGTTTAATTTAATTATATTTAATGTTTTGTTACATTTCAGTTATTATCCTCATTGCTACTCAAATCAACCTATTTATATCTAGCAGGTGTCTTTGAAACAACCCTAGGAGTGTGATAGCTTCCATGTTTGCTGTTATGACCAGATAGTAAAAATTTTAGGCTTTGCAGGTCGTAAAGTCTGTGTTGCAATTACCATTAGATGGTATGTCAATAAATGAGTGTGGCTGTGTTTATTTCTAGTCTTGGCCGCAGAAGCGAGATGATGAAGGGAACGTCATCATTTGGAAAGCATTGCAATAAGACGTACACGTTATGCCACCACTGTGGCTCTAAGGCCTACCACCTTCAGAAGTCGACCTATGGCAAATGTGGCTACACTGCCAAGCGCAAGAGAAAGTATAACTGGAGTACCAAGGCTAAAAGACGAAATACCACCAGAACTGGTCAAATGAGGCACCTAAAAATTGTATACCATAGATTCAGGCATGGATTCCGTGAAGGAACAACACCTAAACCCAAGAGGGCAGCTGTTGCAGCATCCAGTTCATCTTAATGTCAACGATTAGTCATGCAATAAATGTTCTGGTTTTAAAAAATACAAAATAAATAAATAAATAAATAAAAAATAAATTAAAAAAGACAGCCCTACAGGCCAATTTTTTGTGGACTCCTGTTCTAAAATAATCACAATCTGTGTACTAAGACAAAAATGCCTAGCAAATGCACATCATTAAGTGTATTTAATCCTTGCTCTATCTCGTGATCCTACCAAAATGTATTTCTATTTAACTAGTCAGAAAAGGAAAAGAGGCAATCATGGAGAAGAGGTAGAGTGAATGGTAGGGGCGATGGCATTGCTTTGATAAAATAATAATGCTTCTTATTGCGATTAAAAACATATCTCTATATATACTCATAGATGTATAAAAATATAAATCTTTGTATGTGTACAAGTGTATGTACACATGTATGCAAATGTCTCAGGTTGCTTAGTTTCGTACTTTTGTAACTGAAGGGCTATATTTAATCAGACATCTTAAAAACCCGCTGGCAAGGCTTTCTTGGGGGTGCTTGGTGTTACTGTTTGTAGATTCCCAGAATCTCAGGGTTAGATGGATTCTCACCTTAAATAGTATAACCCTTCCAGTGGGCGACTTCCTTTATGAATCAACCAGCAACCAGCCATTCAAAAGCCATTTGAATGCCTCTAGTGATAAGAGGCTCACTTCCTCCGGAAGCTGACCATTCTTGAATGATTCTTTAAATGATTTTCTTAGTGGTAAGCCCACATCTGTACCTTTTTGAATCACTTCTGTAAGGAAGTCATTTCCAGCCAACTGGTTTCATCGAATTCGTCTTTTACAGGCTTTCCTATGGCCTGCACCTCTTTGTAGAATTTGTCACCGCTGTATATGTGGGTATTTGATTAGTTACTCCCTCCTGTGCTAGACTGTAAGCTTCAAGAGGGCAAGGATACGGTTTTTACTCACTTTGTATACCAAACATCTAGCACATAGCAGAGTCTCAAGAAATAATTGTTAAGTGAAAACATTTGTTGCTATTTTTCCCTCTATAGTTATATAAAATAAGTGCAACCCACTAAAATATCCACTGGCAGTACCACACTCCTCTTAAATATTATTTTTCCTAAGGTAAATATCTAAAGCCTCCTCAATAATTCCTTTTGTTGGAAAGCTTTTGATTTTTTTGTTGTTGTTGTTGCCTTCCTTTGAACAGCTTCCAATGGGGCACTCAAATTTGACCAATACCCCAGATGTACCTTGACCAGATCAGTTTTAGAATGGGACCATCATGTCCTTATTGTAGAGACAGAAACAACCATTAGCATTTGGTAAGAACATTGTATAGCTGATTTATGTGATGCATTAAAAATATTTTGTCTTACTTGTATACTTCTGAGTAGACTGAATCTGATGGCAGTTAACACTATCATGATGCTTGATTTATGCAAATCCACTGCGTTCCCAGTTGCTGTTTTCCTTCCTGAATTATATTGCTTTATTTAAATGTCCTGCTTATTTATTTTATATTGGGAGCCGATGTGTGTGATCTCTGAGTAGTACAACTGAACATAAATACATTACTACTCTTTAAACAATTTTAAAACTGAGAGAGTTCCTCTATACATACCACTGGGCAGCCTTCTTCCCCAATTATTTAAGTCTTCCCTGACGTCAGAAAAATAACACACCATTTCAGTTGGTTAGGAGTTGATCTTTGCATAGCATACTCTTTTAGGATCTTATTTTCAACATATCTTGATTTCTAAATACCTACAAACCTGTAGTTTCCAAGCTGCTCCTTGTTTCACATGATTTCTGGAGAGAACAGCAGCTTATCAGTTTCCACGTCCCTGATACAGGCCCCTCTCTGCTCCAGCAAAGCTAGTCTTTCCATGGGATTTGCAGTAGTAATTGAGTATCTGGATCAGGCATCTTCTGTCATGAATTCCTTCCTTGGAATACATTCAGCAACTGTCTAACCTCATCTCTCTCACAAACAACATAGGCCTGAAACATAGTGATCTCTCTTATTAATTAAAGGCACAAAGAGCTTGGGACCTGCTGCTCTGAGGGATTCCAGACCATCAAGGGCTCTGGCAAATAGCTGACCCAGGCAGAAATGCTGGCCAGCCTCTTCCCTTCTAGGGTGTGGACTCATCTGACTTTCATTCATTTAAGGAGGAGAGAATGCACTGATATAGATTTCCTCTCTGCCTTTATCATAATATTTCACAGGCACCACAGTTGTGGGTGTAAACTTGGATGATAAAATGCAAACAATGTAGGATTTTTTTGTTCAACTTTGGATACAAAGATGAGTTTAGTGTCCCTATTCTCTTTTCTACCTTCTTCTGGTCAACCTCAGATACTGCTATAATTCCTGCTATGTCTTTGTTCATTGGAGCCTCACATCTTCCTTTCCTAAGCTTTAGGTCCAGGATTTTCATTGCCAGTTGGGCATCTCCATCTAGATTTTATAATGTTTTCTCAAACTGAAAGTATATAAAATCAACATCATCAGCTTTTTCTCCAAATTCTTTCAAAATCCTATCTTTCTCTTAATACTAATAACAGCTATTTGGTTCCTCAGACTCAACACCTTGGAGTCATCTTTGCCACCCTTGTGTTGGTCTTATGTGTGCATAAAGCTTGCACTGCTGGAAAGCCTCTTACTTGCTCCTCCACCTCAAACCTTCAATCCATTCTATGTACTTGAATCTTTCACAAGCATGACCACTAGACTGGAAGTCTTACAAGGGTAGGGGCTGTTATTTTCTGGTTCACGGCTGTCTTCCTAACACAGAAAACCATGTCTGGGGCACTCAAAAAATTTCTTGAATGACTTAGAAACTTCATAAGTTTTCATATGTTATTGCATGATGAAGAACTCCCAGCTTGGTATTTGATATGGCTAGGCTTTGTGTCTCTACCCAAATCTTATCTTGAATTGTAATCCCCAGGTATAGAGGGAGAGAACTGGTGGGAGGTGATTGGATTATGGGGGTGGTTCCCCTATGCTGTTCTTGTGATAGTGAATTTTCATGAGATCTGATGGTTTTATAAATGGTAGGTTTTCCTGCGCACATACACGTTATCTCTCACCTGCCGCCACATAAGACGTGTCTGCTTGCCCTTCCACCATGATTGTAAGTTTCCTGAGGCCTCCCCAGCCATGTGAAACTGTGAGTCAATTAAACTTCTCTTCTTTATAAATTACCCAGTGTCGAGCAGTTCTTTATAGCAGGACTGCCTGCACTAATACAGTATTGCAGGTATTCCATGACTCAGCACTCTTTTACTATTCAAAATCAAAGCAGTTCCCCAGAATTCATCTCAAAAGGATAAATACAATTACTACGCAGCTTACTCTGCTGAGAAGCAACTGTAACTAGGATTTTTGTTGTTGTTGTTGTTAACAAAGAGGTCTGCACGAAAGACAATGGTTTTCCTAGTCCTTTGCTCAGACATAATCACAGGTATAGAAAAGGAAAAAAAGAATATCCTGATATCATTGGGACCACTTATGATGAGGGCAAAGTTTTAATTTGAAACTAATCCAGGGTGTGGTAAAACTGCCAAACTTTTCTCATGGTTTTGAAACAGTGGAAATGCTTTAATTTTGAATAATTTAATCGGTCAAACTTAACAATTAATAGGAAAAAAATCATGGCCAATTTTAAGGTCTACTAATTTATACACAGTTAAACTCCACAAGTATTTGTTTAGTAAGTGATTCCCGGCTATTCGTTTTCATGGAAGAGGTGGTCTCCTTAAAACTGCATTTTTTTGGAGTATGATATAGAATGATGGGAAGGGAGGGTGAGATGTCAAAAGGAACCGTATAAAGGAGGCACCTTGGGCTCAGCTGTCGGCTAATTAGTTAAGCTTTTGAATAGCAGGAAACAGCAGCAGAAAATGAAACAATTGAGCCCAAAGAGCTGGTTTTGGAAATGGGCAGAAAAAGCCGTTTCACTTGCTGTGTGGACAGCGGTATCGAGGAGGCCACTATTTTACAAAGCTTCAGCTCGTGAATGCCTAGAATTTTAGATTAAAGTACACTCATTTGGCTTAAAATTTTATTTCCTAATTTTGCAGAATGACCCTTAGGTGGTAAAACGTTGCACCTTTGCAGTCTTTTATACCTTTAAAACTGATTTCATTTGCAATCATTTCCTCAGAGAGGGGAAAGTTAAAGGGCACCCGGGTGGCTCATAGGAGCATTCACAGGGCACATACCAATTGGGGAAATGGTGAAAGAAGAAGATAACACTCAAATTTCACAGTTTTGACAAGGGCCACTGACTTTCCATTCATTTGTTCTGTAAGTAATTATTGAACTCCAGAGGTGTCTTTTTTGAGTAATGTGTTTGCATAGGCCAGGTGTAAGTTCCCAGAGTTGATGTAAATATTTCTTAGGGTGAGGACCTGTATAGCAGAGAGCATGGAGAGAGTGGCAAGTTACCATGGTCTGGTGATCTGAATGAGGGCACTAGAAGGAATATTGTAGCCAGGCTTTCCCTTGCTGTGGCCTCCCGCTATTGTTTCTACCACCACTGCTTCAACTTGTTTTTAGAGGCTGTGCTTAGAGTTCATATCACAGGGGTGTCTGCATATATGTAAGACTGACGGTCATATATGATTTGTTCATTCGTTCATTCATTGAACAAACATTTCTAGAGCAGTTTCTATGTGCAGGCACTTGATTAGGGCATGAGATATACTGACTTCTTAAGGGCCCTTGCTTGACAGCTTTAACCCAGCAGGAGAGACAGGTATGGACAGGTGATCACATGTGTGATGCATACTATACAATGAATGTGTAGGATGCTATGAGCATGGAACCTATCGTTAGGGAGAGGGACTGGGAGGACAAGGATGTCATAGTTGAGGAAGGAACCAGATTATTTAGGAACTTCTAGGCTGTTTGTTGATGTGGGACTTCTTTTTCTAGGGTCAAAGGGAATTAGTGAAAACATTTTAAGCCAGTGAATAACATAATAATATTTCGGTTTTTAAAAAGAACATTTTGGGTGCCACATGGAGTGTGGGCTGGAGGAGGCAGGAGGGGCTTCTGGTTATTTAATTAGGTGGCCATTACAGGATTTCAGGCAGAGATGATGCCGGCGTGGCCTAGTGTACCGGCAGTTAGGTTAGGGAGAAGGGGGTTGGTGAGCGAGACAGTTAGGAAGTAGTAGGTTCCAGACTGGGGCTTGCCTGGAGGTTGTACTTACGAGAAAGAGGGAGTAAAACAAGACTTCCAGGCTTCAACCTTGAGCAACTAGGTGGATGGAGGTGCCATTCCCACTGTAGGGAAAGGTGAGGAAGAAGCAGGTTTGAAGGATAGTTCCTGAGTGCATCTTTCCACATGTGGAGTTTGAAGCACCAAGGGGGCAAACAAATGGCAATTTTTTTTTCTTTTTTTCTCTTTTTTTTTTGAGATGGAGTCTCGCTCTGTCGCCCAGGCTGGAGTGCAGTGGCGCAGTCTCAGCTCACTGCAACCTCCGTCTCCCGGGTTCACGCCATTCTCCTGCCTCAGCCGCGGAGTAGCTGGGACTACAGGCACCCGCCACCATGCCCGGCTAATTTTTAATATTGTCAGTAGAGACAGGGTTTCACCATATTAGCCAGGGTCGTCTCGATCTCCTGACCTTGTGATCCGCCCGCCTGGGCCTCCCAGAGTGCTGGGATTACAGGCGTAAACCACCATGCCTGGCTTCGATCAGGCAGTTTTTAAGCTTTTTGGTGGGGCAGGTGGGGAAGGGATGCACAGACCTCTTTGGAAAGCTTATGAAAACCATGAATCTTCTCCCTAGGAAATGCATACACAAAAAGACACGTAAAATTTTGCTCACAGTGACAATGGGTTCAGAGGTTAGTTTAATTTACTTAACATTGATTGGACTTATTGGTGTGTGGATCAAGTGTAGGATGACCGCACAGTCCAATTTCTCCTGTGCCATTCCTTCCTTGTACCTGGAACCGTGGTGTTTCATCCAGTTAGTGCTCCCTTTCAGCCTCAAAATTTCCTATTTGGATAATAAATTTTGTAGTGACCTTAGGGGCTCACATATCCTCTAACCTGACTCAGACCTTCCAGCAATTCACGGATCCACTTCAGGACTTCTGTTTTCTCACCATGCTGGCCACTGACCGCCACAGCACCTTTGCTTGGAGGATCCTTTGAGCAGTCATGCCGCTCTTTCTCAAGCCGCCTCTCCATATCCCATGTTCCCCGTCAAAGCAAATGCCTTTTGAAAAGCATTTGTCTTCTGCCAAGATTCAGTCATCTTTTATCTCTTCCGAATCTCTGTATTCTTCTGAATTCCTCCCATTTATTCCCTCGTTTATTCCAGCATAGTATTACTTTATATGGCTTATTCATTGCTTCATGGGTCAGTTTTATTTCTCCAGCTAATGGCAGTGCGATGAAGGGGAAAATGCACAGGCTGATTAGCAAGTGCGCAAACAAACATAAGTTTCATAGCTGCTCTGAGACTCAGTTTCCCCATTTGTGAATTAGATATATTACCTAGTTTGTAGGGCTGTTGAGAGGTTTATATGAAAACCGCACAGTGCCTGCCATAGAATGATTCACAGTATTGATTATCAACTTCATTTATACTGCCCTCCCCCTCTCCCTGAGATTCTCTCACAAGGCTGAGCTCTAGTCAGTGAATAGTAACCATGTCAGAGGAGGAGGCTGAACATACTGTCTATAGTTATTGGTGAAATAAAAAAGGCAGCTTTGGGCACAGTAGCTAGAAGAACAAATATGTTTTCAGAGATTTTTGTAGTAATTAATTACTGGTGTTTTTTTTTTTTAATTTGCCAACAACTTGATGTTTTCACCTACTATCTTTTGTTTACATTCCACAATGCTTCTCGAGGAAGATCGTCATCACAATAGGGCAAAATGTGGTCACTCAACCACAGAAAAGTGGACATTTTCTTGGGAATTTCATCGTATCTTGAATGGCTTCTTCCTTTTCATTTTCCTTAAATGTTTAATATCCTGAGCAAGTCCACCTGAGCCATTTCTCAGTCACACAGATTTTTCCCTTATATTATCTTTGTCTACCAAGTTAAGATTTTCCTATAGCTCTTCACAGAGCCCAGTTTCTTTCTGATTCTTTTTAGGAAGAACTAAGATTTCCCTTCCTCCCTTTCTCCCTTTCTTCCTTTCTTTTTCTTTTTTATATAGAAGAAAAAAAAATCCCCAAATGTCCCACTTACTCCTTTGCTGCTTTTTCTGTCTTGGTTTGTCGCCCAGGCTGGAGTGCATTAGTGCCATCTCTGCTCACTGCAACCTCCGCCTCCCGGGTTCAAGGAATTCTCCTGCCTCAGCCTCCTGAGTAGCTGGGACTACAGGCTTGTGCCACCATGCCTGGCTAATTTTTGTATTTTTAGTAGAGATGGGGTTTCACCATGTTGGTTAGGCTGGTCTCGAACTCCAGACCTCAGGTGATCTGCCCACCTCGGCCTCCCAAAGTGCTGGTATTATGGGTGTGAACCACTGTGCCCGGCCTGCAAGTCCTAATTCTTTTTTTTTCCTTCAGTTGCTTTAGGGGTACAAGAGGTTTTTGGTTACCTGGATGAATCGGATAGTGGTGAAGTCTGACTGCGCCCATTACCCAGGTAGTGCACATTGTACCCAATTATGTAGTTTGGTTAATCCCTCACCCCCCTCCCAACCTCCCACCTTCTGAGTCTCCTATGTTCTTTATATCACTCTGTGTGCCTTTGTGTGTCCATAGCTTAGCTCCCACTTATAAATGAGAACAAACACTATTTGATTTTCTTTTTTTGAGACAGAGTTTCACTCTTGTTGCCCAGGCTGGAGTGCAGTGGCACAATCTTGGCTCACTGCAACCTCTGCCTCCTGGGTTCAAGCTATACTCCTGCCTCAGCCTCCCGAGTAGCTGGGATTACAGGCATGTGCCACCATGCCCGGCTAACTTTGTACTTTTAGTAGAGACAGGGTTTCTCCATGTTGGTCAGGCTGGTCTCGAACTCCCGACCTCAGGTGATCCACCCACTTCAGCCTCCCAAAGTGCTGGGATTACAGGTGTGAGTGAGCCACCATGCCCGGCCCACTATTTGGTTTTCTATTCCTGCATTACTTCACTTAGAATAATGGCCTCCAGTTCCATCCAAGTTGCTGCAAAAGACATTTTTCATTATTTTTCCTGGCCAAGTAGCATTCCATGATGTATATATAGCATATTTCTTTATCCACTTATTGGTTGATGGACACTTAGGTTGGTTCCATATCTGTGCAATTGTGAATTGTGCTGCAGTAAACATATGTGAGCAGGTGTCTTTTTGATATAATGAGGAAGTCCAAATTCTAAATTCAATTCCCTTTCTTCCATGGCTTAGGTTTGCTGACTACGTGTAATAGTCTACTTAATCAATAGTCAAGGAGCAATATTCTTAGTTTTGTAACTATGGTTAAGCTCTGGGAAGAGAAAAGAAAAAGACACATTGTTTTCATACTGGTTTTATTTCAAAACAAACTCAATTACCATATATTGGAAAAACCATTTTCTCAAGTTCAAGATGACACAGGTGACCTGTGTTCTGGAGAAATACATGTGTTCATTCATGTCAGTCTCCTTCCTTGATGGTGTTCTGCCAGGAAAGGCAAGCACTGCCAACCAGGCAGTAGACCACATCTGGCAGTCACTGTGCTTGTTGGTCACACACAGGAGCGTTTGTGTATCCTGTGCCCTCCTGGAATTTCCTTTGAACTCTCAGGAGAGTCAGAGCTTTGGACACACATCATCTGCAGTTCAAAGTATTCAGAAGCAATTAGACTGCAGCTTTCAGTCAATTAGTTAACTACCTTTTAAAAGGCAATGTGTTTATGTGATCTGAAGAGAAATCAGAGAATTTACCTGCCTTTCTATCATTTTGACAGCAGCTTGTCTTTTCAATGACATTCTCAGGAATAAAAATTCCTCGTACATGAATAATCTCCAAACATCATCATCAGAAATAGTACCAATTATGTGTGGTCACAAGTGTGTTCCCTCAGGGTGATCTGGGAAAAAAAGAAGCAACACGAAACCAAACAAGCAGAGCAAAGACCACTGTCCTTATAGTTCCTACTGAAAAGCAAAAACAAACAAAGGAACACCTGCTTGTATGTGATGCTCCATGCTTTTGGTGGTGCTGGAAGAGCCTCGTGCCAAGTAGCACCTCCTGTGCTGGGTCAGGTTCCCCAGGCACCAGTGCTTTTTCCACACGCCCTCTCATATCATTAGAGACAAGTGCCCTGACCTGGATGTGATGGGCCTTGACTTTTGGTGTGATCTCAACAAAGTCAGTGCACTCTCAGTATTTCTAGTATTTCTATTTTTTTTGGATGCTTGGATTAGAGAAATAAATATAAGGCGTTGGTTCATTAAATTCCAAAATCATTGCAGAGCTTCTTTATTCAACATATATGAGAAGAGAGAGAGAGAGAGAGGAGCTGACTTCCTCAGGCTGTTTAGCTGGTTGGTGTTGTATGCTGTGTGTTTTTGCTTTTCTTCTCTAGTATCCCCAGCCTTCTCCAGTTGAGGAATTTGGGACTCAGACGGGCTTTGTGGAGCTCCATCAAGGATTCAGAGCCAGTCAGCAGAGAAGACAGGACTGGATCTCGGGTCTGTCTGACTCCATATGCTTTTCTCCCCTTCCTGTCTACACTGCCATGTGCGAGACAGATTTATTTGGGAATCAGGACAACATTTGATGAATTGAGAGCTAAAAATGGATAGACAAATGTCAAGCTCATTTGCCTGGCCACTTCTGTATCCTTTAAATTCTAATTGCCCCTCTCCAGTAATACCAAGAAACATGAGTGCTTAGCATATGCCAGAAACACTATCAAAGTTACTTACCCATATTAAGACTTTTAATCCTTATAGCAACTCTGTGAGGACTGTACTGTCTCATCTCTATTCTGCACCCAAGGAAACTGAAGCAGGAGAGGACCTACCTCTTGCAGGCTTGGGATGTGAGTCCAGGCAGGTGGCTTCAAAGCCTGTTCTTAACCACCTCACAATACTTCCTCCCATCTCCTCTTCTCACCTACTGCCTCTCCTCCCCTCCTATGACCACGTCTGTGGCCATCCCACCAATATCCTCGCCTTAGGCCTGCCCTCTCCAGAGTTCTACAGACAGTGGGATGAATCTGGCAAGTTCCTTCAGGCCCTCAGTTGCCTGGAACTGATCTGATTTGCTACTACACAGTAACAGAGCTTAGGACATGTGGAAGAAAATTAAGGATAATAAGGAAGCATGGAGGGGGGAGAATCTTTGGAAGAGAAGATGTTGATATATTCATTTATCACTCAATAATTTCATTGAGATTTCACTGGGTACAAAACATTGTTCCAGCCAGATGTTGGAGGAGGACACAAAATGGTTCACAAGGTCTCAGCCTTTAAGGAACATAGGATCTGACAGGAAAATAAAGCAGAGAGCATTATGTTTTGAAATGGTAAGAGTTGAAGATACTCAAGGAAAACATCATCTGTCATTACCGGAGCACACTGAGAAATGCTGGGATGAATCTGAGGTTCAATCAAACACATTAGCACACATCCAGGGCCATCCACACCTGGTGATGGGCCGGGCAGGGCAGCAGACAGCAGGCCCCAGCCCCCTTGCTTCTGTACCCAGCACACATCCAAGTGGCTGCACATGGCCCTGTGCCTGCAGGGAGCAAATTTCTCCAGACTTGGTTGTTGATACTTCAGCTTGAGAAGATGTCCAAGGAATTGGGAACGTGGCTTCTAAACTGAGACATATGGAAAAAGAATCACATTTGAAGTGGTGTTTGAATCATACTCTAAAATTTTTGTAAAATTTAGGAAAAATACCACTTAATTTTTTTTCACATTTCCTGAAAATTATCAAGAATGCAACATTTGTCATTACAGTCTAAAGGATTGTGAGGGAGCTCATGGTTAGTCACAGTTTTGAGGGCACTTAAAAAATAAAACTGATTGGGAGGCCGAGGCAGGCAGATCGCAAGGTCAGGAGATCGAGACCATCCTGGCTAACACGGTGAAACCCCATCTCTACTAAAAATACAAAAAATTAGCCAGGCGTGCTGTCAGGCACCTGTAGTCCCAGCTTCTGGGGAGGCCGAGGCAGGAGAATGGCGTGAACCCAAGAGGCTGAGCTTGCAGTGAGCCAAGATGGTGCCACTGCACTCCAGCCTGGGCAACAGAGGGAGTCTCCGTCTCTAAATAAATAAATAAGTAAATAAATAAATAAATAAATATAAGAAAACTGAACACTGGGAGGCAAAAGAGGTCACTGGAAAAATGAAGTTAAAGAGGCATCTTATCTGGCCTGATTTTTAAAAGCACTATTGAAAACTTTGAACACCTGTGAAAACAACCTTTTCCTATTTCTGGGAAATTTTGCCTCTTTTCTTTCTCATCTCTCATTAAAAACAAAAACAAAAACAAAAACAAAAAACAAAAAATGTATTTTGGTTGCTGTGCACAACAGTTACTTTAGAATATTTAAAAATGAATTTTCAAATCATCTGGTAAAGTTTCTGAAAGGCTTTGCTATTGCTCAGAGGCTGTGTCGCTCATTGTGACTTGGATTTTCCCCATTTTATACTTACCTGTGACTCCATGGGGCTGAAATACAATTTCAACCTAGTCTCACGGTTACACATGGAAGAAGAAAATATGTGTTATCTTTTCTGGGCTTTAGTTTGAATGGGAGCTTCTGATCCAAATGTGCAGCTTCCTCTGCATGCCCCCATGTTCATGTCCTGCCATCATTTTTGGTTTGTGATTAGAAGTGCAACCATACTTTGTTGACTCTGCTTCTGTTCAAACCCATAGAAAGCAGAGCAAAGGGCTGATCCCTTCTTGGCCTTTATTCTACTTTTTGTGTTTTGTTTTGTTTCGTTTTGAGATGCAGTCTCGCTCTGTTGCCCAGGCTGGAGTGCAATGGCATGATCTTGGCTGACTGCAACCTCTGCTTCCCAAGTTCAAGTGATTATCCTATCTCAGCCTACCATGTAGCTGGGACTACATCACACGCCACCATGCCCGGCTAATTTTTGTATTTTTAGTAGAGACAGGGTTTCACCATATTGTTCAAGCTGGTCTTGAACTCCAGACCTCAGGTGATCCACTTGCCTTGGCCTCCCAAAGTGCTGAGATTATAGGTGTGAGCCACAGTGCCCAGCCTTTTATCCTACTTCTAAAGCTTTTATTTTAGATAATGAGGATGTAACCTAGATTATTAATTTGGTTCCTTCTGCTCAGTCCAGTGGGACAGTATCTAGGATTTATGAATGTGTTGTTGCTAGGTGCATGGAACTAGATCCTGCTTTAATAAGAGCACAGGCAAGCAGCTATGGGCTGAATGGAGTAGGAAGACCACCACTCATGATATTTTATTTAAATATTAAAAATATGTTCTTAGTAGAGTAGAAAATTGTGATAATAATAAATGGGCACAAGCTCTCCATCTCGATATGCTTTTTGATGTGTCTGGACATGTCCCACAGTAGGTAGATTGGGACAGAAGAGTGCAGAGCCCTAAGGGAACCAATCAAAGGCGAGCTTGCAGGTCTGCTGTGGGGGGCAGGTAGTCAGGCAAAGCCACAGAGAAGTGCAGACAAGTGCAGGCTTAAGCTGGGACTGGCTGGCTCAGCTTGTGAGGCACAGGGCACTTCAGAGGCTGAGCAACCAGTGAGAAGGCAGGGAGCTCATTAGAGGTGTGGTGAGGGAAATGCCATCAGCAGGGACCTCTATGGATTAGGAAGAGAGGAAAGATACGGCATTTACCTGGAAGAACTAAGATGTTAATTTAGCAAACTTAGAGGAAACTGTTCAGGGCAGCCTCTCTTTAGGATGGGAGAGAAACAAAGAAGGAGAGAAGACAATGTAAAATGGTTTGAGTTGCTTTAATTATAAGGACAAGGATAGCTAAGGTGTGGTGAAAAGGCCACCAGTGCCAGGCGCAGTGGCTCAAGCCTATAATCCTAACACTTTGGGAGGCCGAGGCAGGCGGGTCACTTGAGGTCAGGAGTTCGAGACCAGCCTGGCCAACATGGTGAAACCCTCTCTCTACTAAAAGTACACAAATTAGCTGGAAATCGCTTGAACCCAGGAGGCAGAGGTTGCAGTGAGCTGAGATCATGCCACTGCACTCCAGTCTGGGCAACAGAGCGAGACTCTGTCTCACAAAAAGAAAAAAGGCCACCAGGTCGGGTTAAAGGACCTGGTCAGTGCATCACAATCTGCTGTATTAGAATATTGTAACTGCCCGACGGGTTCTTCCTGCTCACTGCACAAACAAAATCAATTCACAAAGACACAAAGACCGTAGCATTACAGTGAAGAAAGAGTTTAATAGACATGAGGTTGGCCATGCCACATGGGAGACAGAGTTATTATTCAAATCAATCTCATCGAAGGCTTGGAGATTAGGGGTTTTTCAAAGGTTATTTGGCTAGGCAATGGGTGCTTACAGCTGATTGATGGGGGTGGAGATGAAATCATAGGTAGTTGAAGCTGTTCTCTTGTGCTGAGTCACTTCTGGGTGGGGCCACAGGAGCAGGACCCACAAGGTGGTCCAAGTGAAGCCACTGGTGTCAGACATGCAATAAACATGAAAATATATCTCAAAAGGCCAATCTTTTGGCCTTTTGAGCCAAATGTTATCTGATGTTATCTGCGGGAATAATTGGGTAAGCTGTGACTTCCAGAGTAATGGCTGGCAATCATTTGTGTCTACACCTTAGCAGAATTGAGGCTCCTGTCTTCCTCCTAGCCTGGTGGTCTTTCATTAGCTTTACAAAGGTGGTTAAATTTGGGGGAAGAGCTATTATCATTAAACTATAAACTAAGTGTCTCCCAAAACTGGCCCAGCCTAAGCTCAGGAATAATTAAGACAGCTTGAAGGCTAAAGGCGAGAGTGGGGTTGACTAGATCAGATTTCCTCCACTGCCATAATTTTCTCACTCATATAATATTTGCAAAGGTGGTTCCAGTATGACCAAAACACCCCACGTACAAACACATACTGTTGGGTAGTATAATAAATAGGCCAAGACTGTGCTGCTCTAGTCAGTTCACACAGAACAAGGTTTAGGGAGGGGTTTGGGATAGGTAGCCACTGCAGAAGAAAATGAAGTCATGAAGGCTCAAAACACAACTTTTGGGAAAAAGATTAATTAGAGACTGCACACTCAAGATAGCCTCTGGGTCTTGCTGACCCAGAGCTTCTCTGTTGACTTGAGTGATAACTCATGTGTTTCCATACTTGTGTTATCTTTCCAAATCTACCCTAGCTTTGCTGCTTGCAAGGAAATCCTAGTTTCCAAGGAGCAAGGCTTGGAAAATACATGTACGCACCTGCTTTCTCCAAGCACTCTAGGCAGCTGCCCCTTGGGCTGTTCTCCCACTCTTACCTCCCCAGAGGCTGGGCTGCTGGAGCGTTTGCAAAACACCAAGAAAACTATAGCATCCATCCACCAGTTTCCAGATGGTCTCCCCAGCTTGATAATGGCTCCCTGGTGAATACAGAATGGATCATGACAGAGGCAGGAATTTGTGGTAGCTGTAAAGTGGAGAGAATAATCTGGAAATAACATCCAAGATCTCGCAGGAAACTGTTCCATACATAGAGGGCTCCAGATGAGTGAAGACTTGCCCGTTAGTCACAGTTGCTCCTCTCACTGTGTCCAAGAGAGGACTGGTCCTCTGTTGTCCCGAGGCAGGGGAGAATCACTAGGGCACAGCATGCTCCAACAAGGCCCTTTCCTATTGCTAATCGAGGTCAAGCAACACCTTGGCTTCTGTTTGTGCAGAAAGCAGACAAAAGGTTGGTTTTTGTTTTGTTTTGTTTTGTTTTGAGATGGAGACAGAGTCTCACACTGTCACCCAGGCTGGAGTGAGGTGGTGTGATCTCCACTCACTGCAATCTTCACCTCCTGGGTTCGAGCAATTCTTGTGGCTCAGCCTCCAGAGTAGCTGGAATTACAGGAGCCCACCACCATGCCTGGCTAATTTTTGTATTTTTAGTAGAGACGGGGTTTCGCCATTTTGGCCAGGCTGGTTTCCAACTCCTGACCTCAGGTGATCCACCTGCCTTGGCCTCCCAAAGTGCTAGGATTACAGATGTGAGACACCACACCCGGCCATGTTTTTAGTCATCTCTTGTGGGGATGGGAAATGATAATACTACTTGAACTTCTCATAGGTTAGGCTTTCTTATGGGTTAAGTGCTTTAGAGCATTGTTTTGCTGTCTCTTCTCTAACCATTATGGAGATTTGGGGAGCTCCTTCAGACCCCCAATAAACTTGTTTGTGGAGGCCTAGGGAGTTTCTTCAGACCTTCAATAAAACTTGTTTAATCCTAAACAGGTCCTGTTAAGAAGTTTTTCATTGTCTTGTCATGCTTTGAGGCCCAGGAAAGGCAAAACTCTTGGTGGGCTTTTGTTACATTCCAGCCTTTGTGTAAGGACATTGGCTTTATCAGATTTTAATATATAACTTAACTACTCAGTCAGTACTGACACAGTTGTTATGGAGGCCTGCCTGTTCACCCGTTAGGGAGGCATGGCCTGCCACAATTGGGCCCATGACCTGATGGTGCGAGGCCCTATAATTGTCACAGGCTAGGAGACTTCTCCTGTTTGCACCAGGATCAGCAGAGACCAGGGAAGCTGCTGGGTCCCTGCTGGTGAGTTGCATTCAGGAGCCTGTGACAGGAAGAATTACCAAAGATAAGACCATGCCTGTGGGCAAGATGCTTGCTGGTTGATTTATTCTCCAGGTAAGCGTGTAAATAACTGAGAAGAGAGACCAAAGGTGCAGAGATGGAGCATACTGATTAGGAGCTGATGGACTGGTCTGTTCACAGAGCAATGGGGATGGAGGACTCTTACGCGTGAGAGTTGTTCAAATGTGCCTTCTCTCTGCCTCCTGAATTTCTGTTATGGTTCCTGTTTCTTAATTTTGTTCTTACTATTGAAGATGATTATTTGAATAAACATGATTTATTTGTACACTTTTTCACACGTTGGAACAAGCATCTTTTGTCAGACCTTGTGTCCCAATGTTTATGGCATAAAATACAGTGACTAGTATTGTGTGGCCCTCTGCCTGGGGCAGAGAGCCCAGGAGCCGTTCTTGGGGTAGCCCCAGTTGCGGGCAGCTCTGAACTCTGGCTAAGACACCAGGGGATGGAGTTGAATCTAACATCTTCAAGCTCAATGCACATGCGGTGGTTCTGTCTCCTGGTGTCCCTCCTGTAAGCCCTCCGTTTTTCCTAGGGCTGCTGGCAAAGCAAAAGTTAAAAGTGGTTCCAGCAGACACAGGCCCTCCAGCTGCCAGCAATTAGCTTCCCCAGCTCTTCCCACAGGAACCTCCTGCTGACTTAATGAGCTAAATGCAGGAAGGTTGTCTCCTCTGGTAGGTGTCTCCCTGGGCAGGAAGATGCTCTGGGAGGGCCATGTGTGAGCTCCAAACTGACTCCTACACCGTGTCAAAGAGCTCAGCCCACTGACACATGCCTCACTTTGAAACCGAAACCCAATTCTAAACTTCCAGTCAGAAGCGAGCTAAGAGAAAGATGGAGACAACAGAAATAAGCCAATTTTTCAACAGTAAAAAATGCCTTACTGGCCTGTGTACCTGTTTCCCTATGGACAAAGGAGTATTTCTCACCTTCTGCCATAGCAGAGCCAGCACTCTACATAGACACAGAGCTTTTCAAAGCCTCCAGAACGCATCTTCCTACCAGGATACCACAGTACTTACAATGCCCAAATAAAATTCCAATCTCTCTAATTGAATATAAATGTATGGAATAAAGTTTTGGAATTTAACACTACTCAAACATTTGTTGTTTTGTTTCCTTCTTGCAGCTTTTCTGTTCTACTAAGGCTAGGGCTAGTGATTAAGGCTTATTGCTCCAGGGAAGGGGAGGGTTGATGATTAGTTTTGCATTTCAATCTCAGCTCTTGAATTTCAAATTAGACTTTAAAAATTTCATCATGAGTTAATCATATTCATTTAAGTAAATGGAAGGCTTTTTTAGAATTCCTAAAGCTGGCTTTACAATGAAGAATCATGGAAGTATTCCAGCTAAGAAATTAAGAAGAAATGATAGGATTCGAATAACACAATTTAGAGTGCTTAATGTATTAATATATCTAGGTAATGGCCATCAATGGCTGCTAACTTCATGAAAAGGGAGACAATCAGACATTATGTTCCTCCTGATGGAAGAATACTCCATTACTTACCGTATGTTCTTGGAAAAAACGATGACAATAAGAACTAAATTTGTTGAAGCCTCTAGGTCCAACTTCCAATTTATAGAAGATAAGAGAAAGGAACTTGTTAAACTATACCTTGGGGATGCAATCAGCAAAATCCAGACTATTGGAAAATCCACAAGCCCCACTGCTTGGTTTCTCCAACAAATAAGTAGCAAGAAAAGAAGAGAGGTGGAGAGAGATTTTAGATAAAAGAGATGTGAGTGGCATAACCAGTTGTAATGTATAGATATTATTTAGATTCTAATTTAAGCAAATTATAAAAACATGATATTTATGAGATAATTAAGAATTTGAACAATGGATTGTTGAAAATCCTTAGTTATTTTCTAGTGAGGTTTTAGCAGGTCAAGGGCCCACTAAGGTGATATTTTAGGGCCTAAGGCCCTTGACCTGTTAAAGGTTCACTAGAAAATCACTGACAAGGGGCGGATTGATTAATAGGAGAGAAATCATACAAATGTATTTAACGTGTATACACAGGGGCCTTTGGAATGAAGACCCAACCCGCCAATGAGGTACAGAAGCCTCTATGCCACCTGGAGGTTACAGAAAGAATGAGGGTTCAGGGCATGGCTAAAAGCAGGTTTTAATGCCAAGACAGGTTATAAGAGGGAGAGAGGAAGTGGCTTGTTCACAAGCAGCAACAGTGGCCTTGTTATATAGAGGAAATTTTCCAGGTGGTAGCTGTCAGAGAGAATGGATGGTAAATATCTCTTTTTCAGACATTTAAAGGTGTCAGACTCTCAATTAATCTCTCCTAGATTCAGGAAAGACCTAGAAAGAGATGGTCTGATTGCATTGAGGGAGGTTGTCTGCAGATACAAATCTCCCCCACGAAAGACAGTTTTGCCAGGGCACGTCAATCTGCTGGCCTTGGGGCAGCTATTTCAAAATAAGTGAAAGAAATATATTTTGGAGTAAAATATTTTATTCCTTTCAATATTAAGGAATAATTGTCACTTTTTTGCTGTGTTATTGGTATTGTGGTTATGTTAAAAAATGAGTTTTTTTTTTTAACGTAACTGAAAATTTGATGGATGAAATACATACTGAAAAAATGACAGGCAAACTTGTATGGGATTTGCTTCAAAATAATACGGGAATTTTAAACCAAAAATAAAATTCTAAGCCCCCCAGCCATCTAAATGGACCCCTTTTCTCAGAAAGGGCATTCCAAAGTTAACCTAAAACACGAGTTCAGGCCATGATGAGAAGAAGGAGCTGGACATGCCTCGTGATACCCTCTTCCCTTTTGGAATTACTGATAGAACAAACTCTATGTTTGATAAGAAACATTTACAATCTATTCTCTCTGAAGCCCACTACCCAGAGGCTTCATCTGCATGATAAAACCTTGGTTTCCACAACCCCTTATCCTAACCCAGACATTCCTTTCTATTGATAATAACTCTTTCAACCAATTGCCAATCAGAAAATATTTGAACCTGCCTATGACCTAGAAGCCCCTACTTCCAGTTGCCCTGCCTTTCTTGGGTGAACTGATGTATATCTTGCATGTATTGATTGATGACTTATGTCTCCCTAAAATCTATAAAACCTAGTTGTAGCTCAGCCATGCTTGGGCACATGTTCTCAGGATCTCCTGAGGGCTGCGTCAGAGGCCATTGGTCACTCATATTGAGCTCAGAATAAATCTCTTCAAATATTTTACAGAGCTTGACTCTTTTTGTCAACAGAATGGAATGTGGATGGGAGTGTAGGGGCCAAGGGAAATCATCCCCCTCACCTTGTGACCATTTGCTAAAAATCACTAAGAGGCAGATTAACGGGAAGAAAAGCATACAAATTTATTTGATCATAGTGACCCAACCCCCTACAGGGAGCAGAAGCTAATATACTGTCTTGAAGTTACATAGAAAATAGAGGCTTGGACCTTGGCAAAAAAAGGTTTATGGGAGTGGGAGGAGAGGAGGCCTGGCTAGTAGAGGCTAGTAGAGTGTTATGTAGATGAAACCATACAGGTAGCAGCCATCAGAGAGGGTAGATGGGAAATGTTTCTTTCAGACTTTTAAAGGTCTTTCAGACTTTCAGTTAATCTTAGACCCCACAGGGGAAGACCTGGCTGCACTAATGCAGATTGTCTACAAATGCAAATTTCCCCTGCAAAAGACAGCTTTGCAGGGCTACTTCTTTCTGCTGGCTCACTGACAGCCATCGCAAAATATGGCAAAGAAATATATTTTGGGGTAAAATATTTTTATTTCTTTCAAGGGTACAGATAAACCAAGATTAGCTATAATTACTGCAGTTGGGGAACATACATGGGGATTTTAAATACTATTCTGCTTCCTTTTGTGTGTCTCTAAGATTCTCCATAAGAAAAAGTCTTAAAAATGAAGTCATATATTGAATTGCAATGATAATGCAAGTTTCCATCCTAATATTCAAGAATAATCTGGATTTCAAATTGTTTCATGGGCTATCACAACTAGATACTTGATGTTCTTTCACTTGGAAGACTATTACTCATTCCAAAATATTAGAAGGCTTTGTTCATCTAACAAGTACATCAAGGTCACCCCCAACTGTTAGTCAGTACATTCTTAAAGTACAAGGGTGTTGTTATGCCTCTGAAAGCAAACATAAACTAGGCTATCTCTTATAGAGAAGTTGGGAATTACAAAATGCAATGCTTGCGCCAATAGGATATGAGCTCTGGCCCATAATGTATATAAAACTCTAGGGATGGTCACAGAAATCATGATTTGGCCTGGATTGCTTGTGTCTATTTCAATCCTTAGGAATTATCAATACCTAGATTTAAAATGACTAGATAGGACATAAAGAAAAAGATACAACTTTGAAAGAAAGAGACAAAATTAAATAGCCTATGATGATTGCTGGGACAGTGTTGTTCAGCTATTAATATAAATTATTATTAATATTTACTGAATTACTTTAACATATACTACCTATATCTTCCTTTATTTAGCACACTTAAGAACTGTGTGCTAATACTAGTGAAAAGACTTGATGTTTATTTAGAATTTATTTGAAATTATTAAAACATCACTGCTAATTTGCTTGTACAATGCTTGCAGAATTTTAAAGTAATTGAACATAAAGTAATTTCCTTTGAGTAACTTCTAGGCACAATAGACAGAATAGTTTTAAAACATCTTCCATAGAGTTCCCTTAACCATAAAGGTCTTTTAAAGATTTATGAATCGTATGAGAAAAAGTATCATCCAGAAAAACACCAGGATAGCTAAATAGTAGAACGGAGACCTTTATTGGTAATATCTGTTTGCAAACCAAGGGCAGTATCTGGTGTGTACTGCAGGTGCTCTGTTTTTGAGGAGGGAGAGAGCAGGTTGGTGTCTATGCCTCACAGGGCCTGTATTATACAACAGAATCACACAAATTTGACAGGTTTGGGGGAAAAGCTATACATATTTATGAGGGGAGTCAAGGGCATGTATGTAACATACACCCCATATTTACTTTGGGGCAGGGCTTTAGCATCAAAATGAGGTGGAATTTGCCTCTTTACATCAAAAGGTTAACTATGGGACATAAAGAGACAGTTTGTGTGCAGCCTCTATAGAAGCTACTGAAACCAGCTTAAGGTCTGACATTGCTTATCAGAAAAGGATGTTTGTAAGGCCAGTTCTCTGTCCAGTCAGAGTTGTAATGGTCTAGGTTGTAAATCACAGTTAGCAGGGGTTTGATTATCTGCCTGATAGCTCCTGTTGTTAGGGAGTTTAGCAAGAGTATGGTTTTTCCTGTGGCCATAAGGACTAGGAAGTTGCCATCCAACCAAACCCTAGACCCCCAACCTGTAAGTAACTTTTGCTTCCTTATCCTTAGCACCCATCTTAGTAGACAGAGAGACATCTATTTTGGTCTCTAAGGTCACAAGGGCATTTGACAGCTATGCGCTTGTTATTATTTGTGATAAGTTGGTGGCTCGCCCTTGCTGTTCTGCTAAGGCCAGAAACTGGATATCCTGTAAGTGGCTTTCACGGCAGTATTAGATTCTAATTCTTTCAAAAAGTTCATGCAAGTTTGGGTCTATAACGGTATTTCCATCTTTCAGGACAATGATGGCGTTGACATTTTGAGGCTATTAAATATATCAGTCTAATTTGAATGGTACTTCCTAAAGCCCTTCCTCTGTACTCAGTCTCAGGTAGACTGAGTTTATGGTGTGGTTCCTGTTCTCTCTCTGCTCATGTGAGGCTACACATATGTGAAATAAAAATAAAAACTCAGGACCCCAGTTCACTCTGCCAAAGGAAAAAATTAAGCTGAAACCTGAGTCTTGCGCGGAGCTATCTTTCCTTCTGTTCTTAAGCAGAGAGCTACAGATAAAAGATTAAATATCTCCACAAGTAGCTACTCTATGTTCACCTTACCTTATGTAAAAATGCTAATTTACTGGACGAACACATAGTTGACTATTCTCCTACTGGCTCCTTTTCTCTTGAAAAATGTGGATTCAGGATTGTGACCATATCCTCCCTCTTGCCCCTCCAGCCCACTTTTCACTTTTACATATTGAAGCCCTCAAAATCATCTTTGGAGAAAGGCACAGACCACAGACTGGTTCTGTGATTCCATGTTTTTCCTCCCGGGCATGTCCTTAACCTTGGCAAAATAAACTTCTAAATTGATTGAGACCTGTCTCAGACACTTCTTGGTTTACACATATGAGAATGAACAACAGCTAATCAAATGCTAAAATGTACCTGACCTCCTGTTGCTATGGAAGGCCAGGAATAGGAGACACCTATGCTGCCTCCAGGCATCAGGAAGACTTCAAGGAGGAGGCAGTGTTTGGGCTGGATCTGGGAGGATGTGCAATATTTAAAAAGAGAAGACAAGAGAGGGTGTTTCCAGCACTGAGGGTAAAGGGTAGGATATGTGGTTTTCGACAGCCTGTGTATGAATCAGTTTCCCCAGGCCCACCAGCCTGTGGTACTAATGAGGTCACAGTAATATTAGCAGTGTGCATTTTGCTAGTTTTTCAGCATAGCCACGTTAACTGTTTTTAAGCGTATAGCACAGGGGCATTAAGTACATTCACGTTCTTATAACACATTCTCATTTAATTTTTCACAACTTAAAATCCTTGATACTAGCCATACAAGGAGAAGGATAAATTTAAAGAGTATATCAGTTATCACCTAAAAAGATAAAGGCTGCTAGTGGGTTTTTATGGTAGGGGGTGGGGGCTTGTTTATATCTCAAGTTGTTGTTTTCTTTTTTTTCGATACGGAGTCTCACTCTGTTGCCCAGGCTGGAGTGCAGTGGCCCGATCTCGGCTCACTGTAACCTCTGCCTCCTGAGTTCAAGCAATTCTCGTGCCTCAGCCTCCTAAGTAGCTGGGATTACAGGTTCGTGCCACCACACCCAGCTAATTTTTTTGTATTTTTAGTAGAGACAGGGTTTTGCCATTTTGTCCAGGCTGCGCCCGGCCTCAAGTTTTAATCTAGGAATTATGCCAATTAAATGCTGAGTTCCTAGAGAGAAATTATTTTGTTAGACTTTCTTCTCAAGTTCAGGATTTTCCAAGTTAGTGAATTTACTGTATTTAGGATTAACAAGAAAGTTTCCATTTTAACCCCAGATGACAGATCTCTTTAGCTGGCCGTAACTAGGGAGTCTCTCTGGCAGCAGGAGGTTAAGAATAGAACAGATTATCAATGGAGGTTGTGAAATTGCTTTCCCGGGAAGAACTTTGTGAGCAAGAGGAGATACTATTTGCCTGAAATGATTGATTCAGTTCTTCAGTACTGAGCTTTTCAACAAAAGAGCAATCTGGTTTCTTAGCAGAGGGAAGCCTTGACTGATGTGGGCCCCTTGTGTGATCTGCCCCTGGGAAGTGTGGAGGAAAGTTAATACTGAATGTACTCATTCGAAGGGAGGCAGCACAAGGATAAAGCAATCAGACTGATCAGACGACCACTGTTTCCTGCGCAGGGACAGACTGTCCATTCCCTTGCCTGTCATCACTGGCCACCCTCTGTTCCAGGCTGGGCCACTGCCGTCTGATCCTTTGTTATATGAACAGACCAACAAGCATTTAGGAATTCGTTTTGTTGAGGAAAACAACTTAGCCCTTAATAATTTTAGGAAAAACCAAGAGGATTATCAAAGTATTATATTTTAAATGGTACAATGTCTCATGAAATTCCATGTCTGACTCCTTTGGGAAAAACACCAGGAAGATAAGATCTCATTCAGTTGTTCTGTGTTCATTCCATCAACAGGGACATGATACGATAGGTCCTGGCTAGTTCCACGGGGAATACACTGGTGAGTGTGGAGGACACAGGGGATGGCCTCAGAGTCGTTCTTTCTGTGTGTCTTTCTGCTCTTGCACCTTCATCTTTTGCACTCCCTTATAACTAAGGCTCCTGGGATTCAACAATCACACACCCTGAGTGTGGAGAGGCTGAGTGAAACTGCAGGTGTCTTTGCTGCATTCTCTCCTGTTTCTGGCAGGGAGGGTCCTACAGGTGTTTGTATCTTTGTGCATAGTACCAGACATCCCGGTGGCCATGTGCTAGTTTCATCGGTGATGTGAGGCTGCTATGGGGCACCTGATTTTTGCTCATTCTGGTCTAGCAGTACAGTTCTGGAGCCAACCATTCTGCACGCAGCTTCCCAGTCCCTTCACCATGGCATTTGATTCCCCCATTTGACTGTGGCAGAGGCAGCAGCTCCCCTGGAAGGCCAGTTCTGTAGTATTATATGTTCTACCTCTACATTTGGAATGAAAACCCATACTTGGGATATAAACAACTTCCAAAAATCACAGATACTATTTTATATATAGTTTTTATGGTGGTAGAAATATTATTTTTTGTTTTGAACTTATACATGTTTTCCAATTTATTTTCATATGTATTGTTGAGTTCTTGGATGTAGAGTATTTTCCCTTTAAGGGAAGGTCATTTTCTTTTGAATATCCTCAATCCTTGTTCGACTAGAGGGTGGGTCCTGAAGGGGCTGCTATAATGGAGCATCTTTCATAACTATGTAAGCCTCTCATTGATGTCCACTCACAGAAACAATTTGGATGTCACAGGATCTGCTACTCCAGGTAGGCAAACACACCAGGCACTTTGAAGGGAGGATACTTAAAACAGACTACTGTAGCAGGGACTAGCAAGAAAATACTGTTCATGTCTCTAATCAAAATTGAGAGAGCAAAGAAATTGTCTTATAAAATGAAGATTTAATTCTTGTCTTCATGTAAGCAGAGAGGTTTTAGTGCTTTTAAATGCACAGTTAAACATAAAACAATCAAACTTTGCATTGTAATAGACTAAAGAGGCTAAGATGCACCATAAACATCCCTTTAAGTCTCAGAAGTGCCCTGTATGGCTAGTTATAAAAGTCAGCAAGCTCTCAGGTGATGACTTAGTGAGAGCAAAACTTTCCAGCAGGAAGGGTGAGGTGAGAGAGGGAAGAAAAGGATGGAAGATGTCAAGTTGAAGAATTCTTTCCCTAGTCCTGAAGATTTTTTTCCTATATTCTTTTCTAGAAGTTTTATAGTTTTATGTTTTACATTTAAGTTCATAATCTATTTTGAGTCTTTTTTTTTAGGTGTAAGATTTTGGTCACTATTTTGTATGTTTCTTTTTGGTTTTGTTTTGCCTATGGATGTCCTATTGATCTAGGACTATTTATTGGAAAGGCTATACTTCCTTCAGTGAATTGTTTGGCTCCGTTGTTAAAAATTAGTTGGCTAGGTGCGGTAACTCACGCCTGTAATTCCGGCACTTTGGGAGGCTGAGGCAGGTGGATCACCTGAGGTCAGGAGTTCAAGACCAGCCTGGCCAACATGGCGAAACCCCATCTCTATTAAAAATACAAAAATTAGCTGGGCATGGTGGTGCACGCCTGTAATCCCAGCTACTCAGGAGGCTGAGGCAGGAGAATCGCTTGAACCCGGGAGGCGGAGGTTGCAGTGAGTCGAGATTACGCCACTGCACTCCAGCCTGGATGACAGAACAAGACTCCATTCCCCACCTCCCCCCCGAAATTAATTGGACATATTTATATAGATCTATTTCTGGGTTCACTATTTTCAGCCCCACTGGCCTGTATATTCACAAATACCACATTGTCTTAATTGCTGTATGGTAAGTCTAACTACCAGAAAGAATGATTCCTTCCACTTTCTTCTTCTTTTTAAAAATTGTTTCAGCTGCTCTAGATCCTTTCCATTTTTATATAGATTTTAGAAGAAGCTTGTCTATGCCTACAAAACAGCTTGCGGATATTTTGATAGGAATTGCATTAAAGATCAATCTAGGAAGATATGACATCTTTACAATAATGAGCCTTCCAATCCAATAACATAATATGCCTTTCCAAATATTTAGGTCTTCTTTAATTTTTTTCACCAGCATTTATAATTCTCAGCATACAGATCCTGTAACTGTCTTGGTAGATTTATTCCTAAGTAGTTAATGTTCTTTGAAAAAGTTGTAAATGGTATTGTATTTCTGATTTTTGTTTTTACTTATTTGCTGTCATTATATAGAAATGAAATTAATTTTTGAGTGATCATATATCCCATGAAATTAGTGAAATTATTTATTAATTCTAGGAGGCATTTCATAGGTTTCTTGGGATTTTCTGTTTAGCCAATTATATCAGCTACGGACAGTTCATTTATTTTTTACCAATGTGTATTAGCTTTATTTTTCTTGCCTTAATGCAATGACTAGAACTTCCAGTACTATGTTGAATAAGAGTAGTAAGATCAGACATTCTTGCCTTTTTACAAATTTCAGAGAAAAGGCACTAAATCTTTTACTGTATGCATGTTAGCTATAGGTTTTTGTAGCTGTTCTTCATGAGACTGAGAAATTTACCCTCTATTTTCTCTTCCTATTCCCTATTTTTTCTAAGAGTTTTTATCATGAATGAGTATTAAATTTTGTCAAATGGTTTTGTGTTTTGATTATATCAATGGATAAAATCATATAATTTTTCTTCCTTAGCATGTTGATATAGTGAATTATGTTGACTGGTACTTGAATATTGAATCAGCCTTGCATATCTGGAATAAATCTCTCCTGGTCGTGGTGTACTATTCTTTTTGTGCCCTGTGGGATTCCACTTCCTAACATTTTCTAAATTTATGAGAAAAAAACTTTTTTTCCTCCCACCCTCCCTCCTTCCCCTTCCTCTTTCTCTTTTTTCCTTCTATCTTTGTCTGATTTAGCGTCATGGCAATACTGACTTTATAAAAATGAGATAATAAGTGCTCCTTCCTCTTCTATTTCTGGAAAATGTTGTGTGAAATTGGTCTTAATTCTACTTTGAATGATTGCTAAAACTTCTCCATATAACCACCTGAATTTTAAGATTTATTTTTCTGAAGTTATTCTTTATAAGTTTAATTTATTTAGTAGTTATAGGGCTGTTTAGGTTATCTTTTTTGTTTTGACTGAATTTTGGTAGTTTGTGGTTTTTGGAAAATTGGTCCATTTCTTCTAGTTGTCAAATTGATAAGTGTAAAGTTGCTTATAGCATTTCTTTATTATGTTTTTAGTAGCTGCAGGATATGTTTTTATGTCTCTAGTTTTCTTCTTGATAGTGGTGATTTATATCTTCTCTCTTTTTGTTTTTCTCAGTCTTGCTAGAGATGTATTGATGTTATTTTTTTTTTATAACCAGCTTTTTGTTTTGTTAATTTTCACTATTGTTTTCCTGTTTTAAATTTCATTGATTTCTGTTCGTTATTATTTTATTTCTTTTGCATTCTTCAGGTATATTTTACTCTTTTTTTCTAGCTTCTCAATGTAAAATCTTTGACTATTTGTTTCAGATCCCTCCTGTCATCTAATGTAAATATTTCGTGCCATACATTTCCATCTCCACACTGCTTTACTTCATCCCACAAATGTTGTATGTTGTGATTTCATTTCATTCAGCTCTCTCTATTTTTTTCTTTCCTTTGAGATTTTTCTCTTTGACCCATGGATTGTCTAAATAGTGTTACTTTCCAAGTGTTTGAATAATTTTCTGTTGTCTTTCTTTTACTGGCTAGTTTGATTCCATTGTGGCTAGAGAACATATTTGTTTAAAAAATTGGTGAAGGTAGATTTTATGTCCCAGGATATTGTTTTTCTTGATGAATGTACCACAGGCACTGAAAAAGAATGCATAGTCTATAGTTGTTGGGTAAATATTCAATAAATGTCAATTAGATGCTATTAGTTGATGAATCCTTCTGCATCCTTGCAGATTTTTTGTCTTGTGTCTTGTAGTTCTATCAGTTTCCTAGAGTAGAATATTGAAGTTTCCAAATTACTAATTATGGATTTGTCTATTTCTCATTTCAGCTACATTGGTTTTGCTTCATTGTTATTGAATGTCTATTGCTTTGTGTAAACACATTTAGAATTGCTATGGCTTCTTGGTGGACTGATCCTTTTATCATTATGTAATGTTCACTTTTGTCCTTTTGTCCTTAGTAAAAGGTTTTACTCTGAAGTCTACTTTTGTTGATATTAATATAGCCACTCCTGCTTTTCAAAAATTAATGTCAGTATAACATACACATTTTTCCATCCTTTTACTTTCAGCTTACCCATGTTGTATTTGAAGTGAGTTCTTTGAAGATAGCATATAGTTGGCTTATGGTTTTTAATTCACTCTGCCAGTCTCTGCCTTTTAATTGGTATATTTAGACAATAATTATGTTAATAACTGTTAGGGGTCATACCATTTTCCGCCTGCGTTTGTTTTCTGTATGTGCTCTATGTTTCTAATTTGTTTCTTTCTTCTTGCCTTACTGTGGGTTACTTGAATATTGTTTAGAGCTTAATTTTGATTTATTTATAAGATTTTTTACTATGTCTCTTGGTATAGTTTTCTTTGTTGGTGCTTTAGGTATTACCATATACAAATGTAACTTACCAAGCTCACTGGTATTGAATTTAACCACCTCAAGCATAGTATAGAAACTGTATTTCCATTTGTGTCTCTTGACTATCCAACTTTTAAAATATAATTGTCTTCAGATTTCTTTTATTTACATTGGATACCACATCTTGTTCTGATTTTTGCTTCCAACTAAAATATGATTAAAGAAACTCATAAACTAAATAATCTATTAAATTTACTTCTATTTTTACCCATTCTGTCTTATTCTTACTTTTCTGAAGGACAATTTCCCTGCACATAGGATTTGACCCTTTTTCCTTTCTGCACTTGAAATATGTTATACCACTTCCCTTTGGTTTTCTCCATAGAACCCCTTATGGTTTCAGTGGAGAAATCTGTTGTCATTCTAATTGCAGTCCCTTTATAGGTATGTATCATTTCTCTCTGTTTTGAATTTTTTTTTCTATCTTTAGTTTTTAGAAGTTTAATTATGATGTATCCTGGTGTGAGTTTCTTTGGGTTTCTCTTAGGATTTAATCAGCTTGTTGAATCTGTAGGTTTGCATCTTTCACCAAATTTGGGGAGTTTTCAGTCATTATTTCCTGAAATACTTTTTTATACCATACCTTTTCTCCTCTTCTTCTGGAACACTGTTAATATGAAAGCTAGTTATTTTGTGTTTGTCCTACAGATCTTTGAGACTCTTCGTTTTAAAACATTTTAATCTAGTACCTATTTCTTGCCTTCTTGCTTACTGATTCTGTCCTTTGTCATCTTCACTCTACTATTGAGTATTTCCAGTGAGGTAGTTCATTTGTTTGTTTGTTTTGGTTATTGTATTGTTCAGTTGTATAATTTCTATTTGGCTCTTTTTATGATGTGTAATTTTTTTGTTAAAACCCTATTTTTAAAATTTATTTTATGAGAATTTGTAATTATTATTGAGAAAGTTTGTGATGGCTGCCTTAAAATCTTTGTCAGATAATTCCAACATCTGATTCATGCTGGTACTGGCTTCTGTTGATTGTCTTTTCTCATTCAAACTGATTTTCCGGGGTTGAATAATGTGGTGAGTGATTTTTTATTTTGTCCTGAATATTTTGGTTATTATGTTTGAAAAGTATCTAGTCATAACTTCTTTTGGCAGTAAGTTTCCCTTTTTGGGTTTAGCAAGTGAGTCAGGCCTACTTTTGTATTCCAGTGGCAGCTTCGTTTTCAGAGTCCTTGCAATGCTGTTCTGGTTGGCTCCATTCTTCTGATACTGCTGTGGCTCTTCCTCAATCCCTGCTACCATCTTCTTTTGGGACAGAAGGCCTTGGGCTGCCTGTTGTCATTAGGTGACCTTCTGGAATTGGGGCAGTAGTTGCTCGGTTTGTGTCTCCTTATATCACCAGATGGACAGCAGGGGGCCACAGCGTTTCACCTCTGCTTCTGTGGGTGGATGGGACCACCTGCCATGATCTGTTGGTGGATGGGGGCTGGGAAGTTGCTTTACTGTTTTACTGAACTTTACTGTTGCATTGCTGGTGGATCAGAGAGCACACAGGTACCCCTCTGTGAAGTGGAGGTTAGGGCTCTCTGTAAGGTGTTCCTAGTTGGGCTTCCCCTTTCCTGGCCATTTGGACAGAGAAAGCAGCTCTTTATTTTCTTTTGTCTTTCCTCCTTCCTTCCTCCCTCCCTCCCTCCCTTCCTCATTTCCTTCTTCCCTTCTCCCCTTCTCCCCTTCCTTTTTTCTTTTTTTCCTCTTTTCCTTCCTTCCTCCTATGACTGTTGGTGGTTCTTGGCTGTAGGACTGTCTGGCATCCAGCCTGGAGGTATATAGTAGAACAAAATAAAACCCAGGTTGCTCACCAACTTGTTGATCCTCCTTGCCAGCCTGCCTTCTTCCTTCTGTCTCTCAGAGACCTTTCACTGTTGTATGTTGAATAATTCCCAGGGCATTTAGTTGTATTTAGAGGAGAAGAGCAATGCAAAGGGAGTTAATGCCCAGGGTATTTAGTTGTATTTAGAGGAGAAGAGCAATGCCAAGGGAGTTAATGCCCAGGGCGTTTAGTTGTATTTAGAGGAGAAGAGCAATGCAAAAGGGTTTGCACTGGTGGCAGCTCCACCTTCACACTGACTTCACATTGGTGCAGAGGACCAGATGTTGAGTCAATCAATGGAGATATATGGATTATTCAGGTTGTGTGAGACATTGTGTTTGTGAGATAAACTCAAAGGTGTCAGGGCAGCATTGGGAGCCACAGTTATAGCAGAAAAAAGTTAAAGGAGGAACAGGTAATTTTAAAATATTAATGATAATAATAACCACTAACATCTATTAAGTGTTTACTCTGTGTTAAGCATTGTGGTAAGTGCTTTTGCAGGATCATCTTATTTAATCTCTTAAAGTAGACATTATTGTAAATGGATACTATCTCCATTTTACACTAAGAAACCTTTTTATTAAGAAGATTCATAACTTGCCTAAAGGCACATCCTGCAAACTATGAACTTAATATTCAATCCATGTCTGAGTCCAGCCTTAGTCTTACCCATGCCCCACCACCTCAGATATCAGTGGGAGAATCTTCTGGTCCCATCAGGCAGAGTGTGGAGAAGCTATATATTCTTGGGCAATCTGGACCTCAGTTTTCTCAGCTATAAATGTGATTAATATCAACTTTACAGTGTTGTTGTCAGGCTTTGAAGAAAGTCACAAACAGGAAGGTACTGTGTAAGCAGTCAGGAGCGTCAGGGAGGAATGCAGGTCCACAGAAGTCCATACTGGAAGGGTCTAAACTCAGGAGAGAGCAGTGCTCCCCCAGCTCCCCAGCTATCCTCAGGGAGCTTTGAGCGTGAGGGCTCAGGGTCTGGCCACAGGGGTAGGTGTTTCTCCAGCTGCTCTCAGGAAGCTCAGGCTCTGGCAGTGTGAGCTCAGTGACATCTTGATAGGCAGGAGCATCTGGCCACAAAGAGACAGGCTGTGTAGGCAGAGTGACCACCTGGCAGGCTGGAAATTTCAAGCCAATTATTTTGTTGTTGCTGTTGCTGTTATTTGTTTCTTCTAAAGGAAATCCATTTTTAATATGTATGACTCCTAAATTATTCTAACCTTATTAGACAACGTTCTTCAGAGTACTTCCTCAATTATCCCCTTTTTATATCGATTATCTAATACTAATTCCCTCTCCCATTTATTTTTTTGCTTCCTTTTTTTTTTTAAATCTAAACACAAAAGAATATGGACTCATTACAAGAACTGAAGAAAACTTTCTCAGATTTAAAAAAATAGGGTAATGGTTTACTTGAATATTTGACATCATTATTTGTGCCCTTCTGTAATGTCTAAATATAAGAATGGAACATGGTCATTTATAAAAAGAAACACAGACAGCCTGACCAGTTTTGGGCCCTAGTACCATTAATTAATAATTATTGAATACTAAGTGCAAAAGGTAGCTGTTATTTTATAGGCCAGCAAATTGCAAATGCTGATTTTATGGAAAGCATGACAGCATTATAGCATTATAAAGCCAAGCTGTAGCCCAAATTGCACAGGGATGGAAAAGTACAAGCGCATGTCATCAAAATATCAATTTACAACCTCCTGTAGAAACCCGGTGATGCTTGGCAGGCCTGTGAAAGGAGCAATCCTACCAGGCTAATCAAATATTTCAGAGGGGGCAGATAGAGGGACTCACTTCATGAAGAGTGAGAATCTTCCACATTTCAGTGAGTGCAAATTCAAAACAAGAACATTTCAAAATCAATATGAAAAAGAGCACAGGTGAATATTTTAGAGCAACAGCATGACCCTGTTGGAAGATGAACACATAGACTGGAATGTTCTATGACAAAGCACTTTTCTTACATTGCTATTTCAATCAGAAGAAAAATATACAGATAACAATATGGCATTCTTCAATGTGTAGCCCCCAAATCTTCAAATAACTCCAAGGAAGATGTAACTTAATAATTTTTATTATGTGACTTTTGTTAAAAATTTCCTTCTGTGTGGGTGCAGCGCACCAGCATGGCACATGTATACATATGTAACTAACCTGCACAATGTGCCCATGTACCCTAAAACTTAAAGTATAATAATAAAAGAAAAAAAAATTTCCTTCTGTAATGAAAGCATATGATAATTTTGTTGTTTCATGAAGAACATTGTGTGTTGCAGCAAGAATTAGGATGATGGGGGTGAAAGTTGCCCGTGACATCTGATGGGAGGGTAGATTGTGCCCTGAGTTCAGGGGCACAGGAGAGCTCATCACACCATTTTGAGTCCAAGCAGAGTCACCTCCTCCCTTTTTTTTCACAAAACAAACTCTCTACCCTCTATGGAGTGCATGAAACAGTGATGGACACCATGGGGACATAAGTGGCTTCTCCTGCCTGGACCGGTGACCTGGCAGAAGCAGATGTGAGCAGTGGATTGGCAGGAGGGGCGTCACAGAAGTGTCAGTGGAAGAAGCAAGAGGGAAGAGTGGACTACATATCATTTTCTAGTAATGGGAGCTGTTGGGGGTGGACGGGAGAAACCCCCTCCTGCTCCAAGAGGTTAAGGCTAGCATGGAAGCACGGTATTCTGTGCCAGGCCAGCCCTGACTCCATTCCTTGGTGTCTGTTAGAGCAGCAGTCACCAACTTTTTTGGCACCAGGGACCGGTTTTGCAGAAGACAGTTTTTCCATGGACAGGGAGTTGTGGGGTGGGTGTGGGAAGGGTAGCAGGGATGCTTTTGGGATGAAACTATTCCATCTCAGATCATCAGGCATTAGTTAGGTTCTCATAAGAAGCACACAACCTAGATCCCTCGCATGCGCAGTTCACAATAGGGTTAGCCTCCTATTACAATCTAATGCCACAGCTGATCTCACAGGAGGTGGAGCTCAGGCTGTGTGGCTGGGTTCCTAATAGGCCACTGACGGTAGCAGTCTGCAACCTGGATGTTGGGGACCCCTGTGTTAGAGGACCCCATTGATGGGGTTTGGAGATTCTAAGGTAGCAAACAGTAAATACCTGCTGGCTTGTAGCGTCTTGTGAGATTTTATCATCCTCATGATTCCCATAGCACTTTGGGAGTTAGGCTATGAACATCCCCCACTCAGCCCCAAAATGAACTGTCTGAACAAAAACAAAAAAGGAGAGAACACTTTCCCTTCTTAGTCCTGCCAGCTGCACTTTTCACTCCGAGGTATCTGGTAGGTGTTCTGCTTTCTTTCTTTTCCTCAGAGAGCTCCTATCTTCTGAGGACATTGAGTTTGACTTCTTGGACTTAGGTTGTTTCCATGATCAGCATCAAGAGCTCAGAATGCACAGGTTGGTGACACATGCATATTCTGGTTTCTCCTGTCCATTTTATTCCTCAAAGAAGGCTATGGTGACCCCCAAACACAGACACTAAAGGGAAATCTCTTTTATGACCAGTGCATTTAGCACCAGGAAGAAAAAGGAGAAAGGGGGAAGGAGGTATAGGGGCAGGAATAGAACTACACGTTCTATTCCTGTGCATGTCACTGAGTCCCTGGAAAGAAGGGGGTGTCTGTTGAAGGAGCAGTGGAGGAAATCTGTGGTGGGGCAGTTAGGGAAGAGAGTGAAGCATGAAGAAGCTCTGTCCCCATCAGTACCCTACACAGCAGTTTCTTGCCCAAGTAGAGCTGGAATACAGGGTGGGCAGTGCAGGGGAGGGAGCGAAGAGTCAGTCTGGTAGGAGGCACTCGCCGAGGTTGTAATCCTGAGACATCACTTATGGGTGCTCACCCATGGAGAGATGGGTTTTCTTATCTTGCACATTGGCAATGACCTTGCTAGGCTCTTAGGTCTGGAGACAATAGATAGTTTCACTTGACCGGAGATAGCATGCTATTTTTTATTAATTTGTGCTTTTATTTTTCTTTCCCTGCTCTCTCAGGGGTAACTATGGATTGAAAAAAAAAAAGAAGAAAATCTGGTACTTCTTTACAGAAATATATGGTTGGAATGGAAAATCAGAATAATTAAATACTAGTGAAAAGGGTACCAAATTATAACTAGGTATTATCTTTTCAAAATTATGTGCAATAGTATAGTTTTTATATATTACATTTAATTATTTTAATACATGCAAATTTTATCTGTGTTTTTGTTTGAATGTCAAATAATTGTTCCACAGACATCTTAACTAAAACACTACTTTCCCTCTGCTAACCCTATGCTAGAAAGATACCTGAACTTTTGGAGAAGTATTCATCAGGGAATAACCCCATGAGTGCTATAAAGTGTAAAGTTAATCCCATAAAGTAAGAATAAAGCCACAGGGAGAAAGACAGTGAATGCAATGCTCCTAGTTAAAAGATATCATCAAAAGAAGTGAAACCTCCTTGTTTTTGTTTTGCGGTTCCCAGAAGTTGCATGGAGCTGAGAGAAATCCTGTTAAAAGCATTCAGTGATTTAAAATTTCAATTAAAGCTGAGCTACTTAGGGGGATTTTTCCATTACTTAAATTTTAAAGTTTACCCTTGAGCTTCATTATTTTTATCAAGTACACTTTTTACAGCCAACTGGCTGTGGTAAGGGTTTGGTTCCTTGGGGTTACAACAAAAATTACTTATCAAACCAACAAAAACAAACCAACTTAGTAACCTAGGATTGATTGGGAAAAACTAAAATTATTTAAGTACAGAGAGACTTGTATTTAATAAAAATTCACCCAAGGGTGCTGAGTTTTAAATATAGGAGAGATCCTATCCAAACGACCAAATCCTGGGGCCAGTGACGGTAATTAAGGTAGAAATTACAGAGCTGGAAGGTAGAAGCCAAGCACTATGTTACCTGTGTCTGTATGCTGGGCATTATGCTAGGTACTTTGCATCTAGTATCTAACATAGTCCTAGATTATCCCATGTTACAGATGAGGGAAATAAACTCTGAGGATGACTTATCTTAAACTCCACGGATAATGAATACTCTAGCTGGGATTTAAGCCAAGGTCTCTTTGGCACCAAAGCCCATGCTATTTCCAGCACACAAGGTGAAAATAAGGGAAGTCAGGAGCCAATAAAGAAAGTTTCAGGGAAACTGGCATGATTGGTGCTTCTGTGTGAGTGTGTATGTAGTTTGCCTTCCCAAACTGGTGCATGAAGAAAGGGTGGGATGGACTAGCCTAATGGGTTAGCCTAATGATAAAAAAGCTATGGACATCTCAAGGGTTGAGGACCTGCTCTCCAACAGAAATCAAGTAAAGGCAAGAACCTACCGACTCTTCAAATCAAACCTGCACCCCATGGATATTTGTTTGATTTTTTCTACCCTGATGAGGTGTCTCCTTGGGAAGACTCCCTCCTACCTCTTCAGACACTGGGTTAAAGCTATAATGATTGGAGAGAGATGATGGCTTCCATCCACCCTCTCAGTGACTTGTGGGTTCAGAATGCATCCAAACAGCATTTGCATTTCACACAGGTCATTTGAGCAGGGTCACCATTGTTTCACTACTGGAGGTTGACTCTCCTTCCCACAGCTAATGATTATGAGGCCCAACAGGCACCCACCCACTAGTGATAGGAGCCATCTTTTTAATTCTGATGGAGTAAAATTTGAAAAACGAAACATAATTCTCTCTCTGTGGTATATGATACAGACTGCTGACATTTCAGTGAGTTTCCATGAGCATGAGTTTTGTTTGGCTGCTGAGCTTCTTTCTTGGTTCTGTAGTGTATACATTTCCATGTGCTCTGCCTCAGCAGTCCTGGGGCCTTCACATTGTCCTCATTATTCCACAGAGAATTTGGGCTCAAACATCCAGAGCTGTCCATCCTGAACTTAAAACTATGAGGGCAGAATATGTTAAAAACTGTCAATTAGTATATGAGCAGTCTTTGTAAATCTAGTTACTCACATCTGTAGAAAGTACTTATAGGATATAGTTTATTCTGTGTAAATCACAGTCAGATTTATTTGGTTTTTAAATGGTTATGAAATCAAACTTAAAATGTTGCCAGCCTCCACACTCCCACCCCACCCAATGTTAAGCTTTTCTTGTATTCTTGTAACCACCCAATGGGTTCTTGCCCACTGCCCACATACAGCCAGTTTATTAAGACAGGGGAATCGCAAAAGAGAAAGGGTTTAATATGTATAGAGCCAACTAAATTGGAGCCTTGAGTTTTTTTTATTACTCAAATCAGCCTCACCCAAAATTGGGAAGCTAAGGTTTTTAAAGATAGTTTGGGGTGCAAAGGGCTAGAGAAGGGCAAATACTGATTGGTTGGGGTGAGGATAAAATCATAAGGAGTTGAAGCTGTCTTCTTGTACTTAGCCAGTCCCTGGGTGGAATCACAAGACCAGATGAGCGAATTTACTGGAATAGGTGGTGCCAGCCAATCCATCAGAATTCAGTGTCTGAAAAATACCTCAAACACCAATCTTAGGTTTTATAATAATGACATCATCTATAGGAGCAATTGAGGAGGTTAGTGATCCTGTGGCCTCTGGCTGCATGACTCCTGAGCTATAATTTCTAATCTTGTGGCTAATTTGTTAGTTTTACAAAGGCAGTCTGGTCCCCAGGCAAGGAGGGAGTTTGTTTCAGGAAGGGGCTGTTATCGTCTTTGTTTCATAGTTAAACTATAAACTAAATTCATCTCAAAGTTAGTTTGACCTACGCCCAAGAATGAAAAAGGGCAGTTTGGAAGTTAAAGGGAAGATGGAGTTGGTTAGGTCAGATCTCTTTTCCTGTTATAATTTTCTCAATGTTATAGTTTCTGTAAAGATTGTTTCATTATTTGTTCCACAAATTTATAAGTGAATTGAAAACGAAGGCTGTTTTTCCCATCTGAAACAAGTTAAGTAAGTATCTTGGATAAATATCTTAACATTGTTAAAGAAAAAAAAATGATTCAATGATACTTGTTAATAACGCCCAATAAGGAAGCCTTTATTCAAGACTATCCCAATACATATAGAGAACATGGCAATTGTGTTTTGCAGTGATGGTAGAGAAATTGGGCTCAACTCCAAATACAGAATAGGCAAGAGGGAATCTCTAGCCAAGCAGCAGGGTGGGGGACAGTGGATGGAAAATTTCTAAGAGGAAGCATCAAGAATTAGTGGGATTCTGCTTAAACTGACCCAACAGGGCTCTTACTGAAGACAGTCCAGGGTGCTCAGACATCACCTGAGGTGTGGTGGAAGATGAGAAACCAGTCAGCTATCAAGGATGATCAGATATTGAGGTTAAGGTGTTAAATGGACCTATATTGTTCAAGGAAAAGAAGAATGTCTCTTCTTTCTCGAACAAGATTTTTTGCTTGACTAAACTTTAGTTAGGTTCCTGAAACTTCTCCTAGGCCCATCTTTGCACTTCCTTGAAAAATCCAGTTTTATCAAGAGCCTTGCTAAGTCAGTTTGTCAAGGACCCCTCATCCTTGATACCTGATTATCCTCGAAATCTAATTGGGTTCTTCACTGGACACCATCATAAAAAAGAACATAAACTAGTTTTTATTTTTTTAAGTTCCAGGGTATGTGTGCGGAATGCATATGTTTATTACGTAGGTAAATGTGCCATAGTGGTTTGCTGCACCTATCAACCCATGACCTATGTATTAAGCCCAGCATTATTCACAATAGCATAAACTAGTTTTATAGGGAGTGTCTTAGTTTAGGCTGCTATAACAAAGTACCATATTCTAGGCAGCTTATAAACAACAGAAATTTATTTCTCACAGTTCTAGAGGCTTTGAGTCCAAGATCAGGGTGCCAGCATGGTTGGGTTGTGGTGAGGGCTCCCTTCCGGGTTATAGACAGCAAACTTGTTTTATCCTCAAATGGTAGAAGGAGGAAGAACTAGCTCCCAGGTCTCTCCTCAGAAAGGCTCTAATCTTATTTATGACGGCTCCAACCTCATGACCCCAAAGACCGGCACCTCCAAATACCATGACATTGGGGATTATATTTCAATATATGAATTTTGGAGGGACACAAACATTCAGTCCATAACAAGGATGAAAAACTGAAACCATTTTTTTCTGACAACAACTTCTCCATACAAATTATTAGGGGATAGTTTGCTCTTACCAGTCTGATTTCAGCCCCACTTTCTGTATTGCACTTTCCATCTCCTTTCTCTGGTATTGAATTCATTGGGTTACCTTGACTCAAGATAGAGAAGCACATTAGCTCTTGGATTGCTTAGTGTTGCTACAGAGTGATGGTGTTCTCATGACTCCAGAAGAACAAAAGAATTTATTATTTTCTTATTAGAACAAAGCTTTAAAATAAGTAATGTTATGTTTTCATCTATGTTAAATGTAAATATTAATGTGCTGTACAGTTGCACTTCTGAGTTACAGATCAACAGATTTTATATTTAGAAATTTCCCACCTGTGTTCATTTGCTGTTCCTTAAATAGGAACATTTTTTAAAAAAATTGCTAAACCACAAGGCATGGAGGCAGTAGTATACAGACAGCAGCTGAGTAATTATCAAGGCAAAATAGCTCCTTTCACGTGGACTGTCTTTCTGGATTTGAGAAAAGAATGAGACATCAATGAGAGGCCAATCTAAAAAAGTACCATAACAAATGCTATGCATCCATTCTTAATCATTTGCATAGGTAATAACCAGAATTAAAGGAAATTTCATGAATAAAATTGCTTCTCCTCATGAAGATTTTAAGTTATGTTGGAAAATTACCTTTGATATGTTTAAAATATGAGTGACATTTTGCATAAATTCTACGTGCAACATTGCTAGCTTACGCCAGTCCCTTGTTACAAACAAGGTCAAAAGGATATTTAAAAATCATAACTGAATGTTGACAAAATGACGATTTTTCCTCTAATGTGAATTGAAGATAATTCTCTAATTCTTTGAATTTTTACAGGAGATGTTGTGTTCTTAACTAACAAAAAAATCACAGAGTCACTGATAATGCAGAGGTTATAGGGAAACTGCATTTTGTCTTATCTCTTCATTTTGAGGAATGGGAATCTGAGGTTAGTGGCTCAAGCCAGGGTATCCCAGGTAGACCAGTAGACCCAAATCGCAGCAAGCAGAAATTAGTCCCAAACAATTTCCCCTGAAGCTGTAGCCCATGAATGCTTAAGAGAGAACCTATGTGCATTTCCCTTCTCAATTCTATTGCCTCTGCCCTCATTGACGTTATCTGTTGTTGGATATAGTTTACATTCAGTCCTTTATATTATGTTGTACCCTGCCAAGCTCATGATAAAAATTGTGTTGGTTTATTAGCAAAAATTACAAGTTTATCTTCATTCTTTCTAAAAAGACAGCTGAACTCTAATTAAATACCAACATGTTCTTTAAGGAAAACCACTTTTCTGATGTAATAGGGAAATGAAAATAGGGACTCAATAAATGTTTGAGATAAGAAATGAATCTATCAGTTTTTTAAGTTTTTTTTTGTTGTTATTGTTCTTGTTTTCTGAAAGAGAATTAAATTGTCTGCCTACAGTTCTCTGCTTAAATTCATCCTCCAGAGAATGTCCAGCTGTCTTTTCAAAATATGTGTCTGGTTATGCCATTGCTCTCTGTAAACACCTTCCTCCTTTTCAATGGATAGACTCTGAAGTCCTCAGGATGCCATCACTAAGCACTGCTGTAATTGGGCTCCAATATTCTATATAGCAGCATAAGATAGAGGTCAGAGTACAGAATCAAAATGAATATGTAGACAATCAAGGACAGATTAACATTAAGTAGAGACAGCTACTGATGTGCAATTAGATTTCATTTATTTCTTGGTCACTTTTTTTAATAAAAGGCTAATTCAAGTGTTTCCCTTCAGTGTATTCATAACGTGACCTCAGACTGTAGTTCAACTAGTATTGGGATTTGTGTTAAAATACACAATATATACTTTGCAAACTGCTATGGACTACTGTTTTATTTCCTAAGTATGTCTGAACTCTTTAGCTGTGTATAAATGTCAGAATTAGTTGGTTCCTTCTAAAATTATTGTGGAAAATACAACAAGGAAAAAACAAAAAGAAACAAAACCAAAACTAGGGTTAAAACAGAAATATGAGCTTGAAGCTGTATCTTGATCTGGGAAAGACTTAGTATACATTTAAAAAATATATTCTCACAAGGAAGAATTGAACATTTTAAAATTAGTTCATATTTGTATTTTTTCATTGATATTTAGTTTTCCTGATGGTGTGAAATCTGGTTGACTTTTTATTGGATTTCCTACATGATTCTATATAGCTGAGATAGACACTATTTTATCTTTAATCATTATTTCTTTCAGTTTTATAGTTGGATACTATCATATGAAGAGTAATTTTCGTCTGTTGACCCTGTGGATTGACTTTCTCAGATTGCTCTGAATCTAATGGAAGATAATAAATATTCTTTTACTTTTCTTTCATGGGGGTGCCTGGCTCCATCCTTCCATAGATCAAGATATCAGACTCGCTGAACTCTATTTCTAATGTTTTCAGAGCCAAAGGTGCTAAAAAAATACACAGATGTATAGATAATTGAGAAGATAGCCAAACCCTCTGAACTTAGCTGTGGAAAAATGCCTATAAGTTGTTAGACACTCCAGAGAGCATTTCCATTGGGGCCTATGACCTCAATGAAGAGCTCCACTAACTACCTCCATTGTATTTCCACTATCATAACATTATACACTTATTATGGGAAATGTTCTCTCTTTTACCTACAGACATGTATTACTCCAGAACCATGAGAAATACATCTGATAAAATATTTAATACAGTAAAAAAACAGAGGTTTAAGTTCTCTAATTTCTCCTAAGATAGACATTGAATCTATCTCTACGAAATGACAGAAAAAAAACTCTGCCATGTTATATCATATTCCCTAAAACAAGGTCAGTTGAATAAGTCATTGGGATCATAAAAAATCTAAAACTACATAGGTGTGTACTAGCCTGCTAGGTCTGCCATAATAAAATACCACAGACTGGGAGGCTTAAACAACAAAAATTTATTTCCCATTCTTAGGGTAATTCCTCTGCATTTCTAATCCAATATCAATTATAGGGCTTTGGGGATGATAAATAATTAAAATAATTACAGAAAATAAGAGTTTATTTCCAGTATTTTTATCGAGAAGCCGTGTGCTGAGAAAACAAAATGAGAAAACATGTGGTGCTGCTTCATTTGTAAAACAAATAAAAATTTATTTTCATTCATTCTTCAGACATCTAAATTTTCAACACAAATGACAAAACTCTTGTCCCATCAGAAAAACAAGTGTAGATTTTTAATGATTTTTTATGAGAAGTTAGAAAATATAGCATATGCACATTGATCATGCATTCGTTTTCAAAGTTATTTCATTTTAGCATAAGCAATTATCAATAATGACAATTATGTAAATGACTTTCAGGTAATATAATTTTATGTTATATATCATCCCAAGAAACTATTCAAATTTGAATAGCAAAGATAACCTGAAATGAATGAATGAAAGTCTGTCTTTTTTTAATTTAGTAGTTATTTAATAAATTTTGTGTGACATAGGAGCCTTCATAAGGAAACGAAGACCCAAAGAAATACATAAAACTGTTTCTTTTATTATAATTATACTTTAAGTTCAGGGATACATGTGCAGAACGTGCAGGTTTGTTACATAGGTATACACAAGCCATGGTGGTTTGCTGCACCCATCAACCCGTCATCTACATTAGGCAATTCTCCTAGTGCTATCCCTCCCCTAGCCCCCTGCCCCCTGACAGGCCCCAGTGCATGATGTTCCCCTCCCTGTGTCCATGTGTTCTCATTGTTCAACTCCCATTTATGAGTGAGAATATACAGTGTTTGGGTTTCTGTTCCTATGTTAGTTTGCTGAGAATGATGGTTTCCAGCTTAATCCATGTTCCTTCAAAGGACATGAACTCATCCTTTTTTATGGCTGCATAGTATTCCATGGTGTATATGTGCCACATTTTCTTTATCCAGTCTATCATTGATAGGCATTTGGGTTGGCTCCAAGTCTTTGCAATTATGAATAGTGCCTCAATAAATATACGTGTGCATGTGTCTTTATAGCAACATGGTTCATAATCCTTTGGGTATATACCCAGTAATGGGATGGCTGGGTCAAATGGTATTTCCCGTTCTAGACCCTTGAGGAATCGCCACACTGTCTTGCACGATAGTTGAACTAGTTTGCAGTCCCACCAACAGTGTAAAAGTGTTCCTATTTCTCCACATCCTCTCCAGCACCTGTTGTTTCCTGACTTTTTAATGATCGCCATTTTAACTGGTATGAGATGGTATCTCATTGTGGTTTTGATTTGCATTTCTCTGATGGCCAGTGATGATGAGCATTTTTCCACATGTCTGTTGGCTGCATAAAAGTCTTCTTTTGAGAAATGTCTGTTCATATACTTCACCCACTTTTTGACGGGTTGTTTGTTTTTTTCTTATAAATTTGTTTAAGTTCTTTGTAGATTCTGGATATTAGCCCTTTGTCAGATGGATAGGTTGCAAAATATTTTTCCCATTCTGTGGGTTGCCTGTTCATTCTGATGATAGTTTCTTTTGCTGTGCAGAAGCTCTTTAGTTTGATTAGATCCCATTTGTCAATTTTTGCTTTTGTTGCCATTGCTTTTGGTCTTTTAGTCATGAAGTCTTTGCCCATGCCTCTTGTCCTGAATGGTATTGCCTAGGTTTTCTTCTAGGTTTTTTATGGTTTTAGGTCTCATGTTTAAGTCTTTAATCCATCTTGAGTTAATTTTTATATGAGGTTTAAGGAAGGGGTCCAGTTTCAGTTTTCTGCATATGGCTAGCCAGTTTTCCCAACACCATTTATTAAATAGGGAATCCTTTCCCTATATCTTGTTTTTGTCAGGTTTGTCAAAGATCAGATGGTTGTAGATGTGTGGCATTATTTCTGAGGACTCTGTTCTGTTCCATTGTTCTATATATTTGTTTTGGTACCAGTACCATGCTGTTTTGGTTACTGTAGCCTTGTAGTATAGTTTGAAGTCAGGTAGCATGATGCCTCCAGCTTTGTTGCTTTTAGTTAGGGTTGTCTTGGCAATGCAGGCTCTTTTTTGGTTCCATATGAAATGTAAAGTACTTTTTTCTAATTCTGTGAAGAAAGTCAATGGTAGCTTGATGGAGATAGCATTGAATCTATAAATTACTTTGGGCAGCATGGCCATTTGCACAATATTGATTCTTCCTATCCATGAGCATGGAATGTTTTTCCATTTGTTTGTGTCCTCTCCTATTTCCTTGAGCAGTGGTTTGTAGTTCTCCTTGAAGAGGTCCTTCACATCCCTTGTAAGTGGTATTTCTAGGCATTTTATTCTCTTTGTAGCAATTGTGAATGGGAGTTCATTCATGATTTGGCTGTCTATCTATTATTGGTGTATAGGAATGCTTGTGATTTTTGCATGTTGATTTTGTATCCTGAGACTTTGCTGAAGTTGCTTACCAGCTTAAGGAAATTTTGAGCTGAGATGATGGAGTTTTTTAAATATACAGTCATGTCATCTGCAAACAAGGACAATTTGACTTCCTCTCTTCCTACTCGAATACCCTTTATTTCTTTCTTTTTCCTGATTGCCATGGCCAGAACTTCCAATACTGTGTTGAATAGGAGTGGTGAGAGAAGGCATCCTCGTCTTGTGCCAGGTTTCAAAGGGAATGCCTCCAGCTTTTGCCCATTCAGTATGATATTGGCTTTGGGGTTGTCATAAATAGCTCTTATTATTTTGAGATACGTCCCATCAACACCTAGTTTATTGAGAGATTTTAGCATGAAGCACTGTTGAATTTTGTTGAAGGACTTTTCTGCATCTATTGAGATAATCATGTGGCTTGTCATTGGTTCTGTTTATGTAATGGATTACATTTACTGCTTTGCATATGTTGAACTGGCCTTACATGCCAGAGATGAAGCCGACTTAATCATGGTGGATAAGCTTTTTGATATGCTGCTGGATTCGGTTTGCCAGTATTCTGTTGAGGATTTTTGCAGTGATGTTCATCAGGAATATTGGCCTGAAATTTTCTTTTTTGTTGTGTCTCTGCCAGGCTTTGGTATCAGGATCATGCTGGCCTCACAAAATGAGTTAGAGAGGCGTCCCTCTTTTTCTATTGTGTGGAATAGTTTCAGAAGGAGTGGTACCAGCTCCTCTTTGTACCTCTGGTAAAATTCAACTGTGAATCTGTTTGGTCCTGGGCTTTTGTTGGTTGGTAGGCTATTAATTACTACCTCAATTTCAGAGCTTGTTATTGGTCTATTCAGGGATTCAGCTTCTTCCTGGTTTAGTCTTGGGAGGGTGTATGTGTCCAGGAATTTATCTATTTCTTCTAGATTTTCTAGTTTATTTGTGTAGAGGTGTTTATAGTATTCTCTGATGGTAGTTTGTATGCCACAGAAATCTGTGGCATCAGATATGTGATCTCCCCTTTATCATTCTTTTTTTTTTTTTTTTTTTTTTTTTTGAGATGGAGTCTTGCTCTGACTGCCAGGCTGGAGTGCTGTGGCACAATTTTGGCTCACTGCAACCTCTGCCTCCTAGGTTCAAGCAAATCTCCTGCCTTAGCCTCCCGAGTATCTGGGACTACAGGCGTATGCCACCATGCCCGGCTAATTTTTTTTTTTTTGAGATGGAGTCTCACTCTGTTGCCCAGGCTGGAGTGCAGTGGCGCAATCTCAGCTCACTGCAAGCTCTGCCTCCCAGGTTCACACCATTCTCCTGTCTCAGCCTCCTGAGTAGTTGGGACTACAGGTGCCCACCACCACGCCTGGTTAATTTTTTGTATTTTTTTTTTTTTAGTAGAGATGGGGTTTCACCGTGTTAACCAGGATGGGCTCGATCTCCTGACCTCGTGATCCACCCACCTCGACCTCCCAAAGTGCTGGGATTACAGACATGAGCCACCACACCCAGCCATGCCTGGCTAATTTTTGTATTTTTAGTGGAGACGGGGTTTCACCGTGTTGGCCAGGCTGGTCTTGAACTCCAAACCTCAAGTGATCCGCCCGCCTCGGCCTCCCAAAGTGCTGGGATTACAGGTGTGAGCCACCATGCCCAGCCCCCTTTATCAGTCTTTATTGTGTCTATTTGATTCTTCTCTCTTTTCTTCTTTATTAGTCTAACTAGCAGTCTATTTTCTTAATCTTTTCAAAAAAAAAAAACAGCTTCTGGATTCATTAATTTTTTGAAGGGTTTTTCGTGGCTCTGTCTCCTTCAGTTCTGCTCTGATCTTAGTTATTTATTTTCTTCTGCTAGCTTTTGAATTTGTTTGTTCTTGCTTCTCTCGTTCTTTTAATTGTGATGTTAGTATGTCGATTTTAGATCTTTCCCGCTTTCTCCTTTGGGCATTTAGTGGTATAAATTTCCCTCTAAACACTGCTTTAGCTGTGTCCCAGAGATTATAGTATGTTGTGTCTTTGTTCTCATTGGTTTCAAAGAGCTTATTTATTTCTTCCTTAATTTCATTATTTACCCAGTAGTCATTCAGAAGCAAGTTGTTCAGTTCCCATGTGGTTGTGGGGTTTTGAGTGAGTTTCTTTTCTTCTTTTTTTCTTTTTTCTTTGAGATGGAGTCTTGCTCTGTCATCAGGCTGAAGTGCAGTGGTGCAATCTTGGCTCACTGCAACCTCTGCCTCCCAGATTCAAGCCATTCTACTGCCTCAGCCTCCCAAGTAGCTGAGACTACAGGAGCACATCAACATGCCCAGCTAATTTTTGTATTTTTAGTAGAGATGGGATTTCACTGTGTTGGCCAGGATGATCTCAATCTCTTGACCTCGTGATCCACCTGCTTCAGCCTCCCAAAGTGCTGGGATTAGAGGCATGAGCCACCGCACCCGACCTTAAATGAGTTTCTTAGTCCTGTGTTCTAATTTGATTGCAATGTGATCTAAGAGACTGTTTGTTATGACTTCCATTCTTTTGCATTTGCTTAGGAGTGTTTTACTTCCACTTATGTGGTCAATTTTAGAATATGTGCAATGTGATGTTGAGAAGAATGTATATTCTGTTGATTTGGGGTAGAGACAGTTCTGTAGATGTCTATTAGGTCTGCTTGGTCCAGAGCTGAGTTCAGGTCCTGAATATCCTTGTTAATTTTCTGTCTCATTGATATATCTAATATTGACAGTGGGATGTTAAAGTCTCCCACTATTACTATGTTGGAGTCTAAGTCTCTTTGTAGGTCTCTAAGAACTTCTTTATGAATCTGGGTGTTCCTCTATTGGATGTATATATATTTAGGATAGTTAGCTCTTCTTGTTGCATTGATCCCTTTTGTCTTTTTTGATCTTTGTTGATTTAAAGTCTGTTTTATCAGAGACTACAATTGCAATTCCTGCTTTTTTTTGCTTTCCATTTACTTGATAAATACTCCTCCATCCCTTTATTTTGAGCCTATGTTGTGTCTTTGCACGTGAGATGCGTCTCCTGAATACAGCACACTGATGGGTTTTGACTGTTTATCCAATTTGCCAGTCTGTGTCTTTTCATTGGGACATTTAACCCATTTACATTTAAGGTTAATATTGTTATGTGTGAATTTGATCCTGTCATTATGATGCTAGCTGGTTATTTTGCTCGTTATTTGATGCCATTTCTTCATAATGTCGATGGTCTTTACAATTTGGTATGTTTTTGCAGTGGCTCGTACTGGTTGTTCCTTTCCATGTTTAGTGCTTCCTTCAGGAGCTCTTTTAGGGCAGGCCTGGTGGTGACAAAATCTCTCAGCATTTGCTTGTCTGTAAAGGATTTCATTTCTCCTTCACTTATGAAGCTTAGTTTGGCTGGATATGAAATTCTGGGTTGAAAATTCTTTTCTTTAAGAATGTTGAATATTGGCCCCCACTCTCTTCTGGCTTGTAGAGTTTCTGCTGAGAGATCCACTGTTAGTCTGATGGGCTTCCCTTTTTAGGTAACCGATCTTTCTCTTTGGCTGCCCTTAACAGTTTTTCCTTCATTTCAACCTTGCTGAATCTGACGATTATGTGTCTTGGGGTTTCTCTTCTCAAGGAGTATCTTTGTGGTCATCTCTGTATTTCCTGAATTTGAATGTTGACCTGTCTTGCTAGATTGGGGAAGTTCTCCTGGATAATATCCTGAAGATATTTTCCATCTTGGTTCCATTCTCCCCATTACTTTCAGGTACACCAATCAAATGTAAGTTTGGTCTTTTCACATAGTACCATATTTCTTGGAGGCTTTGTTCATTCCTTTTCATTCTTTTTTCTCTAATCTTGTCTTCACACTTTATTTCATTAAGTTGATCTTCAATCTCTGATATCCTTTCTTCAGCTTGATTGATTCGGCTATTGATACTTGTGTATGCTTCATGAAGTTCTCATGCTGTGTTTTTCAGCTCCATCAGGTCATTTATGTCCTTCTCTAAACTGTTTATTCTAGTTAGCAATTCTTCTAACCTTTTTTCAAGGTTCTTAGCTTCCTTGCATTGGTTTAGAACATGCTCCTTTAGCTTGGGGGAGTTTGTTATTACCCATCTTCTGAAGCCTCCTTTTGTCAGTTTGTCAAACTCATTTTCCATCCAGTTTTGTTCCCTTGCTGGCAAGGAGTTGTAATACTTTGGAGGAGAAGAGGCAGTCTGGTTTTTGGAATTCTCAGCCTTGTTGCACTGGTTTTTCCTCATCTTCATGGATTTATCTACTTTTGGTCTTTGATGTTGGTGACCTTCAGATGGGATTTTTGTGTGGATGTCCTTTTTGTTGATGTTGATGCTATTCCTTTCTATTTGTTAGTTTTCCTTCTAACAGTCAGGATTCTCTTCTGCAGGTCTGCTGGAGTTTGCTGGAGGTCCACTCCAGACCCTATTAGGCTGCAGAACAACAAAGATTGCTGCCTCTTCCTTCCTCTGGAATCTTCATCCCAGAGGGGCACCCGCCAGATGCCAGCCAGAGGTCTCCTGTATGAGGTGTCTGTTGACCCCTGCTGGGAGTTGTCCCCCAGTCAGGAGGCATGGGGGTCAGGGACCCACTTGAGGAGGCAGTCTGTCCCTTATCAGAGCTCAAGTGCTGTGCTGGAAAATCTGCTGTTCTCTTCAGAGCTGGCAGGCAGGAATGTTTAAGTCAGCTGAAGCTATGCTCACAGCCGCCCCTTCCCCCAGGTGCTCTGTACCAGGCAGATGGGAGTTTTATCTATAAGCCCCTGACTAGAGCTGCTGCCTCTCTTTCAGAGATGCCCTGCCCAGAGAGAAGGAATCTAGAGAGGCAGTCTGGCTACAGCAGCTTTGCCAAGCTGCGGTGTGCTCTACCCAGTTCAATCTTCCCAGCAGCTTTGTTTACACTGTGTGGGGAAAACCGCCTACTCAAGCCTCAGTAATGGAGGATTCCCCTCCCCACACCAAGCTCTAGCATCCCAGGTCGACTTCAGACTGCTGCACTGACAGCGAGAATTTCAAGCCAGTGGATCTTAGCTTGCTGGGTTTGGTGGGAGTGCGATCCGCTGAGCTAGACCACTTGGCTCCCTGGCTTCAGTCCCCTTTCCAGGGAGTGAATGGTTCTGTCTCACTGGCATTCCAGGCACCACTGGGGTATGAAAAAAAACCTCCTGCAGCTAGGTTGTTGTCTGCCCAAACAGCCTCCCAGTTTTGTGTTTGAAACTGAGGGCCCTGGTGGTGTAGGCACCCGAGGGAATCTCCTGGTCTGAGGGTTGTGACGACCCTGGGAAAAGCGTAGTATCTGGGCCAGAATGCAATGTCCCTCACGGCACAGTCCCTCAAGGCTTCCCTTGGCTAGGGGAGGGAGTTTCCTGACCCCTTGGACTTCCCAGGTGAGGTGATGCCCCACCCTGCTTTGGCTCGCCTTCCCTGGGCTGCACCCACTGTCTAACCAGTCTCAATGAGAAGAGCTGGGTACCTCAGTTGGAAATGCAGAAATCACCTGCCTTCTGGGTTGATCTCGCTGGGAGCTGCAGACCAGAGCTGTTCCTATTCGGCCATCTTCTCAGGTCTCAAAACGTCAGCCTTTTAAAGTGCTGTAGAAATTAATTATAATCAATTGACTGAAATTGCCAAGTTTTTCTCAAGTTGGAAGTGACTTCAGCATAGAAAAAGGGACTTCATAGTTTAGTTGAATCTGGATAAATTAGAAATGACAGGCTTTTAATTTGTATTATTTAATTCATAACTTCAAAATTTTACAAAGGAACAAAATGAAAATTACATTTTCCACATAGTAAAATGAGTGTCACTTTTAATTTAGTTTGTTTGCCATGGAAATATTCCTGTTACTGCAAGAATCATTTGTTCAATTTAAAGCAAAATTGTGGAGTATATATGGGCTACCTACAAGTGGTTGAACATAGTCTTTTTAGAATTTTATGTACTATCAATTAAACATTTTTACTTGTCTAAGAAATAAATGTGAACAGTATATTTTTTCATTTTCAAAGTTTCCTAATGGTCTGAACAAGGAGGTGGAATTTGGAGGCATTTAGGGTAGAAAATTTGTTGAGAATTGATATTCAAATCTCTCATTTCCTGCTCTTCATTAGTAACATCAGCAAACTTCGTTAAAAATCACTTCTTTTTGCCTGATTTTCCCTGTGTGCCTTAATGATAGTATATCTGGAATGAATCCTTACCTTGAACTGTGTATAGTTTTTTTCATAGACTTTTCTCTCACATTTGTGTCTTCAATTCTTCTTTGCCTAGATGCCTTACTCAGCTCCCACTTCCATCTGAAAACCCCTCCTGGCCTTCTTACTCTTCTCTGTTCTCCAGGCCCCTGGTGTCCCACCCAGTCCTGTGCCATCTGTCCTCTTGCACAGTCCAGTACTCAGAACACCTCCTTCTTGCCCTCCTTCATCAAATCCACTTCGCACTCCACTTCATGCAGTTTGGTTCCCCCACCGTTTATACCACATTGCCATGTACAGTTTATTAAACATCAATCAAGCTAAAGGATAAACAATAAACCTAGTTATGTTATTTGATTTCAACATTACACTTGTGTTTATGGCCCATTTGCTTAGAACTTAGTGTAGAGGGGACATTCTCCTGGACATTATCTGACACCAAATAATTCAGTCCATAGTACTATTAAAGAACAACATTTTAGCAAACTGAGTTTTAAACATCAAATTGGCTTTTATTAATGATTCATGAATCAAGTGACATTCCATCTATGAAATAGAAAGGTGCCCTACTGAGCTGAGCAGATGTGTGGGCTTTATAATGGAAAAGACTGAAGAAAGCAGAAAGAAGAAACAAAAAGTGGACTGGTGATTTCAAAGCTACTTTCCTTGCATACGTTAAACTAGAGGAGACTTCCTTATCATGTGAGCTTAGGTTGACTGGGCCCCTTTCAATTGGTTACTGTGAATCTCCTTTTTTTTTTGAACAAGTGACCTATTTTTACATTCAGTTTGACAATGTGGCATCTGGCATGAGTGACTCCATTCTGGTTTGATCTGGTCTGTTGGGGCCTAGTGCAGGAGCTTAATCCAAAACAATGACCTCCCACATATTTTACTGAACAGCTTTCCCCTTTTGATCAGACTCAACCTGTACTGAGGGATTTGATAAAAATTTATGGCATCAGCACTACTGTCAGTCATCATCATGGCAGGGTTGTCTTTGTCTTAGCATGAAACTCATAAGTCACAATGTCAGCCTTGTGGAAGACACATTCCTTTGGTCATCTTGCAGTTGTTGCAGTAATCACAGTGAGGCCACCTAGTATACCACTAATCGCTGCAAATACACCTTCAAAACCCTTGAGAGAATGCAGCTGGGAGATTACAATGGGAACTATCAGGAGGATATACCAAGGGATTAGAGTATGCTTCTTAACAAATGCCCTCATGAACCAAACCAGAAAAAATAAACAAAACAAAAAAAAGCTATTAACAAAGGTTAATGGCTTAGGACAAATTATAAACTCAGTCTCTGAGTTCAGAGGGCAGTTAGTTGACAAGATTTCTGGATTTGAGCTTGAAACATTTTCTTGGTTTAGTTTGAATGTCTCTGGTTATGGCATTGGATGTTTTGGTAAACTCCCTTAGTGGCCCACACATCAGGCATGGGGGTTGTCTCCTGAAATTTACATCGAGTTGTCCAGTTCCAGCTTGTAGGGCTTCAGGAATATAGGAGTTTTTGTCCTTAGTGATTCCAAGTTAGAAATCTAGGAGAAAATTGGCAACATGAGTTTGGAGAGACACAGACAGATATTGGAGGAAATTAGAAGATACAGGATCTAGTTCTGTCTACAGCTAGATAATAGAAACCTCAAAAACAATGAACAGGGCTCTATTCTAATAACAGATGTATTTTAATTTTCTTCTGAAACATTTTTTTTCTCTCTACAGCTGTTCCCATTTCTATCAAATATAATCACAGTAAGACTAAATCATTTGTGAAGTAAGTCTAGTCTCATTAAACTTGGCCTAATTTTTTGTATAAGTGTAACAAGAATAGTGATTGTCACAGAGACTCTTTAAGTCTTCTGGAACTTTCGATGAGGTATCTCAGATTAGACTTTTAAAAGCCTCTTGAGACCAGGAAGCCATGCCAAGGACTCATCATCAGATTTTGCCTGCAATATCTATAAATGTAGGTGAACTCCTCTCTTTTCGAGATCCCCCAAATATTTTTAAGTTTCCTGGACATAATTTTCATAAGGCTCAAAAACCCTTGAAGGCAGGTATTCTACACACATTCTCAAATATGACATTCCAGTCTAAACGTTGGTAATATAATCAATGTTATGGTGTTCTAATGTGTTCAATGTTCTATTGTGCCCTTTTATAAAGAGAATAGATTCTTTTTGAACTTATGCAAATAACTATATTACCATGAAAATAAGAATACTTGCTAATAGTTTCTGAATTCTGGAGGGAATCAGGTAGAGAGAGGAAAAAGTAATTGTTTTAATTCTGTTTACAAAGGTATAATTTGCCAAATTGCTATAAGCTATAGATAGCTTATGAGAAAAAAAAAGTTTCCCTTAAATCTGGAAAATGAAACATTAAAGGACCAACAAAATTTCAAATAAAAAGGCCATCCTAACCCGTAATTCTTCTTCGTCAGTTTATTCAGTCTCATGTAACTAATTCTTACTCTGCTTGATCTTGATTAACTGTTCCATGAGCCTATCAGTTTCTTCATCAGAATTCTGGAACTTCTTACTCAGTCTAATTATGTAATCTTAAACTTATCAAAAAGCTGTACTTGTCAGAGTCCTTTTCATGAATCTCATTAAAGATGAAACACTTTAGGATGATAGTTGCTTACAAAAGCTTTCAGGAAAGTACTAAAGTAAAACAATTAACTCTCTGTGGATGACAAGATTTAAAATGGCCATGGTCAAAAATCTGATGAGAGTTCATTATAATAATGATGTAATTGACAAGGAAATTTGGTTATTTCTGTGGCATACAGCATTTTAACACAATAGAAAATTACAACTGATAATATTATACCACGACATTTCAGGTGTCTAGGATTATTATATAATCTCTGGAATATTCATGTCACTAACATTCCCATAGATATAACTTAAAGAAGGTTTAGCATTACTTGTTTGGCACTGCTTCCCATATAATTTAACATATTAAATAAACCTAATTAGTTTAATATTCCTTACTTGCAAGGTCAGAGACAAGTCCTTTGTGATTTTTAAGGAGCCCTCTAGAATATCTCAAAGTAAGTTAGAGATCAAAAATACTTAATTTAGAATTTGATTTTGGGAAGTTTGTCAGAAATATTAAAGGTTTAAGACACTTGATCAAATAGAATCATAGGTCATTATGAAGCAATATTCATTTATCCAGAGTGATAATTTAAAGACTTCAAAAGCAAATGCACAAAGTTATAAAGTTGAAAAAATTTATCTGTTTTAATAAAGAGGATGCAATTTTCTTAAGTAATCAAATATTTGATAAAAGAAAACATGAAATACAAGAACTTATTTTATAAGATAAAAAAACTTTTTACAAGCCAGATCATTCAAAGAGTTATTAAAAAAAACTTTTAAATAATATCAGTGCTCCAAGAAAACTTTATCCTTTTAACAGACAGAAAACCAGCTTTGAGGTTTGTGCCAATGTATTTTTGATATTAAGGCTCATTTTAAAAACCCTATATGCCCAGATATATAGAGAGATATGCCAATATCTAGTCTTAAGTTTTCCAAAATTTTTTTTCAATTAATAATTTCCTTAGAAGAGACCTAACAATTGTGGTAACTACCTCAAGTCTTTTATGGAAATACAAAGAGAAACATTTATACAAAAATATTACAGATATGCAGATTTATATAGTATATATTTTTGTAAAGAGAAACATTTATATAAAATATCATAGACAGGTTTTTGCTACCTGTGGTCATTTTGATTCCCATGGCTATATAAAAACATATTGGTTGGGGTTACATGGCATCCTAGATTGTTACTTAATTAAGACAAGGGAATAAAGAAGCAAAAAATTCACCACATGGTACATGTTTGGAGCCAGCATTTTTTGGTTACCATGAAAGTCAAAGGAGACAAAAGCCATGCCCAGGATAATGAGCTGCCACAGGCCCTATAATGCCAATAGATTTAGTCCTTGAGGTTTTCTCTTCTAGTGATAGCCCTCTACCATCAATTAAGAAATTGGGAAACATCTATTTGGGAAGGAAAAGAACAAAATTGGCTTTAGAAACTTCAATTCTGGGAGGAAAAAAGGTTAAATTATTTACTTAGGGTTTTGTTTGTTTGTTTGTTTGTTTAATCCACAGGGACTTATTCTTGTTTTTCTGTCATGGCTAAAAGTTCCTAATACTCACTACATGCATACTGGACTCATAAATCTCAACTATAATCTGTTTGTCAAGAATTTGCACTGGATAAAAATATTTTTTATTTTGGTCAGTTACACTGTCCGGAAAATCTGTGATTTAAAATAAATAAATAATACAGACTTAATAATCATAACTGAGGAACTTTCCAGTAGTTTTTAAGTGAAAACAATAAGGAAGCAGGTTAAGCAGACTATTAATTGAGTTCAATATCTATAGACCAATGTCCAAAGTAAAGGTAAGAAACATATAGAGTTCAATATAATAGCTGAGGTGTCATCGATATGTAAATATGCTTGGCTAGAACCTGAGAATACTTATTAAGGGGAAAAAAAACCCAAACAGTAGGCAAAAATTATGTACGTAGAGCTTTTTATAGTCAGACTTCTTCTACATACATTATCATCACATTTCATCTTCAATCCTTCTTAAAGGAAATCAAAGAATCATAATTTGCATTTTAAAGATGAAGAAAGTGAAGTTGAGAGGTATAGGTTCTCAAGGGTCACATGAATGGTGTCAACCTGTAATAAGCCTCATGTGTTCCCATATAGGAATCCAGAAGGCACGTCTCTGATGGGAACCCCATTATTTTTAAGGTAGACTCATGGTGTTCAGCATTTGAGTAAGTGGTGGGAACAAAGCAGTGTTATTGAGCATGGATATAGTAAAGATCACTGTGAAGTAGAAATTGCAATTTATAAATTCACTGATTCTTAACGAGCAAGGTGGATGTGCTTTCTCCACAGTAGTGACACAGTGGGCAGAGAGAAAATCGAGCAGTGCTAGGAAACTCCACTCAGATATGATTGTGATCCCCAGGCAAGTGACCACGTCATGGAGATCACATTAACTGGGCGGAAATAAACTACACCTGGAGAGACAACTATTTTAGATTCAAAGACATTCAAAGAAAGAATACAACCTTATTCTAGGGGCTCTACTAAGTTCTGGGGTGAGAGTCATCTAGCAACTCAATTTATGTACTAGATTGAATGACTGAGTAACAGTTCTCCTGATTGACATAATCCTTTTCATCTACAAACTACTGGTCAAGAAAGTGAGAAGATATTTATCCTAATCAAGTTAAGCTTTTGTGTCACATAAAGTACTCTTGAATATGTTTCTGTACCTATCTCTAGTTGAGACAAATTCAAATTGGGTGAGTATATTTTGTACACTTCCTATTGTTCTGTAGTTTGATTAATTTTGAAAGATTTATTTGTCTACATGTAAAGTAAAAATACCTTATCTCTACTTTAAGAAATGGGAGTTGGGAGAGAAAGCTATTGTATTAGGGTTCTCCAGAGAATCAGAACAACAATAACAATGATATATTTTATATACAAGTATTTTTTATATATATATTATGTGTTTATGTGTGTGTATATATATATATATAGAGAGAGAGAGATTTTTAACAAATTGGCTCATGCAGTTCTGGGGGCTGGTAAGTACAAAACCCATAGGCTAGCTGGAGATTCAGGTAAGAGTTGAGCTTGCAGTCTATAGTCTTGAATATGAAGGCTGGACACTCAGGCAGAATTTCTATGTTGCATTCTGGAGGCAGAATTCCTTCCTTTTCAGGGGACCTTAGTCTTTGTTTTTAAGGCCTTCAACTGATTGGATGAGGCCCACTTACATTATGGAGGGTAATCTGTTTTACTCAACATCTACTGATTTAACTGTTAATCACATCTAAAGATGCTTTCACTGCAACATCTAGACTTGTGTTGAACCAAGCAACTGGCACCATGGTTAGCAAAGTGGACACATAAAATTAACCATCACAGCTTTAAAAAGAGGGAGTGTGCATTATATTTTACCATCTTTTTTCCATTTTGTTCTCCATTCACAAATACCAACTGTCACCTTTTATGTCACACACACATAATGGCAAGAGTTTGGCATTGATAGTCATTGTTTATGTTGATTTGAGTACATAGGAAAATTTTTAAAACAAGGCATCAATTTTAGGACTGAAATAGGATGGAAAAGCCTTTTTGGGGAAGCCTGATTTTCTTTCCTATTTGTTTCTTTTACACATTAGGATGTGTTTCCTTACTTCTATGTTAATAATGTACAGCTGTCCAAGAGCAAAGGCGAATCCATTCTATAAGCAATGGTCCTTAGTTGCAACTTTGCTCTACATTTTACAATAACAATGCAAGATTGTACTTAATACTAGTTCTGCATGTTGATATATGCGTAGCAGAGGCTTCCAAACATTTCTGATCGTGCTCTGTATTAATCCATTCTCACATTGCTATAAGGAACTACCTGAGATTGGGTAATTGATGAAGAAAAGAGGTTTAATTGACTACAGTTCCACAGGCTGTACAGGAAACTGGCCTGGGAGGCCTCAGGAAACTTACAATCATGTTGGAAGCAAAGGGAAAGCAGGCACCGTCCTCATATGGCAGAGCAGGAGAGAGTGAGGGGGAAAGTGCTACGCACTTTAAAAAAACAGATCTCAGGAGAACTCACTCACTAGCAAAAGGACAGCAAGGGGGATATCCACCCCATGATCCAGTCACCTCCCACCAGACCCCTCCTCCAATACATGCAGATTACAATTCAACATGAGATTTGGGTGGGGACACAGAGCCAAACCATATGATCCTCGATACTTGTAAAAACTTTTGAACATGCACCTCAGTGTTGCTAACTGCTGTATTTGTAATTGATACACACAATGCTATATGGTGTATGCAATACAAAATATATAAAAACAGAATAGGAAAGGGTGAGAGGAAAGTAAACACAAATGGAGGCTCTAATATTTTTTTCTTGCTCCCCAGTGGATTGTCCTGAGCACATCCAAGGGGAGGCTACTCTTCTTTGGGTATTCACTTGTCTAGAGAATGCTTGTTAAATTGCACTGACTGTTCTCATTAGAGATAATTGAAGTGCCTCACCTTGGAGTGCCAAATCATCTTTACTTTGAGAATTTTGTAAGAATCTTTCTAAAATGCAAAGCTCATTGCAATACCCTTCAAAAAGAATACACCAACATAATCTAACCTTTTTGGGTAATTTGCGGTTGTCAGATTTTACGCAGGAATTTTCACAAGGCCTTTTGAGTCAAGACTATTTGGTTCTTCATTAAATGGATCCCACTGCTAAGTCTTCTCCCTTTAGTTTTCTCTTCTTAGCCATAATCTGTCCTTAGGGTGTCATTTCCTAGCAACACAAACTTTTTATCTTCTCCATAGTGCTTCTTCTCTTCCATTAATAAAGCTATAACGAATAGTTTTAAATAGTTATAAATAACATCACCATTGAAAAACAAAATAAATCACATTGGAAGAGCAGAATTGACTTTTATTTTCAACAATTAACTCTAGCCAACCAGAAATAAAAAATACAAACAAACAAAAGAAAAATGCATTGATTAGCAAAACCAAGGCCCTGGAGATCAAGTTCTCACAGGAAGTGGGGGAAGGTGATGGAAATCAATGCAAATATCACAGATTACATATTGTTTAAAAACAACGAAGACAGTACTAAACATGCATCTTTTAAAAAACAAGTCACGTTTTGGACATTAAAATCCTTCTTCAGTAGGTACCATTTTTCCAGAATCAAAATCAAGTCTTTTGATTATGAAGAAAAGCCCTGGTCATAGGGTAGATTTCCCCACAGGTATCTACCTTTCAAAGTTTCTCAAGCTTGTTTTTACTTGTTGGAAAATAAAGTCTTTTGCATTTACATATTCTTCAATTGCAACTTTCTTCAAAATATTTGTATAAATGCTGAGTCTTTCTTTGAATTATTAGAATATTCAAAGTGAGATTTTGGGGACTGGCTTTCATCTCTATGTTGGACTAGCATAGCCTGAATTAAGGTTCCCTCTCCTGCTTTGTATTATGTCCTCAGACTCACCCAAACCTCTGCTCTAGAGGCCAGAGGAGAAAAATGACAGGTGTTGTTTTTTTCTTTAAGGGGAATGAAGTGAACTATGTATACCTACAAGACCACAGATTTTAAACATTTTACAATGTGGATAAGATATATTTTTCAAGCCTTGATTGTCACAGATTTACTGTATTAAGATATTAAGCTTTCAAGCAGGCCTTGACAAATTTTTCTGTAAAAGCCCAGATAGTAAACATTTCAGCCTTTACAAGAAAGAGGCAAAATCAAGGATATTCTGTGTGTATTTATATAACAATACAAAAATAAATTTCTACAGTAATTTTGTTGAACAACTTCAAGATATCATAATCGAGTACAGTGTCTTTTACAATACAGGTCTATTAGTGAGAAGAATGGAATAATTTTTTTCAGGCTATAACATTTCACTTCATTAGGTTGTAAAGTGAGCGCTCCCTCTCATCAAATTGATTGAAAATGTTCATCTGTAAACATGTGCCTTGAAGGCCACAGAATACAGGCAGCCATCTGACCTCTGCTCTGAAGCAGGAATGCTCAACGTTTCGTTTTTTTCATAGTAATTATTGGGGAAGATCGTCATGAATGCAGATTTCTGAATTCCAGAGAGAAGGTTTTGACTTTGTTTGCTTGAAATAGGGCCCAGTAAATTGCATTGTGAGAGAGCTGCCCAGCTGATTCTGGTATCTGTGGATTCACACCACGCTTTAAGGAAGACACAGTCAGAGTGAAGGCCTGAGACTGGCCTTGGAGTTCCTGTGAAGGGACAAGAAGAGAGAGCAGGTGTTCAGTTGTGGATGTCTTGAGGTTAAAGTTTCAGGGTCACAGACTAAATGTACTTTTAACATGCTGCAAGGCAAAAGCACCTGGTTGGGATGCCCTCACCAAAGCTCTCTGTCCAGAAGTTTCATGCCCACTGTTTTTCTTTCTCTGCAGGACGTCCTCCTTCACTTTCTGACCTTGGCTGGCTGCATTTCTTGGCTGGCTGCAGCTCTCGCTTATTGGTGAGTCAGGTACTAGTATATCTCTGTGGTAATGCTGGGACACAGCCTAGTTAGATTCCAAATTTTACATTCTGCTTTTTCACTCTCTCCAAAACCTCACACAATCTCATAATAAACAAATCCAATAGGATTTTAAAAATATTCTTTCTAAATATGAAATAACAAGGTAACTAAAGTATAGGAAACTGATAAATTCTCTGAATAAAAAGATGAATTCCAATCCAGTTAGGGAGATGCAATCTCTTTACGAGTATGCACAAAACAAGGAGAAAGTGACCGCGCCTCAGAGGAATAACTAAAAAGCTATGGAGTTCAGTGGGAGGTGGCATTACCTGCAATTAGGAGAAATTTGGAAAGACTTCCTGGAGGAAGAGGCACTTGAATTGATCCTTTAAAGAAGGACAGCTTTTAGATAAGTGAAGAGGGGAATGTGGGAGAACTAGTGCAAGAGGAGGCATTTCAGGTAGAAAAGTAGAATGCAAAGACAGAGAAATAGGAAATATTGGGCTGGGGCCAGCAATTTCTTCAATTTGTAAGAATACAAGTCATGAAAAGAAGCAGCAGCAATAAGGTTGGGGATTTAGGCTGAAAACCACGCAGACCTTTAAGGACCATACTATAGAACTGGATGTTTTCCAGTGGAGACCTGAGGAGTTTGGGGTAGGGGGGCATGAGAAAGCCTGTTCTTTAGGAAGATTCATCTGAAAGCAGATTACGATAGGACCGCAGCAAGGAGAGAGTGGCATTTAAGGAGGTGGCATTTAGGAAGGTCTGGCCCATCAGGGTGGGGGCATCTAAGAGGGAAGAGAGGAGTGGATGTCAACACCAGTGACACGAAGTCTGTAGTGCAGGCAACCACTTTGAAGAATGGGGCAAGAGTAAGAGAGAAAACATGCCAGTTGTGTGTCTTGGTTCTTGGGAGGAGGCTGGCACCATCAGTAGGTGATGACTGCAGAGGAAAAGGGACTGTTTGGAAAGAGCAGTGCTCAGGTATGCTATGCCTCCACTGCAGGTTGCATTAAGCTCATAGCTGAACTACCCAGGAGGTTAACATTTGCTTGGAAGAAGGTGGCCACATTGGGCTGGAGCAGGGACATCACAGAGTGCCCCAGGGTGCCTGACAAGGCCCACACCATGACCATGAGGTGGGCCTTGCTAAATGAGGTAGCTCAGTCCTTACTGAACATCACCTTCCTTATCATCAGCACAGGCCCTGGAGCCAGATAGCCTGTGTGAGAGTCCTGGAGCCACTGCTTATTTGCTGTGAAACACCATGCAAGGTTCTCAACCTCGCTGGGCCTGTTTTCTCCTTGTAAAATGGAGATAATAACAATGCTGACATCATAGGGATGGTGTGATAATGAGATGAGAGTGTAAGCAAAGTGCTTTGAACAGTGGCTGGCAGCTGGTGAGTTAGCAATTGTCATCATTTTACACTGGCAATACTTAATTTTATGCGTCAACTTGACTGGGTTAAGTGATACCCAGATAGCTGGTAAAATATTATTTCTGGGAGTGTTTGTGAGGGTGTCTCCAGAAGGGATTGGCATGTGAATAAGTAGAATGAGTAAAGAAGATCTCCCCTCACCAATGTGGCGGGCATCACCCAATCAGCTGGGTCTGGATAGAATAAAAAGGTGAAGGAAGAGTGAATTCTCTCTCTTCTTGAGTTGTGACATCCATCATCTCTTGCCTTCAGACATCAGAGCTCTAGGTTTTCAGACCTTCAAACTCAAACTGAAATACATCACTGGCCTTCCTGGTTCTTTAGCTTACACATAGAAGATTGTGGGACTAGCTTACACATAGAAGATTGTAGCTACGTGAGCCAATTCCCATAATAAATTTCCTCTTATACATCTGTATTTCTCCTATTGGTTTTGTTTCTCTGGAGAACCCCCAATACAGTGCTCAAGGCTTAGTTCCTCACCCTTGAAGAACTGACATTAATAATCAATGTACTTACATAAGATATGGTTGAAAATATTGAAAGCCTCTATATCTTGACTCAATTTAGAGTCTCCAAACCTCTTACTAATCTTTGGCAAGAAAGTGAGGTCAGCACTCAAGGATCCCCGAATAACCTCTCTCCTATAGCTGGGCAGCACTGCGGAACCTATTTTTGTGTATTCCATCCCCCTCATACTGATTTAGTTCTCATTCATCTGGGATGTTCTGATGCTGAGTTTGGTCTAAAAACCATATTCAGGACCCATTTACCCACAGCAGGAATATTAAGTGTGTAAGTGTGTAGTTTGGGATGTGTTTGAATTGTGGTGTCTATGTCATGGATTAATCAGTCATTTCAGCTTCCTTCAACGTAAAACCAAGTTCTTGGGGATTGGAATGGGGCATTCTAATGAGTGCTTCTGTCAATATTATCCACCACTCACTCATTGCCCCTAGTCTCCTCTCTTCCAGTACTGAAGTTCGGAAGCCCCTGGACCATCATTTAATAGTCCTCTGACACTGTCTTATGATACTACTTATTGTTCAGAGTTTGAACCTTATGGCTCCAAAGTGGATATTTGAAACTGACCTGGTTTTCATGTTTCATTTAGAAACTTTAGCCATTCTTCACACCTCTTCTTGGATGACTTTCAAAATATGTATTAAAAGCCTAGGTCCAATTCCTGAATTTCAGAATCACATTCTTGACACTCTACTTTACATTTCAAAGTTCCACCATCAAGTTTAATATGTCTAACTCTAAACCCATCATCTTCTTATGACCAGATTTGCACCTGAGTTTCCATATTTCAGTCAGTTTCTCTCCCTGCTTCACTATCTTGCCTTGCACAGATGGTCTGTCTTCATGTCCTGCAGCCTTGGTCAGCTCAGGTTGCTATAACAAAAATCCCAGAGACTAGGTGGCTTAAACAATAAACATTTATTTCTCGTAGTTCTGGAGGCTGAGTCATGTAAGAGCAAGGGGCTCAAAAGTCCAGTGTCTGGTGGTGTCCTGCTTCCTGTATTGCAGAACACCTCATTCTGATTGTGTCCTCACAATGAGAAGACAGAAATCAAGCTCTCTGGTGTCTCTTCTTATAAAAGCATTTATCTTGGAAGGCCGAAGCAGGTGGATCACCTGAGGTCAGGAATTCAAGACCAGCCTGGCCAACATGGTGAAACCTAGTCTCTACTAAAAATACAAAAATTAGCCAGGCATGGTGGTGGGTGCCCAGAATCCCAGCTACTCGGGAGGCTGAGGCAGGAGAATAGCTTGAACCTGGGAGGCAGAGGTTGCAGTGAGCTGAGATGGCGCCACTGCACTCCAGTCTGGGTGACAGAGCGATACCCTATCTTGAAAAAAAAAGCATTTATCCTATCATCTTGTTAGGTCATGAGACCTTCATGGTCTAATTACCTTCCTAAGGCCCCATCTCCAAATACCATCATATTAGGGATTAGAGTTTCAACATATATATTTTTGAGGGACACAGACATTCCATCCATAACACCTGCCAATCATTTCTCAACAGTATCTTTCCAGGCTTGCACTTTGGTCAGTTCAGTCTACTGCTTTTTTTCCTTTTCCTGATCCCATCACCTCATACCTACAGTATTCCAGGAATACTCTAGTTGCCACACTTCCAATTCTGTACATTCTTCATTCTACACACAATCCTGCTGAATGAATGTGCCCAAGTGAACAAACTGACCTACCTTATTCCACTTGTGTTGCTATAAAGGAATATCCAAGCCTGGGTAATTCATAAAGAAAAATGGTTTGTTTGGCTCATGATTCTGAGGTCTGGAAAAGTTCAAAACTGGGCATCTGGTGAAAGCCTCAGGCTGCTTCCATTCATGGCAGAAAACAAAGGGGAGCTGGTATGTGTAGAGATCACAAGGTGAGAGAGGAAGCAAGATGGGGGAAGGTGTCAGGCTGTTCTCAACAATCAGCTCTCACAGGAACTGACAGAGTGAGAGCTCACTCATTACCACGAGGAGGGCACCAAGCTGTTTATGAGGGATCTGCCCCCAAGACCCAACCCCCTCCCATCAGGTCCCACTTCCAATGTTGGGGTCAAATTTCAACATAAGATTGGGAAAGGTCAAACAAACCAAACTATAACATTGCTTGTGTGGTTGCTCTGCACTAACATGCCTGCCATCCACTGAGAGGCAAGGCCCGAATGCTCTCAGTCCCACAGACACTGAAGGAATCTTCATTTAGGGGACTGATACCTTTAAGACCACTGGGATATAGCTCGGCTGGGGCTCTGGCAGGTGTCCAGTGCCACAGGCTGGGAGGGCTAGACATACGGGAAAGTAATTTGGACCATATTCCCCCAGGAAGAAATCCATGATACTGGGCAATCTTGTGAGCAGGTGGAAGGATAGCTGGCTCCAGTGTGGCTCCCATTTTAGAAAGGATGGGGCCTTGGCTGGACATATGAATCACTGATGGAGCTTTTAAAAAATACACATGCCTGAGAGATTCTGAAAAGGAAGGTCTGGGATGGGTCTAGAATCTTTGAATTTTTAAAAGCTCAGTGGGTAATTCTAGATTGAAAATTGAATTTTAGTGGTTAGCTGCACCCCCTTTAGCCAGAAAACTGATCCTATGGTATTGTTCATTTCCCAAGCCAGAGCTAGTGCTCTTTGGGGAGCAGCAGGCAGAGTTCTCCATGGCAGTGGTTGAGGAGCAGGGGCAGTGCAGATTTTCCCAAAGGCCATTTCCAGCACAAAGCAGTCCCAGGGCCACAGTGCATGCATGGTGGCGTGGAGCCTTTGGTCAAGCAAGGAATTGGCCCTATGTGTGTTAAGTTGCTCTTGTTAGAGTCCAAGAGAAGGGCTCTTTGAGGGATGAGATTTCACAGACCAGAGAAAAAAAATTTCTGTATTCCATCTTTTGCACTGTCTTTGGGAGAGGCTTAGAGGCAAAAGGAATATCGAGGGAAGCAGAGACTAGCAATGTGGGCAGTGGAGCAGGCTGTGGGTTAAATGGTGTCTCCCCAAAAGATATGTTGGAGTCCTAACCCCTAGCATCTGTGAATGTGACATTACTCAGAAATAGAGATTTTGCAAAGGTAATAAAGTTAAGATGAGGTCAGTAGGGTGGGTCCTAATCCAATATAAAAGTTGTTCTTATAATAAAGGAAGAAGACAGGGACACGCAGGGAGTGGAGGGCCATGTGACCATGGATGCAGAGCTAGAGTGCTGCATCCACAAGCCAGGGAGTGCCAGGACTGCTGACAAACATGCTGGGGAAGGCAAGGAAGGATTCTCCCCTGTGGGTTTCAGATGGAGCTTGGCTCTGTCATCCCTTTTATTTGTGACATCTAGCCTCAAAACTGTGAGAGAAAACATTTCTGTTATTGTAAGCCACCTAATTGGTGGTCCTTTGTTATGTCAGCCTTGAAAATGAATACAGGGCATTTTTTTTTTAGTCCATTTCTGTTATTTGGGTGAGGCAACGTGGGGACCAGCTGGCCGTGCTCTGTAAGGAGTCCCAATTCTGCTCAGGAACTATTGCCAACCTCATTAGCAGAGGAACTAGGGGCCTGGGACATGGGATCACATCCCAAAATTGGCCTCTAAATCCCCAATTAAAGAATCAGAACATATTTTTCAATGTATTCTGTTTCAAACAAGAATTACTATTTGAAACTCTTTTTTCAATATATTTTACTTTTAATCTTTCTTCTTTCCATATGAGACAGAGTAGGGATGGGACCCAGCCTTAACTATCCCATAACATATTTTTCCATACACACCCGCTAACCATCAGACCTTGCACCACCCCCACTGACGCCATTCCCGCTGACCACAAAACCTTGCAACCCGTGTGGGAACGCTAAGGTAAGCTGCAGCGCATCATAAATCTCACCCAAGGGCTTTAACCCCACCACTCGCATGCGCAGAAAACCAGAAGAATGACAATCCAGACCTCCAGCCTCACCCTGCAATGCATGTATTAACATTATTTCTCACTGCGCCTGCGCACCCTGCAGCTCTGCCCCACACAGTACCTCGAAATTATTCACGTCGCCCCCCACTCCCCCCACCTTTTTTTTTTTTTGAAACAGAGTATCCATCTTGTTGCCCAGACTGGAGTGCAATGGCGCGATCTCGGCTCACAGCAACCTCCGCCTCCCGGTTTCAAGCGATTCTCCAGCCTCAGCCTCCCGAGTAGCTGGGATTACAGGGATTACAGGTGTGTGCCACCACGCCCGGATAATTTTTATATTTTTAGTTAGTAGAGACGGGGTTTTACCGTGTTGGCGAGGCTGGTGTCGAATTCCTGACCTCAGGTGATCCGCCCGCCTCCGCGCTGGGATTACAGGCATGAGCTACCGCGCCGGGCCTCAAGTCGCCCTTCTTAAAACACCACAAAGACCTGCCGGCAGGGAGCCAGCTGAGAATTCTTGTTCCTCAGCTGGCTCCCCTGTGCTGGGGCATAGGCAATAAAGCCTTATCTGGAAAACCTTCACAGACCTGTGTCAGTTTCGGTTACATGAAAGCCTGAGAACCCATAGTCAGCGACACATAGAATGGTAAATTCAGAATTGGACTATTAATTTTTGAGTCAAAGTTTTTTTTTCTCTTTCCCTTTAAACTTGTGATTGTATAATTTCTTTTTTGCTTTATGCACTCTGTGACTGATTTATCAATTACTATAAAGTCATTAATCTTGGAAAATAAAAATAAAATCCTAAGCCCGCCAATTGACTGAATGGACCCCCTCTTAGCCAAGGGGACCCCAGAGAAAAACCTTAAAAAGTGAGTACTGGCCATGATGAGATAGGAGGTCCAATATGCCTTGTTAAACTCCCTCGCTAAACGCCATTAGGCTTTCTTCCTTAAGGGTTAAACAGAAACCAGCCCTTTTATTATTTGTTATTTATTTATTATTCCTTTATTTATTTATTTATTTATTTATTTATCTATTTATTTTTGAGACAGAGTCTTGCTCTGTCGCTCAGGCTGGAGTGCAGTGCAGCGATCTTGGCTCACTGAAACCTCTGCCTCCCGGGTTCAAGTGATTCTCCCTCCTCAGCCTCCCGAGTAGCTGGGATTACGGGTGTGTGCAGTCACGCCCGGATAATCTTTATATTTTTAGTAGAGAGGGGGTTTTACCATATTGGCCAGGCTGGTCTCGAATACCTGACCTCAGGTGATCCACCTGCCTCAGCCTCCCAAAGCTCTAGGATTACAGGCATGAGCCACCGAGCCTGGTCAGAAACCAGCCCTTTTGAAAGACTCCCTCCCCCACTGATATCAACCAACTGCCTGATGCGCGCCCCCCATCCTGCCCCCGTTACTGGTAGAAGGTGTCCAAGTGACCTAGTAGTTAGATATTTCCTCTTCAAATTGTAGCCTAGTCCACCTCATTCAGTCTCTGTTGCTGTTATAACAAATTACCTGGGAGGCTCAAGGGGCAAATTTCTTTCTTACCTCTTCCAATGTGTGTGGCTGTCAGCATTCCTTGGCTCGTAACCACATCTCTTTCTGTTCTGTGTTCACATTGCCTTCTCTGTATCTGTCTTCTCCATGTGTCTGTTTTGTAAGGATCCTTGTGATTGCATTTAGAACCAACCTAGATAATCCAGGATAATCTCCTCTCCATCCTTAATTTAATCATATCTTTTGCTATGTAAGGTGATATTCATTTGCTATGTAAGGGATCCAGGGATTAGGAGATGGACACCATTTAATCCACTACATTTAACAAATGCAGAAATGCTTTCTTTTTAAATTCACAGTTCTGTATAATAAATTACCTACCTATTACACATTTGAGGCAATAAAATATACAAGTTTTGTGCACAGTAAGTTACCAATTCTGAGGACCGCCTTTTTCACCCATAATCTGAGCCACAGTTTTAGAATGAACCTACTTTTGCAGACATAAAATCCTTTACGTTTTCATATACACTGTATTCTACAGTTCCCTACTGTATACATAGTTGTCTCAATAAAAACATGAAGCAGCCAGGTGCGGTGGTTCACGCCTGTAATCCCAGCACTTTGGGAGGCCGAGGCAGGTGGATCACGAGGTCAGGAGATCGAGACCTTCCTGGCTAACACGGTGAAACCCCGTCTCTACTAAAAATACAAAAAAATCAGCCAGGTGTGGTGGCGGGCGCTGAGCTACTTGGGAGGCTGAGGCAGCAGAATGGCATGAACCCGGGAGGTAGAGCTTGCAGTGAGCGGAGATTGCGCCACTGCACTCCAGCCTGGGCTGCAGAGCAAGACTCCCATCTCAAAAAAAAAAAAAAAAAAAAAAAAAAAAAAAAAAAAAAAAGAAGCGTTTAAGTAGAGAGGTTCCTAAGAGTAAACCAGTCACCCAATTTTACAAATGAGACAACCCAAATCACATGACAATGATAACAGAGCTGCTGTAGAATCAAGAGGTATGACCCCCATTCACCAGCTTTTCCTGATATATTCTGTATTTTCTTTCCTTTTATCTAACGCACCAAAGGTGTTATTCATTTGTTTCTCCAATCAATACATATTTGTTAAGAACTCACGAAGTACTGGGCACTACATTATGATTATCTAGAGTATATAAAAATTATAAAATGTTTCACTACTGAAAAATTGTTGCTTATTTGCCAGCTTATATTCTAGTGCTCACTGCTTTAAGAAATCCTATGCTTCTGTTGGTCAATTCCTCAAGGAGACAGAAAAGTGGAAAACCCCAGTAGAGGTTTTCTTATTCCTCCAGGTTTTCCCCTTTCTCTCTGCATTAGGAGCAGGACCTCTTCCTTATTCTGAAAACCCCACAGCTAAATGCCATTTCCTTTACTGGCTGATCACCTGACTGCATCCTTACTCTAGGAAGCTCCAGAGACAGACGTGTGCTCTGCCTTCACATAGGAAGCTGCACATCAATCCACTGCCACTGGAACGAGGGGCTTGAGTTGTCCTTTATCCAGAAGTCACGAAAAGGATTTGTTCAGAGTCAGCTGTATTTTGTTCTTGGCTCCACTTGCAATCTATCCTCCATGTTGCAAGATGGCGGCTGGCCAGTTAGAACAGGAGAATGTCATCAGGGGCTGTTATCAACAGTCCACGTGGATTGGAAATAATGTAATGACTGGGCCTTGTTAGCAAAAGATTGGCCAGTTGATCTATGAAGCACAGACAAGTTTCCTATGGGTATCAGCCTAAGAATTCTCTCTCTGTATATATTTCAATAAATAAACATAGGCAAGAACCACCTCTTAGGTTTGCTGGCTAAGATGAGAACACATGATTCAACTTGCTATGTTTGGGTGCTTAATAAGGCTCACTAACCTAGAAACAAGGTAAAAGTACATATCAACAAATACCTGCCAAATACTATGTTGTAACTAAATATTTACAAATCTGCCTCCTCCTTTAGACTATACAGTCCTTAGGGACATAAGCTGTGTTTTTCCCCTGTTGGTTTCCTTTGTGCCCAACACAGGACCAAGCCCACAAGAAGCACTCTCTAAATGCTTATCCTTGTTAAATTCAGTCCATCTTTACTGTGGGGCAGATATATGACAGGTTTCTTTCCCATGGATCATTTATTCTATTTCCACTGAAATGTTACTTGGCCTGAATATTTTCTCTTCATCAGAATATTATTAAAGTAATAGAAGAAAATGCCATACAAAATGTGGTTATTTAGGACTGAATAGCTTAGTCATTCTAATTATTTTATCTATTATTATCTAATTTGTCACACAGTTTGTCCTAGCTGCTTGTAATATTATGGCTTTTCCAAAAAAGAAATGGAGTGTGTGCACATGCGTGTATGCTGTACATGTTTGTGTGTGTGCATGCATGTCTGTGTGTGGACATTATGTGCGTGTGCATGCATGTATGGTGTGTGTGTGTACACACAGAAGTATAGCAAATACATATGGATTTGTAAGAGACTTCCTAACAAAATTGCATCTTTAGTTACTTTTCCAATTTTTTTCTGATATGAAGAAGCACCAGGATGAATCATCTACGGTGGCTGAGGACTATTGATTATGTTTGATAGGAAGGACATGACACCACCCATGTGACTTCTTTTGAATGGTATTAATTATGGGAGTCATTACTGTGTTCCAGTGCTCTAGTGTCTATCATCTGCCACGCAAATTCAAATGCAGCCTCACTGGATGGTTTCTTAGACCATCGAATTAGACCACATGACATGGCAGCATGTTGGGAAGATGATCAATGGGAGAAGCTCTAGGATAAATTACTTCTGCTTGAAAAATATATTGCCTACCTGGGTAAAAATGTAATTGTGACTGTAGAAATGGAAGAAATCAATTATAAAAATAATGATTGCCTCAGATTGTTTATAATGAATTCAGTATTTTTTTATTTGCTAAGTTCGTAAGCAAACTGGAAAGATAGACTGAGAGGAGAAATGGAGTACATGAAAGTTTAAGGATGATCAAATGAACTAATTTTCTTCTTTAAGTTAATGTTTTGAATGTACATAAAGGTAAATGAATTATGTTCAAATATACTGATACATTTTCACAAACAGAAAATACCCATCCACCCATATCAAGTCACTGAACATTACCAGCATCTCAGAACCTTGCCATTGGGCCCCTTTTTAGGCTGCCATCCCCCACCTTCCATCCCATATGACTGTCTTGACTTTTAACCTCATACATTTATTTTGAAGCTGGCATTATTTTGGTGGGGGGAGGGGACAAATGCAGGCAGGGTAAAAGGATAAAATGAGTATTCAGATCATTCAGAATAAAAAATCCTCTAGAGAACAAAAAAAAAAATGAAGAATAGTGAATTGGTGTTGGTTTTGGTGAAGCAGCAGAAATGGAAATAGTAGGCAAAGAAGAAAAGTAATCTATATACAAATAATATAAAATGATTTTTTCAGGGGTCATATTTAAAAACATAGTTTGGTTATTTTGAAAGTCATTTTATGAGTGCATATGTGGCCTTCTTGATAGATTAGAAGTACTTCAGATATGAAGACTGCTAGAATCTGTTCACAGTAATTTTTCCAAAAAGCATTTGGATAGTGCTAATATTTGGATATTGCTAATATTTAAAATCACAGGCTGGGATAGTGCTAATATTTAAAATCACAGGCTGGGATAGTGCTAATATTTAAAATCACAGGCTGGGATAGTGCTAATATTTAAAATCACAGGCTGGACGTGGTGGCTCACGCCTGTAATCCCAACACTTTAGGAGGCCGAGGCGGGCAGACCACCTGAGATCAGGAGTTCGAGACCAGGCTGGCCAATGTGGTGAAACCCCATCTCTACTAAAAATACAAAAATTATCTGGGTGTGGTGGCGGGTGCCTGTAATCCCAGCTACTTGGGAGGCTGAGGCAGGAGAATCACATGAACCTGGGATGCTGAGTTTGCAGTGAGCCAAGATTGTGCCATTGCACTCCAGCCTACGCAACAAGAGCGAAACTCCTTCTCAAAAATAAATAAATAAATAAATAAATAAATAAATAAATAAAATAAAATCACATGGTAGTATAATATATAAGGCCATGAAGAAAACATTTAGGGATAGATAAAGTGTGTTATTTGACTGCCAACAGTAGTTGTACAATGGACATGAATGGCATCTATTCTCAAACAGAGCACCTGAACATAGATATGCCCTGGTCATGGGTGCTGAGGAGGAAGTTGGCTGCTGGGGACCTTCTACAGGAGAGAGTAGAGGAGTTTTAGAGAGAGGAATACAGTTCTGCTTCCTGGAATTGAGGTTTCACCTCCATGAGAAATAAGCAGTGATAAATAGTAAAAAGTTCAGAATGGGGAGATTCAAAAAAGATTTGAAAATCAGCATTCTTGCCAAATGAAGCTTCTATGGAATGGAGGTGGTAGAAGAGGAGAGGGTTGGCCTGAAAGAGCTACCTATAGCAGGTGTATGAGAACCACGTGAGCTTCACAGGGGTGATTGCTACCTCTCTCTTTTCTTGGGCCTAGGCCAGTTTTAGAGGAGTTCCCAAGCATTGTCATGAGGCGGCCAGTGTGCTCACTGGATGGGATGGCCTGGGCTTGTGCATGCCCCGAGGGCTCTCCTGGGAGCCTTCCCTTTTCCCAGTCACTGTCTGAGCCACAGAAGCAGTGCACTCATTGGATGTCTGTTCTTAACGTAGCTTCTCTTTCTACATTAAAAAAGAATCATTATTGCATGTTGGAAAGCAGTGCTCATCAAAAGCAACTTTTAGAACCTATTTTATTGTTCCTTTAAATGTTCTCTCCCACTGAAACTGCCCTGGAGAGGCTAGCTGCCGCTCTTCCATTTCCCAACATCAGGGTATTCTCCACATCACTGAGTGGAGATGACTCCAGATGTGTTTAAAGACTGGACAATTCACCTATACTGTGTAGGGAATTACCTCCTTAATTACCTGCTAGAATTGTCAGCAGACATGTTCATCCAATGATAGTACTGCAGTTTTCTATTAATAATTTGCAGACTTTTATCTAACCTGCATTCATGTACAGATTATTAAAATTTTTAAAATGTAACTGATCAGTATTGATCAATCATTGTCTTGTTTTTTTTACAGTGTATATTTCTAATCATATTTTTTAAAACCAAGAGAACTGGTTGAATGAATGTTTATTTTCCTGAAGATATTTTTAAGATGAAGCTTCCTAGTGGCCTGTAAACTTTGCATATGTATGTAGTTTGATACATATTGTCATATTTGAAAATCTTGTGTTATAACTGGTTTTATACAAAATATCGAATAGTGGAAATTGTATAATTACAATCATGTAATTAAAAGTATTAACCCAACAACAACAACAACACCAAAAAAAAAAAAAAAAGAGAGAACCACCTGAGCTTGCCTAATAAGCGCAAAGGGATGTAATGCAACTTATGCGGTGAAACATCACATATGTTCACCATTCCTTTTCCTTCAAAGAATGTACTTAGGACTTTTAAAAACTAGCAGCTTTGTATCATTTAATTGTACAATGATCTTGAAACAAAGATCATTGAAACATTTTTGGTAACTGAATGCTCATTTGAAGCATTCTTGGCATTTATCTTGATGTAGTCTGTTTAAACCTTTTCCAAAAGTCATGCCAGTTGATGCAATTCTTAAAAGTACCAAACACACCCATTGAAACTGCCCCCGTGGTACTAAAGAAACATATCTACAGATGATTTAGTAAAAGAGCCAGTGTCGTTTGATGACTCTCTGCATTCTGGGTCTTGATATCTGGGTAAGAAACTTGTCAGACATGTCTCCTTGATTCCAGCTGGTGTTTTATCTCCCATCTTCAAGGAAGGAAATTATTGGGGAGAAACATAAGCAGCATGATGCATGCTGCCAACCACAAAAGGCCCTGCCAAGTCCACAATCAATAATATGCCAATTTGTTTTCAAATGCTTTTTGTACTGATTGTGTTAAAAGGTCTCTAAATGTATATGGCTTATCTGCACTGTGGTCTGAATTATATGGGATGGTGGCAGTTGATTAGCAGTGGGATATCAGTGTGTCTAAGTTGCAAAGAGAAGATTATGAGGTCAGACGCATTCCCATTGCAGGTTTGCATCTGCACATGTTGTGCCCCTTAGAGTCAGAGGGAACTCAGAGCTCACTGGATCACTAAGGGAAAAGGATATGGCACAATGGGGGAGGCTGTGTCTCAGGATCTGCAATTCTACATCTAAAAATGTCACCTCACCTGTTAAAATGGATCGACAAATGACAAGTGCAAACAATCAAATATCAAAGTCGATGGGCTGGATTGATGGTAGCATTGAGTCAGCATCTCCCTAAACAGAAAATGCTTAAAGATTGACTTCACACATAGAAATACAAGCTGCGCTTTTGAAAATTTGAGATGGAAATTATGCCTTAAAACTAATTCTTGCTATAACAAATGGAAAACTAGTTATCTTATCTTGTTTGTACATAGACATAAGCAAAAACACTTTTAAGCCCAAACTCTTATTCGACGTTGTATTTTATAGAAATGTAATCTTTTATATCAAGTAGTATATCAGAGTTCAGTCAGAGAAGAACCACTAAGGTATATATAACGTGCTAATATATACGCTATTGATTATATAATACTTAATAATATTAGATACAAAGCCAGATGATGTGTAATATGTATATAAAGGGATTTATTCCAGGGACTTGACCTCACACAGCTGTGAGAGCTAGTTAAGCACTTTTGGTGAGGCCGCCATCTTCATGCCTGATCTGGACATTGACTTTTGCAGGGAAGGCAATTGGGAAGGACAGATAAATATATATATATATATATATATATATATATATATATATATATATATATAGAAAGAGAGAGAGAGAGAGAGAGAGAGAGAGGATGGAGCTGGAACCCACGTACATGCATTGGAATCCATGAGGATGGACTGGACCCTGGGTCAGTCTCTCGATAACTCTAACTTCAGTTTTGTAGGTGTCCTTCATGAGAAAATGGGGCTCTCTCAGAGAACTAAAACATACACCTTGACCAAAACTTGAAGAGGATGAGGGAGAAACCAGGGTGAGGTGGGACAACTGCAGGCCCAGCTGCTGCTCATTCCAAAGAGATGCGCTAGCAGGGCAGCAAAAACATGTGGGCAACAGGGGTCCCTGGTACACATATGGGTCCTGCTTCTCTCCCACCTTCCAAATATTGCATGAAATGTCTTTTCTTCTACCGTAATGAGAAAGATACTGGGATGGGAATTCTGGAAACCATAGCTTAGTCTAGTCAAAGTGACACATGACAAAGCCACCACAAACTTATTACAACTGTCTCATGTACAATAGAAAACATACTAGTCTTTCCTTCCAAAAAAGGATGATGCTTGTTTCTGTACATCATGCTTTTTCTCTGATATCCAGTAATACTGAGATATAAAGCTTAACTGCTGCTAACATACCTTATGATAGCTAGTAGAGGAATGGGAGAGAGGACGAAAAAATTGTTAATAACTGCAAACATATTAATATTAAAATAAGGAAAATGTTCATAACTATTTAGTTCTCATTTCTATAAATGGTTGTGTGGTCATAGCTAGGACTAAAAACTTCCTCCTTCCACTTCCCATTCTGTATCTCCTTTGCCTCCAGCAAGCCCTGGGTTCTTACATGTAGGATAACTTAAAACTTCTTCCTGAAGAAGTCTTTCCTGTATTCAATTGTTGTAGTCTTTTCACGGACTTAAATCACAGGACCTGGGCATATTAAAAGGCACCCTATATTTATCAGATCAATAGCTTCATACTAGGACCCAGAGGTTGTGTTGATTTGCTTCAATAGTAAAACCACATCTGAAAAAACAGCTGAAATTGGAGTCACAAGTTAAGTTTTTGGTGATAACTATGATTCACTGGGATTTATTTGTCTTCTGCCCAGGCCAAGTGAGTGAGTTAAATGGGGATGTGCTGGGAATCACCAGCCCTACATATTTCAAGTCCTCAGTGCTGGCACTAATCTCTGCAGTCTCTTGAAATGTGGTATCACTTTTTGTTTATTATTTAGGTAGACAGAGGCAGTTCCAGTGGCTTCTAAGTAGTCTTTTCTACCGTAATCACCCTCACTCCACGGGCAAAAATATTGAGAGTGGTTTAGTGAGGCAGTGGTGGCTTAGGATCTCTCATGAGATTACAATCAAGGTGTTGGTAGGGACTTCAGTCATATGAAGGCTGGACCGGGGCTAGAGGATCTGCTGTAATCAAGACAATGAAGAAATGATCAAAGGATTAACATAGATCAATTGAATGATAGAGTCCAGAAATAAACCTACATGTATATGAACAAATGATTTTTGCCAGTGAATTAAGTGGGAAAAAGAAGTGATATTGAAACAATTGGATATCCATACAGAAGAAAGCTAGCATCAAGCCTTACATTACATCAGACTCCAAGATTAACTTAAAATGTCACACAAACCCAAATGTAAACGCTTAAACTATAAAACTTCTAGGAGAAAGTAAAATATTTGTTATTTTTCTATAGGCAAATATTACTTAGGACACAAAAAGCATTAACCATTAAGGAAAAGTTGACAAACTAGACTTTATCAAAATCAAAGACACTTTTTAAGAAAAGGAAAATGAAAGCCACAGACTGGGAGAAAATACTTACAATATATGTATCTAAAAAAGGCCTTGTACGCAGAACATATAACGATTTGGTGAACCTCAATAAGAAGGTCAAAAACCTTTGAAGGATTGTAAAATATTTGAACAGACTTTTACACAAGAAAAGAAAGGAATGTCAAGTAAGCCTATGAAAAGATATTGAGCATCTTATCAAGAAAATGTACATGAAATACCACTACACATCCATTAGAATGAATAAAATTTAAAAGACTGACAGTACCCAATATTAGTGATGATGTGGTACAACTGCAACTTTTAGCCATTGGTGGGAATGAAAGATGCTAAACCACTTTGAAAACAATTTCGCAGTTTCTTAAGAAGCTAAGCATACACCTCAGATATGACCCACTCCTTTCATTCCTGTGTATTAGTCAAGAGAAATAAAATTTAACATGTAATGACTTGTATGCAAATATTTACAGCAGCATTATTTATAATAGCCAAAAACTAGAAGCAACTCAAATGTCCATCACACGTTTTCTCCCATTTGCCAGGTTCACTCTATTGACTGTTTTGGTGTGCAGGAACTTTTTAGCTCAATGCAATCCCAATTGTCTATTTTTGCTTGTGTTGCCAGTGCTTTGGAGGTTTTTATCTAAAAAACCTTTGCCCAGACTAATGTCCTGTATTTTCCCCAATATTTTATTCCTGTAGTTTCATAGTTTCAGGTCTTACATTTAAGTCTTTAATCCATTTTGAGTTGGTTTTTGTATATGGTGAATGATAAGGACCTAGTTTAATTTTTCTGCATATGGATATCCAGTTTTCCCCACACCATTTATTAAAGAGTCTGTCCTTTCTCCAGTGTATGTTCTTGATGCCTTTGTCGACCAACAAATGGATAAGCAAAGTTGATATATCCATACAATAGATATGACTCAGAAATAAAAAGGAGTAAATTACTGATACAGCAATGATCAGTAGAATGATCAGGAGATATATCAGAATCATTACGCTGAGTGAAAGAAGCAAATACAAAATAGTATGCACTATATGATTCCATATATATTAAATTCTGGGAAATGAAAACTAATTTACAGTGACATAAACAGATAAGTTGTTGCCTGGTGCCAGGAACTGAGAAAGGAATGGATTGTGAAGGGGCATGAAAAAAACTTTAGAGGTAATGGAGACATTCTGTATTTTGATTTTGGCAGTGATGTGATGCATCTTTCAAAACTCATTGAGTTGAATATTTTATGGATGTAGCTTATTTTACATAATTATACTTCAACCAATTTTTTTTCTTTCTTGACATGGAGTCTCGCTCTGTCGCCCAGGCTGGAGTGCAGTGGCACGATCTCGGCTCACTGCAAGCTCCGCCTCCCGGGTTCACACCATTCTCCTGTCTCAGCCACCAGAGTAGCTGGGACTACAGGCACCTGCCACCACGTCCGGCTAACTTTTTGTATTTTTAGTAGAGGCGGGGTTTCACCGTGTTAGCCAGGACGGTCTCGATCTCCTGACCTTGTGATCCGCCCTCCTCGGCCTCCCAAAGTGCTGGGATTATAGGCGTGAGCCACCGCGCCCGGCCCAGGGTGGTGGTTTTTTTTTTTTTTTTTTTTAAAGGAATTAGTAAAAGAAACTCGTCTCCAAATGTTTAACAAAATTCTAGTAATTCCTAAAAACGCCCTGCTCATTGTCTCTGTCTTTGAATTCACTTTGTACCTGCATTTTAATGGCCTTAAAAGCACAGATCTTGGCCAATCTATGCACAAGAGGGGGAAAATGTCGAGTTAACAAGCATATTGTATTGTCTCTGTTTACATCATTCCAAAGCGGGCTCTAAATCTTTACATCAGTTGAAGTTTTTCATTATGTAGAATTTGTTTTTCTTCCATATCTATTGTGTATATATTTAGTGAGTGAAGATCAGGATCGGGGTGGGGGGTGTTGTGTATGTGTGTGTGTGATATTCTAATGAAAGTTTGTTTCCATGTACACATGGGAGTGTAGCTTTTATGTAATAAAGATGGTCTTTGACAAAAGAAGTGAGGTTAGCCTGTAAGGTCAACCAGTTCTCTGCAATTTGTTAAAATATAGTCAAATTTAGGAAGATACAAGAGTAGACACGCTGCCTGCCATAATTTCTAATTTGCAATGAAGCTGTACTTAAATCTTGGGACTGTTGAACAGAGACTACTAAATTCAATCTTCTATGTAATGAAAGAGAAAAGAAGAGAAATGAAGTGCAAAGAGATTGTAGAAATCAGTATTTGCACCAAACACTGAAAAGCCAGTGTAGATGAATGATGAAGAGGGACCCAGAGGGTTTGTGTGGGCAGCTAATGGGGCAGGACGTGCTGATTTGCAGCATCTGCAGTGTGATTTCTGCACTGGGATCAGACACTCTAGGTTTCCATCCTAGAGTTGTTTTCAGATCAGTCTTCGAAGTGAAACCAGCAGCCTTTGCCACTCTCTGGTCCTATCCTACGTCTTTATTTCCCGTTTCCCACATTGTATGATTATTAGTGTATGTCTGCTTTTATCCACTAGATTTTCATAACTTTAAGGGCAGAGATTGTGGTGTGCCTGCCTGCCTTCCTGCCTGTCTTCCTCCCTTCCTCCCTTCCTCCTTTCCTCCCTTCTTTCCTTCTCTCCTTCTCTCCTTCTCGCCTGCCTTCCTTTGTTTTAAAACCACTGTACACATTGTCTACTTGCATGTCTGGCACAGAAGAAACTCTTAATAGGTTTCTTGAATAAATGAATGAATGATTGGTGACATGTGTTATATATAAATATACACATATGTGTACATATTGTATATAATTATATGTATATACTGATTGGTATTCTATTATTAGTTTTGTGTAATTGTTTTTGTGCAACTGCTTTATCTCTATGTAATACATGCTTTTCTTTTACTAAATATGTACAATTTTATTAAATATTTGCAAAGTTAGTTACTTTCAAAGCACTACTTTTCGAGAGAAAATTAATCAGTTTTCCCTTTTCTGTAGTGTTACCTTCCAGCTTATTTGAATGAGCTTGATAATTTTTATGGGTTTTCTGGAAGTACAGCAGAGTCCAATTTTTCATCATTGTACTTTCTAATAATTTGTAGTATAAAATTAAACTGTCGAGCAATCAAAGTACACTGACAATCTTAAAGTCAACACTGAACAAAATGATTGCAACTAATTCATCTTTCTTTAGTTCCTGACTTCCAATTGATATTTCAGAATGACTTATTTATTTATTTGCTCAAATTTAAGGTCCAGTTTTGAGAAAATTTTAATATGCCAATTGTCACATTCACTAAAACAAGAGTGAATACTTTGCAGCTTTTTGAAGTCAAAGGATCTTCTAGAAAAAATGAGCAGCTGTCAAAAATGAACATTCTTGCAAAACAGCTATTATTTATAACTGTGCCAAAAAAAGTTATCTCATTTCTTCCCTGAGTTATTTCAAGACACCAGGAATGATAGATAACAGATAAAACGACAGGCAAAGAGTACAATTAACATCTTCACCCGTTCCAGCTGGTTAACCCCAGTGAAATCCAGTATTTTCTTCTTCATCTGCATAAAAAAAGCTCCTGATATCTCAAATTACTTTTGTGATTCCTTCATATGATCAAGATTAAATAAAGGATATTGCCTCACAAAATTATTTTGAAATCTTAGATTAGATTTTATGACTTTCTACTTTATAAATACTTGTGAGAAGTTATCAGGGGACTCAAATATCTTCAAATGAATGCGAACATACCACTTAATCACAATATAAGTAATTAAATCATATGATATGTATGTATAAGATCAGGACTAAAATGGGTTTTCTAAACTGTATTAATACTCTTGTCAACATACTTGTTTTAGACACGCATAGCCAATTGACTATTTGATATTGGCATTAATGCTTAAGTGGCTTACAGATCTGTTAGACTGAAATAACTTTCAAGTTTTCAATCACCTTATCTGTTTTTCTCATGTTGGCTGCCTTCATAAACCTGTCAAGTTTATCCAGCCAGAAATCATGGGGTGTCTTTGATTCTCCTCTTTCCCTCCTTCTTGCTATACCTCAGTCACATCTAAGTGACAAGTGTCTCACTCATTCTACTTTTCTGAGCTGCACAGCCACCCCTAACCCAGCTCCAGCTGCTACTCCTGGCCCCTGCTGCTTCCCTTCCTCCTTCCCAAAGCCATCTCTACATAGTGACCACATTCTAAAAAATAAATCAGATAATGTCACTCCTCTGTTTAAAACCTTTTGGGAGATTTCCATTGCTCTTGGAGAAAAATGTCCAGATGTATGACGCCCTGCATGATCTGGTTCTTACCTATCTGTCCATTTTCTCTCATACCCTTCACCTCTTGCTCACACTGCCTCCAATCAGCTTCTCAAACAAAAGAGCTTTCCACCTTGAGGTCTTTGTGTTTCTTTCCTTTACCTAGAATATCCTCCCTAGACTTTGTATGGCTGGTTCCTTTTCTTACTCGAATGTCAGATTAGAAGAAGCAAGGGTGAAATGTAGGAGGGAATGGTGGAGCAAAGACCATATGCTAGCTACTGTGCTGGGCAGGCAGGATATGTATGTGTGTGTGTGTATAGTATATTCTATATATTATAGCATAATCTATTATTCCATTCTCTATTAATGAATGCAGGAATGAAAATCAGTATACACTGCCCAAAGACTTTTTTGGAATACACATTGAAACAAAAATATTTTCTCATTGTTTTTGATTAAAACAAAATATTCACTTAACTAGGAAAATGTGAGTCTACTATCCAATTAAAATTTTGTTGCATAAAGTACAAGACATTACCTCTCAATGATATGATAGCCCAAGGTACAGTAAGAATCATAGATGGATATTCTGTTCACTCATTTTTGCAACAAATACAGCTTATACATCTATAATAATATATAAATCTTATATATATATGTTTAATATATTTATTTACTTAAGAAAAATTCCCAGTAATCTAGGCATGTTAAATTGATTTTCATACCAGGTAGTTTTAAGGATTCTAAAAAAGAACACACCTGTGTATAAATAGTGAACTTTATTTAATGCAAATCAATTATAGACATTTTAAAATAAAATACTGAAATGATGCAATCATTAAGTGGAGTAAAAATAGTACTTGATTTTAAATGTAAAGTTTGTGTTTTAAAACAATCTGTGTAAATTATATATTTATATGTAGTAAATTTTCAACATTTAATCATTACTTTTAGATAAATTTTATATACAATTTCAAACATAATAAATTAACATTAACTTTATAAATATTGGTCAGGTGTTTATAAATCGATTCAGGAAAACTTAATTTGATGTATTGCTGTAAATGGTCTCTAGATAAAATTGTGAAACACTGTATTTACCAAATTACATTCTTTAATCTTAGATGAAAAAGATTTATTTCCTGATCTGAGTTTACAAATAATAATTAGAGGAGGCCTTATTATGAATTTAATAAACGTTGAATTATGCATAATTATAGAGCCAAGGCTAGAGACAACTTCAGAAATATTTTCTTCCCCAAAACAGAGGCAGCCATACTATTGGAGACAGTAGAATAAAGATATTGCCCCTCCTCTTCTCCATGAAAGTAAACACAAGATATGGAGAATGACTGCTGAGTGCAGTGGCAATTAAGCCATGAAAAAGAAGTCTGAGAGGCAGAGCCTGTAGACAGCTGAGCCTTCTGAAGCAGGTGGCTACACTGTGCACTGAAGCAAATTACCTCTTTTTTGTAACAGGAGGATCGGGGAGCACTATGGCTGTTGGAGCATTCCTTATCTGGCAAAAGATCTGGGTCTAAAAAGGGAAAAGACTAGACATGCTGTTTATTTCAAAAAGTACACTCTTTATGTGATAAGAGAATGCAAAAAAGAATTAATGTCAAATAATCTAGTAGCTTCAGATTTTGTCAACTAAGAAGAGTCTTTGTTTCCACTCCTGGACACACACATATGTACACGTTTGCACATGCTGAAAGTTCAGAAAAACTAGTTTCACATAAAAATGAACAACAGATAACTTTCAAAGTGAAATCCTGTATAAAATTATTATAAGAAAAGAAGAGAATAAGGATCAGAGTAGTTTCTTACAGTCAAAAACATGTCAGAAAGCTGGCTCCACAAAACTAATCAAAACTGGAAACTACTCTTCCAAACTTAGATAAAATATATTCAGAAATGCTACAAGATATGTTCAGTGCTTACTTTTCATCTGAGAATGAGGGGACCATCACTAACTGATCCTATCTTGACTCACCCAATTCTAGGTATTTGAGTCTGTCCCTTGAAATATGCTAGCCCTAGTACTAACTCTGGTATTTCTGAAAATGTCCTGTAGCAAGTAACAGAAATACAACCCAAATGGAATTTCATTAAAAAAAGAATTTCGTGATTCATAGCTGAAAACAAAGTGTGAATCTAATGGCTCATGCATGGTTTGAACTGGAAGCTCAAATGATGTGTTGCCAAGACGAACTTTTCTATCTTTGGGGCCTACTTGCCACCCTATCAGGTGCATAGTGAGGCCAGGACTTCCTATGTAATAAGAGAGAGGGTCACCAATAGCTACAGCATTAGTGTTCGCTGTGTCTTAAACCTTAGAGAAGTGTGTGCCTCTCTTTCTCAATGGATCCAGTGAAGATCATGGTTACTGTGGTATGCCCAGCATGGTTCACATAATCACCTTGATTCATTTACTAGGGAGACAATCACTCTATGTTACCTGATTCAATTACTATAGACCTAACCCAGATCTGCACTCCCTCACTTGTGGCCCTGGGTGGTGGTAGTGTAGTTCCAGCAGGATTACATGGATGAAGAGTGGAGACAGACTGGCTTTTAAAAGAATGAGAAATTTCATTCCTAGAAGAAGGGAGAGAGAATGCTGGAGAAAGAAGTAAACATAAAATTCCTCTACAGGATACCAAGATGAAAGACGCATCAACATATTTTTACACATTTTTACAACTTTACAAATTTTTACAGGATTATCGTTTTGTAGTCTGAAGAACCCAAATGGGATTTCTGTTTGATATGGTTTGGCTGTGTCCCTACCCAAACCTCAAATTGTAGCTCCCATAATTCCCACATGTCATGGGAGGGACCCAGTGGGAAGTAATTGAATCATGGGGGCAGGTCTTTCCTGTGCAGTTCTTGTGATAGTGAATAAGCCTCACAAGATCTGACAGTTGTATAAAGGGTGAGTTCCCCTACACATGCACCTAAAGACAAGGTCTTTCCTGTGCTGTTCTCTTGATAGTGAATAAGTCTTACAAGATATGATGGTTTTATAAAAGGGAGTTTCCCTACACATGCTCTGTCTTGACTGCCGCCATGTAAGACAGTGCCTTTCTCCTCCTTTGCCTTCCGCCATGCTTGTGAGGCCTTCCCAGCTATGTGGAACTGTGAGTTTATTAAACCTCTTTTACTTTATAAATTACCCAGTCTCAGGTAAGTCTTTTTTTTTTTTTTTTTTTTTTTTTTTTTTTTTTTTTTTGAGAAAGAGTCTTGCTCTCTCGGCCAGGCTGGAGTACAGTGGCACGATGCCAACTCACTGCAACCTCTGCCTCCCGGGCTCAAGAAATTCTCCTGCCTCATCCTCCCGAGTAGCTGGGTTACAGGTGTGTGCCACCATGCCCTGCTAATTTTTGTATTTTTAGTAGAGACAGGGTTTCACCATGTTGGCCAGGCTAGTCTCGAACTCCTGACCTCAGGTAATCCACCAGCCTTGGCCTCCCAAAGTGCTGGGATTACAAGCATGAGCCACCGCACCTGGCCAGGTATGTCTTTATTAGTAGTGTGAGAGCAGACTAATGCACAGCTTCTATACAGATTGGCAGCCAAACACACACACACACACACACACATACACACACACACACACACACACACAACTGAAGACACATGTAAAACAAAGTGTTGGTTCCACCCCAGTTAGTCCTGTTTCATCAGCACTTTTTGACAACTAGTTTAGAGCTCCTACATGCAAACTAATACATTCATTTATGTATTTCCAATACAAAATGGAACATACATCTGACAGTCATTTGATCTGTTTAGACACTACATTGGATTCATGTTTTAACAAAAGTATATGGGGTTTTTTTGACTGAAATTTACCTAAGAGTATTTATCCATATTTCAAATTTATTGCCACATTCCCACTTACCTTCCTGCTCCATACGCAGGCATTTCACAGCTGCATTAGGGATGACTCCTAGGTACTTCAGGAAACTTATGGCTGGGTAGAAAGATGAACAACAGGAGCTCATTGGAAGGGCTCCCATTTGTCTTCTACGGTCTTTGTAAGACTATGCAGGTTTATCTTCGAGGCATTTTAAATACAATGACCAAGTTTCCCAGTTGCCATAATTTAATTCCCAGTCACTCTGCTGCAATAGATCTTTTTTTTTAAAAAGAAAAGCTATAAATAAGGAAAATGTTTTAAGTGTTAGAAGACAATTATGATAGTAATTTGTCTTTCTTAAAATTCATAACTCAAAATTAATTAATGTCTGAGTTATGGCTAGTGCTTAAGACTCCAAGTAATACAATGGAGTTGGAAAATTACAATCATTTATGGACATTTCTTAAATAGCTCAATCCTGTTGGCAGTTTGAGATAAGAATTAGAAATGTTTTCAGATGAAACTGCTGATTGTCTTCAAGATATCTACTGAAAATTATGGAGTCATTCAAATATAGTCTATGAAATCGCTGAAACCTGAAGAGAGTGTTAAAGTGGGCCAACTGGATGAGTTAATAGATGGGGTCTGGGTCAGAGTTAGGGAACTGGGGTTTCTGGACCCAGGTTTACCATTTTACATGGTTAGAATGTAATGTACCCATGCTCTAAAGTGCACATCTAACACACACGGTTCATAAATATTAGCTGTCTCTAACCCTCTCTCAGTGAACCAATGAGGCTAAAAAAGAAAACATATCCAAAAACTCCAAAAGGAGAAAATTGTGTAAACCGAAGTTAACCAACTAACCTATGAATTCTGAGATTTATCTTCACTCAAAGTTTTACTTAATGATAGACAAAAAGACTAGGACACACTTTTGTTTGTTTGTTTTACAAAATGCCTATAAAAGTTATGTCACCCCAAAGGCCATAATGTCCCTTTATACTCCTCCAGAGGCGGTTGCATGCCTATGTAAGCTATCTTTTACCTCTATTTGAGGATGAAAAAGTAAATTTTTCTAATTAGAGGAGAGTGACATAACTGATACATGTGTGTGTATGTGCATGTATGTATGTATGTATAGCAGCTATTCATATCAGTATTTGTGCACCCCAGAGAAGAAATGAAACATTCCTTTCAGCTCCTCAATCATTCATGAATAACACTAATTAGAAAAAAGACAACCTGGGCTGCAAAGGCCAGCTCTGTTTTTGCCCCCACGTTCCTCTGATCAACATCAATTCCCCTCCATCTAAGTCTTTGGATTTTGGGTAAGCATAATTTGATGATAATGATTATGGTCATCATCATTTTCCCCAAGATCTGGCATCTTCAATGCTATGGAAACTAAATTGAAGTTTGGGGATTTTGAGTTTCCCACCCACCTCACTGCATTGTTTTCTCTGAAGAGAAATATGTTTCAGTTCTGAGACAGCTGTTCCAGGGGATCACAGATCACAATGCTCAGTCATGGCTGCTGAGATATCAAATATTCAAAACATTGCTAGGAGTATGGACTATTTGAACAATACAACACACAAACTTCATTTATTGCACGTATGTAAAGCCATGAACTTAACAATGTACAGTCGTCTCAAGAACACATGAAGCATTTATAAAAATAACAATATAAAGAACTCATGAAGCAAGTCACAACAAATTTCAAAAAAATCAGTGCCATAGGCCATGATGATGAATTAAATTATTCACTGAGAATCAAAAGAGAAATAGAAAATCTGTATACATTTTGAGTTAAAAATTACAAATCTACACAACTGTAATTGAAAGAAGTTGCAATTGAGGTTAAAAATACCTAGATCTGAACCCTAAAGGGTTCATAAAGGCATGGAATGCAGCAAATATATTCTTACAGAAAAATGTCTGGGTTTAAATTTCATGTTAGAAGAAAGGAAGGGGAAGAAGAAAGAAAAATCAGATAACCTAGTAATTACAAGGAAAGTTGGAGGAGCAAACAGACATTTAGGAATGAGAACCATCAAGGCTATAAGTTGGTACTTTGATAACATAAATAAAACAGAAAAGCACTAGTGATGTTAATTGGAAAATAAGAAGCAAGAAGATATAAATTAACATTAGGAATGAAAAAGGGAAAATAAAAATATCTAGCCAAAATTTTAAAGAAAGCTATTACTATACAACTCAGCCAACAAATTTAAAACCTTAAGCCAGTTTTCTCAATCTTAGCCATATTGCTGTTTAAGTTGAATAATTCTTGGAGAGAGAGAGGTAGAGAGAGAGAGAGAGAGTGTGTGTGTGTGTGTGTGTGTGTGTGTGTGTGTGTGTGTGTGTGAAGGTGGGTGGGGCAGAGGACTGCCCTGTACTTTGTAGGGTGTTTAGCAGCATCCTTGGCCTCTATTCACTGGTTGCCAATAGCACCCAAAACTCACCCACAATTGTCTAAAAATGTGGCTAAATGTCCCTGGGAAACAAAAATCACCCCTGGGTGAGAACCACTGACTTAAATAAAATAGGCAACTTCCTAGAAAAATATAACTCACCAAATTCTGCCCAGAAAAAAATAGAAAATTTGAACATTACAGTCCTATAACCATTAAAGAATTTGAATCAGTGGTTTAATATTCCCAGGAGGGAAGCACCAGGCCTGAGATTTTACAAGCAGATTCTACCAAACTTTCAAAGTATATAGAAATCTTTCCAGACTACAGATAAAGAAGGAATATTTCTCTACTCTTTGAAGCTAGTTTAACCTTGAGAAGAATTGTATGAGAAAGAAAAATTATAGGTCAATCTCATGAATATTGATACAAATCTTAAATTATTAGCAACTGAATTCAGTTTGCTAATATAATACACAGTGATCAAATTCAGGTTTTTTTCCTAGAATTTTAAAGTCTATCTAGCATTAGATAATTAATATATCGTTCTTTCCATAAACAAATTGAAGGGAAAATGATCATCTCATTATTTCATTCATATGATATTCTCCAATCGGGCCTGGTGGCTCATGCCTGTAATACTAGCACTTTGGGAGGCTGAGATGGGAGGATCACTTCAGGTCAGGAGTTCGAGACCAGCCTGGCCGACATGCTGAAACTTCATCTCTACTGAAAATACAAAAATCAGCCAGGCATGGTGGTGGGCTCCTGTAATCTCAGCCACTCAGGAGGCTGAGGCAGGAGAATCGCTTGAACCCGGGAGGCAGAGGTTGCAGTGAGCTGAGATAGCACCACTGCACTCCCACCTGAGTGCAGTGTGGGGCAACAGAGCGAGATTCTATCTCAAAAAACAAAACAAAACATATGATATTCTCAATAGTTGCTAAAATTTTTTTGATAAAATTAACAAAATTGTAAACAAAGTATGAATAGAATGGATTTGTTTTTTAAACAGTAAAGGGTAGCTGCTAAAAACTTAGAGTAAACCTATTGAGAATAGAAAGCAGAAAATCATGCTCACTACTTTTACATGATAAATGTCTCCAGTACATTCAACGATGTACTGGAAACCTTTCAACAATGCACTGGAGACTTTAGCCAGTGCAGTAAGGCAAAAATAAATAAAATAAAATAAAATAAAATAAAATAAAATAAAATGTATGTATATTGAAAAGAATGAATAAATATAATTTACAGATGATCTATCTACCTACCTAAGACTCCAGAATAATCTACAAATAAATTAATAGAAATAATAAGGTTGTCTACCTCTCTGCCTAGATATGAAATGAAATTACACAAATTAATTGTATTCGTGTACGCCAGTAAAAATCAATTAGAAATGTGTGTGATAAAGTAAAAAATAGCATTTATAGTAGCCACAGAAAATATAAGGTTTAACTGAACAAATTTAACTAAAAAAGTGTAAAACCTGTATGGTGAAAATTATACAAATTTATCAGACGATGTTAACAATTACATAAATAGAGAAACATACCATGCTTGTCACTATGGAGACCCAATATCATTAAGCTATCACATCTCCTCTACATTTTTCTACAGATTCAAGCAATCCCTCTCCCAATCTCAGCAGACTTGACTCTAGAATTTACAGGGAAGAACAATGGTCCAAGAAGAGCTAAGATACATTTGCTGAGAAGTTAGGGGAGTTTCCCTATCAGGTATCAATAATTATTTTACAGTTAGCACAATGAGCACAACATGTCTCAGCACTGGGATCTGCAGGGTGAAAATGCAGCAGCTCAAAGGGCTTAGTAATGTGCCTAAGTATATGAGGAAACTTGCCATATGACCGAGGCAGGTGGCATCGCTTATTCATATGGAAAAAATGAAATTGATTTGTCACCTCACATTATGCACACAAATTCTGATGTTTTAATGACTTTAATGTAAAAAGAAAAGTTTCAGAATTCTTAGAAATTAGAGAAAGATTTTTATGACATCAGGTCAGGAAAGATTTCTTAAATCAGGCAAAAGATTTTTAACCATGAAGGAAACGGATTGGCACATCTGATTACATTACGATTAAGAATTTTTGTTCATCAAAAGAAATCATAAGACTAAACAAAAATAAGCCACATGCACTGAAAGATATTTTCAACATACAAGCAATAAAGAGTAACTATTCAGAATACATAGAGAGTGTATAAAATCGTAATCTAAAGAGCACTACTCTCTAGAAAAAAAGGTAAAAGACATAGGCATTTTATAGAAAAGGAAATATGAGTGGTCAAAAACATGAAAATATACTTCCTTATTAGTAGTTAGAAAAATAAAAATTAAAACCAACTGGCTGGCTTAAAATTAAGATTTCTGGTAAATGAGTTGTTAATGATGTGTATCAACAGGAAGTCTTTTGTACTATTAGTGGGAGTGCAAATTGCTACACCGCTTTGGAAAACAATTTGGCATTATCTTGGAAAGATGAGCACTCATATGCTACAGCTCAGCCATTCCACTCCTGGGCTTCTACCAAAGAGAAAGTCTTGCTTGCACTTATGTGTCCCGGGAAACACAAAAAGAATGAACCCAGAATCATTGTTCCTAGTAGGAAAAACCTGGAAACAACTCAAATGATCATAGCTAGGGAAAAGGACAAATGTTATAAATCTACAAAATGGAATAATCTACAGAAATGAAAATGTTTTCATTTGTTTCATTTCAAAGGTTTCATTTGTTTGAACCCACAGCTTCAAACAAAAACTTAGGTCGTTTTTGGAAAAAGAGGAAAAGTAGATTGCAATAGTTCATATATGGTGTGACATCGTTTCTATGAAGCTAAAAGTTGAACAGCACTAAATAACATTGCTTAAGTATACAAAAGTGTCTAATAAAGATATATTAAATAAAAAACGGAGGGCATGATCCACATTGAAGTTGAGATAATGTTGTGGGCAGGCAAGGGAATGAGCTAGGAAAAGAACATGAGTAGATATAAGGTTTATGAAATGTTTTAGATTTTATACATTGCGAGAGTGAGTTCATGGGTGTTTGTGGTATTATTATGTTCCATAGCTTATGAATATGTTAGGAATAGTTTTGTATATATCATGTATTTAACAATTCTTAAAGTAACCTGAATCATGAGCTTGCGAGGCCAGCATGGCTCTCTTTTTTAAGAGCAAATGCACACAGGCTGATTGATAGAATATTGTGTAAGTCATGAAAATTGGGCCTGAAACTAATATGGGAAGAAGATGAAAGCAAGAAAAAATAATTTCTGAGGAAAATCTGGGAGTCTGATTTTGCTTTTCCCTACTGGAAGTCCAATTTCACCCTTTTAAACACAAACAAAAGTTGGAAGATTTGTTATATGACTTTGAAGTGTGGTTTAGAACAAACACTCCTAGTATGTCTCAGGCAGATAATGAGATATTACCTGTAAATTAAACAATTTTTGTTCCTAGAATACACTGAATTGGAAAGAAAACAAAGTCAGTTGATATGTGATTGAGCAAGCATCTCAGCCTTTCTGTGAAAATGGAACTAGGGACATTTCATTACATCCACCACCAAAATGAAAGATGCCTCCAGCCCCACTGAGATCAAAGTGTGTTACTCTGAATGGACAATGGTAACAATGTCTCATATGTTCAAGAATGGAGAAGTGTGTGTATGTGCGTGTGTGTGTGTGTGTGTGTGTGTGTTGGGTCGGGGTGGGTGGACCTGGGGGGAATTTTCTAGGCTTGCAGCTGTGTGATCAATACATCAATGAGATATTGGTGCCTTGTTCTGAAATTTTCTCATTCAGTTCTCTCATTTGTAGAAATATTTACTTTTTATTTGATCCTGGGACATCTAAACTTCATTGCACGTGCCTGTTTGCCATTTTTTCTGACTTCATTCTCCAGATAAAGAACAGGCTTTTGGATTTTGATTTTATCACTTCCAAATTGAGTGATCGTTGGGACATGTTTGTGCCTCAGTAGCAGAGGAGTGAGAATACCTGAGTCACTGGATTCTTAAGAGGATTAAATGAATTACCACGTGTGAAGTGCTTGGTTCAGTGCCCAGCACACTGTAGGCACTCAATAAATGCATGTTCTTGAGGATCACCTGAGGCCAGGAGTTTAAGACCACCCTGGGCAACATAGTGAGACCTTGTCTCAACAAAATTAAAAAATTAAAAAAAAATAACCAGGGTGGTGGTATATGCATGTAGTCCCAGCCACTCCAGAGGCTGAAGTGAGAGGATCGCTTGAGCCCAGGAGTTTGAGGGTGCAGTGAGCTACAATCGCACTACTGCACTCAGCCTGGGGGACAGAGAGAGACTCTGTCTTTAAAAATAAACAAATGAATAAATGCATGTTCCCTGCTTCTTCTGTATTTCTGTGGCTTCACAGCCAGTCTAGAGAGTGGATCATAGCCTGGGAGATGTGCAGGGGATGTTTGTGATCACATGTAACTGGCATCTTCATTTTAAACACTAAGCTAAGGCTACCCAGGGTGTCAAGGCTTTGCTGCAGAAAATGTGGCCAGGAGGAGGCCAGCAGAACTAGAACTCCAATGTCATCTCACAGTAGGGCCTGCCTTGCCTTGCTCTAGTATATGAAAAACTTCTTGTTTCTCCTGGAAGGGGATCAACTTGCTTGTACATATTTGCCTATGTCCATGTGCATGCAATCTGACAATTCACCTGAATGGCTGATAATTAAAACAGCTCTTAAAGAAAACTTTCTTAAGTCTTATAATTTTATTAATACATTTCGGTTCATTTCTCAGGAGTAATTAGCAATTATATGATGGATAGTTTTGCTATAGTAGAGAGCTGAATTTCATTTTTTTCTTTATGAAATACTTCCACTTTATAATTTATTACATATATAATTAATTTCATCTGGCTTTAAAAATTTGACAATGGCCATATTTCACCCCACTGGTTTATTCTGTACAAATTAGGTTGAATTCCTTTAAAAGTGGTGACAAAAAAGTTGTCTTAAGAAAAAGGCCACAATGTTCATTTATTCATCTGTAGCTTTTGAGGGAAATATTCCTGGAAAAAATTAAGGAGGTTATCTTTTCCTGTCCTACTTTTCCAAAATACTTGGTAAACAAATATTGTCACTATTTTAGGATTCTAGAATTTACACATGGAAAAAGATTTTCAAAGGAAGGTAAATATTTCTCCCCAAAGAAATCTGAAGCAATGATGTTCTACATAAGTTCACTTCTTTCTAATGTGCCTCAAATGAAGAAAGCATTTTAGAATCACAGAAATACAAAATTTGAATGGATGGAACCCAAGAAGATGCTTCATCCATCGTTTAACATGTAATTGTCATTGATAGTGGAGAGGAATGAGCATAAAATAATAATGCAGAAATCCCACGCCCAAACTCCCAGGGAAGGAAACAGTATTTCAAAATTGTTAAAGGTATAAAAACTTCTGTGTGTGTGTGTGTGTGTGTGTATATATATAAAATAAATAAAATTATGTATATATAAAATAAATAAAATTATATATACAAAATAAATAAAATTATATATATATACATATATATATATATTTTTTTAAGATGGAATCTCACTCTGTCGCCCAGGCTGGAGTGCAGTGGTGCGATCTCGGCTCACTGCAAGCTCCGCCTCTCAGGTTCATGCCATTCTCCTGCCTCAGCCTCCCAAGTAGCTGGGACTACAGGCCTCCACCACCATGTCCAGCTAATTTTTTTGTATTTTTTTAGTAAAGACGGGGTTTCACCATGTTAGCCAGGATGGTCTCGATCTCCTGACCTCGTGATCCACCCGCCTTGGCCTCCCAAAGTGCTGGGATTACGGGCATAAGCCACTGCGCCTGGCCCCTTCTGTATATATTTTTCATGTCTCTAATTTTGACCCTTTATATGAGTTGGTATAGATCTTGAAGCTAATACAGCTCACTGTTTCAGAGGCTAGAGAGAAATCTCATAGAGTCTTAGCATTAAATGACATGCAATTGGAAAACAGTTTTTTTTCAAGGGATGCTAAAGAGACTTGTGCACAGAATTTTAAAACATACTAACCCGAGACAATATAGGTGAAATTATACCTATAATGTCAAATGTGAGGAACTATGTTTGATGATATTTATGATTATTATCGTCTTCTAGTTCTGTTGATCAGGACATTAGCTTTTATTAATAGATAACATCTCTATTTGAGTACAGCTTAAAAGCAGCTTGCCAAAGGTCTATTTCTTTCATTTCTATCTAGAGCACAGAAGTCTGTTACAATTATTTTTTCAAAGAGCAAAAATAACATAAATTTCTTTAAAATGTGAGTGGGATTTGACTGGTATTGCTGATGCATTACCTGGAGGATACAGTCCAGCATGCCTCAGTTACCAGCCCTGAGGGCTTCATCTGCCCAGGTGGCAATAGCGGTATGCCAACCTGGACATGGTTTATGAACCATTATATTTTTCCACCTAACTACTCTATATTTAGTGTTCTTATTTTATTTAAAAGCCAGGAAAACATATAGTCTGTTTGTAAATATCAATAATCACTTTTTTTAACTAAAAAGAAGTTAAATTTGTGAATCAGACAACTGCGGGAAGTCCCCACGACTTGTGAAACAGATGTACAGAAATTTCACTCACTTTGGAGATAGATGTTTGCAAACAGAATGGGCAAGATTTCTGTTTTTAGTTTAGGTTTATCACCAAGAAGTATGTTGCAGTCTTAAAAATGTGTGTGAAATTTGGGAGAGGTGGCACCTGCCTGTAGTCCCAGCTACAGGAACAGCTAGGATAGGAGGATCACTTGAGGCCAGGAGTTTGAGACCAGTATAGACAATGTAGTGAGACATCCATCTCTAAAAAATAATTTAACAAGAAATTTATAGAATGAAACAATGAGCTTAATTAAAATTTGATTTATCCTGCCTGATTTGAGAGATGTTGATAATTTCACCTATAATTCACACTTAATAAATCATCCGATTATTGCTATTTAGAAAATTGCTAATATTAAAGTCTCACACATAAGAGTACTTTTAATATAACTATTAAATATATTTTTGTTAATTATATATAGATACTATTTCCCTTTGAATAGCACTAGTTATTAAAATTTTTCTACCTCCCATGTGCATTGTTGTTGGTTTTTATTTTGCAGGTTTTATATAAGTCTCACAAAAATGTTTATTAATTTGGAAACAAAAAAGATTTATTTCTTAACCTTGGCATATCCCATGTAGAAGTTATCTGATGCCTGAGAATCAAGCTACTTTTATATCTGGAAAACGTGTTGCTTATTATGTATAAAATAGCATATAAAATGATTATACATTTTAAAAATACAATGTTCTCACCCAAGTGCTCTTATTTCCATTCCTTTCTATTAATAGCCACTTCTGGGGCATAAACATTTCTAGTGAGTCCCTGTCCTACTCCCACTGTGCCTACAGAGCAGACTGATATATTCAGAAAGCACGGAGAGGGCGCCAGGACCACAAACTCATGCCACTGCTTTGCCTCAGGCTTCCTGCACCATCTGCATGGTCCTAGAAGCCCCTGTGTGCACAGACCCCACCTGATCCATTTAAACACAGGTCAAAGTTGGCCCTCGTGGCATCATCTCTGGGCACAAACCCCCTCCAGTCCTTACCCCAAAGTGAGCTGGCTAGACTGTGTGATTCTCCACCTCCCATTTGCTATTTACCTCATTTACATGTACTTTTTCTCTTTTTAGTATTTTTAATGTATGGAAAATTGTGTGATTAAGGCAACCAAGAGTGTCTGGGCATATGCAGCTTCCTCTCATCTGGACTCTGCTTTGTGTGCAGAAACTCCAAATATGTGCTATGATCATCTCACTTTTGTGACAAAAAAGAATACATATATTCTGTTTCCACCTTCTTGTCTTGCCTTTCTTCCAAGGTCTTGCTGACCTATATAAATTTCCTTAATTTATTAATAGTTCATTTTATATCTACTGTCAATATTGGTGTCTTTTCCTCCTCCTATTTAACACATCCCCCTCTCAATCTCCTCTTGATTAGCGCTACCCTTTGGAAGCCGAGGGCTTTCTCTTAGTGAGAGAACTATTTTTCAAGTGACTCATGGTACCACACGTTCTATTTTAAGGCAGGGTGGGCTGGGCCATGTAGGGATAGGGTTGGGGCAGGCTGTTGGGAGGAATAAAAGAACTTCTGGTTGCTAAGCAACTCATGAACACCTCAGAGTTCACAGATGCCATCCCACGTGACATGTGACCAGAGACTAAGAGTGTAGTCAAGCGTAATGACAGTGATTTATTAGCTTAAAAAAAAAACAACTGGAATGCTTCTGGTAAGAAATAGCATGCTCTTTCTTCTGTTCCCTTCTCTGAAACCCACAGTTATCAACAAAGAGAACAAGAACTACAAACCCACATCTTCAAGAAATAAGGAAGTGGCTAAACCTCCAAAGTACAGCATTTGAACAATACATCCAAATATGGTGAACCTTGACCCAATGGAGGAAAAACATTGAGAGCCAGGGTATACAGTTCCAGATTTTAAGTAGACTGCAGCAACTACCATTTGGAGAAGGTGGACAGTCCAGGGGAAAACTGGGCACATCCTTGGTGGGTGAGGCGGGGAGGAGATGAGTAAAGTTTCCTACTGCAGAAAAGCAGAAGGGAAGGTTCAGAAGAGGAATCCCATATTTTCCTAATGTCCTGCAAACTATCCTCTTTACAATGAGAAATAGTCTGGAGATAAGGGAATGGAAACAGGAGAAAACAACACTCAAGTGCTTAACATACATAGATCTATATGTACATACTGCAACACCAGGAACCACATAGATGTCTCTGAGTGAAATGCTCACCCCAAAGTGGGCAGCATACCATGCTTGCAGAGAGACATACCCAGTCACAGGAAGTAGCAGACATGGTGCATCAGGCCACAAATGAAAGAAAGAAAGAAAGAAAGAAAGAAAGAAAGAAAGAAAGAAAGAAAGAAAGAAAGAAAGAAAGAAGGAAGGAAGGAAGGAAGGAAGGAAGGAAGGAAGGAAGGAAGGAAAGAAAGAAAGGAAGGAAAGAAGGAAGGAAGGAAAAAAGAAGAAAATTTCACATTCTCTGCTCACTGACATCTCTTTTTCAACCAAGTCCCCCATCCTGGGCTTGAGTGAACAGCAGCCCTAGAAGGAATGGTCTTAGTTTAAAAATGAGAAGCAAGTAGAAAGAATCCACATGAATGCTCTTCATGGATATTATTTGAAAACAATACTTAGGGATAGGCATAACAAGCAGAGAGCAGAAGAAAAATGCACATTAGAAGAATTATTCCAGGAAACAGAAAAATAAAATTTAGAAGAAAGACTATTTCTATACTTGCAAAATATTTTAAAGAAATGATAACTGTTAAAAAAGTTTCAAAGAGAAAATATTGATTAAATAAAATAAGAAAACCCCATGTAAAGAGTTGAAAAGCAACCTGGCAGACCTTAGCAATAAACTAAAATTTAGCAAAGAAACTACCACAGAATTTAGCAATAAATCTACAATTAAAGAGGGAAAGAAAAAAACAGTGAGTAACTGAAAACAAAATCAGCGATACAGAGAATAAACATGAAAATATTATATAAAATACAATGGAAAAGAATAAGATAAAAGTGTTTCAAGAAAAGATGAAACAGAGAGAAACAAATCCTCATAAACAGAATTGCATTCCTGAAAATGGGAAGAGATAATGAAACTCCCAAATGTTCAGTGATATGAAGGAGGAAAAGATTTCTAAAATAAGGAACTAAATCTGTACATGGAAAGATATTCCAAGAAAAACTATAGAGAATGAAATATATCTTTGTAAAGTTAGTGAATGTCAACAATGACTAAACAAGGGTTTCTGTGGACACAATGGTAGGAGGAAGTCACCTCTGAGGGGCGCAACCTCACAGACCACTGAGTTTTCCAGGGCAGCAATCACTGCCAGAAGACAGTAGAGCAGTACCTATGGGCCCAGAAGGGGAAAAGGTAGTGTGACCCAGGGATTACATGGCCGAGTTGTTACTTTGTTGTTGATAGATGACCGCAACAGATCTATTCCACTTGTAAAGGCTTGAAGAATATAATGACCATGAAATCTCTTGAAAAGAAAATCCTTGAAGATAAGATAAAATACAGCCAAACAAAAAATGGAACTAAATCGCTGAAAGCTGAAAAGGAGTTGGGGAATGGCAATGAACCCTGAGACCACTGAGAAATAGAAACAGGGCCAAACAACTGTGGAGCTTATCATCACATAATATGAGGTAATAGTACAGGCCTGTGTTATAAGAAAAATAATTATTAGGATGATTAAGTGTATTTTTTGGTTATAGTAGGAACTATAAGTGTCTTCACACTCTCCTTTTTATAGTTGGGAGTAAATAAATGCTGTCTAAAAGTTTAATGAATCATCACAGAGACATTTAAATAATGTACCTAGTGTTATTTTTTAATTTCTAAAAAGAGAAAAAATTCATAAAGTGTCACTATTAAAAAAGAAAGAAAAAAACTTGCCAACGGGACCAAAAGTAATTATAAATCTTCCCTATTAGCATAATGAAAAAACCCAGAAATACACCAAACAAAAGAAAAAAGAACACACAGCACACATTGCAACTATAGTTGGGAAGAGGAAGTAATAAAATCAAGACTTTATATTACAAAATAAATTTACAGCATTAAGGCTAAACTATTATACTATAAATATAAATAAAACACCAATAACAATATAGTCTCGGAATGACTTTAAAAGTTGTGAACTACAGGCTATTTACAAGACATACACCTGGAACAAAATGGCAAGGCAAAAATATGTTAGACAAAGGCAAACAAAATAAAGTAGGGTTCATGATGTTTAGGTAAGTTGGAATAAAAAATTAACTAATTCCTAACAAGAATGGTTAAAGTAATGTATACAAACCCAAATGAAGACCTAATGTTCATTTATTTTCTTCCTACTAAATAGCAAAATATTTGAAAGTGCAAAACTGTGGAAAATATACAAAGATCTGGCATGGAAAAAATAGTAGTTAGAATGTTTAACTCAATTCTTTTATTCCATAAAAGATCATGTAGTCAAAAAATTAATAAGGCTCTTAATCTAAGCAACGTTATTATTAGGGTTGACCACACACATACACTTATCCAACTTTACACACTGAAATTAGTGAATTAAATTCGATTTAAATGCCATTAAATTTTAACCAAACATATATAGCCCCCAAAGGAATTTAAGTAAATTACAAAGAGAGGAAAAATTCAGGCAAACATTTAAATCACTAATATTGAATTAAAAATTGAAATGTAAGGGTTAACTTGGCTGAGATTAACTTCTTACAGCCTAACATTCCAGAAAAAGGATTGGCCTTCTGAAAAGATCCATGGAATCCAGCTTTAGCCCAGTACCCAGGCAAGCAATCCTGGACATTCTCACATTTGAAACCTTGTCCTCAATCATGCCAGGAAAGAGGCTGATGTTTTCCTAACCATGAATGCTGATGCACTGATTCTTTCACATCATACAGCTACAACCCAAAGGCTTGGACTCCAGCCTCCAGCCATGCTAGGTACAGGCTGGTGAGTCTCCCAAACTGAAGCCAAAGCTCTGCTACTTTGTATTACTATTGTGTCCTGGTTCTTGGCCCCAGTAGGGGAGGGGCTGGTACTTCCCTAATCAGGAAGCTGAAAAGCTCCAGATCTAAAGGTTGGGGTCACTTGCCCAGAGTCAACATCCAAACCTTCTAAATCCATATGTTATGTCCTAGAATGCAGTGGCAAGAAGACCTCTGCACCCGTTTCTGCTGCTGTCTCCATGAGATTTCCTCAGTGGATATTCCCTCTACTGAGTGGTATATGTGTTCTCTGGTCATTTGACCTTGATTGCATGATATTAATGACAGAAAAAATGAAATTTTTTATAAGCTAGAAATTTTTGTCATGCTGTCTTAACTCTTGGTTAAAAGGAAAATGAAAACTAATGTTGGAGAAAAATAGTTAAACACTGTGTATATAAATACATATACATATAATATATATATATATATATATATAAACCTAAGAGTCTACAGCTAAAGCTAAGCTCAGAGAAATGGGTATATTATATTGTATATGTATAATATGTATATTACAAAATACTTATATAACCTAAAAAAAAGGGATGGCAATATATTTATTTTTTTATCTTAAGAATTAAGAAGAGTCTACAGTCTAAAGCTAAGCTCACAGAAATGGGCATATTATATTGTATATGTATAATATGTATATTACAAAATACTTATATAATCTGAAAAAAGGGATGGCAATATATTTATATTTTGTTATCTTAAGAATTAAGAAACAGATCTGAAAAAAAGAATAAAATTAAAAATGGAATGTAATGCACTAGAAAACAAACAAAAAATTTTGAATAAACCAAGAGCTGTTTCTCTGAGAAAATAAGGAATCACACTATTAAATTAGTAGCTAACTGTGTTAGGCCATTCTCCCATTGCTATAAAGAAATACTTGAGACTGGATAATTCATCAGAAAAGAGGTTTAATTGGCTTATAGTGATGCAGGCTGTACAGGAAGCATAACACTGGCATCTGCTTCTGGGGAAGCCTCTGGAAGCTTCCAACTATAGCAGAAGTTGAGGTAGGAGCTTTCATGGTAGGCACGTAGCAAAGCAGGAGCAAGAGAGAAGGGGGGAGGTGCCACACACTTTTATATGACGAGCTCTCGCAAGAACTTGCTCACTATCATGAGGACAGCAATAAGGGGATGGAGCTAAACCATTTAGGAGAAATCCACCCCCTTGATGTAATCACCTCCCAACAGGCCCCACCTCCAACACTGGAGATTACATTTCAATGTGAGATTTGGGTCGGGACACACATCCAAACTATATCACTCACCTTATTAAAAATTGTTAAAAGCTCACACATTTAAAGGAAATTAAAAATGAGAGTGGGAAAATGTTTTCATTTATTCAGCAAATGTTTACTGAGTTCTTGTTACATGCCAGTGTGCCAGGCATATTTCCAGGTAGGATCTGAGTATATAATGGAGAATAAGACAGAGAAAAAAAAATACCTCATGAAGCCTGCATTCCCACAAGGATGATAAGTTCTAATAACAAAACTACACGGGGAAGTAAGAAGATATGCTGCGTGATTGTTTTTGGGAGAATTGTAATTTTCCATAGGGTGGCCAAAGAAGTGATATTTGAGGAGTGACCTAAGGTTGGTAAGGAGTAGGCTCAGTGTGCATCTGGAGGAGGTGATGCAACCCAGAAGGAAAAGCAAGCCTCAGGTCCTGTGGCAGAAGCGGGTCTGGCCATTTGAAGGCTTTTGCAAAGAAGTGACATGATCTGACTGACCTTTTATGGAGATCAATTTGGTTGCTGCTTCAGAATAGACTGAGTAGGGGGCCAAGAAAAGAACAGGAAAATCAATTTACTGAGAAAGATTATTACTACTGGGAAATAAATAGATCTTATTTATATAAAACAAGAAATCTATAATTCACTCACTTCCTTTATGTGAGGTAGGAATTAGGGATCACACTCCTGGAAAAGAAAGAAGGCATTGACTCAATCAGTTCTCCTTGCAAACAGAGTAATGGCAGACCTCCTGGCCACAAAGCAAAGTAGTTTGTGCTAGCAGAACTGTCGTCATCTCTGGAGTGCTTTCACCAGGATTTATCTGGTTTCTAGCATTGCTTGTGGTAAACAAACCTGCATTTGTAGATTTACAAGGCATAGCCTCACTGGAATATGTTATGCATGCTACTTTTCATGATCAAGATCCTCCCGTCTGTGAAAATCTGGTTACTGCAGACCTCACTTAAAACCAGATCTGCCACCCTGGGCTAGAGTGCTTCTGAGGAGAGAAGGAAGGATCAGGCAATCCCAAGTAATCATGAGATGAAACAGAGAGAGAGAGAGACACTGATACTGAATCTCTCTCTCTGTTTCATCTCATGAGTACTTGTACCCTTTATATTATTATTATTAGTGTAGCTTGATACTGAATAACACCTTTGATTTGGTGGCCTGATTTGATAAACCAGTCCTTGGTGTTATTTAAGCAATAATCCAGGTGAGAGATGATGGTCACTTGAACGAGGGTAGTGGCAGAAAACATGGTGAAAAGTGGTAGGATTTTGGATCTAGTCAAAGGTAGAACTAACGGAATTTCATTAGGAATTGAATGAGGAATATAACAGAAGGTAAATAAGCAAGGGTGATTCCAAGGTGCTTGGCCTGGGGACTAAGAATAATTTACTTATTATCACACATGGAGGAAACAATAGGAGGGCATATTTGGGATAAAGGAATTAAGAGGTTAATATTGGACATATTAAGTTTGAGCTGCTCAAAATGTGGCTAAGTGGAGCTGTGTAAACAGTTGGTTATGGGGGTCAGGAATTCAAGGTAGAGCTTCTGGATAGCCATATAAATTATAGAGCCTCGGCATATAATGATATTTAAAATATGGGATTAGAATGAGGTTGCATGACCACAGAAAGAAAACAGAAGAGGTTCAAGGAGCGAGCCCTAGGACACTCAGTGTTGAGGGGTCAGAGAGATAACGTGAGGCCAAGGAAACACTAAGAAGTGGCGGTCAGTGCTGTAGCAGTCAAACGTAGTCTCAAATGGTCTTAGGTCAGATAAGGAAAGTGCTGAGAATTCACCATTAGTCATCTCAACCAGAGTTGTCAGCTTAAAGTGGTGGGGGTGACAGCCTGGTGGGAGTGAGGTCAAAAGAATACAGGAGGCCATAAATCAGAGACAGCAAATATAGGTCACTCTTTTGAAGACTTTTGCTGTTTAAGGAAGGAGAGAAATGGAATATCAGCAGGGGAGTGAAATAGGACCAAAAGGATTCTCTTTTGAACTTGGGATAAATAATAGTGTATTTACAGTGTGATTAAAAAAAAAAAAGGACTGGAGAGGAGAACTGCTGATGCAGCAGAAAGAAGGAGAATTACCAGAGTCATGTCAGTGAGCAGGGGCAGGGGTACTGTGCAGCAGGAGAGAATTCCGGCCTGTGAGCACAAAAGCAGGAGGTTGGGATGCTTGGGAAGACTCTTTCTCAGTGGGGCAAGGAGCAGAAGTCATTAGCAGAGAGTGACACTCATCTTGCAAGAGGAAAAGAGTGAAAAGAATGGATGCAAAAACAGTCAGGCAGCCATGAGGCAGCCACAGTGGTGACTGGTCCTGAGTTGAAAATGATCTGGTGCAAGGTTGTGTTTTTTTTCTCCAGCCACACCCAGTGGCAGGGTGGGAGCATAGAGGAGGTGGATGGTGGCTTAGCTCAGGGAATGTGACTTGGGGAGAGGCATGGGGGTTGAGTGTGTGCTAGGAAGTGATTTCATTGCTTGATAGTGGATGGAATTTAAGGTAGGTAAGGAGGGAAATACGGACTCGACTTTATACTTTCCGATTTTGGAATCTTGTAGACACAAGATTCTGTGCACTTCCAGGATCTTATCAGTTATAAAATACTCAGAGCTGTTTGCCTTTCATGTGTGTTTCACAGGACAAATAGTTGATAGGGTCCTCAGATTTCCTCAGGCCTTCCCCACAAGGCTGGACATGATGGCTGCTAAGACATCAGAGAAACATAGGAATCTGTCCTATGTGAGGTTAGTTCAAGGGCAGGAGACCTCATGGCCTCTTATTGTAGGTGATTCATTTTATGCAGGGAAACAGAGTTATCTTTTTCTATCCATACAACTTCTGCTACCTCTTGCTTAAGGAAGAATCTTTTTTCCCCCTTTTGGCTTTTAATTTTTTTTCTTTAACCATGAATAATGCTTTATTCACACCTTGTAAGGGATTATACAGAGAATGACAAGTTTAACTCCTCCTTAAAATGAATTACAATTTTATTTTTAAGAATTTTGTCCCTTTTTAAAGAACAGAGGCCTCGGAATTGTCACTGGAATTAGCATTTATTATGACAAAGCAATGTGGACTGTGATTGTCACTTAGCATTTGAAGATTAGATGATAAAATAATATGATAAAATAATATAATAAAATTTCCAAGTTGGAAAAAGCTAGTGTGTCTACATTACTACATGTCTTTCAAACTTGTTTTATGTAGCCAATTAGGCAAATTTCAAGTGTTAGCTGGCAGGCCTGTTTGTAAACGTAGAAAAATATGTCATTCATGGAGATTCTAAAACAAAATGAAACATATTCTTAATTTCTTTGTAATCAAACATACTTAATGAGAAGTCAACAAGCCTAATCTTTCTAGAATGCTTACATGAATACTATTTTGAGTTCACTAATGTTTGTTTTATTAAGGGGAGAAGGTTTAATGCTGATGTTGAACAATGCTTTCGAGGAATCTCTAATGTAGGACTCATGATGCCAGTTGCTGAGTGATTATTTGAAGTAAATGATTTCCATTGTATTCAAACCCACCAGCTTTTTTGAATTTATTAATGAATGTTGATGAGTTAACTGATGACAGAGGCTTATAGAAACAATTTATTAATTTGCACAACCACATTTAATGTGCCCCTATTGTGAATCAGGCACTGCACTGCATATGGAATACACAACCATGAACAAGCTTTGGCCTTCATCCTTGAATTTGGGAGACAGATATACAAACCTTGAATTACAAAACAGTTAATAAATGCCATTAGATACATTTGAAAAATGATATTGGAAGAATTAAGATGGTAATAAAATGCTTCCTAGAAAGGTGGTCTAATATTAACAGAATATGAAACATAAATTATTTTTGTATAATTACTTTTTTTTTCAATTCAGCAAAGCATTTAGGGGACATATGGTGACAGCCCTTTGGAGGAAATGGGGTCTTGCAAATACAATTACAATGAGAGTAATATCTTCTGGGAGATGATATACATATGTGATAAACAATGTAGTACAATTTACTAACATAATGCTGAAATAAAAAAGAGTTCAAGTAGAAGAATAATAAGTATGGGTGGTATACTCAGGAACTAGTAGGAAAACCAGGCTCTGGATTTAGGAAGGATGCTATTTAAAGGAGGTGAAGAAAATGGACTCTAAGGATCTAATGCCTCTCCTGATCCTAGACATTAAACAATTTGGACACTGCTATCATGGTTTATTAAGATCTTTTTCTTGGAGCAATATCAATACACACAACAGGATTTGAAAAGATTTTAAAACATGATTTTACAGTACATTTTATCTACTTCTCAAGGTAGAGCTATGTCCCACACACAAATCTGATAAAGATACAATATCAAAAATAAAAATTGTAGGTCCATTTTACTTGTAAATATGGAAAAAATCTAGATAAAATATTTCCAAACAAAATTTAGCAGCATATTAAAAAACACATACATTTTATTTCAGATATACTAGAAGGCTTTATCATTAGGATTCTATCAATAAAAATCCTTATATTAACACATTATTGGAAAATGTGAAATTATTAAAACATTTTATTAATACAGCCTTTGATAAAATTTCAGTCATGATTTAGATGAAAAAACTCTAAGTAAAATAGAAAAGAAAAATCATTTTCTTAAGCACATTTAAACTCAGCACAACTTAAACCTGACCTCAACTAATATATTAAATTGAACAACATAATAGGTTTTTCCATCATATTGAGAAACAGACATGACACCTGCTAATTGTGTTATTATTCAACAATGTTTTTGGCAGTTTTCACTAACACAAGATAAGAAGGAGAAATAAGCAGTATAAATATTGAAAAAGAAGGGACAAATTCTAATTATTTGAAGATAATTTGATTGTAAACTGAGATAACACAATAAATTCCATTAAAACAATGTATTGACCTAAATAAAAGTTTCAGTATGATAGGTGGGTCCAAGGTTTTATATGCACTAGGGAAACTAATTAGAAAGAAGGTATTGCAATAGGAAGAATACTCCAGTCTCAGAAATTCACAAGCACTTCAGAATCAAGCAGAAAAAGATTTTTCTGTTCTAGGGTAAAGGAGGAGCAAGCAGAGATTAGTAGAATGTTTAGAGGCAAGGATGGACAAGCAAAGGGAAGAGAACAGTGGGGTCTCACAGGAAAAGGGCTCTCTGTGTGGCCTCCCGGTTCCCAGGGGAAGCTCAGAAAGGGGATGCTTTCTACTTTTTTTGTGCTTTCTCAGGCTTGGGGAGCAAGAGGAGTTCAGGGCCCTGTAGGAAAGAAAGAAACCTGACCAAGGATTGGTCAAGACAAAGCAGAAGATAAGAAATGAGCAACTCCATACATTGGATGTACATTTTTAAAATCTTATATTCTGAATTAAGAAATATATAGATACATCTATGACAAACTTTAACAGTGGTATAAGACCTATATGATGATAAGTACAAAGCTGGTAATTAAGACCATGAAAGAAAGCCAGAATACATACCATGTTCCTGCATGATCAGCCCTAACGCTATAAAAATGTACATTCTTACCACATTGAATATCTGCTTAATACAACCAGAATCCCCCACATTTTTGCAAGTGATATGCTCATTTTAAACTTTATGTGGAAAAATAAATGTTGCTGGAAAGTTTTAAAAATCTAAAAAAATTCTTGGTGGGGATTTGCCCTAATGAATATTAAAATGTCTATAGTGAAAACAATATATTACACACAGCTAACATAGTATTTAATGGAAAAAGACTAAAAGCTTTCTCCCCAAATTAGAAACAGGACAAAGATTCCCACTTCTCCCACTTCAATAAAGCTGGAGGGCAATTAAGCAAGAAAAGAAATATGAGATACTCAGATTGGAAAAAAAAAGAAATAAAACTATTTTTATTTGCAGATATATTGATCATCTATATAGAAAATCCTAAGGAATACACACATACACATAAATCGTTAGAATTAATAAATACGTTCAGCAAGGTTTCAGAATACAAGGTTTTCAGAATACAAAAATCAACTTTATTTCTATACACCAGCAAAAAGCAATCCAAAAATAAAATTAAAAAATAATTCTATTTATAATGGCATCAAAAGGAATAAAATACTTGAGAATAAATTTAAGAAAAGAAGTGTAAGCCTTGTACAGTGAAAACTACAAAACAGCATTGCTAGAAACTGAAGAAGATGTAAATGAAAACACAACCTATTTTCATGGATTGGGAGATGTAATATTGTTAAGATGGCAATACTCTTCAAACTGATCTACATATTTAATGCAATTCTGTCAGAAACCCAGATGGATTTTTTTTTTTGCATAAAGATGGCAGGCAGACTTTAAAATTCATATGGAAATGCAAGGGACCCAGATTGGCCCAAATAATCTTGAAAACAACAAAGTTGGAAGACTCACTTCTTAATTTCAAAACAATAAAAATGACAGTAATCATGACTGTAGTACTGGCATAAGGATAGATACGTAGATCAATGGAATGGAATTGAGAGTCCAGAAATGGACCTATACATTTATGGGCAATTAATTTTCAACAAAGGTTCCAAGATAATTTACTGGTGAAAGAATAATCTTTAACAAATGGTGAGGGGGCAACTGGATATAAGCATGCAAAAAGAAGCTGGGGTCTTTCCTTACACCATAGTCAAAGTTAACTCAAAATGGATCAAAGACCTAACTGTAAGAAGCTAACACTATGAACGCTTAGAAGACATAGGTGTAAATCTTAGTGATCTTAGATCAAATGAGGGTTTCTTAGATGTGATATTTAAAGCACAAGCAATCAAAGAAAATAGATAAATTGGTGTTCATCAAAATTTTTAAAGACTTGTGTATTTCAAAGGACACTATCAAGAAAGTGAACATACAATCTACATAATGGGAGAAAATATTTGCAAATCATATATCTGATAAAGGCCTAATATCGAAAACATGTAAAGAATTCTTACAATTCAACAACCGAATGTCAAGTCAATTTAAAAACTGTAAAAGAAACTTTAATTGGCATTTCTTCAAAAAAGATATGCAAATAGCCAGTAAGCACCTAAAGAGGTGTTCAACGTCATTAGTCATTAGGAAAATGCAAGTCAAAACCACATTAAGATATCACTTTACCCAAAATATTATTTTTAAAAAGATAGAAAATAAGAAGTGTGGGTGAGGCAACTTGAAGCCTCATATATTGCTGGTGGGAATGTAAAATGTTGTAGTTGCTTCGGAAAGCAATTTTATAGTTCCTCCAAAAGTTAAAACATAGACTTACTATATGACTCAGCAATTCCACTTGTAAGCATATAACCAAGAGAATTAAAAAGATGTTTATGCAAAAACTAGTATATGAATGTTCATTGCAACATTTTTTTTACCCAAAAAGTAGACACAATCTGAATGTCTATCAGCTATTGGATAAACAAAATGTTGTGTATCTATACCATAGAACATTATTCAGCCATAAAAAGCGATGGGTATTGATATGTGCCACAATATGAATAGACCTTGAAAACATTTTTGTAGGTGAAAGAAGCCAGACACAAAAGGCCACAAACTGTGTAATTCCATCCATTAATATACGAAATATTCACAATAAGTAAATTCGTAGAGCCAAAAAGTAGACTATTGGTTGCCAGGAGATGGGGGAAAGAGAAATGGGGAGTGACTGCTGGTGGGTATAAGGTTTCTTTTTGGGGTGATGAATACATTCCAGAATTAGATAGCTGGTGACAGTTTGCATAACTTTGTGAATCCACTAAAAACCACTGAATTGTACACTTTAAAATGGTGAATTTTATAGTATATGAAAAATACCTCAATTTTAAAAGAAGAAAAACATAATGCCAAAAAAGTTTTAAAAATCCTCACTAGCACTTGTTATTTTCCATCTTTTTAATAATATTTTGTGTAAAGTTGTATCTTAATGTGGTTTTGATTTGCATTTTCCTAATGACTAATGACGTTGAACACCTCTTTAGGCGCTTAGTGGCTATTTGCATATCTTCTTTGAAGAAATGCCAACTAAAGCTTTTTGTTTCATTTTTAAATTGACTTGCCATTATTGTTGTGTGGTGCCAGCAGAACAATAAATAAATACATTACTCCAGAAAGAGAAACAAATACACATGGAAATTTATTTGTTAAAGGTTGCATTACAAATCAATGAAAGAACTGAATTATTGATAACTCATATTAACAAAATTTCCTTTTCAAGTGGAAGAAAGTAAAATTAGAATCTCACTTTTCACCATATAAATGAACCCCAGTGGGATCTCCATATAACAAATAAAACTATAATATATTAGAATAAAATTTAGGAAATATTTGTGTAGCCTGAGTGCAGGATGAGCTTTTTAACTGAAAAAGTTAAAATCTATAAGGGAAATAATTTTTGATTTCTTAAAATAACATTTAAAAAGTGCATGGCAATAAACATCATACACGATATCAAGAGAAAATGGAGAGTAAATATCTGCAGTTGAGGTATCAAAGTATTGTTCACTCTAATACAAAGCTGAGAAACAGAAACTTTTAATGACCAATACAGAGATAGGAGGTGGAGACATGACATTTTGTAAGCTGGAAAATATAAAAGTATTAGGGTAAGAGAACTTCTCCACTGTCTTACATTATTATGAGTCTGCCTGTAGTGTAGCCTAAGTATGTCTTCCCAGCCACTTTCTGGGGTTCTTACCTTCTAGCCAGCTCTATCTAGGAAATTTTTCCCTCATCTTGATGGAAACCTTACTTTCCTTTTCTGGCCAAGAGATTTTATTTACAATAACATCTTATTTTCCTTCCTGGGCTTAGAGAATTGGGGTCCACATTAGTCTGCTAAGGTGAAACGGTAAAACACTACAGACTGGGTAGCTTAAACATCAAGCTATTATTTCCTCCAAGTTCTACAAGTTCTAAAGACTGGAAGTCCAAGATCAAGGTTCTGGTTGATTTGATTTCTGGTAAGGGTTGTCTTCCTGGATTGCAGATGGCCAACTTCTCATAGGCACTTGGAGAGAGAAAGCTCTCTGATATCTCTTTGTATAAAGACATTAGTCTTATGGGATTAGGGCCCCACCCTTATGGCCTCATTTAACCTTAATTACCTTCTTAGAGGTACATACGGTTGCACTAAAGATTAGGGCTTCAATGTATAAATTTTAGGGGGACACAAACATTCAGTCTATAACAGTTCTTCTGGGCCATTTGTGCTTCACCTCTCTATACTCTTGCCGAGGCAGTCAATATAGGGGCCCTGACTATATGTGAGATGGAAGAGAAAGGGAAGTCAGGCATAAGTATATCAAAAATATTATCTCACCACATTTGGAGTAGCAAAAATTTAAAATAAATTTGAATATTCAATCAGGGAGAGAATTACTACATTTTAATAAACTCATACTAGAGACTATTGTGAAGGTCTTTAAAAGCATGAAGCAGATATATGTGCATTGATCTGGAACTCATAGCAACCATATAATACAACAAGAGCAAATCACAAAATACTATGTACAGTGGAATCTCATCTGTATTAAAAATTAAATCAAAATCTTTATGTTGGTGCACAGATGTACCAGCAAAGAAAAGGTATGAATGAGAGGCACAGGCTGCCACTGGTGAAGTGGTATTGGAGATGTGCAATATACACTATTAACTTCCTTCTGAATACATTACTGCCTTTTGAATTATTATAATAAGCAGGTTGTAATTCAAATGACTGAAATTTTAAAAAATAAAAAGATGAGCAAAGGACACTGCAGTCAAGGAGCGAGAATGAGAACAGTCTGAGATTGATGCTGCATGGTCATGTGGTCTGTCCCCATGGGTGGTAATAACCAGGGTGATACATCATTCTGCAGGCTGTGGGCCTTAGGTTTTCCGTTCAGAAACTGGATTTGGTTTTTCTATCCACACAGAACTGACTGACCTCTTGGGGTCAGACTACTAACCAAGTCTCTAAAACAAGAATACATATTACTAGAATAGTAATTCTAGAATACTGATTTATTGATATCCAATGGGGGAAGATGTCTTTAATTTCTGAGACACTTATTTGCATCTGGCTTCCAAAGTAGCCTCCTGCTGATATCAGGGTACTCAAAAATGATCGTGAATACTAAAAACATATTATGGGGATTATTTCAGCCAAATCAGGGAATCATCTGATGACACTTTTTAGCTTTCTAGATGGTTGGAAGATAGCCTGGAGTTTTTGATGTTGTGTTTTGATGATGTGCTCTCTCTCTCTCTCGCTTGCTCTCTCTCTCTCTCTTTCCACTCTCCCCCTCTGTCTCTCCATCCCTCCTTCTCCTCCTCCTTTTCCTTTACTCCTATTTCCTGTTTCTCTGTTCTTTCATTTCTTCCCTCCCTCCCTTCCCTGGGACCTTGTCTCCTTATCTTATTCCAGAGAGATGTTTTGTGGCTTAAGTATAGAGTTCGCCTTTGGGGTGTTCTCAAGACCCAGAGATTCTTTACCCCCTATTTAAGATCCAGGAGAATGTCATTATAGCCTTCTACATGCTGACTTTAGTAGAAATTCAAAATACCACTTTTAAGGTTTGATAGTCTGAGAAAACCCATCTTACTGTATGAAAAATCAATTCTCCAAGTTATAAAGTAAAACTTCATAGATAATGCTTTTAAAAATAGTAGAAAAATTAAGTCAGTACAGTTTGGATAGAACTATTTGAAGACAAAAGACAAAATATTGGAGAAATATTAGTTAGATAAATCAGTGGACACATGATATAAATGCATTAATATTCCAAAGAGCAGTTTCCTTTGAAAAGCCTCCTTTCCCTCTTTCCATATTGCTAGGCTTACAGGGGAAAGGCAATAATTCATTTTTTAAAAAAACTAGGGAACACAGTGGTCTCATGTGCTATGCTATTAAATCTGAGTCACTCAACTCTCCACCACAGATATTTTTCCTTGTATGTTGATGGATTTTTTTTAAAGTACCATCAATCTGAATGACAACTTTTTCTTAAACACCTGGGCTGCTCAGCAAATACAATATGAATTTAATCCTGCTAGGAATGAAAATAGAGGTGAGCAGAGGTGCCTGTTCCCCTCTGGCAAAATTTTGACTTATGAGTTCATCCATGCTTCAAAATAACATCACAGCAGTACCTTCCATGGGTGACATGGCTCCATTAATGCTAAAGTCACACCTTGACTACAAGGAGCATGCACACCACCACCCTTTGCTGGGAAGCATCCCATCTCCCAAGTTCCATCCTTTCATGGCAGCCCCTTTTCCATCTGAGCCCATTTTTAAGATGCCACTTGTTCCCATCTTTGAGTTCCTATGGGGATCTAGATTAGAAATTTTTCACTCTTGCAGTAGATAAAGTAGCCACTAGCCATGTGTATATTAAAACTAAATTATACATTTATGTCTTCTGTCACATTAGAAACAGGTGAAATGCTCAATAGCCCCAGTAGTTAGGGCTACAGTACTAGGCAGTGCAGAGAACCTTTCTTTTGCCGCAGACAGTTCTAGGGGAAAACAGAAATGGAAGATGTCTCCTGTCTCTCCTACTGCATGACGATAGCTGCCAGGTCTGGCATTTTCACAGCTGTGTCCTTAGGGTCTAGCTCAGTGATTTTCACGTGACACATGCATAAGTCACTAAATGAATAAATGCATGAAATGAATAAAATGATCAAACGAATGAATGAATGGATATTGCCATTAATAATGGTTTTTCTTGGTCTTCCTGAAGTTTTTCATGAATTAATTCTTATTTGACCCCCATGTCTCAGCTTAAGTTATACTTCTTCAGGGAACCCCGCCCTGTCTGATCCTCCACACTGGGCTAGGTCCTTTTCCCAACATCAGTCTTATACTCTTATGGTGATACTGCCAATACTTTCGTTAACTGCCTGCCTGGCTTTTGGTTTCTCCTCCTAAATTAACAAAATTTATTGAGAGTAGGACCTTTCACTTATTTTTTTTTTAAATCCATAACACAAGCACAGTGCCTGGGATGTTAACTGAAAAACTGAAGGACTCTTTTTGCCCTTTAACATTCACTTATAGGCTACTTAGATTGAAATCTAAAAGTGCTTGACTGCCTTTAGAGCTTTTCCTATAAATACTCCCCAAGTAGATTCATATGGTTAAAGAAAAACAAAAATATGTGCATAAAACCCACTACAACCTCAGGCTGTACCTTGGCTCTCTTCAGCACACTAAGGCAACAGAACTCAATCTGCACAAAACGATGAATAGGAAGCAGTTACGGGCCATTTCCTCCCAACCTCAGTGGAAACTTCAGTTGCCTTTACTTCCTGTCATGTGCTCTCCATCCCCCAGTGTCCCATACCTACTCTGTGGCTATTTAAAAACAAAGCCAGTAAGTGAAAATACAAAAACATAGTCCGATAAGGTACTGAGTATCATCCAGGCTTATAAAGGTTATTTCCTGAATTAGTTTTCTGAGAAAAAATAAACTTACGGAAGCAATTTGCATAAAACTTTAATAGACAGTCACATTAAATCAGTGTTCTTCAAATGATAGCATAAATAGAAATCACCTGCAGCATTTGTGGAACTTCAGGTGCTTGGGTTCCTCAGTAGATGGGGCAGGGATAGGGCTGGGCATTTGAGCATCTGTCAATCAAGCTCCTGGGTGACATTAACGTAGCCTGCACATGCACTGCAAAACCTCGCTGAAACTAGGATTGATTTTCCTCCATCTTCTGTTTTACAAAAGAAAATAATTTTCACTTTATTTTTCTTATTTCATGGTTCAGTAATTATGTGCAAGAACAATTCAGATATTTAAATCACATCATATTGCCTAAAATTTTGTAGATTTCAAATTTTGACCAGGCCAGTGACTCTTTGCTGTCTGAAAGCTCTCATTTTTAATTTTTTTCTGTAATATAGCTGCACATCAAGCCTACAGTGTTATAATAGCTTAAATTTGTAATCCGTAGGCTCTTAAATAAAGTTTATCAATGTCTACTTAGTACACCATTTCATATATCAGCTGCAAAAACATCTTCAGTATTATTATTCTGTGCCAAGTCTGTAATGAATAAACAGCACTGCAAACACTTCAAACCTGTTTATTCACTTTGGAGAGCTTTTCTTTGGTTCAAGTCTCAGAGGATTTTGGCTTTGACTTTTATGAGAAAGGCCTGTATATTCCTATGTCTCTTCCATTTCCCTGAAATTTTTCGGTTTACATTGTTCACTCTGTCTTTTAGATTGCAGCAAAAAGTCAAAAAATTGACAGAATGTCCAAAAAGAGAATCTGTGGGTGGCTGTTATCCGCAGTGACTGAGTGAGAAAATTGCCTGGGTCCTGGATCAATGAGGGGCATTTGAGAGAATGCATCAAGGGGAAGACCTTGGGTACACAGTCCCCAGGAGGCAGCTAATGTGTCACGTCCTAAAATCTAATTCATGAGAAATTATTTTTATTTCAAATGAGAAGATCAATGCATAGGGAAGAAAATGTCACATTCAGTTTATTACTTTCTCTAAAATAATAGTGTAACCTGAATCTCCATTGCTATACAGTGTAAAAGAGAAAAAAAAGAATAAATGAAATCCAACTGTGTTAGCTTCACCCATTCTAAACAAAATAAAACTGCAGTTTTAGGAACCATTTCAAGTTATTTGAAAACTTTCATTTCCTAAGTCTATGCAGTTTAAATGCAGAGAACTGCATTTGAGCTCAACGTACCTTTGAGGGAAAGAAAAACATGAATATCAAATAACACTATACAGAAAGCATTTCAAGGCAATCTCTTTGATGTAGCTGAAATATCCCAGCCTCAGTGGCCCCACTATTCTTCTAATGCAACAAGACATCAGGAATTTAATTAAAATTTAAAGATTTATAAGATCCATTCCTCTCTTGGGTAATATACACAAAGACACCATATAGGGTTTTTCTTCCTCTCTCCACTTGATTTCTACTGTGAGTTGCTTTAGTTGGGAAGTCTTTCTCTAACAAAGAAAACACTACTAGGCTGCCAGCTATCAATTCTATATCATTAACCTCTGAAGGTCACTTTTTGTAATACATGTTATAAGAGAATGATTAGGACTTCTATTGTTAACTTTGACAGAGTAGCTTGTTAGGTTATCAACATATTAAACAACCTATCAACACTGTCACCAAGAGAAACGAAAAATGCTGAACAAAATATAAATAAAACAAACAAGCAAAAAATCCAGTTGTTTAAGGCACCGGAGGACAATCAAGGACACCAGGCCTTGTAGGACCAAGTCCATAAAGTGCATTGGGTGATATTTACTATACTTTTCTATTTACTGATTCCTAAGCACACAGATCATGGTGGCTGAGCAGAAAGTGGCTCAGCATTTGATAGTCTCAGTGACCTTAGAAGAAAATAATGGGAGTTTAAAGTTGTAAAGGCAGCCAGGACTTGAGGGACCAAAATTCTGTATGAAATTGGATCCTGGAGAATTAAGTCCAACATTTTACAACTGGTTTTTCCCTTGAAGCCTTCACCAGTTCCTACACTGCATGGAATGGGAGGACAAAATTAGGTAGAGAGAGCCGTGGAGGGGCAAAGCCCAAGCAGAGCTTCAGGTCATCTCATGGGAATAAGGACACAAAAGTCTGAGTTTATAGCTTGCCAAAAAGAGAATTTCTAGTAATCACTCCAGACTTTCATTAGATACCCTTGAAAGGATAAACTCTGGGAAAACCAAAATGGACAAAATCTGACAATGGACAGAATCCATCTTGAATCATCTCAATCAATGGATCAGTGCATGCTCTACAACTCCTGACTGCCTAACAGAAGACAACTCAATCCTTTCTGTAGAAAGATCATGTCATAGAGTCCCTGAAATGTTGTATAATGCCCAACACTCAAGCAAAAATTATATGTGTCAGGAAATGTCCAAAAGACCAAAACCAAGAGCAGGAAAATCTATTAGGAATAGGCCTACATGTGATCTAGATATTAAAGTTTAGGATTCAGACCTGGCAATAGCAGTGACAAATATGTTCAAAAAATAAACTATACAATGAAGACTAGCCAGAGAACTGGGATCCATAAAAAAAGTCAAATGGTAATTATTCTAGATTGGAAAATCACATTAATTGAAATTAATAAGAGATTAATTTAAGAGGAAATTTGACTCAGCAGAAAAGGTATTTGGTGAAGCAGAAGCTAGGTCAAGAGGAAATACTCAAACTAAAGGACACATAAAAAGGGAATGAAAAATAGAGAATGTAATAGACATGTAGGACATAAGTACAAATCTAAAGTGGGTGTAACTGGAGAGGAGAGAAGGACAGAGCAAAATGAGAAGAAATACTAGATAATTCTTCCAAAATGTGAAAGATTCAAACCACTGATTCAGTAAGTTCTATAAAACGGCAATGGGATGAATAAAATAAATTCACATATAGGCATATCATGGTAAATTGCTAAAGATCAAAGAGAAAAGATTAATCTTTTCTTTTGCATGCAGAGGAAAATGATAAAACCTTCCAAGGAAGAACAATAAGATCAAGGGCTGATTTTCCCACAGAATTAAAAGAAGACAAATTACAATGGAATTATATCACTAGAAGGCTAAAATAATACAACTGTCAATCATGAATTCTTTGCTTTGTCAAAAGATCCTTAAAAATAGAGATAAAGATATTTTTGATAATTAAAACAAGGAGAAAATTCATTGTCATTAAGCCTTTAAAAGAAATATTAAAGCACATTATTTAGGCAAATGAAAGATAAGGAAACAAAGATAAGCCAATTAAAAGACCAATATTTTAAAATTGGATAATAATACAAAACCCAACTATATGATGCTTGTCACATAAATATAAAAACATAGAACAGTGGAAAGTAAAAGGATGGATAAGTCTTAAAAAATAACCGAGAGAAGGCTGTTAAAACTATATTAACAGGCAAAATTGGCTTTAATGAAAGTGATAATACATTCTATAATACATTCTATAATAATAAAAGGGTCAATATATTAGAAAGACATAACATTTCATAATTGGTAGGCTTCTTATAGCATAGGCCAAAAAATATATATAATACATATATATTTTGCATATTATAATGTATACATATACACTTATAAATATACATACTTTTATATACACACATATATATCTGCTATATATATGTGTGTATATAAAAGTATGTGTGTGTGTGTGTGTGTATGTATATATATATATATGTATATATATATATATGTGTGTATATATATATATATATATATATATATATATATCTCCAGCAGAACTAAAAGGAAAAAAATCTGCAACCATAATGGAATGTTTTAACATATTCTTCCCAGTTACAAATAAAAGGAGCAAGATCCATAGAGGATTTGAACAGGTAATTAACAAACCTGACCTAAATGTATATACAGAACATTCTGCCTCATGTTTCTGAGAACCCTATATTTTGAGGCACATGTGGACCACTTATTAATAAAGGGCCATAAAACAAATTACATAGAATTTGGATTTGAGTTCTTGGCCATATTAGATGTGAATTGGAATAATAAAATGATTTCTAGGAAATCCATACATACTAATTAATTAATTCTTATTAATATTAAGGAATTTCTTTGTAAATAACTCATGGGTTCAAAAAGAAATTACAATAAAAATAAGAACATGTTTTAGACCGAATGATAATTCTAACATGATGTATAAAATCTTGTGAGATTCAAACACAACTGTGGTTAAAGAAGCAATTATAGCCTTTAATTCACATATTAAGAATGAAGACTGAAAGACAATGATATAAGTATCCATCTCAAGAAGCTAGAAAAACAACACATTATTTTTGAAACAGATAAAAGAAACAATTCCTAAAAGGTAGAAAACAATGAAATAGAAAATTCTGTGTAATAGAAAACTTCAACAAAGCTAAAGCTGTTTTTTTTAAATATGAACAAAATTGATAAATTTCTGGTGCGATTGATTAAAAGAAAAGGCCGAGGCACAAATAATTAATGTTAGAAATGAAAAAAAACAGACATTACTACAGAACCTAAAGAAATTAAAAATATAAAACAAGAAATTATGAACAGCTTTGTGCCAATAAAGTTGAACTTTCAAAAAAAATAAATAAATTGGATAAAACAAAACTTGCCAAACCTTTCCTTCATATCCTCACATGGTGGAAAGAAAGCTAGAGATCTCTCTGGGGTCTCTTTCATAAGGGCATTAATCCTATATAAATGAGGGCTCCACCCTCATGACCTATTCACCTCCTAAAGGTCCCACCTCCCAGTAGCATCGCCCTGGGGATTTCAACATACAAATTTTCGGGAGACACAACTATTCAGTCAACAACATCAAAATGAAAATAATTGAAATAGACCTGAAGAGAGTCCATTGACATAACCAACCTGGAGAACATCTAGGCACTATTTGCTAAAGCTCACATAGCAGGCATACCCTTAAACCCAGAATTCTGTTAATATTTCTTTGTAAATACCCCACCAAAACTTGTGCAGAAGAATGTTCACAGCATTATTATTTATAATAGCTTTGTCACCTCCAAACAAAGATGTTTTTTTCTGGACTATTCCAGGAATCAGAAAAGAAGACATCATCTTTCAAATGCTATTGACCAAAATCTTAGTATACTGGCTAATTAGGCTTTGAGGGGTGGAAACGGTGAAAAAGAAAAAGTAGAGGTGTTTCTTGTTTTTCTGTCCTTAAAGATGGAATATTGTTTTCCTAGAAACAAAAAGGGAAATCAGCTTGACTGGAATACAGCTTATATTCCAAGACAGTAACCACTATTAAGGAGAAAAAGCAGTTCTTTAGTTTTCAGTCATTTGGTATCTTTGTATTTCATACTCTATTGAACTTTACAGCATTAGAACTTCCATTTAAGTAATACTATGTTTCCAGCTAAGGATGCATGGTCCTTGGAAACCCTTTCAGTATGATTATAATCTTGATTACTTTAATATGAAAGTAACAAACGGCAACACATACCCTGTTAAAAATAAAAAACGATGGGCTGGGCGCAGTGGCTAACGCCTGTAATCCCAGTACTTTGGGAGGCCGAAGCGGGGGAATCACGAGGTCAGGAGATTGAGACCATCCTGGCTAGCACACGGGGAAACCCCGTCTCTACTAAAAATACAAAAAAATTAGCTGGACGTGGTGGTGGGCGCCTGTAGTTCCAGCTACTTGGGAGGCTGAGGCAGGAGAATGGCGTGAACCCAGGAGGCGGAGCTTGCAGTGAGCCGAGATTGTGCCACTGCACTCCAGCCTGGGCGACAGAGCAAGACTCCGTCTCAAAATAAATAAATAAATAAAAATAAAAAAGTAAAAAATAAAAAATATAAGTTACAATGGCATGAACATTTCTATACATGTTTCTTGGTGTAAGTATGGACAAATTTTTAGTTGGTATGTATCTAAGAGACAAGAATTGTTAGATAATAGGTTATATTCATGTTCAAATTTTGAAGTGGCACTATGCATTTCCAAAGATGTACCAATTTATGCTCCTATCAGTAGGGAATTAGAGTTCCTTTTGTTCCATGTCTTTGCTATTCCTTGGTCTTGTCAGAGTTTTTAACTTTAGCTGCTCTGATGAGTTTACGAAGGTATCACATAGGGGTTTTCATTAGCATTTCTCTGATGACTAATGAGGTTGAGCATCTCTTCATATGTTTATTGGCCATTTTGATATTCTCTTTTGTGAAATGTTTGCTCAAGTCTCTGGCTCATTTTTTCTTTTAGGCTCTGGTCCTTTTCTTATTTAGTTGTCATTATAAATATATTTTGGATATTAACTCTTTATTGGTTGTATGTATTACAAATAACTCCTCTAAGTTTTTAAGTTTTCCACCTCTGTCTGAGAAAGACATTTTTAATAACCAATGTTTTTAATTTTAATGCAGCCCAATATGTATAAAGAAATAGTTTCCCATTGCAAGTCATGAAGATGTTTTTCTAAATTGTATTATAGAAGCTTTGTTGCTGTTACACATTTGTATCAATAATCCATCTAAGATTGATATTTTTATTATGGTTTAAAGGAGAGTAAATTTTCATTTTTTTCCATATGGCTATCTAACTGACTCATCATTGAATGAAAATGCCATTCTTTCTTCATTATTCTTTGTGTGTCAAGGTCAAGTGTCCGTGTGTGAGTGAATCTGTTTCTAGGTTTTCTACTCCATTCCACTGATCTGTCTTTCTGTCCTTGCACCAGTATGGCCAGTCACAGTTACTGCAGCCTCATAATATATTTTGGAATGCGATAGAGCACATTCTCCTACTTTGTTCCTCTTAGTGGAGTTTATCTTGTCTATATTTGTCCCTTCTCCACATATATTTCACAGCTAACATCTCAGTTTTCAAAAAATATCTGCTGGGATTGATTGTAATTGCTTTAAATCTATGGGGGTCAATTTGGGGAGAATTAAAATTCCTTAAAATACTGACTCTTCCAAATTATAGATATAGTACAACCACTTTTTCATAAATTTTATTAGAGTTTTCTTTGTAGAAATTGGGTATATCTCCCAGCACTTTGGGAGGCCGAGGCGGGCGGATCACGAGGTCAGGAGATCGAGACCATCCTGGCTAACACAGAGAAACTCCGTCTCTACTAAAAATACAAAAAATTAGCCTGGCATGGTGGCGGGCGCCTATAGTTCCAGCTTCTAGGGAGACTGAGGCAGAAGAATGGCGTGAGCCTGGGAGGCGGAGCTTGCAGTGAGCCGAGATCGTGCCACTGCACTCTAGCCTGGGCAACAGAGGGAGACTCCGCCTCAAAAAAAAGAAAAAAAAAAAAAAAGAAATTGAAATTGGGTATATCTTTTATTAGATTTATTCCTATATATTGTTTTTTAGTACTATTGTAAATAGTATGTTTTAAGGTATTTTCTTTTCTAATTATTTGCTGCAGATAGATGGAAATACATCAATTTTATATACTGATCAGTGTCCAGCAAACTTGCTAAACTTATTCATTAATTTTGGAATTTATCTAAAAACTATTTTGGACTTTATACATACAAAATTATATCATCTGTAAATAATGACAATTTTTCTTCCTTTCCAGTCCTTACATTTTAGATATTTCTGTTTGTTGACATACTGCAATGGTATCTAGAGTAAAATGTTAAATAGAAGTAGTGATAGCAGGCATTCTTATTTGAACATTTCACTATTCAGTGTCAAGTAACATTTTTGTATATTGTTTTTATTATCAGTTACCTACTAAAAACTCTTATTAATAATTTTTATTATGAATCGGTGTTGAACTTTATCAGATGTTTTCTGCAATGATTGAAATGCTTGTATGATTTTTCTTTATTCTCTTAAGATGATAAATTTGTATTTATTGAGTTTTCAAATGTTAACCTTCCATGCTTGTCATGCTAAGCTTGATCATGATGTATTATTTTTAATTTTTTGATTGTTTAATAATATTTATTTAATTATTTTTCATCTTTGTTCATGAATAAGATTGTGTTACAGCAGGTAGCTAGTCAGGTATGAGCAGGCGGGAGAGGGCTCCCCACAACTCACACGCCAGGAGTGTTGGACACCCATTAGGTGATGGTCAGGCGGTTGTTAACTGTTTCTCTAAAGTGTAATTGGTCACAGCTGGCAAACCAGGACAAGGCAAGCTCCTAATAGATAGAAAACACCTGAAACTGACCAGCAGCTTCCCATTAAGTCCCCAGAAGTATGCCAACATATAAAAACCTGAAGTCAAGAGGTCAGGCTGTGCACTTGGTTACTCCAGTCGCCCGCTAGCTTTGCCCTCTTACAAGTCGTACTTTCCTTCTTTTCTTTCCTTTCCTTCCTTTCCTTGCTGTTCTAAAGCTTTTTAATAAACTTTCACTCCTGGTCTGAAACTTGCCTTGGTGTCTTCTCCTTTATTCCCTTCAGTCAAATTCTTTCTTCTGAGGAGGCAAAGACTGAAGTTGCTGCAAACCCATATGAATACACCTCCAGTAACTTGGGATAACTTGGATCTCTGCCACTGCTAACAATTGGTCTATACTTTTTCTTTGTTGTAATGTTCTTGTAAGGATTTGAACACATAAAATGTGTTCAGGATTATTGTCCCTTTTAAAATATTAAGTAGATGATTGTGTAAGATTGGCTACAAATTCTTTCATAACTGTGAGAATAATTCACCTGTGTAGTGACTTCATCCAGGACTTTTCTTTGTGCAAAATTTTAAATTATAGATTATTTTTCTTTAGGAAAATTTAGGTATACTGTTCCTTCTTGTTTAGTTTTAGTAAATTGTCCTTTTATATGAAGAATCCATTTTATATAAAATTTCAAAAACATGTGAATAAATTTGTTCATAATACCCCCTTCTTATCTTTTGTAAGACCTGTACTTACGTCTCCTTTCTCATCACTGATATTTAATGTTCATGGCCTCTCCTTTTTTTTCAATGATTATGCTTGCTAGGGGTTTATTAATTGTATTCTTTTTAAATAATCTTTTTTGGACTTTTTTAATCCTTTCTATTTTGTTTGCTTTTTTATTATATTAATTTCTAGCTTTTTCTTTATTATTTAGTTTATTCTCATTCCTTTGGCTTTGTTATTTTCTAACGTCTTAATTTAGGTCATTGATCTTCAATCTTCTTTTCTAGTATACGTATTTAAGGGAATAAATTTCTCTCAAAGTATTTCCCATTTTTCAGGTGTTATTTATTTTTATTTTTTTTGAGATGAAGTCTTGCTCTTGTCCCCCAGGCTGGAGTGCAATGCATGATCTCAGCTAACTACAACCTCCGCCTCCTGGATTCAAGCGATTCTCTTGCCTCAGCCTCCCAAGTAGCTGGGATTACAGGTGCCTGCCACCATGCCCAGCTAATTTTTGTATTTTTAGTAGAGACGGGATTTCACCATGTTGGCCAGGCCGGTCTCAAACTCCTGACCTCAGGTGATCTACCCGCCTCGGCCTCCCAAAGTGCTGGTATTACAGGCGTGAGCCACCGCACCCGGTCTTAGATGTTATATTTTTATCATCATTCAGCTTAAGATACTTCATTATAAACTATTGTTTTCCTTTCTTCTTCGATCCATGGGATACTTTGAAGTGTATTGCTTAATTTCAAACATACTGATTTTCTAGGTCTCATTTTGTTATTGACTTTTTGCTAAATTGTACTGTGGTCAGAAAACATATATTTTGCATGGCTTTATTCAATTGAAATTTGTTGATGTTTCCTTTATGGGCCAGCATATGGTAACTTTTTAAATGAGAGAGCTTGTAAATAATGTGTATTCTGCAATTCTTTGTTGTATAATTCTACATATACAAATTTCTTATTTGTGCATTTTAAATCTTCTATATCCTTACATTTTTTTGGGTGTGTGTTTATGTTGGTAGTGAGAAACATATTGAAATATCCCACTATAATTTTCTTAGAATTTTTTAGTTTATTCATGTACTCATTCATTCAACAAAGAATTATTCTGGGCCTGTCAAATTTTAGAAAATATAGCCTATGAATTGCGTTGAGGAAGTTTTTAGTAATTAAGGAAAGTAGTTAGACTTTTATAAATTTTAAGGCAATGTTATTAGTTGCATAAAAATGTAGGATTATTATATCTTCCTATTGAGATAATAATGCTTTTCCTTTTATTTTAATAAAGTGTTTAACATCTTTTTTGAATATTTCATGGTTTATAGTCTACTTTGTCTGATATTAATATAGTTACATAATCTTCCTTTGGCTAGTGTTTGCATTCTATGTATTATTTTTTCATTCTTTTAACCTTTTCCTGTGAGGATTCCAAACATGCTCATTTTTGGAATCATCTTGGATCTGCAATGTGGATTCATATGAAAAATAATAACAATTTTATAGTACTTAATATGTTAGGCCCTAGCACATACATATTAATTCACTTAATCTGTGCAATCACCCTATGAAAGCAATGATTATATATTCATTTATTTAATTCATATATTAATTCACTTAATCTGCATGATGACTCTACAAAATCAAATTATTATTATTATTCTCATGGTTTTACAAATGGAGAAACTGATGCTCAAAGAGAAAAAAAAAATAACTTGCTCAAAATTATAGAGCTGATGAGAGGCAGAGACAGTTTGGAAATAGCAATCTAGCTTTGGAGTCTGTTCTTTTACTTACTATCCTGTGTTACCACTTAAAAAAATTGAGAGCCCAAAAATGTAATAGAGGGATTTATGATTCATGGACCTGCCACCAGTACAATCACTTAGGCCCCATGCCCAGAAGGGGGCCCTGTGCTTGGGGTTTAATGGGTTTAATGCCTTGCAGTGACCATCTTGAAATCCTGCATAATTTTATCTTTGGATCTGTGCTTTGTGAGTGAAGATGGATGGGATAATGGAGCACACCCTGAAGTCTTGGAACCTCCTTTCCTCCCTTGGATGGGCTCTCAGCCATCCTCTCCCCTGACTCCATGTAGCAATCACTGTGGCCTCTCCAGCAGGTTGGGGACTCGACATGGGGAAGGTGGGATCTGGCCTTGTGCTCCGAGTCATGGGATGGGCCCAGCACCTGTGGGGGTCTATACACACCCTGTGAGTAACCCTTGCTCAAGCAGCATATTAAATCACAAACAGAAAACACTATGAATAGGAAATATAAAACAGGTGAAGAGAGACCACGAAAGAAAAGTTTCTGTCCCCTTCTTTCCTGCTTTCTGGAAAAGGGCCTCACATTTACATTTTTCACTGGGCTTGTAAATTATGTATAATTATGTAAATTATCTAGACCTGGTAGATGCTAGTTGGTGCATTGTTTGCTGAGACCACACTTTCATTTTCTTTATCTTTTATATCTTAAACATCTTTTAGGTACATTTTTCTATCTAGTATTCAAAACACACAACCTTTCCATAGCACTTACATACAATTACACTTTGCTGTGGATTTTTAGTTTACTGAGCATGACTACATGCATTGATCCACTGCTCCTCCTGAGTCCCCAGGTGACAGGGAAATATTGTCATCCCTGCTTTGCCGAGGAATAAGTGGGTTATGTGAGGTTTCACACTGAATAAGTGGCTGAACTGGGGCTTGAATATTGGTGTTCTAACTACAAAATAGTTTTCTTCCCACTAAATCACAACTTGCTTTTAAGAAGGCATCTTTTTTGGATCTCAAAGAGGGCAATTTCACATCCAGTATTGGCTATGGAATTCCTATATTGCATCTTTAGAATAGCTACTTATTAAGCATAAGCTTCTACTAATATGTTTTATTCACATGGCCCTTTGGTGCCAGTTTTACAATGTTTTCAGCCACAAGCAAAGAAACAAGTAGCTGAAAGCAGGCAATTAGGATTGTACTGAGAGTTTTGGAAGTGGGTGGAATGTCCTTAAAATCCAAACATCTGGTTGTTATACTTGGTGAGCAATAAATGATTAAAGTGTTGCTGACACCAGTTAGCAGAAATGTATTCCAAAGCTTTGGTTTATGTGAGTTTTGTTTTTAAAAGGGCCAATGATAAAAATATAATCATCCCAAATGTGACTAACGCACATGATTTGCCTCCCCCTTTTCAATTCATCCTGTTTAGTATTCTATAAAGTATATTAAAATGATTGGTGAAATGATGTTCATGATGAATGCTATGTCTACAACCCCTCTAAAGCAAAAATGCTCCTGAATTTACAATGGTATTATGTCCAGATAAAACCATAGTAAGTTGAAAGTTGAAAATATTGTAAGACAAAAATGCAATTAATACAGCTAACCTACCTTACACGTGCTCAGATCACTTCCCTTAGCCTATGGTTGGGCAAGGTCATCTGGCAACACTGCAAGCTAGAGGCTCAATGGTTCACGCTCATGATTGCAGGGCTGACTGGTTGCTGTGGCTCTGTCCCCGCCTGGCATTGCAAGAGAATATGGTACCATGTATCACTAGCCTGGGAAGAGATCAAAATTCAAAATTTAAAGTATAATTTCTACTAAATGTGTATCACTTTTGCCCCATCATGAAGTCAAACCATCATAAGTGGATCCTAAGTTGGGGACTGTCTGTAAATCCGAGGATTCTTCCTCATGAAATCACTTTGAGATTTTCCAGATTTAACACTGAGAACACAGTGTTGAGATAACTTTTATTTTTGTGGTGCTGTCTCTTTAGTAGTTACATATACTTGGAAATTCAATTCACTTATTACCTGTAGGCACCACTGACATCGGGAGGCAAATTATAAAAAATAATAATTTCACATTAAAAACAATGCTGGCCAGTCGCAGTGACTCACACCTGTAATCCCAGCCCTTTGGGAGGCAGAGGCGGGCAGATCACCTGAGGTCAGGAATTCGAGACCAGCCTGGTGAAACCCCCTGTCTACTAAAAATACAAAAATTAGCCAGGCGTGGTGGCAGGTGCCTGTAGTCTCACCTACTCAGGAGGCTGAGGCAGGAGAATTACTTGAACCCAGGAGGTGGAGTTTGCAGTGAGTCAAGATCGCGCCACTGCACTCGAGCCTGGGCGACAAAGTGAGACCCTGTCTCAAAAAAACTAAAATAAAAACAGTGCTGAAAGCAAATAGTGGGATAGTTTGAATCCAAAATTATTCTTTCCTGAATTTACAGTTTATTTCAGAGCATAAACAAAAGCTGTTGGGTGCTGTTTATGCTGTTTCCTCATCTCATTGAGAATGATGATAGAACTGTCCTGCCTAATGGAATAACCACATAAAGTGAAACTCTCACCAAGGCTCTTGAATGTTACCTTCTTGTTAAGTAGAAAATGTTGGGACACTGGATCTAAACAAAACAATACAAAACATGTTCAGTTGACCCAAAAAGGAGAGTGGAAAAAGGAAGTAAAGGAAGGACAAAGACAATTCCTTGAAGTATATAACAAAATGCTCAGAAGTTGAACCAACTGATCTGTGGAGCACGGAGGAAAGTTTTGAAGCTAGAATCATAAAATGTTACTGGAAATCTAGAGGTGGTAAGGTAAGACAATTTGGTTGTCTTGCAGGATTCTAGACGTTGGAATAGAAAAGACTCGCGTGGGAAAGAAGTTCAGAGACTGGCCAGTGGTCTCAGTAAGTCTGATTTTGTTTGATTGCTTATTTCTCTCTTGTTTTATTTCAGTTAAGAGATGCTAAAGTCTCTTAGGAAACAGAATTGGTGTGGAATCAAGGTAAGTCTATTGTTAGGTTAAAGTAAACTCAGTTGATAGCAGAAGAGTCCTTTGGATAATTCATTTAATGCCTTCCTCTGGATCAAGAGTTTCTATGGCCAATAGCTGTGTATTGAAATAAAGAACAGCACTCCACCCTTCTTGCTCCCCCCACAGACACACACTGTGTGTACTTTTATTAAAGCTTATGAACATGAATTTACAGAAAATCTTACAGGGAAAGTGAATGTGAGTGAAAAGCTCTCAAGTTGCTCAACTTCCAGCCTTGCTCAGGATGCCTGCAGAGGCCTTGTTATATGTCAGGTCTGCTCGAGGCCCCAGCTCTACCGGATGTCAGCTGGTCCTCCACGCAGGCTGCCCTCCTCGACCAGGCCTCCGATAGGTGCTCTCCTGCCGGCCCATCCACGGATCGAAGCTCAGAGCTGCTCCCACCCGCACATCCCCAGGCCTGGCTTGCCTCTTCTGATCCTATGAGACGTTCTGTTCATGCCTAGAAAGCATATCTTCAATAGAGAGAAAGGGGTTTTCTTTCACTTCCTTCCTTTTGTAAATAAACTGCCTTTTGATTGTAACACATAGGTGAATTTACTCAGGTGGACAACAATGTCACTTTATTCCTCCAGCAGATTTCATATTGCTCTCAAGGCCCTGCAGTGGCGACAGTGGGGAGGATTTAAGATTGCCAGTTCCCGGTAAGCCAGTTTCTCCCAGTTGAAAGCACTCTCTTCAAATCAAAGTTTGACTCCCTGTCAGGATGATCTTGTTTCCCCCAGACAGCTTTCCTGCCCCTCCTCCTTCCCAGGGAAGGACCTGGGTACAGGGAGCTGTAGGGGAGGGATCCGTGGTGCCATGCTTTCTGGAAACTTGCTGTCCTCTGCAGCGTCCTGCAGGTCACTGGGTGCCCTGCACTGGTGCAGCTGAGGGTGCTGGCATCACTTCAAGTTTAGGCCACCCTCCTGTTCTTGGCGGTGGCTGCCCATGCCTCCATCCACAGGGTCCTCAGACTCATGCTGCTTTGGGCCACTGGTTTGCTCAGGGGACATTTTCTCTGGCCAATATACCCAGATATGTCCTCCTGCCAAGGGAGAGGCTACTCTGAATGACAGCCCACCTTCCCAGGCTGCACTGGGGAAGGAGGAAGTGGATCTCCATGTTCTCATAGGCTGGGTAATCCATCTGGGTTTTGCTCTTTGTCCTCCTCCTCACAGAAGATTTTGTCCTGAGAGGTAATCAGGGCTGGCCGTCTGCATCCCTCTCTGCCCCGATCCCTCCAGTCTTCACTTCTGAGGGGACCTGCCTCTCTCTCTCAGCCCCCTTCCTCCCTCACTGTCCTTCCCCACTTGGGGCAATAAAGACAGAAGGGATGATTCAGGAACAGAAAAAGATGACTAAGATGGGGAAAATACTAACATAGAGATGTTTCAAAAATATATTTCTTACTTGTTCTATTTATTTTTATTCTCCACTTATTGAATCAAGGGTGTTCTGCAGCCTCGGTTTGAGAAATAGCTGGTGGAGCCTCTCTCTCTTTCTCACCTCCACCGTCTTCCTGCCCAGTTTGCCCTGTGATCTTCCCCTGTATACAAGCCCTGATCATGGTTAACTGCCTTCTGAAAGGACAAACTCAAAGAATCCAGCCAAATCCTCAAGGATCACGGTGTTATCAACAGTCATCTGAGTTGAGAATATATACAATTATATACAGAATGTATTCTTTAATCTTCTTCTAACAAAGTTACATATAAAAGTGGGGTTATTTTTAAGGTCCTTCATAAAAAGAAGAGAATGCTTCCAATTATGCCTAATTAAGCCCATACACGATTTTTTTTTCTTCCTGATTCACTAGGCCTTAGAAGCAGGAACTCCAGTACCTAAGGGAAGGATGCTGCAGCCGCGTGTCTGTGGATACTGAAGGAGCAATGACTTGATGGAGAGTCAGCTGAAGATTTTATTCAACAAGAAAAATGTTCTGTAGAGAAAGTACGAATGGATCATGTGAATAAGTAGGGAAAACACTGTTTAAAAGTTCAAGAGAACAGAATATTTTAAAATTGTATCTTAGAATCTGCCACTCATGTACACATCTCAGATGTGCCAGTTTCTCTCCATCTTGCTCTAGTCTACAACAGTTAATGAGGAGCAGCATGTTTGAGGCCACATTGAGGACATATGCTGTGGAAAGTTGTGCCTTGGCCTTAGAGCCACAGAATTCTCAGTGCTAATCCCCGCTCACCACTTAATAGCTGTGTGAGCTTTGGTAAATCAAGGGATTTCAAATCACTTGATTTCTCTGTGCCCCAATTCCTTCTTCACCCTCTGGGGATCTAGTAAAGACTGAGTTAGCACACAGAGAATATCTAGCTACTTCATTATATGGCAGCATATGGTACCTATAGATACTCAATAAATATTAGTTCCTTCCTCATCTTTCCCTCCTTTCAGTTGCTTCATTTACGTAAAAATAATACATCTTCTTATATTTAAAAAGAAATAGTTCAAGACCAGCCTGGGCAACATAGTGAGACCCTGTCTCTACAAAGTAAAAAATTGGCTGGGTATGGTGGTGTCCAGCTGTCCCAGCTACTCAGGAGGCTGAGGTGAGAGGATCTTATGAGCCCAGGAGTTCGAGACTAGAGTGAGCTATAATTGCGCCACTGCACTCCAGCCTGGGCAACAAAGCAAGAACTCACCAATAAAATAAAATAAAATTTAAAATAAAATAAAATAAAATAATTTTAGGCTTTCCATTGATTTAGATTGGCCTTCCTCAAATCAAGACTGATCGCTGTTTGTCTAGTTAATAAGACTAGTTCTATTCTGAGACAGGGATGAGAAATTTGCTTTTAGCTTTGAACTCTGCTTCCAGAACTGCAACTCCAACATCAGGTCACTTACAGAATAAGCCCCTTGCTGATGTGAGAGGTGCTTTTCTATGTATGTATTCTGGAAACAATGGAACCTGTAGTATTTGGAGATATCACAAAGAACTTATGGCAGAGGTGGCTACTGTCTACCAAAGATTCATATTTTCCTTCTACCATGCAGAATGAGGTGGTTCCCAGCCAGACCGGCACTTCACAGAAGTTCTTCCCACTTCTGTCTAGTGGCCCAGAGGGGCTGGGCCACTTGTCTTCAATGGCAGTGTCAGAGCAGAGTGCTCTCCGTCCCTGCAGGTGGATGTTGTGGCAAATCAAGGCGGCCTCTTCACACTTTTTTTCTTTTCTTGTCCAACATTGGATGTTGATGGTCAGAGTGACTTTGGAAACCATTTCTTGAAGACGGCAGAGTTTCCATGATACCTAAAGGTAAATAGGTTCCCTCTAGCAACCCACTGAGATTAATTAGCACCCTCTGTAATTCCAGTCCCCAGCCCCACCCCTGCTGCTCCCTGAAGGCAAGAACCAACCTTTATAGGGAGACCAATGGATGGGGAGTAGAGTCTGGTTCCAGGGAAACTGAGCTTGGGCAGCTGCTATGAGTCAAATGGTGGGGGTTGAAGAGTGCTGGACCAAGGGTGGACTCCTCTACCCGCTCACTTTATTGTAAAGCAGTTAGTTTGTTAAAAAAAAAAAATTGACCTTGCAGTCTTCTTACATTGGTTTTAGGAGCTTGGGTAATGTGACTCTGTCCTGAGAGATGATCATTTTCCCATTTCTGAGTCCTCTGGTGGAGAGCCACACCTAGACAGGGGTAATTTCCCCAGGACGGGATGTTATATGTTACTTGAGAATCAGGATTTAGAGTGAGGACTGTGAAAATTGTGCAGTTGTTTGTATAAAACTTCAGGTTGAAGAATCACTCAGCAAAACTAAACAACAACAACAATAAACAAAAATGAATTAAAAGAAAGTCTGTTAGATGATATCTTGGTATTCAAGCCATCATCCCCTTAAAATAACTATCAACTCCTAAGTAGTAAATGGGAGATGAGTGGAAAATTCTAAAATGCCCTGTTTGCCAGCAGATTGTTTTCCATTCTTTTGTAATATTTGGCATCTATAAACCTTAGTTCATGTTGGGCAATGTGCTTTTTCAGAAGATTAAGAAGATGGCCAAGTTGCACCTAAAAGGCATCCTGTAGGATAAATCTCCACATCATGCACCTCCACTGCAATGAAGCCTCACAGTTGCTTTTGAAAAGTATGAGTTTCTACAGTGAGCAAACAAAATAATGCATAGTTCAAAGCACTTTGTAAACTATGAAGGATTATACAAATGTCAGGTATTATTATTACAGAGCAATTTTGTCTTTTTCTTTGAAATGTTTTTTAAATCCCTGATAATGTAAAGATGTGGGTCCATCATGTCATAATGTAAGAACTCTGTTCATTTCTCTGTAACTTAATTTTGTAAATTTTCTTTCTTTTTGAATACCCCAAACTGCCCCCTCCCCTAAATACACACACACACACACACACACACACACACACACAGCCCAAAGGGCTACTAAATACTAAAAATTTAAAAAGTAATTCTGCTACTAAATACTAAAAATCAAAAATGATTATATTAAAACAACCTAACATTGCATAGCTACCAAATCCTTCCCGTGTTGAGTAAGGAAAGGGGATGCATTTGTATTTTTCACAGTACCTATGATGGTTTGCTATGTAGTATCATGTGCAGCACAGTCACTCAAGTCAACACTGGAGAACTGAAAGAAATAATCGAACATCAAGCAAGTGCTTTTTGGTATAGCAGACAAACTCTGTGTGTACAGCAGTAGCAGGTGCGATAATTTCATTGTGTTTCACACTTTTGAGGTTGGAGTTACCCTTTCCCGAGGGCAGGTGTGGGGCCCACTGAAACGGCACAGTCAAAGGCATGCATGGTCTGCTCCCCAGGCTGGCTGTAGGAGTAGTGAGATGCAGTCATTGCTGTTGTTGAAAATTATAAGTATTTTGAGATGTTTGATCTTTTTATTTAAACAAAAAGGTTCTCCTGTAGGTGGGAGGCCAAATCTATGCAGCAGATGTAGCTGGGTAGGGGAAGTTGATAGTGACTGACGTGGTGATGGTGGTTTACAGTTTATTTTAGGTGCATTTACACACATGAGTTTTCTATTTTCTTTTTGAAGATAAGGAAAATAGATTTAAACTGTTTATTTAAATATATGGCTTCTAAAATGTAATGTATAAAAATACATAGAATATTAATTTTTATTTATTCACTTGTTCAGATGTTTGAAGTTGAGAAACATTTATATTCTTTCTAGGAGTATAAATCTATATTTTTGTCAATAGGTAAGGAATTACTGCAGGAAAATAGTGCTGTTCTGGAGACTAAGCACTGTGTGTCTCTTGGGCAGTCTCTGTATTTCTCAGAAAAGACAGTATATCCCCTGTATGTGCTTCAGGGAAAAAGCAGGCACACAAACAGATAAAAAGCAAAACAAAACCAAAACAATAGCACAATCCCATGAAACTAAAAAGGTCTCAAGGAAAAAAAGACATTTATTCCATTTATTATTTAATCTTGATAGTTTTGAAACTAATGTAGAAATTTCGTTCTCATTATAGATAGCGAAAAGAAAAGCTGAAAAGGAAAAAATTGTTTCATAACCCCCATTATTTTTCCTGAAAGCAAATGGAAATCTTAGGTTTTCAGTATAAATGTACTTGGCAACTATTCTAAAAGACTCAAGGCTTGGGAATGATGATGGTTCTTCCTCTTCCTCAGTGAGCAACAGCTTTCCTTTGGATAAAATGACTCACACTAACTTTACATCATCTGATGAATCAGTTATGACCTAAATGTCTGCCAAAAGTTCAAACTTTGCTCCGCACTTGCATACAATGATGGCTATCCAACGAGAAAAGGATTTCCAGGTTTTGCCTGAAAGTTGACAAGAATTGACACAAAACAGAATTGTATCTAACAGACATACATAGGGAGCTCCTAGAAGTTGGGAAACCCTGACTCCCATTCACCTGACAAATATAGGTGGACTTTTCTTCTCTTCCTCCTCTCCCTCTTCCCTCTCCTCCTGCCCTTCCCTCCTCTTTCCCATTCTCTTCCTCCTCCTCCCTCTTCTGCTTTTTAAATATAAGTTCTATTTATTTTAAAATTACTTGAATTCATAGACATTCATTCCCCTTCTTCCTTCCCTTCCTCTTCCCCCTCCTTCTCTTTCTCTTTCTCTCCTCCTCTCCTCCTCCTCCTCCCCCTGCTCCCTCTCCTCCTCCTTTCCTTCCTCCTTCCCCTCCTACTTCTCCTCCTCTTCCTCCCACTCTTTCCCTTCCTTCTTCTCCTCCTTCCCCTCCTCCCGCTTCTCCTCTGCCTCTTCCCCTTTCTCTTCCCCGCTTTCTCCTCCTCCTCCTCCTTTGTATTTTCTTTGATCCTAAGTGTGTCCTCCACTCTCATCTTTTTCTTTCAAAATTATTTGAACAGACAAAAACTCATTTCTCTCCTTTTTTGAAGCGGGCAAAGGGAAAGATGCCTGGGAGGGGAGGGGAAGTGGAAAGAAATTGTCTTCCTTCAGTTATTCTTTTGTCTTCTCTTCTCTCCGTGGCCCTTTTGTTCTCTCTAATTAAGATGTATGAGTGAAAAGGATACTAGAGGCAGAAAATTTAGGCCTCATTTTCTCAGGGCACTCTTCTACGTGGCTGGCGTCTCTGCGACGAGGTGCCATGGCTGGCAGTGTAGACGCCCTGCTCACATCCCCGCAGCCGCGTGGGATGGCCCCGGTGTGTGGCGAGTTTTCCATGCCCGGCGCTGGTGTGTGTTCTCTGTCTGAGGGCTTCCTTCGGCAGGTGGTGGTGAAGTGAGCAGATGAGGGGTAGCACCCCCAGGAAGCCTTCCCCAACTCATAGGGGCAGATTCTGAGGACTGTTCCATGAGGGTTCTTGGAGGGTTCCCAGCAGAATCGATCCCAGTTCCCACGGTGGTCACCAACTTGCTGTTATACACTTATATTATTATAGTGCATTTTCTCTTTTCTGATATTCTAACATACTTTCCCCCTTCTTCCCTGTGCTTCCTGAGGTCATCTCCTAACTCCCTGTCCCCAAGTCCTTTGCTTAGGTTCTGCCCTAGGAGGAACCCGAAGTGTGATGGTCACTGTCCTGAATATCGTGGAAGATAAAGGGCTTGGAAGCATTTTCTTATGAACAACATTCACAGGGTTCTGGTACACATATTTTAATGGGATTTTCTAATAGTGTGTGACATTTAGATAGTGCTTTATGGTTAACTACAAGCTATCAGACAAATTATTTATGTTGATCCTTAGAGGTTAGTATACATGCAATTATTATTAACATTTTACTTATGAAAAAATGGTGTCAGAGAGGATACATGGCTTATTTAAAGTCACAGAGAAGATCTGCAAAGAAAACCCAAGTTTCCCTTACTATGTGAAATTCTATCCGTACAGTTAGGACATTTATCCTTTACTGTCAAATTTATGGAAAGAGAATTTTACTAATTTTTGTTTGATTTTTCCTGCTGTCTTTATTTTGGCTTTCTAGTTGTGGGCCTCAAAAACAGTAATATAGTTGTTTCCTGCTTTTCCCAGTGAGGAATAGAAAAGAGCCAGTTAAGTTTGTAAGTTACAGTTATAGTTTATGCCTATGTACAACAGGCCAGTGATATAATCTAAAAGTGAGTGATACAGTCCCTGGAAATTAATTGGGAAATTCTGTTATATAGTTGTATGATGATTTTTTTCTCTTGTTCCCAAAGCAACCCCCTAGGAGAGATGGAGATGGAGGTGGAGGGGGTGGGAGTTGGAGAGAAAAAATGAATTATGTTTAGCAAAAAGAAGCAAATCTTGGGTGATTCATTTCAGATTGCCTAGGAAGACTGTCATCCCACAAAAAAAAAGGCCTATTCTCATAAGACTTCCCAACCCACTCTGCAGTGTTAAAGGAAAATTTCCTCCAAGATAAACACTTTGCATAGGCACTTATCTTACTGTAAAGACTAATTCACTAGGTCTGCAATTCTTAATGCTGAAGCCTCAAAGTTACAACTACAGTGAAATTCCCAATACTTTCCTAAACAATTAGGAGATGAAATTCGACGGACAGCCAGGATAGAAGTGTATATTTCTTGCACCCTCTACCTGCTACTGTGCATGTAATACTGGAAATTATTCTCTAGCCTTGCATGAGTATAAAATTCAACAAATCCCTCAAGTTTTTATAAAGTTGTCTATTTTAAGGATGGCTTCAGAAATGTCTAAAAAGAAGTAAATAGAGTCACTGTTGACAAAATTTCCAAAATAAAGACAAGTTTTATTCCTAAACCTCCAGCATATTTAACTTTCTGGTTTGATTTAAGTTGCAGTTTGCATTTTGTAGTGAAGAGTTATGATGTTAACCACAAGGAACATAAAAGTAAATATAAAGTCTGCTTCAAAAAAAAAAAAGCAAGACTGAAATGTCAATCTCTTTATTAAGCAGAAGTTGTCTTATACCTGGTGTCTTGTTAATTTTTATTGAAATCTTTGTAGGATAGAATTGTCTATCTTCCATGGGTCTGGAGGGCTACCTTTTGTGTATTTAATATTTAGTATTATAATCATATCGTAAGTGTTTTTTAAAAATTATCTGTTGCTTTTGTTGTTTGTTTTGGTTTAGGAATGTGAAGAATGTAATATATTGGGGCTTTGGTTTCCTTCCTTTAGGAAAAAAAGACTAGTTTGAAAGAGGTTTTTATTTCTGGGAAATATGAAAGAGAAGGGAATGTTTTAATGGAAAATTTCCAACCTCCTCTTCTTTTAATCCAGAGTCAGGAAACACTTTTAAAAATAGCATCAGATTTGGTACATATAGTTATGTAGGTGAAAAAGAACTGAACTGAACTTGGGCTGGACACATACATGAAAGTCAGAGTTTTAAAAAGCCATGTTTCTATAAATGAAGAAAGTGGAGGCTTTGCATTCATATTGCTAATTAACTGAAAAATTAAGTAAATTACTTTTTCTGATGTTTTCTTAAATAAATCTTGTAGGGATATGATTGCTTTTGGTACATAGAAGAGTAGAATATTTTGAAAATTCAGGTTTAATAGGTCAGTCGAAGGTTGATGTTAGTCCCTAAGAACGTTACAATGCCTTTCTCCCAAGATTTTTTTACTAGCAGTGAGATCTTGGGTTAGCAACATTTTCATTCACTTGCAATTCACAGGATCCATTTTCTTTTTTTAATACCATTTGTTTGACTTAAGCTTTGGAAAAATCCCACTTTTGTATTTGTAAAAGACAGGTTTTTTAATTTGAAAATGAGACATGTTCAATTTTATCTTCTGACAGGTAAAAAGTCTTGGAACAAAAGAATTAACATTTATTTGCTAGCATAAATGTGAAAAGTCTCCAAGGACTTCTCTTTTTGGGAAATATATTTCAATCAACCTGACTATTCTGCAAAGTAAGGAGTGAGTTCTTTTTATCTTTTATTATATTCTGAATTTGATATCAAAGAGGAATCTCTGGAGACAAGAAGGCCATTATTTTGTGATCTAGTAGCTGCATGATAATGATGAAACCACCTTCCTAGATTTCATGATATGCCTCATACTTCTTAGCTGAATTTTAGAACAGAGCAAAGCTTTGCATTGCCTGGTATGTCTAAAGCAACTTTGGGCTTGGAGTACTCATTTGAATTTCTATGCTCATGTTGCCCTTGACTTGCCATGTGATGTTAAGTAAGTGATTTCATTTTTCTGGATCTCCATTTCTTCATCTATTATGTGAGGAGGCTTTGTTCAGATCTTCTCAGTGCATCTCTTAGGCAATACCCTCTACTCCATAATGACTTTTTCAAATGTGGCAAAGCTAACACTTAACGCAATTCATGGGCAGTGCTTTCAGATGCTTTAGTATTTTTCAAAGGAAGGCTTTGAATTCTATATTCAAATCAGATGTGAGAAATATTTGCAATGATTTATCAGACAGTGTTATTTTCTCCTCTTACTGACTAATCCCACAGGAAAAGTAACTAACATAATAGTATTTGAATCATCTCAAACCTTGAATCCAAACAATAGCTTCAGAAAAAGTTGTAGTGGTGGGAGCTGTTTGGAGGCAGCAACAAAGAGCACAGGAACTGTAGAGGCAAAGTCAGAAATAAAGTTTCTTAAACAAGACCTAAAGCACAGTCCCAAAGGAAAAGACTGATAATCATTCTTACAATAAAATTTAAAACTACTGCATGAAAAAAGACACCAGAACAATCTTAAATGACCAAAGATAAATTGGAAGATTTGTGCCATGAATATAACCCAATGAATTAATATTATGTGTATATATATGCATATATGATTTATAGAAAAAATATAAATTCCTATAGAAAAATGTGTAAAATATATTTGAAGTATAATTTGAAAATATAAGATGTAGAAATTATCATTAAATGTGTAAAATAGTCAACCTTTGCTAATCAAATAATTGAAAATTCATGTTTCAGATAAAATATCTTTCACCTATTAGAATGGAAGATTTTAGAAAGAATGGTAATACAGTTGCTGTTAATGTGGAAAATTTCTTTTGGAGGAACTAGGAATTTGTACAATATTTTCTTGGCATTTAGGCAAAAATATTAAAAGGACTTAAAAAAGCATACCTCTTGATCCAGCAATTCTGTTTCTTAGGAATCTATTCTGAGAACAAACTGGCAAAATACAACACTATGCATGGTGATTTTTAGAGTATCTTTATAGTAGCAAAAGGTGGAATGACCCAAATATTGAGAAAAATTAGCTAAATAAATTATGGTACATCTATAACAAAGAATAATATGCAGCTCTTAAAAATGATGATACATGGGTTTATTGGAATCAATCATTTATGTATATCATCAAGTTTTTAAAAAATTACAGACCATAATGTAGCCATGATGGAAATGTTTTTAAAAAAAAGGAAAAGAAGAAAAAAATAGACTGTGATTTGTTTGCCATAGCTGAATAGAAAAAAAAGCCAAAAGCCTATAAACCAAAATGAGGTGACCAGTTGTCAATTAGTTTCAAATTTGGGGTTATTTTTATTATTTGTGTATACTTATATTTTCTAATTTTTCTACAGTAAATATGCATTCTTTGTGAAATAGAGAAACTAGGTAAAATATAACAAAATTATTCCATTTATCATTGTAATTTCACTTCTAATAACTTTACTAGGCAAATAATAGGAGCTGTAGAAGGACTTTTATGTAATGTTGTTTATCAAAATGTTATTTAAAATAGGGAAAATATGGGAGTAAACCTAAAAGTACAATGAGAAATGGTGAAATAAACCGTGGTACCTCCATGGTATGGGATGATTATTCTTACTAATAGAAGAAAGTACTATATTTCATGAAATAAGTGGAATATAGCAAGATTCCAAGTATGAACACCAACAAAAAAAAATTTTCTCATACATAAAGGGGGAAAGAAAGGCTGGATAAGCATAAACACACACCACACACACTGGCACACACCTGCCACCGCCCCCTAAACACTCACACACATTCAGGCAAGCCAGGAATGTTCATGTTTGCTTCGTGGGTTTTACGAATGGTTTTGTCTCTTTTATATGTGTTTGCAATTTCTAAGTTCTCCACGTTGAATACTTATCACTATTTTAAAACACCCCACATCAAGCATAATGCCCTTAATTTCTGGTGTAGGGTATAATGGTATTAAGCGAAAAAGTTGTGCCGTGACACAAGTGTGATGCATTTGAACAGATGTGCCTTCTTTTCCCTACAGCGTCCACACTAAAAATTTGCTCTGTTATGCTGTCATCTTCTCCTTCTCTGGCACACACTACATTTTTTAAAAATTAGGTTTTACATACATTCTCATGGATGGTTAAACAAATATTTCTCCATGATCATGACCTCACAGGGACTATACACACACACTCACTGAAATGCCAAGTGGACGAGACCTGCAGGGGCTAACTGGTAGCTCTACAGCTCTGAGAGCATTTCTCTGAAGTCACGGGGACAACAAGGTGGAAACGTCTGTGGTAAAGAGATTGAGTTAAAGATTTTATTTTATTTTTTTCTTTTTCATTAAAAATAGGTTTAACTTATATTTCCATGATGATTAGTGATGTTGAGTATCTTCATGGAATTGCAGGTCAAAACTACAATGAGAGATCACCTTGCACCTGTAGGCCATTATTAAAAAAAGAGAGAGAGAGAAGGAGAGAGATAACAAGTGTTGGTGAGGGTGTGGAGAAAAGGCAACCCCTGTTCATTGTTGGTGGGAATGTAGATTGGTGCAGAACAGTGTGGAGGTTCCTGAAGAGATTAAACATAGAGCTATCACATGACCCAGGAATTTCTCTTCTGGGTATATACCCAAAGAAAATGAAATCACCACCTCATAAAGACATCTGTACTCTGTACTCCCATGTTAATTGCAGCGTAATTCTCACTAGCCAAGATATGGAAACAACCTAAGTGTGTACTGATGGATGAATGGATAAAGATGAATGGAAGAATGGAATATTATTCAGCCTTTAAAAGGAATCATGCCATTTGCAACAACATGGATGAACCTGGAAGACATTGTACCAAGTGAAGTAGGCCAGATAGGGAAAGAAAAATACCGCATGATCTCACCTTTTTTTTTTTTTTTTTTTTGAGACGGAGTCGCTCTGTCACCCAGGCTGAAGTGCGGTGGCGCCATCTCGGCTCACTGCAAGCCCCGCTTACCGGGTTCACACCATTCTCCTGCCTCAGCCTCCCGAGTAGCTGGGACTACAGTCACCGGCCACCGCGCCCGGCTAATTTTTTGTATTTTTAGTAGAGACGGGGTTTCACCATGTTAGCCAGGATGGTCTCGATCTCCTGACCTCGTGATCCACCCGCCTCGGCCTCCTAAAGTGCTGGGATTACAGGCGTGAGCCACCGCGCCTGGCCTGATCTCACTTTTATGTGAAAATTTTTAAAAATTGAATACATAGAAACAGAGAGTAGAAGAGTGGTTCTCACAGTGTGGTGGGGAAAATGGGAAGATGTAAGTTAAAGGGTACAAAGTTGCAGTTATATAAGAAGAATAAATCTAGAGATGTAAAGCATGATTACCATAGTTAGTACAATTGAATTTTATGCATGTAATTTGCTAACAGCAGATTTTAGGTATTCTTACCATACACACACACAAAAGAAAGGTAACTATGTGAGAAGATGAGTATGTCAATTTACCTGGCTGAAGTAATCACTTCACCATTTATATGTATGTCACCATGTATATATACACCATTTAGTATACAGTAAATATGTACAATAAAAAAGAAAATTTTCTACATGAAATAATTTTCTATATGAAAATTGTTCTGCTGAATTTTCATGAGATTTTTTTAAATGATTCATTTGTAATATTACTACCTCCAGGTCACCTCTCTTTTTTTCTGTAGGTCTGGCTAATGACATTATCTCTTGCAGACCCAATGTCTAGACCAGTATTGAATAAAGATTGTATTTTAGTGCCAGCTAATTATGCAGTGTTATAGTTTTTTAACATATTCTTGAAAACCTTGTTATTTTATACAAACCAAACCCTTTTTTTCAGAAAAACTTTCATTTTCTATTCTTTTACTAGAGTAAAATTTTGTTACACTAGAACCAAAACATTGTTGCCTCTGTACTATAATAAACAAAAGGTTTTCAGGCTGGGTGCGGTGGCTCATGCCTATAATCCTAGCACTTTGGGTGGCCGAGGCAGGAGTTTGAGACCAGCTTGGCCAACATGGTGAAACCACATCGCTACTAAAAATACAAAAATTAGCCGGCCGTGGTGGCACGTGCCTGTAGTCCCAGCTACTTAGGAGGCTGAGGCACGAGAATTGCTTGAACCCGGGAGGCAGAGGTTGCAGTGAGCCGAGATTGCACGTCTGCACTCCAGCTTGGGCAGCAGAGTGAAACTCCGTCTCAAAAAAAAAAAAAAAAAAAAAAAGACTTTCAACCATTGCTGTCACTAAGGCAAAGATCTACTAGAATACTTTTCAATTAGATCAATCATATACAAAATCAAAAAGTAAGAAAAAAATATTACCCAAACTTTCACCTTCATTCAGGAACAAATGAATATTCATTTCCTTCTTTTTCAACCGGTTTCTTTCTGCATTGGGAGTTTTTAAAAATCATAGGTTAAGAACTCAAATGGTATTTTTGAAAAAGTTTTAGAAATTCAAAATATCTGTTTTTTGTGAACATTTTATGTAAAAGAAGAATTATTGACAAACATGACATAGGGAAACAGGCTCATAACTTACTAAACATTCACAGCTCAGTTTAAACAAGCAAACAATTTTCTAATGTTTAAAAAAGTACAGCTTTAAGCTAATATTTATTACTGGATATTTGTAAGTACCTAAATATGTGATGCTTTATTATAAATAAACTGAGAGGGATATGCGCACACTTGGTGTGATGACTTGTCAGCTGTGTGGACCTCCAGTAGTTCTCAGTACTCATGGAAGGATTCACAAGGCCAGAGGTAAAGGCTATGTGTGAAGAAAAAAACAAAATCAAAACAGAAAGAAATACTTTCCCTATGTTTAGTATTACATGAAAAGCCCAGCATACATGAAAGAATATATGGTATGTTCACCACATTAGAGACTTTCTCTACAATAGAGTGTGTCTCTTCTTTTAGACATATGGGTGATTTTTCTCTTTCATTTTCTACATTTGCCATATGGTCTGTTATAAGTACATTTTACTTTCATAATAGAAGAAAGACCACAAATTGTCTCTTCTGTTTCAAACATTTTGCTGAGGTCAGAGAAAATTACTACTTTCCATAAGATAATTTTCTTATTTAAGTTGTCCTTGGAAATGCATCCAAGTGGTAATTCTAATTGACAAAGAAGTCTCATTCAGTACAGGATTATTTATTTAGGAATTTTGTGCTTCTGTGTCACACAATTAGCACACAAAGTATTTTTATGTGGTTATTAATCTAGTAACTTTGAGGTAATAATCTTTATACAATTTATATCATTTATAATTTGGCTTTGATTTTCCCTCTGAATTTTCTTTAATCAATATCAGATAAACAATTTATTTTACAATTTGGTTTTGATTTTCCCTCGGAGTGGTGTTTCTCTTATCAATATTCACTCTTTGAAAGAATCTGTGGCTTCAGAATGCTGTTAAAATTATAGCACCAAGTACCTAGAAGATATCCCATGGACCCTCTGTACATACTTGGCTGTGTCTTGCATTGTTACCTCTAATTTTATTAAAAGATATTTAACTGATACTAAATCCTAATGTAAAATCTTCTAAAAGAGCAATTTGACCTGAATAGGGATTCCTGGGCTTTGCTGGCCAGTACTCTCCCGTTTTCAGAACACGTGGCTGATGCCCCAACCCTCATCATTGTGGGATGGGGGGCAGTTCTCTCTGGCACACCTGTACCCTTGCATTTTCACTGAGCAGTCACATGTCCAGATGTGTTGGAAAGTGGACATCCACTGCCATGCACTTTCCTTAGGGTTTCTGGATTTATCTTGGGACTTGTATTTTGTAAACAATGTATATGCCTTTTGTCTGGCTGGATGAACTGGATATTTCCAAGTGTTTATTTCATTATTTCTTGGCCCCATAGCGGACTGAGACTGAAGTGTGGTTTTGATATTAGCAGCACCCCACTTCACAGGCCACAATGCAGGCCAGACCGGGCCCCAGAAAGCTGCCCACTTTCACTTTTCCGCTTCATCTTGAGAGATAATGCAGGTGACCTTTAAAAAATTGTTGCTATGGTTAAAATAACATCATAACAGTGAAACATCAATAGTAAAAAACATCACAATAATGTGATGTTTATTTAGCATTTCTGAAATTGTGGAAGTCTGGGATGGGAGAGAGAATAGCCATCAGTTATTTAGGAAGACCTTTGCAGGGGAATTTGCTAAGGGTCTACGGATCCCTAGTAATAAAGTCGCGGCTTGCGTTTTTATGGTGCTTTCAAAGTACTTTCCTATATACCATTTCATTTTCACTTTCCTACCCACCTAATAGAGTAAGAAGGACTGACATTAATCAATTAAAACTCAGAATCCTGGAGCAAAAGAAGGTTTGTTCTTTTTTTTTTTTTTTTTTTTTTTTTTTGAGACGGAGTCTCACTCTGTTGCCCGGGCTAGAGCGCAGTGGTGCCATCTTGGCTCACTGCAACCTCTGCCTCCCAGGTTCAAGTGATTCTCCTGCCTCAGCCTCCTGAGTAGCTGGGATTACAGGCGTCCGCCACCATGCCTGGCTAATTTTTGTATTTTTAGTAGAGACGGGGTTTCACCATGTTGGTCAGGCTGGTCTTGATCTCCTGACCTCAGGTGATCCGCCCACCTGGGTCTCCCAAAATGTAGGGATTACAGGTGTGAGCCACCATGCCCAGCCAGAAGTTTCCTTCTAAATAAGACTAGGGACATTGCCTATTTCATTCACGCTGTATCCCCAGTGCCTAGAATGGTGCCTGACAAATATTCAATTTCCCCTAGATCTCTGTTGAATGAAACAAATGAGAGAAAAAAGCTACCGGGTTTCATAGTCAGGACTAGCATCTCTCCAACCCCCTTACTCCAGAGATTCACATTTCTGATCAGTGTTTCTTTTTTTATATCACATCAACTTAATCCTTAGAATGTGAGACTAAATACCAATGAACTTATTTCTTTGAATGACAGACTAAACAAACAGCAAAAGATATTCAGAAATAACATTCTGGGTCATCCAAATTTTAACTGGAAAGTTTTTAGCCCTCACTGTGTGGATTTGCCCCTGTGTACTTGTGTGGTTACTAATACACCAAGTGCCCGCTTGCTTAAACTCGGTTGATATCCAGAGATTCAGTGATGTCAAAGCAGGTTAATAGACACCAAATTGAAGTAAAGATTGGGTGGCTGAGGTACATGAAAAACTAGCAATGAGCCTCCATCTGCTTACCTACCTACCTTTGAAAATAAATGAGTGATAAACAAAAAGTTTGTAGAATCAGAACTGAGCACTTGTCTAGCTCACATTTACCTGATTATTGCCAGTGTATCACTTTATTCGTACTATAAAAATCAATGAATAGGTATTTATGACATAAAATCCAATGCTACAACATGTTGACATTAAAAAAAAGCTTTATATCTTTATATTTGACTCACAATAAGTGAGTAATATATTCAGAATAGGTAAATGGAAAATTGTTTTTCAAGTTGAAGTAACTAACCCTGTAGAATGTCTAAGCTGAAGAGACCTTGTTATCTATCAGTGTAATTCACGTGGAGCGCCTCAGGGCTAAGCCGTGCTCAGCTGTAGGGTAGGAACTGATGGAGCTATCAGAGCTGAAGAAACAGTTTGGTGATAGATATCTGGAGACAGTAGCTAGCTCTTCTCAAAAAAGCAGCCCTAAAATATCCTAAAATTGCTGGTTGCACAAGAGACAAAAGAACTGATTTTAAAAATGAGAAAAATAAGATAATAAATGCTGCACTAACACTGAGTAGATGTGGAACATTATTTCTGTATTTCAGAGCCAACTACTGTTATAAATTATGAATGTTCCTTGTCCCTGAGATGAAAGGATGAGGGCTTCGTGAGGCTGGTCCTGTGGCTGTTTCCCATTGGTGCTTATAGATCTTTTTATCATCTTGACAAGTATTAAAAGTGAAAGCTTTTTGTGACTCTAATAATAAATTTTTGTAAAATTCATAAAAAATCCATTTTCTGGCTGAAAGGGAAATTATGATGATAGTTTTAGGTGTTTTGTGATAGTTTAATATGTTATATATAAAATGTTTTATTTTTATTCTCTTTTCATTAAGAAGAAGCTCTTTAGAGTAGTATCAGTAGAAGTTATCTTCAAAATACATACTGCTATTCGTTCTAGCTTAGTCAGAAATAAATTTATAACTAGGTTTGGGCAACTTAAAATAAAGGATGTTATTCTCAATAATTACTTCAATTAATGACAAAGAGAAACTAGTCAGATTCTGGATACAACCCAGTGGAATAAACCACTTCCTGTCTCTACAAATATCTTTTTAGAGATAATATAAAAGGATATTATTTATCCGTGGAAAATGCATATGATATATTTCAGCCTGAATACCTCTTTTCCACAGAGGACTTGAATCCTTTCACAAAATAGTATGTAAATTATGAATTGCTAAAACGTACATATGTATATATTCCTAAATAAATGTGTGTGCCTGTGTGAGTATGAATAAGACTTGGATATTAACTTCTTTATATATATCCTATTTTTTCCCAGTAGCATTACATGCATTCTTGACTTAATTTTTTTATTTGGTAATTTCCTGCTAATTATTCTTTCCATATCAATCCAGTCTTTTGACTTTTATTTAAGTCTTATGTATTATTTTTCTAATCCTGCCTTTTAAATGATTCAAAAATTTAATGGAATAGGACAATTTTTTTTTCTAATCTCACACAGTTTCTTTGACTCAGAAATCCCGCAGCATTTTATATGGGTGGTTCTGGCTCAGGGTCTGTCATGGGTTTGCAGGCCAGTTTGTTGGCCAGAGTCGCTGTCATCTGAAAGCTTGACTGGGGCAGGAGGATGTGTTTCCAAGAAAGCCCACCCAGATGACTGTTGGACAAAAGCCTCAGTTCCTTTTTGGCTGTTGGTTGGAGGGCTCAGTTTCTTGCCACTGGGTTCTCCCCTTAGGGCTTCTCATGACATGACATCTAATTTTTCCCAGGATGAGTGATTTAAGAGATAGAGAGAGTGAGAAGATTACATTGCCTTTTATGACCTAGACATTGCAGTCTCACAGTATATCTTCAACTTTATTCTGTTCATTAGAAGTTAGTGACTAAGTTCAACCTACACTCAACAAAAGAAAATTAGACCCAACCGCTGCTTTCAGTGGGGATGTCAGAAAATATGTTGACTTTTTATACACCATTACATCTTCTAAGATTTTTTTTAGTCAAGTAACAATCAAAGCCCAGGATTTCTTTCTTTTAGTCAACATCAGTCTTATGCCATACTTTCTAAATAAAATTACTGTCTTCTAGGGTGTTAAAATAGAACTTGAAATTCACTACTCAGATTAAGTAAAGGAAATGGAGTGTATCTCTCTACTTCTCCTGCTCCATACCTATTGACATTCAAAATACTAAATTAAAAATGAATGCATACCTATGGTTCTAGAGTAGAAGAAAAGGTCTCATAAGTGGACCAGTAGTTAGGGGACAAGTTTGGAATGCAGATAGTACAACATTCAAAGAGCTGAATAAAGCATAGCACAAAAGGTGGTTCAGATACAACAGCAAGTTATCCCTAATGCTCTAATTCAGGAGAAGCCCTTAAAACAAAGGACCTAACCTTCCTACGGGCCAGCTACCTATGCTAATCAGTCTTTTTCCCATATTGTACAAAGACAATGAAATATGAAACATTTTGGAAAGCTATTGGTATGACATATAAAAACAGAAGTGAACACAGAGAAATTATTCTAAAGGAAAAAGATAATTCAGACAATTCTTTGAGGATTTTCAATTTTCTACTCATTCAGAGATGCATTTTATTCACTATTAGTTTTGTAGTGGGAAGTTATTCCAAGTATCTATTCCACTATTTTGCCAGAAATTGTAGTGTAAAGAATTTCATAAATATAAAAAAATCTAACTCATTCTCAAATTTATTATGAATTAGTGTCATCTATTGGATGAGGGCTGAGGTCTGCACTGAAAGCAGAATTCAGGGCCAGAGAAACAGAAGAAATATTTAAAATCATTTTAAAATGTAGCAAATGATCTGACCAAAGTAGTCAGATTCCGAGCCAGGGCACAGGTTGAACGGACAGTAAAAGCCAGCAAGCTGACTGACACAGAGCTCTTGTAAACTTAGTGGACATCCGGTTGCCTGCCTTTGTAAAGATGGCTGCAAGGGCTGTGCCCTTTCTGCTTGATTTAGCTGGCTAACCTAGGCCTCCAGTGAGATATTATTAGAAATTCATAATAATTTCACCACTCATACTTAGAAGAATTCTGAGAAGTAATTCTCTAGCAAACTCCAAGTCAGTTTTGGTTTTAATTTTCAAAGTGGAGAAGTGAATTTCTATTGAAAGAATGCCACATATGGCATTATAGAAACACAGAAAACCCTTACCTCCTCTATTTCTTTTACGTTTGACTGGCCCAGTTATAAGGAAATGGTTGGTTTTAGCTGGCAATTGCCTTGTGGAAAAGTGACGACCCATAGGGCATTTTTGGCCTAAATTTTGCTTTGAAATTTTTTGCCTTATTTCTGATTTCTGCATGTCTTTTTTTTTTTTTTGTTACTTTTCCATTTTCATTAAAATATGCTATACCCTGCCACAAAAAGTGTAGCTGTCAATCTATAAAATAGTACAATTTCAGTAATCGTGTCTGGTATTTTAAATTGAGAACCATAAAAAAATATTATTATTATGGCTCTGAAGAATATATAACTCCTCAGGAAACATCATAAAAAAGAATTCAGAGTGTGTGTCACCCCCAGAAAGGAAGGAAGGGAGGCAGAGAGGGAGAGAGAAAAAGCTTACTAGATCATTTTAAGTTCCAGAAAATGTAATGAAAGGAGAATCAAAATTTTTAGTTTAAGAGAAAAAAACGTTAGTTTCATGAAGATTATTATTTGTTTTTCCTTGTTCATGCCCTTTTTTCTTTAACCTTTTTTTTTTAAACAGAAGATATTTACATCATTAGGTCTAGTTCCTAATAATTCATGAAAACAATGAGATCCCTGGTAAACATTTTTTGTCAACATAAAACATAGAAACGTATGTTTAGAGTTGAAGCCAGAAAATTTTTATGCATCTATTTGGTGCTTGCTTTTAAAAATATAACCTACTTCATTGTTGGACATTTAGGTTGGTTCCAAGTCTTTGCTATTGTGAATAGTGCCGCTATAAATATACGTGTGCATGTGTCTTTATAGCAGCATGATTTGAAACCATCATTCTCAACAAACTATCGCAAGGACAAAAAACCAAACACCGCATGTTCTCACTCATAGGTGGAAATTGAACAATGAGAACACATGGACACAGGAAGGGGAACATCACACACTGGGGACTGTTGTGGGGTGGGGGAAGCGAGGAGGGATAGCATTAGGAGATATACCTAATGCTAAATGACGAGTTAATGGGTGCAGCACACCAACATGGCACATGTATACATATGTAACAAACCTGCACGTTGTGCACATGTACCCTAAAACTTAAAGTCTAATAATAATAAATTAAAAAAAAACATTTTACCAAAAAAAAATATATAACATACTTCATCCTTTGTTTTTTTCCTTGCATAATACATCAGCAATGTGTAAAAGAAGTCTGAATTAAAGGAATGTTATGTCTACATTGTGGGCCCTTGTCACAGTAGCCAAACAACATAATACTTGCATTTAATTCTGCATACTATGTTTTGAAGAGAAAGTTGACAAATTAGGGAATATCCAGAGGACAAAATATTGTGCAGACTCTATAAATTACCTCATACAAGGAACAGGTGAAAGAACTGGGGTTGTTCAGCCTAAAGGGGAATAGAATATGTAAACTATCTTTAGAGATTGAAAGTCTTTTTGGGGTGGGGTGTATATTTGTGATTATAGTAGCAGAATGTGAAGTATATTTGTGTAGAAAGGTAGACTGGAATTAATTTGAGTAGCTCCACAGGCAAAATTGGGAACAAAAGGAAGATTATGAAGTAGATGTGGACTCAAGATAAAAAAAAAAAAGAATTATCAAATCATTGGAATAATGCCACAATGGGGATCCCTTGTGCAACAGCGGGTCCCCATAATCTGAATCAAAGGCAGATGATCATCTATCAGAAATGCTGCAGAAAGAGTTTTATGAATCTATAAAGGACTTTGGGTAAAATGATTCTATGGGTTATTTAAAACCCACAGTTACAGTTGAGGTCAGTCCTTGCAACTTAGAAAAGATTTAGTGACTGTACAGAAAATACAAAGAAGAACAACTAGAATGACTAAAGACAGGAGGGGCTCCTTATAATAACATACCAAAAATATTAGAAGTCTCATCTGAAAAGTTAAAGATATGATTCAAAGTTTCAAAAAAATTAGTTTGTTTACATTAATATTAAGGAAGACTTTGTAACACATTTACCCTTTAATCCACATTTTTAAAAATCAAGGCAACATCTAGTTTTAGAAATAAAAGCAACCAAAGAATGAGTCACTGTGTTAGTCCATTCTTGCAATGTTATAAAGAGATAACTGAGGCTGGGTAATTTACAAAGAAAAGAGGTTTAATTGGTTTAGTTTCTGCAGGCTGTACAGGAAGCATGGTGCCAGCATCTGCTTCTGGGGAGGCCTCAGGAAGCCTACAATCAAGGCGGAAGGTAAAGGGGGAGCAACACATCACATGGTGAGAGCAGGGAGCAAGAGAGAGATAGTGGGGTGGGAACACTTTAAGAAACCAGGTCTCACGTGAACTCACTGAGTGAGAGCTCACTCCTCACCAAGAGGATAGTTCTGAGCCATTCATGAGGGATCCTCCCTCATGATCCAATCACCTGCAACCAGGTCCCACCCCCAACATTGGAATCACTTTTCAGCATGAGATTTGGAGGGGGCAAACATCTAAACCATATCAGCCACAGTGTTGTTGATGTGGGTCTGGTATAAAAGACTGACGAGAGCTCCTCATAGACCTCCTGTCTCTCTCTGTTTCCACTAATCATACACACTCACGGCAGATTAATCTTCCTAAGGCCTTCAGCTTAGTCCTACTGGAGTCACTTTCCTGTTCAGAATCCTTCAGTGTCTTCTGAGTTCATACCAACCAAGTTCAAATTCAGTGTCTTCCATGGTCTGATATATATCAACTATATACCCAGACCCACTGTCAACTTTTTATGTATCAGCCAGATGCCTTGAACTTTCCAAATTTCATGTCTCAGTTTTGAATATTCCCATCTACTGGCATAGCTTTCTTTCACATCTGCAATTGTCCACCTCCTACCTACTCTTTGAGACCCTAGCTCAAATGCTGTCATCTCCACAGAGCTCTCCTGATCTCCCAGATAGAAATAACCTCCCCTTCTAAACTACAAACACATTCTATATCTTTTTAATTTCACTTTAATTTTTTACACTCAGGTTATGTAAGTACATGTTCTAGTCCACCTCCTGAACTCCTACAAGCAAAAGCCAGCTCTTATGATTCCATGATCCCCATAGGGCCTTCTGTATGTCTCAATGAATGAATGTTTTGCCATACCCAATAATTACCAGAAATGCCACTCAGTCCCAAGGATAATTCAACCTGCTGCATCATTCATGCAGGGTTGACACAGGATTCTAGCAAGGAAAGATGGCACCAGCCCTGTGAGCAGATTACAGACCCGCTCAATTGCAGCCTTGAGCGCTCATATGGATTGCTTTTTTTACTTGTATTTCTTTTCTCCTCTTGTCTTTATATTACATTTGTAGTTTCCAGGAAGCTGGGCAGAGGCACCCAAATTGAATATTATATCTACAAGCATATTTTCCTTCAATTTTTTTTGTTTTCTTTTTTTTTTTTTTTTTCTGCGACAGGGTCTCACTCTGTTGTGCAGGCTAGAGTACAGTGCAGTGCAGTGAACTGATCATAGTTCACTGCAGCCTATAATTCCTGGGCTCAAGCAAGCAGACCTCTCACTTCAACCTCCTGAGTAGCTGGGACTACAGGTGCATGCAACCAAACTTGGCTATTTAAAAAAATTTCTTATAGACATGGGCTCTTGCTATGTTGCCAGGCTGGTCCTGAACTCCTGGCCTCAAGTCACTCTCTAGCTTTGGCCTTCCAAAGTTCTAGGATTGCAAGTGTGAGCTACTGTGCCTCTCTCCTTCAAATTTCTTGATGAGTCATTGAGTGAAAACGCTTTCTAGCCTGCCCCACCCACACCAACACCCCCCATGTACAACAATCCTTTTTAACTGGCCATTTTATTTTATTTCCTTTCTTTCTTTCTTCCCCGCCTCCCCAGGTTGATGTATTTAACCAACACTTTTCCCAACAATTACTTCTCAATTTACTCTACTTTGGTGATTTTATTTTCTCCCATCTTATCAAAACCACCTCTATTAACAAGCCAATCTTTTAAGCAAACGTATTTGAATATTCTTAATGATTCTTCTCTCATACATCTTTATCAGTAGATGCACCAGACTTAAAGTTTATGGTGCAATGAAAACAATTTTATGAACAAAAAGCTACAGAATAAATGTTGGTGATGATATTGATGATATGTATTTTTTTTTTTTTGAGACGTAGTCTCGCACTGTCACCCAGGCTGGAGTGCAGTGGCGTGATCTCGGCTCACAATGATACGTATTCTTAAAGGAATTTCATTACAGTTTTTCTTTCATACTGCCTTTAATTTGTTCTTGTTTGAATGTGATATACTATGTGACAAAATTGTATGTTGCCACTTTTTAACAATTGCTTATAGGATAAACAAAAACATTTTTAATTAATTCAGATTTCTGGCTTCCAAATTATGTTTACATAAAAATATAATATTTAAATTTTAACATCAAGCACTGGAGATTTCTACCTCTTTATTGTCTGTTTTCAAAGTTATTCCTATAGATAGTAAACTTAGTTGGAGCCACTGCTCGCTGTTTCCAAAAGAGAATTGAAAACCTGAGGGTGACACTCATAAGATTGGCATGTCATTTCAAAGCTGGTGGGTTTAAGACACATCTAGGCATGAATCACGTGGGCTGTCCAGGTGCTTATTTGCACATGGGACCAAAAAGCATCCCAAGAAAACACTCAACATGAAGGAAGGAGTCAACTCCATTAGTCTAAGCCTATTAAAATGTTTTCAGTAACTGGAAGGGAGAGAAAACTTCTCAATTTGGATGATGCCTATCAACTAGATTTGTCTTCCAAAATGCAAAGGAGTGGATTCTATGGAAAACAGAGAACTATAAAACAAACAAGCAAACAAAACAAACAAACAAAAAAACAGAAGAACAATTTCGGTGGAATATCTACAGCAGCTTCTTCTCCACCCACATAATCATGGACATTGTCTCATGAGCTTCCAAGCATCTTGGGTCCTGGGACCCCGCAGAACCTTAGTGTTCTAGGGAGCACTCTCAGTACCAGAGATAGCAGATTTGTGCAGTACATTTGAAACTTCCAAGGAATACCAGGGTGACATTTCAAATACATTAGCTAGGGTGAGAACCAGTGACATTAGGTCACCACTCTTAATGGGGCCCCACCTGTGCTCACTGGCTGGTGAAAGGTAAGGATACTCAGGTTTCACAGAATGTTACTTGTAATCTACTCAATGCCCTGAGGCAACAGGAAAATGAATAAAGCACGCACATATATACATACAACTCTCAGATTATGTATTACATTTTTGTGCCTTCTCATCTCACCTTTGAGACCTTCCTTGATAATCATCGAAACCATTTAGGTAAAAAATTAGAAATTGGAAAGGCGAGTGACCTAGTCTTCTCTGGGCCCTGTGCTCCTTAAAATGCATATACCCTTACAACACAGCTTTGTTGCAGGGGTAAACATGGAATAATGTCTTTCTTTTACAAATGCAGCAGAGTATAAATAATTCAACAGTAAAACCTAATGTACTTCTAACAGTGTTTTTATTCTGTATTCAATATAGTCACTAAATTCAGTAGCAGGGGGTAAAATTTACAGCTGTACTTTCTTATAAGCACTGTCCTAGGTACCACCAAAGAACCATTGCTGACAGTCAGATGGAATCAATATTCACAGAAAGGTTTTTTGGGGTAGCTCAGGGCTTCAGACACAGATGTCCAAATCAGGGACTAGGGAATGGCATTTTTGGTTATTGCTGTTATGCTGTTGAGCAATAGTCATGTTCTCATTCCAGCTTTTGATGATGTTTCTCTCTGGGCCTTCTGTAAAGAGCCAGTTGGTGCTAATAACTCAGAAAAGGTATAAACATTTCTGAGAACTGCATTTTGGCTCTGAAGTAGGCTTTGCACTGTCTCATCTGTAATCAGTGTTTGTGGCCCAGATGGAACTATGACAACCAGTTATAGCTAAAAGATGACCAAGAAAGGCAGCCATAAGTATAGAGTAGTGCTTTTCAAACTGTAATGTGCACAGAAACCAGGTTGGGAGTTCTTGTTGACACACAGATTCTGTCTTAGTGAGTTGGGGTTGAGCCCAATAATTTGCATTTCTAACTATCTCTCAGGTGACCGTGATGGTGATGCTAGTTCAAGAAGAGCAATTTGAGTAGCAAGCATCTAAGATAGCACCTTGCATGCCAAACTAAGAAGCCTGGAGCAATTGCTCTATGGGAAAACAAATTACAAAAAAGTTTTAAGATGAAAAACAACATGACCAATTTAATATTTGAGGTAGATCAAGGTCTGCACCAAGTAAAGCACTGTGATTGATACAGGGAAACAAAAGAAATTCAATAATTTGGTCTCTGCCTTACAAAGAGATTGCCCCCTTGTAAATAGCAAAGGACATTGGGCATTGATATTTTATTGTAACCCGAATGTACCACCTCTCCACAGGCTCAGATAACATCAGATAAACTTTCTTCCTTAGATTTCATGGGCCGTGGTTCTGACTTACATAGTTGCAGCACTTCGAGCCTTACCTCCTGCTCCCATCATTTCCGGGGGTCTCCCGTCATTTCCAGGGGTCTCCCGTAGGTTGCACGTGTTCAGGAACTGCTCTTTTGTGTGTTTGGTTCTGGTTTCCTTACTGATGTCCACTTCAGGCAAAGTGATTTGAGGCTAATGCTCCATCCCTGCCAGTGCCCTCTGTGGCCTACCGCTCTCCTCTCAGGGCTGGCTCCTGACGGTCCCAGAGCTGCAGGACGCTAAACGCGAAAGTCAAGACATGCTATATGAGGGAAACCTTATTCTCCACCCCCTGAGGTTTTCTTTCATGTGGAGGAAGATCCATTAATGTAACATCACTGCCCTCTCCCCACCTCTCCTTCCATTTCAACTTATTCCCTGACCAGGGAAGAGATATGGCTTCACTGGACTCATGTTTGGAAGGAAAATTCCGATTTATAATCTAGCTTATTTTTTCCCCTTTCCCTAGAGCGGTGGTTCTCAAGGTGTGGACTTTGAATCAGCACATCAGCACCACCTGGAGCTTGTTAGAAATACAAATTATTGGGCCCAAACAGACCTGCCAAATCAGAAACTTGGGAGTGTGGTGGAGAGTGAGGCCCTGCAATCTGTGATTTAAATACTCCCTCTGGGTGGATTCTAAGACACTGGTTCTCAAACATTAGAGAGCATCAGAATCACTCCTGCAGTTTCTGATTCTAGAGAAAGGCCTGCTGTTCTTCAGAAAACGTGCATTATTCAGTATTTTTTGAGGTAAGGTTTTGCTTTCCTTGGGCGTAAAGTTATATAAAAGCAAAGCCTACTAACTCTTCCTATAGGAAACACATATATTTACCTGAAAAATTAAATGTTAAATCAAACTAATGCAACATATAAACATGCACTTGCAAGAATAACAAAATATAATTTGTGAGGAAAATTACATAGCTGTTGAGGAGTAAGATTACTCCTTCTGACCTAGCTAAAAGTTGTAACCAAGAAGGAATGGGCTGCTTATTTTGAAAAATAACAAAGAACTTCTCACTTCTTTAGGGGAAAGAATTTTTATGGATAACGTTAAATTTAAATGCCATGGCCAGGAAGAGACTCATTTCTGAATTTATTCTTCATCTTTCAATCGGCTGTGATTCTTTATTTACTGTAGAAGACACCACAACCCAGATAAAGTCTACCGGGGTGTTGGTCAAAAAGGAGTCCTGAAAAATGTACCTAGCCAGGCCCTACTTGTGCAGCATGAAGAGTAACTCATAAAATGAGAGGCTTGGCGCCTTCCAGCAAATGTGCCTCCAGAAAATATTTAATTCATTTATTCAAACACACTTTCATTAAACAATTCTGGACACTTTTTTTGAACACCTACTCTGTGCCAAACTCTGAGGCTAGAAACATGACAATTTATAAGAAGAAATTTGGCTCTATATGTGAAAGCATTCGTCAATACATTTTATTGGCAATAACGTGTGTGAGACTGACAAAATGCTTTCCACTCAGTTTTCCCAGAACCTGATAAGATAGGCATCACTTCACCTTTTATGGATGGGGAACCTGAATGAGGCCTAGGTCAAAAGGGCAAATCAAGGCCTCCTGTGCCGGGGTCCTGTTCCCAGACCCTACCCCCATTGTTCTTCCATCACAACATGCTCGGCTCCTCACACAGGGTGGTCTTGGCTCCCTCTTTGATGTAAACTGTGGATATGAACTTATTTGGAAAAAATGTCTTTGCAGATGTAAGTAAGTTAAGAATCTTGAAATGAGATCACTCTGAATTATCCAGGGGAGCTTTAAACTAATGACAAATGCCTTTAAGAAGAAGAGAAGACACAGAGGGAGGCAACCACGTAAGGATGGAGGCAGAGACTGGAGTGACACTGCCACGAGCTGAGGAACACCCGGAGCTGCCAGAAAAAGAAGAGGCAAGGAGGAGGCTTCCTCTAGAGCTTGAGGAGAGAATGTGGCCCTGCAACATCTGGATTTCCAACTTCTGGCCTCCTGAGTTGCAAGAAAATACATTTCTGTTGTTTTAAGACGCTATGTTTGTGGCCATTTTGTGATGGCAGGCCCTGAATTAGGATACTAATTCAGTAGTCATCAATTCATTTCTGAAATTACTCTCCTTGGCAATTCTAAGCTGTGTTTGTCACCTTTCTTTAATCCTAATCTCCTGAGAGCAAGGACTCTGCTTTAGATTGGACCCTGCTCTGTTCAAATGCCTGCCAGTGAAGCATCCTTGAAAAAAAGATTGAAATAATGGAGTAAATTTTGGTGTTCTCAATGGACATGCAATTATTCCCAAAAGATGAAAAAAGGAAAGACGCAAACATTTATTTAGCTTTTTGAGTTTATTTTACATTTGTAATTGATTTTATTCTACAGTTAACTTTTAAGGTCACTAGGTATTTCTTTAATCTAATTATGCTATTTTCTTATAGAAGGAAAATATGTGAAAGCTGCAGAACAAGCAAAGTGCTCTACCCTGTGCTGGTCTTTCCCCATGCGATGGTTACATCCTTGGGTGGCATTAAGCTCCAGGCGCATTACCCTACTCCCTGCAAGTGCTCAGCTCCTGCAGCTGTAACCACTGATCCTATGCCTACTTTCAAAGACTTGAATCATGGTCTCTTTCCTTTCAGGAAGGTTAGCTGAGAAATACAGCTCTGTGCAAAGCCTCCTAGTGGATCATACTTGCAAACAATTCTTTTCATAATCTTTTATTTATTCACTATAAAGTGAAAGAGAAGCAAAACCAAGTAATTTTCTAAATACCTTATGGACAGTGTACTGCACTATATAATTACAAATTAATTATAATGAGTGGATTCAGGTGATATTTTAATCGCATCTTTAGCTAGCCAATGTTGGAAGCACGTGTTGGAGATTTAAAACCTAAAAGCAAATTTACAAGTTGCCACAATCCTTGCTTCACACACTGCCACTCATACATGCTGGTGATCCAACTTCTGAGCTTGATTTGCAGAGAAAGAAACAAAAAACTATAACGAGTGGATGGCTCTTGTTCTTTAGAACTGAGAAAAAACTGTATGTAAATCACATAGGACAGGCTTTACTATTTCTTCTATAAAAATATATTGAGACATAGAACAAAAATAGTAAGTGGACAGTGCATCTAGATATTTTAAAATAGAATGACATGTGGTCTCACAATCTGAGGGTGGTTTCTTCACAGCTCATTTAGATACAATTTTGCTTGAAATAAAACTGGAAATATGACTCTCCACTGAGTGTTTTTAAAGCATCCATGTTGCTGGTGGAAATTCCTCAGGACTTTACATGAATAGTTTACTTTTGAGGTGTTTCAGACAGTAATCTCACCTTATTTTTCTTGCGCTTTTAGGAAATTCAGAAGTTTCTTGAGACTGGATAAAGAAAAAATAGAAAAAAAGTTTTGCTCTTTTATCTCTGCCTGAAACTTCTGAATCAAAGCTACTTGGCTAGCCATAAATTCTGAGTAGCCTCTCTCGTAAGGATTGCCAAGTGTGCGTTGTAACAACCAAGATGATAATGAATCATCATTTCTTTCTGTCATCTTGAGTTGATGAGAGTTTTCTTAGCTTTCTTTTAAGTGCCTTCTGATACACTTGATAAAATTGTTCAACACTATAGAAGCTACATTAGTTATTTCTGTGGGTGAGGCAGAGCCATTCGTTGCCAGATAGCAAGATGGTAGGAGTGTAGAAAGCAGCTTACTCTTTATAATGCAGGGGCAGAAATCAATTCCAGGGCCCAAGATATGGGATCTAAATAGAGTTTCTCTTCATATTTGAATATATTATCACTCACATTGAAGCTATTTGTGGTGTAGAAAGATCATGAATAACAAATTGTATTCTACCTTGCATTTCAAGGAAAACTACCTGCTGGGTCTTAGTTGGGATTCAATTCAACTCTTTCAAAGTTATAAGCATTAAAAGGTGATTATGTTTTCAGGAGCAGCCTAGTGGGATGGAGAAACATTTTCAAAAACTAAATATCAAGTAGAATGTGTCAAGTGCTTTTATTAGAAATAAACTGGATGAGAAGGAGACAGTGTGGTAGGCAAGATTAATTTCAACTGGATGGCTCAAGAAAGACAAAAATCAACTGAAAATAGATGAAAGACTTAATATAATACTTGAAACTATAAAAATACCAGAAGAAAACGTAAGGGAAAAATTCCATGGTCTAGACAATGAATTTTGGTATATGACCCCCAAAACACAGGCAACAAAAGCAAAAATAGACAAATGGAATTACATTAAACTAAAAAGCTCATGCACAGCAAAAGAAACAATTAGCAGAACAAATTGACAGCCCACAGAGTGGGAGAAAATACTTCAAACTATCTATTCAATAAGGGAGTTAATATTAAAAATATATAAGGAACTCAAACAACTCAATATCAAGAAAAAAATCTGATTAAAACATGGGCAAAGTACCCAAATAGACATTTCTCAAAAAGAAACGTACAAATGGTCAACAGGTTCATGAACAGATGCGCAATATCACCAATCATTAGAAAAATGCAAATTAAAACCACAGTGAGATATCACCTCACATCTGTTAGAATGGCAATTGTCAAAAAGATGAAAGAAAACAAGGTAAAAGATTGGCAAGGATGTGGAGAAAGGGGAACCCTTGTACACTATTGGTGGGAATGTAAATTAATACAGCCAGTATGGAAAACAGTATGGAGGTTCCTCAGAAAACTAAAAATAGAACTACCATGTGATCTAGCAGTCCCACTGCTGGATGTATTATCCCAAAGAATGGAAATCAATCTATGAAAGAACTCCCATGGTTATTGAAGCATTATTCATAATAACCGAGATGTGTAATCAACCTAAGCATACATCAACAAACGAATGGATAAAGAAAATGTGGTATATATACACAATGGAATACTACTCAGGCATTAAAAAGAAGAAAATTCTGTCATTTATGCCAACATGCGTGAACCGAGAGGACATTATGCTAAGTGAAATAAGTCAGGCACAGAATGACAAATATTACATAATCTCACTTATACGTGAAATCCAAAAAAGTTGAACTCCTAAAAGTAAAAAGTTGAGTGGTGGCTACCAGAGGCTGGACTGGGGAGAAAAGGGATCAGCAGGTACAAAGTTTCAGTCAGACAGGAGAAACAAATTTTTGAGAAATATTGCACAGTGAGGTGACTGCAGTTAATAAAGCTTCACTGTATATTCCAAAATAGCTAAGAGAGTAAATTTCAAATAAGTAACCACAAAAGGTGATAAGTAAGTGAGGTGATGGACATGTGAATTAGCTTGATTTAATCATTCCACATTGTTGACCTATATCAATATATCAGTCATAGCTCATAAATGTATACAATTAATACCGATTAAAATAATGATAATTTTGAAAAGGCTTTATGAAGGAGGTGATATTTGAGTTGTAGCACGGAAGAATACTTAGGATTTTTGTAGGCAAAACTGACAAGGCAGGCACCACAAAATGGGCTAATGATTGCAATAAAACCAAGAGAAGAGACAGCATTTCTAGACTTGGAGAAATATTTTTATTCTTTTGTAACTTGAGGAAAAATCATGTGTATATAGACCAGCTCCAAAGCCTCAGGGATGTCCAAGAACTGACCTCAATCTTTCACAGTCCGCAGGACGAGGCACTGTTTGTAAATTCATTACATGAGCCACGTCTCTGAGCGAACGATTCTGTTGGCTTTGTATTTTTCAGACTGTTGGCAGTTATAGTACTTCTCTATACCTGTGGAATTTCGGTTCAACTCTCAAAAGACCTATCGGATATGACACTGACGTGAGCCAGAAATGTCATAGAGTTTTCTAAGAAATACGGACTTTTCCAAATTGAGGAAATCATTTTCAGAGGACACTTGGAACCATGACTTTAATTTGTATAACCCAAAATGCTATTTTTAGTGAGGAGGAAGCAGCACTCTAAAATGCCAACGTTATTAATTGTGAAAAAGTTGAGGTCATTTTTTCATATATTTAGAGATGGGCAAATTCTTTGAAATGCCATTTTATTTTTCCTTTTACTATTTACCAGATGTTGTGAAGAATTTTACAATTATTGTTTTAAATTCATTTAAACAGAAAATGCTTGTTTATTGAACTCTGTAGTGAGATGCCTTTTATTTATTTGCTTGAAAATATTTTCAAGGAAGCATTAACTTGGAAGGCAGTTTGGGCTCATAAGGGAAGCTGAAGGCAGGAAACCAGACACGTGGTCCTATTGTCCTGTGACTTTGGGTAAGGAATATCACCTCCTTGTACTTCAGTTCTTGCCATTATTTTTTTTAATAATAGAGAGGGTATTAAATTATATCTATCACTTGTTATCTCACAGAGGTGAAATGAGAATATAAGAAGATAGATAAATAAGACTGTTTAGATAAAAATACTTCGATTATTTTAATAGCCCTTTAGTAAATTCTTGTTGACTCTGCTAAGAATTCATAAAGTTATATAGGGGAGTCCACTAATAAATACATGGTTTATCCTGAGCCTTAGCTTTAGTGTCTGATGTGATGTAGATTTTTGATAAGTTTAAAAATGAGAAATTTGTGCAAGAAACTTATACTCTTCACTCTGGCTAGAAATCAGCTTGCTTTAGGCTTAAATCCATAAAACATAATCAGAGTTTTTATGAGGAACACTTACTAAAGTCATTAAATAAAGGTCAGAATATCAATATAATGCTCCATTTTTTTAAAAAAAGGATTGCGAGTTAGCCGATGGATGCGAGTTATAAATTCTCCTGCAGATTTATTTACATTCTGAGTGTCTCCACAGTTCTGTGTGCCATAATTCCATATTTATACTCCACATGTCTTTGGCACATCAGATAAATATATTTTATTGTGTTATTCTGCTTCTGACATATGACTATTTCTTTATTCCTCTCTAAAACCTCTTTTTTTTTTTCCTGATTCTGGTTTCTTACGTTTGAACTACCTGTACTCTTCTCAAAAATACTCTTAGTATTTCATAACTGTCATTTTATGAGTCATCATAGTGCATGCATGAGATGTTATAAAATTTTATATTACCTGCTTCTGGTAGAAAAAATAGAGCCAAGGAGAGGTTGTGTTAGGAATTACCATAGAGACAATGCAGCCAAGATTTCAGGGTGCTTTTACCTGACCAAAAAGTGTGCTCACATCTCCCCGTCAGCAGACCTTCCAAAGTTCTTGATTGAGTCATTTTATAAACCTTGATTCTTTATAAGATTTTATACTAACTCACACAGGTGGATATTTAAGATTTATGGAAGAACTATGACACAACTCTATGAAATGAAAGTAAACATATCAATAAAACATGAAAAAAGTTTTATTTCACAATACATAAATAACGGTTGATTTTAAACCAAACTGTACCATGTATGTAAATCGAGTCAATTATTTAGTTGTCATATGCTGTATTTCTTACAGGTTCCATCTGATGCATTGATTCCAAGGGAGGGGATTTCTAGCTCAGATTGAAGTGTTGAAGGGGCACAGCTAACAGGGACAGGTAGAGGTCCTATTTTGTAGCAGAGTATGATTATTCCACTTACTCAGGGTGTATTATAAATTAAAGGAATTCGAAAATAATTTTCCTAAAACATGTTTATTCACTTTGCATATTTTTCTTTCCTATTATTTTCCCACTTAAATTTACACAGACTGGTCTACATGTTCCAACAGTACTCCATGGTGCAGACATGCACACCCTTTTAGTACTTCTCTTTGCAGCAAAGCCTCTTAACCTGTGGCCCCTGGGCCCTGAGTGGCTCAAGGATGGTTTTCAGCAGCTCTAGTCACTCCCTGGAGTTGTGTGGAAAATTTTGTGGGTAGCACATATGTGCATTCTTCTGCACAGAGTAACTTTCATTAGAAGACCTGAAATACATTCCTCCAAAATAAAGAACACCTATTTATCTGTTCCTTTCATTTAAACATCTGAGGACACACAGATCTCATTTATGAGCCCTGATTCCTGCAACATACACAAAACAGATTTCTATGAGAAAAATCAATGATAGCAGTGATTAAATCAAACACATTTTTGTTTAAATGCTAGATTTATTTGAGATATAATTGATGAAATAGCTATAACTACAGTCCCATTTCACTTGAGGTTCTTGAAGTGAAGAACTCCATAATTTTACCATGAATACCCAGTGATTTTAAATGCCCAATAGACAATAGAAGTGGGTAGAGCAAAAGGAAAATAAGAATTTTAGGGAGCAAAATATTGGGTACCTTAGGCCAGGGGTCCCCAATCCCTGGGCCATGGACCAGTACCAGGTCACACAGCAGGAGGTGAGTGGCAGGTAAGCCAGTGAAGCTTCATCTGTATTTACAGCCACTCCCTACTGTTCGCATTACTGCCTGAGCTACACCGCCTGTCAGATCAGCAGTGGCAATAGATTCTCATAGGAGTGTGAACCTTACTGTGAAACTGCGCATGCGAGGGATCTAGTTTGCATGCTTCTTATGAGAATCTAATGCCTGACGATCTGTCATTGTGTCTCATCTCCCCCAGACAGGACTGTCTGGTTGCAGGAAAACAGGCTTAGAGGTCCCATTGATTCTACCTTATGGTGAGTTGTATAATTAATTCATTACATATTACAATGTAATAATAATAGAAATAAAGTGCACAATAAATGTAATGTGCTTGAATCATCCCCAAAGCATCCCCCTCTCCCTACCCCCAGTCTGTGGAAAAGTTGTCTTCCACGAAACCAGTCCCTGGTGCCAAAAAGGTTAGGGACTGCTGCCTTGGATGCATTGACCTTTGCACTCTCCATGTGTGCTCTAATTTAATGGGGATGTCCTAGTGCAAAGGCAGCCAACTGCTCTTCAGAAGGTGGAGGATGCTTTCTGCCTCCCTCGGCCCCTGTAGGTGTCTAGTTTGGGATGTTTAATACAGAGACTCTTTCCCAGGGCTTGGTTATTCGGTGATTATGAAAGTGAGCACAAATATTATATCAACACTCTGCAGAGTGTTAAGAATATTCACAAGTTTTTATTAAAAATATAGGACATAAGAACAGTGGCTCTAACTCTGGAGATCAGAATTACTTCATTTAGTGTGTCTGTAAAGCTGCTATACTTGTTTTCTACAGGAAAGACATGATGCCTTCTTTTTCTTTCAATTTTGCTAACATTGTTATAACAGTTAATAGATTACACCATTTAATTCTTACAACACCCCTATCTGGTAGATGTGATTGTGTAAGTGTGGAACAAAGGTGGAAACAGATTAGTGAACTTGAGTCACGTGTGCAAGATCAAGGTAGGAGCCACAGCCACAGCATGTGGCCTTGGAACTACACCTGATGGTTACAACACATCTCCAGTGGTACAGATTTGGGTTGTAGTTCTGTCACAGAATTTTTTGGAGGCTTCCAATCTTGCCTTTCAACTGAGGCTCCAGTCTCTGACCTCTTCAGTCATGTTCTCAAACTTGCACACATAGGCAATGCTGTGGAAATGAGCTCCTGAAAGAAAGCTTAATCAAAGAATGGAATTTTACCACTAACTTTATCATCTTAGGCAAAATTTGTGATGTGTGTTTGGTTTTGTCACCTGGAAGTTGAGGGAAGTATCTAGGGGCTCTTCCCATTCTTCCCATGATCAATGTTGAACAAAGTATGAAGAGAGGAATGCATATCTGGCTCTCTTTCCCTCATCCCACTAGATTACTCTGTCTTCACAAGGTATATTTCTTAAATTAACATTTTAGTTTTAGTTCTGTGTACAGTCATGTGTCATTAACAACTGGGATACTTTCTGAAAAATTTATCATCAGGAGATTTCATCATTGTGCAAACATCACAGAGTGCACTTCCACAAACCCAGATGGTACACCTACCACACACCTGAGCTATACAGTACAGCTTATTGCTCCTAGGCTACACACCTGTACAGCATGTTACTCTACTGAATATTGTAGGCAATTATAACACAATGGTGAGTATTTGTGTATCTAAGCATAAAAAAGTACAGTAAAAATATGTCATTATATTCTTATGGAACCATCATCATGTAAGTGTGGTTCTTTGTGGACTGAAACGTGTTATGTGGCACATAACTGTACATGCATCCCATTGTATTAAGTTCTATGACTTTATGTTACAGAATAGCTGATTGCCTGTTCTTACGGAAGCTTTTTGTCCTCAGGGAATACAGACATTTACAGAGCAGAGAAGGGATTCCTACCTTTCCTTCCCCTCTCCGTGCTTAGAAAGTGTCATGTTTTTCTGGGTGAAGAAGATACATTTTACTCATGTTAGACATAGATTTTTAACCTCAATCATCAAATGACCATTTTAAGGTCTCATATTTCTAATTGAATTGATTTTATTGGCCAGGTAAAATAGGGCTAATAATAGTTAAAATAATGAGTGATTATCATATGCTTGTCACAAAGATAAGATCTTTATGTATGTTATTTAATCTGTACAGCAATGTCTAGGTCACAATAATGGGACCAGGTATGTGCCATTACCTTTTTTATTTTATAGATAAGGGCATTTTGTTAGTGTGCTAGGGCTGCCATAATGAAGTACCACACACAGCGTGGCTTAAACAACAGACGTTTATTGGCTCACAGTTCTAGAGGCTGGAAGTCCAAGGGCAAGGTGCCCGCAGGTTGGTTTCTTCTGAGGGTTGTGAGGGAGAGTCTGCTCTAGGCCTCTTTCAGGTGTCTTTGTACCGCCTCCCTCCGTACTTATCTGTGTCCAAACTTCCTCCTCTCATGAGGACAACAGTCATACTGGATTAGGACCCACTCAAACAAGTTCATTTTAATTCAATTGCCTCTTTAAAGACCTTATCTCCAAATCCAATTACATTCTGAGACACTGAGGGTTGGAACTTCAATATATGAAATTTTGAGGGGCCACTTCAGCCCACAGCAGGTACTGAATGCCAGAGAGTTTTAATAACCTTAAAGTCTCACAGCTGGGGTGTGGCCAAAAATTAGATCTGCCACAATGGCTGTGCATGATCCTATTTTTCTCTACCCTGTGGTTTTATTTAACTGGTTGGAAATCTATGGAGAGAAACAGGAGAGAACACAAGAAGTGAACTTGATGTTTATATAGAGTTTACTAGCAATGGAGGGTGAACTGAAAGACGTTTGGTGCACAGTGAGTAATTCTCATCCCTGCCTACGCCTGCTTAAAGCTGATCAGATTAAAGAGATCTCTGTCCATCAGGAGCTACCTGACACCCAGGTGATGTGCAGAGCCTTATTCAAGCTGGATGGAGCTTTCCAATTCGCTCTTCCTCAGATCTTCGTTGGACACCTACTCTGTCATGCTGTCGTAGTCTGTTTTGTGCTGCTATAACAGAATACCACAGATGGGCAATTTATAAACAACAGAAGTTTATTTGGTTCTGGAGCCTGGGAAGTCTAGGATTGAGAAGCTCACATCTGGCAAGGAACTTCTAGCTGCATCATAACATGGAGGAAGGCATCCTATGGTGAGAAAGCATGCCAGAGATCTGAATGTGCTTTCATGACAAACCCACCCTTGAGTTAAAGAAGCCACTCCCACAATAACAACATTAATCCATTCAGGAAGGCAGAGCATTCATGACATATTCACCTCTTAAAGGACCCACCTCTCAGCACTTTTGCATCAGAGGTTACGTTTTCAACACATGATCACTGGGGGACACACTCAAACGACAGCACATGTCAAGACTGTTCCAAACGGCAGAGACACAAGTCAATATGGGATGTCTCTGCTGCCTGCAGGGTGTTTGCATTTCGGTCGGGGAGGCAGGCAATACACCAACTGTACACAATGCTCTGTCAGTGGGGCAGAGTGCTAGACAGAGAACAGAAAATGGGATGAGGGGCAGGAAGTGATGAGAAACGTGAGGATCTGGGACAAGTGCTCCAGACAGAAGAATAGCATGTAAAAAGGCTCCTGGGGGGATTAGGCTTGCCTGCCAGGGAATGCCAAGGAATGAGGTGAGTGGGGCACAGTGAACAAAGGTGGTGATAGAAGACGGTTCAGGTGGTTGAGATCTACAAGGCCTTATAAGCCAAGGGAGGAGTTAGAATTTTATTCTGAGTGTAATGTGAGACCTTGGAAGAGCTGGTGTGTTCCTGTTGCGTGTGGGGGTTGGGGGGCAGGGAGGCATGCACTGTGTTTTGCATTTTGAAATGATTATTCTTGGAGCTCTGAGGAGAATAGACTGTGTGTTGGGGTGGGAAAGTGAAAACAGGGAGCCCACTTAGGGTCATTCATTCACTTAATCAATCAAACAATCAATCAATCAGAATGTCACCTTACAATGGGATATATACATGGAGGATGGAATTACAACCCTGGAGTCTCAAATCCTGAGTTTTATTTTTGGTGTGCTCATTCATTCCATTTTCTGTGATCTTGAATTAGGACCTTAAAATTCCTGAGAGGCAAAGGAAAAAGTCTGAAGATTTTCTGCCTTTAGATTTGTGAGTTGTAGGTGTTTGATAAAACATGAGCTTTTGAGTATAGAGGGAATGTTGGGACTGTCAGAATGTTGTCTGCCTCCAGTTGATGGAGCCAGTGTAGCCGTTATAGTCACTCCAAAAGGTCACATCAAGGTAAAGAGAAACACTTAATGCTCAAATTATTGATGTTCCCGTTAACATGCTTTCCCCACAAAAGCCCTGTCTGGCTAGAAGCCTGGGGACAAGGCCTCTGCCGACTCGATCTAGCACCAACCTTGCTATAACTAATCCCCTGGTATCCTGTCTGGCTACCAGGGTGGAAACGGCCTTCACTTTCCAGGCAGCTCCAGTGATTCCTCCACAACCCAATTCTTTTAAAAGCTGAGGGCCAAGTCCCACAGAGCAAGAGCCAGGAAATACCGGCCACCTAAGCTTTTGAGAATCAAGGAGTCAAAGAACCTAACAATGTTGGCTTGTCTTGGTTTACTTGGATCTGAGCCTCCTGAGAAAGATTCCTGTAAATGGCCTGAATATATATTTTGTTTCTCACTGCAATAACATTCTAGGACATTGCCTCTGTTCAGAGCTCTCCTAAGCAGGCAGTAATTATGGGCAGTGGAACTAATCACTGTACATATACCTTTGTAAATCTGGCTCTCATTGGTGGAATTTGTTTAACACCCCCCAAAGTAGGGTATATGCTTTTTTGGCATTAACATTAACCCTAGTCTTTAAGGGACTCTCACAAAATATGACACTGGATAAATGAGAATGATGTGATAGAAAAGTCCAGAGTTTCCATGTACTTCTATATACTGGTCCCTGGGCATGAAATTTGAAAAAGTTTTAGGTGCTGTTTACCTTCTTGATGGATTAAATCTGAAAAAAAAGTAGGGGGGAGCTAAAAGACATTAACACTTTCTAAATTCTTTTATTAGTAAGAAAATACTGTGTTTAGGGGCTCAGATTTGTAAAAAGGAGGAAAAAACCCTGCAAATAACTTACTGTATTTAAGGAAAGTACTTCCTTTTCAAAATAAGAATACAATCAATTGCAAAAATTGCTTTGAAAGAAGAAAGAAATATTCACAGTGGGGCAACTTTCAATTGTATCACATAGCAGCAAAATCAATTCCTTTTCTTCCTGTTTATTTTTCATAATTTTTTATACATTTGTTAGTCATAAAACTTATTTTGCTTAAAAAGGCTTACCTGATTCTGAATCTGCCTTCTCTGATTTTTTTAAAAATAAATAGAAAGAAATTTAGATTTTACTTGTAACCAGATAAATCAGTTCACATGAAAAACACAGGGGACTGTAACTTTCTTGAAGGCCTAAGCAGCAGAGGAAATTGTTCTAAAGGAGGAAAGAGGGATGCTGTTGAAATGAACTCAGGTTTAAATGTGCCACCTGAAAAAAGGAGAGACAATATAAGTAAAGAGCACTAAATGTTAACTATTTTAGTATGAATTTAGCATCAGGGATAGAGGTGATGGCTTAAACAGTAAATTTTACAAAGATAGCTGAGATTGATTTAGCATGGTATTCTACATTTTCCCTCTTTCCTTATTTTACACCAACTTCTAGAAAGATGAGTGTGGGTTCTTCAAGCACACATGTACAGTGCATATAAAACTTAGAAGCATGTCAGAGAGAAGGTAAAGCTAGTCTTAGTGTAAAATATTTACAAATTATCTGCAGAGTTGTTTGTCCACATGCACATGACTGCACCTTAAATTTTTATAGATCTACTACCAAATAATAAAACAATGAGTCACTTGTCTGGTGACTCCGTTTCTAAGAATATCCTAAGTGTGGAAATGACATATATTCCACATCGTGCGGAAGCTTTTCATTTTTCTGTGCGCTTTGCCAGCCTGTTAGGTCTTTGGGATCGTGTAGAGGTGGTGCAGTGGTATTGGGAAGGGAAGGTGAATGAATGCACACGCAGGTCCGTACCCAGGACAGACATTGCTCACCAGTCATAACAACCTTTCTTCTGAGTCCAGATGCAGCTTTAGACTCTTTCTCAGCACAGCATTCTAGGCAGCCACAACCAATTGCTTTAAAAGCAGGCATTCCAGTTGAGCCTTGTTACTATCTCTGACACGTTATATGCATGCTCCCAAAGTTTTGACAAAAATCCTACTGGACAAGATGAATCTGCTGATGAGTGGACAGAGAGAATAGTTCAGAGGAGCCACAATGACAAGGCAGCAATACCTAAAGACCGCCAAATGAAAACGTTAAGTCTTTTAACCTTGGGAGTAAGTTTTTGGATGTAAGAGTCCGTGTGTGTGTGTGTGTGTGTGTGTGTGTGTGTGTGTGTGAAACGTCAGGGACCTCCATTCTCGTTAGATATTTGAATTGCATAATTAAATGTATACAGAGATGGCATGCTGAATAATGCCAATAAGAATGATAGTGAAAATGATACATCTAATCTGTAGTAGGCATGAAAGACTTTTCTATATTATCTCTGTTCTGCTCATTAACCCTGCAAAGTGGGCCCAGAGAAGATAAGAATCTCATAGAAGATCAAGCAGGTGGAAAGCAGAGGAGTCAGCATAGAAACCAAGTTTCGTATGACCTCCAAATATATGTTCTTTCTAGTCCAACATGTTGATTTTCACATTTGCAAATAACACGCAGGTGATATTTTAGGTGACAACCAAGACACAAAATGACCTATCAGCTGGAATTATGGTTGTGAGCTAAGACTAAATTGAACAACAATCAATTTTAACTTATATAGTACAATTGTTCCTCTAAGATAGCAGTCCTCAATCTTTTTGGCGCTGGGGCCAGTTTCATGGAAGACAATTTTTTCATGGACAGGAGGGTAGGAACAGGGGATGGTTTCAGGCTGAAACTGTTCCACTTCAGATAATCAGGCATTAGAGGTCTCATAAGAAGTGTGCAACCTAGATCCCAAGCATGTGCAGTTTACAATAGGGTTTGTGCTCCTGTGAGAATCTAACGCTGCTGCTGATCTGACAGGAGGTGGAGCTCAGGCAGTAATGCTCACTTGCCCGCCGTTCACCTCCTGCTGTGTGGCTCAGTTCCTAACAGGCCAAGGACTGGTATGGGTCCATGGACTGGAGGTTGGGGACCTCTGCTCTAAGATATAGGGAGGGTAGGAGGCTTAACAGTCTTTCCATTGAAAAGACTTGAAAGCTCCACTTTACTTAGGTTAAAATATGCCACTTATCTTGGCTTTCATTAATAGACAGAAAGTGTCCCGATTAAAGGAGGTGCTATTCCCAAGGAAGCCAGTGTGGAAATCAGGGGAGAACATACAGGAGGGCTCCCTTCTTATCTCCCCAGGATTCAAGAAAGGAACTTACACATATAGCCGTTTGTTGGCAATGATTTTTAATATTTTTATTCAGCATTTATTTATTAGGAATGGGAGAAATTGAATTTCTAAAATTAATTTTCTAGACTAAAAAGTCTATATTTCTTCTTTATCTTTAAAATAGGAGATTTACTTCTGAAACTAAAAATCATTATAATTTTGTTCAAGGTTTTCTTTTGCTTCTGTTTTTCTGACACTAAAACTAGATAGTATTAGTGTCAGAAACATGAGGAGGATAGAAGTAACTTACATGGATATTATTTTACAGCATTATTCAAAATATGTATGTTTCTTTGGATTTTTCATATCTGTAAAATATTTTTTATTTTTCTCCTCAGTTCTTTCTTGTCATTTCCTAAACCAAATATATTCTTGGAAATCTTATTAAAGGGTTTTAGCTTTAAGTGGTCATTCATAATGTGATTTGCCATTTAATATTTGACTTCAGAATGCTGGCTCTGTAATGGCTGATTTTAGGTGACTGCCAGGTGGCTGATCTCAGAGACGCCTGTGGGCAGCTTGGACCTTTCTAATCCTGTTGCAAAAATAGCCACTGGAGTTTTTGTTTTGTTTTGTTTTGACTCAAGTATAGTGTCTGGGACAAATTTACATACTACAGTTTTATAAGAAGCCATGATAAAAACTCAGTTACCTGGGACCATATTCCATTTATTACGAAGATATTTAATGTCCAGTATAGATCAGTGCCCTAGCCAGCAGCAAACTGGTCCATACTGAGTTTGCTTCCAAATAAAAAAAAATCAAACTGCATTTTTGAGCATGCATTACCAAAACCTTTACTTTTATGACTTTAAACACATTAACTCTTTCCCTCTTCATTATTTATAAGTCAGAGTTAAATTGAAAGGGAAATAGGTGGATGATTTGGAAATTCAACTATAGGTACTCCACAGATGGCTTACATTATACTGAAGGGTATGTAAAATTTGGCAGCATCAACAAATATACTTTCCTTACCCTCAAAATGAAAGAGAAAGTCTTAAATAGAAAGTGGGTATTTAAAATTGTATTCAAAGGTATGCTCTAATTCTTTGAAAATGCTTTAAGTAAGGGTCCGCATTTTAGAACATATTTGACTTACACTTTTACTTACATTACTGAGTAGTAGCACGTGCAGCTTAGTGAACTTCATGGTACTTTCGAATGAGGCAGTCAGAGACTGGGCAATCCTGTGTAACTAATCTTGTCGAGCCTCACAGGTGAGAATAAAGAATGTTCTTAAAAACAGCAACATACATTTCAATAGACATCTCTTAAATGTTTGCAGTAGTTTGTTTTCTTATCACTTTGATCATCAAAGATCCCATCTCCTCCAGGTTGCTGATTCAGATTCAGAGATGTCGCCATACCTGAGTCTTCTTTTTTCACAGAAACATTACAGTGAAAGAGAATAATATTTAAACATTTCGTTTGAAAGATCCTGCCAACCTTGTTACCCCTGAGGGCTCCTAGTCTTAGAAGCACAAAGTTTTAGTGTTTCAAGGTTAGGGTGATATCTGCTGGGAAAAAGTATACATTTCTCAGCTTTGACTGTTGAATTAGACTTTTGCTTGTGTTCAGAGAAAGCAATTTGCTGAAAAGTCAGGCTTTGTTAAAAGTGAATTTGTTAAATTGCTTTAGCATATCAAGAACCAGGCTTGGAGGGCTCAGACCACAGAGTTTTTATGCACGTAGAAAAGGTCTCCTGACCAACCATAGAATCTTTAATCTGTGTGGAGAAGCTGTTCTTTTATGGCAGCTAGGCTGTGAGATTTGATACTACAGGATATGCTAAAAATGTGATGTAGAGAAGAAAAGTCCCAGATCCACAACTTCTAACCCAAGCCTTTCAGGGGAAGAGGGAGATGAAGGTAGGAGAGACAAGAGACAAGTATTGTGTTAAATCTCTGTGTGGTTATCGACCTGGAGAGGGGAAATATATGAGGCAGGTTCAAAGGGACTTGGAGAAACTGATGACTTGGGCCTGTATTCATCTTTGGAGGTCTCAGAGGTCACCTGGCAAAAAGTCTCACACAGTCTTCTGTGGGTGGCTGCACCACGATCAATTTAGTAAGCAAGAGAGATGTGGAAATTTGGCAAGCCAGAGAGAGCCTGGCATTGTGCTTCCCAGCCACCTTATCAGGTGGCCTTATGGAAGCTCAAGATCACTATGTGCACACAAAAAGGGGAAGGAGTCAGGCAGACAGCTGGCAGGAAGCGAACGGCCTGCTGAGACTGGCTACCAGGAGTGGCGCTGAGCTGCAGCATATATGTGCATGTGTATGTGTGTGCACGTGTGTGCATCTGTGTGTGTAAGTATAAAATTCAGGTTTATGAGAAAGATTGGAATAGTCATAGAGAGATCAAGAAACTAAGTCCATTCTCATGCTGCTAATAAAGACATACCCTGGACTGGGTAATTTATAAAGGAAAGAGGTTTAATTGCCTCACAGTTTTGCAGGGCTGGGGAGGCCTCAGGAAACTTAGAATCATGGCAGAAGTGGAAGCAAACACATTCTCTTCACATGGTGGCAGCAAGGAGAAGTGCTGAGGAAAATGGGGAATAGCCCCTTATAAAACCATCAGCTCTCATGAGAACTCACTCACTATCACGAGAACAGTATGGAGGTAACTCTCTCCGTGATTCAATTACCTCCCACTGGGTCCCACCCATGACACGTGGGGATTATGGGAACTACAAGATGAGATTTGGGTGGTGACACAGCCAAACAATATCATTAACTATATTTATTTATTTAGTTAGTTTTGCACATCTGACTCTAGTTTAACAAACTTGGGACCCTAATATAAAGAAAAATAGAGCTGACAAAAGGTATATCTTATGCCTATTTTTGAGAATTGATTTGGGCACCATAATGAGATGAAAGGGGAGTGGGGTGCAAGAAAAGAGAGAGGGAGATATTTCAGCAGCAGGGGCTTTTAACTGTGCAGTCTATGAGACTTTGATGTTTTGTGAATAAGCCTACAGCCTATAAACCTATATAAGAAACCCCTGAATTTTTGTACTACCTTTTTAGGTCTATGGATTTTGGGGAGAGGGAGGATATATCACTTGTAGCAAATTTTAAGAAAGACACAGTTTTAAGTTTTAAGAAAAACACAGTAAAGAACCATTTTCCAAGCACACCGATTTCTTCACCCCAAACTATGTTCAGCTATTTCTGACTGGAGAAGTTTCTATTGTGTGACAACTCTGGATTGGAACCAAGAAAAAAAAGGCCTGAATTATGGGAAGAAGGATCCATTCTTAGCTGTCACTAAGGTCTGAATGTTTGCTTCCCCACATATTCATGTATCAAAACCTAATCACCAATGTGAAGATATTAGGAGGTGGGGTATCTGAGAGGTGATTAAATCATAAGGGTAGAGCCCTCATGAATGAGATTAGTGCCATCATAAAGGAGGCTCTAGAGAGCTCCCTCACCCACTTCACCGTGTGAGGACACAGTAAGAAGGAATCATTTATGAACCTCAAAGCAGTATCTCACCAGACACTGAATCTGCTAGCACCTTGATCTTGGACTTCCCAGCCTCCAGAGCTCTGAGAAATAAATTTCTGTTGTTTATAAACCACCCAGCCTATGTTATTTTTTATAGTACCCAAATGGACTATGAGAGCTGTTTTGTTGTGGTCTCTTGAGATCAAGTTTTTTTTTGGAATTATTCCAGATATCCCAGAAGCATATTAGGTGGAGGTAGAATGCTTAATTTCACCCTGTGCACACCAGCCAGTAACAAATCCAAACGGGATGTTTGGGGTTGAATTCATGATCCCAAGATGATCTCAAGAATGCATGGAAATGGATAATGACTAGGAATCCCTACTTTTAATTAGAACACTAGACACTGTGGCCATTCTGAACTGTATGGTGAGTTGCTACTTATCAATGTTATGAAGACTTAAGCAAAGGTATAGATAGTATACATTTGAATGTTTTAACTCAAGACACCAGCGGTCTTGCTCTAGAAAGAAAAAAAACACTGCAATGGGCAGGCGAGAGGCTTATGTTTACGTGCTGGATTTGAAGGAGCTCACCCATTTTCTTGAGGCTGTCGCGTTCCCTGCCAGTTTCCTATCTGTGTTCTCCAGGCTCTATCAGTCTATGGACAGGGAAGGAAATGTGCCATCTAGCCCCACAACTTAATCTCCTATGTTGTAATATTAAATGAAATTTAGTCGAGATTTCTATTTGAGGTGGGATGATGTATGGAGTCATTATAATAGATTCAAAATATAAATGTAAAAACCTCCTCTTTTGTTCCAAAAGCACTGTTCACAAGCAAAATTCTCCAAAGATCTGAAGGATATTTGTGAATTAGACTTTTGGGAGTTCTTCCAATTCCTCAGGCTTTGGTGTCACATGTTTTCAGACTGAAGAAAACATAAAACAAATGGTTTTCATTGTTTTGAAACTGCATCCTGATTCATAAATAGTTCTGTCCAATGTTTCCTTGAAAACATTTCTTCTGACCAAACATGTTGGAGAACTTTGAGTTGGGAGAAGAGAATTCCTGAGCTATGTCATCATGAAATCGATCTATGCTGCCTCAGGCTTCTCCTGGTAATCAGAGCATAATCCCTGTGTTCCTGCCATGAACTCTGTTTTCCATGGCATCTGGAGAATCTGACCTTTAAATGCTTTATCTCTTCAATGTCATTCTCAGCAATCAGAATGCCATTGATATTAGAGCCCATGTGCTGATTAAATCAGCTGGTCATCAGTTCAGTTAAGGAAAAATAAAAACGTAAAAACAAACAACAAACTAGTGCCCCTCAGACGTCAGCCAGAAGTTGGCATAAAATAAAGTCCATCTTCTGTGCTGCCAGTTATGATAGAGCTCCTTTATCCAAGTTTAGTTCCAGAACAAACTCGAGCCTCTCACCTTGAAACAGATGAGAGCCCCGGGGCACACACACTCAAAGGGCTCTGAAATTCTAGTCAATGGTTCATCTCTGGCTCTCCCAAGGTGACTGGTTTTGGGGATGATGAGTGGGGTGGATGTTGATGCACATAACCACAACCAAAAATGGCCATAGTGGGCACACTTTGCCAAGAGGCCTCCACATTTTAGTTAAAGGGAAGTAGAAAGAAAATGCAGCAATCAGGTTTGAATGTTTTTCTGAAACCCAGTCTGAGATTGCATTCCTCTCCTAGGACTGTTGCAACAAAGTATCACAAATTGGGTGGTTTAAGACAACAGAAATTGATTCCCTCACAGTTCTGCTAGCCAGAAATCCTAAATTAAGACAGGGTTGGGTCCTTGTGAGAGCACTAAGGGAGAATCTGTTCCATTCCTCTGTCCCAGCTTCTCGTGGTTGTTGGCAATCCTTGGTGTTCCTATAAATGCATCACTTCAATCCCTGCCTCTGACTTCACATGGTGTTCTCTGTGTGTGTGTGTCAAAGTTCCCTCTACTTAGAAGGATGTTAGTCATATTTGATTGAGTTCACCCCACACCAGTATGTCCGCATCTTAATTTGATTATACCTGCAAAGACTATTTCTAAATAAGGTCACATTCATAGTTTCCGGGTAGATAGGATTAAAAAAAAATATTATGGATATATAATAGCTGTGGATATTTATGGGGTACGTATGATATTTTAATACAAACATACAATGTGTAATGATCAAGTCAGGGTAATTGGGATATGCATCACCTCAAATGTCTAATCATTAATTTATGTTAGGAACAATACAATTCCATTCTTTTAGCTATCTTGAAACACCTAATAAATTATTAACTATAGTCACCCTATTGTTCTACTGAACACTAAATCTTATTTTTTCTGTCTAACTGAATTTTGGTACCCATTAAAAAATCTATTTCCTGCTCCCTACTGCCATTCCTAGCATCTGGTAACCATCCTTCTACTCTCTATGTCCATGAGTTCATTTTTTTTTAGCTCCCACATGAGTGAGAACATTCAATATTTGTCTTTCTGTGCCTGGCTTATTTCATTTATCATGATGTCCTCCAGTTCCATGTTGTAAATGACAGGATTTCATTCTTTTAATGGCTGAATAATATTCCATTGTGTATATGTACTACATTTTCTTTATCCATTCATCCCTTCATGGAGATAGGTTCTTTGAGGGGACCCCATTCTATCCAGTACAGAGACCATTCTGTGTCTAGAGACTAGTTAGAGCCATTGTTAAAGTTCCTGTCATGAGCAGAATATAATGCTGCTCAGGAGTCTTTGCTGAAGCCTTGATCCCAGATATTTATAACTACCAACATTTTTTTGCAATGAATTCTGATAATGTCTACATTTTCCTAGAAGTTAAAATACTTGACAGAATAGTTTTTTATTTTATCTTCCCTACGGATTATAGTCACTTGTCAATTTCTGCCTCCAGATTGAGCTTTGTAAAAACATAGGAATTAGATGAGAAGCTGCTTCTTCCTCTATTAAAGATATCACGGCAACTATTTCTCCTGTCTCTTGCTTCTGATGAGTTACTTTTTTGCTAATGATGATACTATCCTACTTCCAATGAGAGAAAGCCTTGGAGTTGCACCGTAATATGTTCAGAAGTGAACTCCTGTGGTCTGTCTGCATTTTAATAATGGTTAGTCTTGGTCAACATTCTCAAGCTGTTTTCCTCTGGACACTGTTGTCTTGTGACGTTGTCTTGTGATGTTGTATTTGATGTTCCGTGATAAAAAGATCATTGGTCCAACTTGCTTGGGAAATATTGGATTGTAAACACGTCCTAGAGACTCTCAGTGCACATTAGCATATCAGAGACTCTAAGAATGCAATAAAGAAATCCTAAATAAAGAAATCTAAAATGTATCTAGGTTGCTCTGCCCAGTGTTTTGTTTAAAAAAAAAATCACTTTCAAAATGTTTTTTTCTAAGAAGTAAACGATTTAGAGAATACTGTGCTAATACTTGGAGAAAAAACCAGATATTTGATATATATCTCACCTGAAAAAATTAGACAACTGATACGTGCTCTGTAGTTTTTATGTTTGCTTTGTGATTTTATCTTATTAAAGCTTCTTACCAGATGTCAGAGATGTCATGACAGAAAGACATTTAAAAATATTTAGAAATTTTTTATTTTATTTATTTATCTATTCATTTTTTATAATTTCAACTTTTATTTTAGATTTGGGGGTACACGTACCTAATTGTTACATGGGTATATTGTGTGATGCTGAGGTTCAGGATATGAATAATTCCGTCACCCAGGTAGTGAGTATAGTGCACAACAGTTAGATTTTCAATCCTTCCCCCTTCCTTCCTCCCACTTCTAGTAGTCCCCAGTGTCTATTGTTGCCATCTTTATGTCCATGAGTACCCAATGTTTAGCTCCCAGGCATAAATGAGAACATGTGATATTTGATTTTCTGTTTCTGTGCTAATTCACTTAGCATAATGACTTCCAGCCACATCCATGCTGCTGCAAAGGACGTGATTTCATTCATTTTTATGGCTGTATAGTATTCAATGGTGTATATGTACCATATTTTCTTTATCCAGTTCACTATTGATTCCATGTCTTTACTATGGTGAATAGTGCTGGAATGAAGTGTGTCTTTTTGGTAGAAGAATTTATATTCCTTTGGGTGTTGATGTGGTTTGGCTGTGTCCCCACCCAAATCTCATCTTGAATTGTAGTTCCCATAATCTCCACGTGTAGTTGGAGGGACCTGGTGGGAGGTAATTGAATCATGGGAGCGGTTCCTCCATGTTATTATTGTAATAGTAAGTTCTCACGAGATCTGATGGTTTTATAAGGAGCTTCCCACTTTGCTGGGCTCTCATTCTTCTTCCTGCTGCTATGTGAAGAAGGATGTGTTTGCCTCCTCTTCCACCATAATATAAGTTTCCTGAGGCCTCCCCAGCCCTGGGGAACTATGAGCCAATTAAATCTCTTTCCTTTATAATATACGCAGTCTTGGGCAGTTCTTTATATCAGCATGAGAACGGGCTAATACAGGTGTATACCCAGTAATGGGACTGAGGGGTCAAATTGTAGCTCTGTTTTAAATTATTTGAGAAATCTTCAATCTGCTTTCTATAGTGGCTGAACTAATTTACATTCCCACCAACAGTGTATAAGCATTTCCTTTTCTCTGCAGCCTCACTAGCATCTGTTATGAAAAACATCCATATTTTTATTACAGCAGGAATAGACTTCAGCCCTTTTATTTTTTAATAGACTTTATTTATTTATTTATTTATTTATTTATTATTGTTATTTTTTTTTGAGACGGAGTCTCACTGTCGCCCAGGCTGGAGTGCAGTGGCACCTGGCCAATAGACTTTATTTTTTACAGGAGCATTATGTTTCCAGAAAACTTGAGCAGAAAGCACAGAGATTTTTCCATACATTTTCTGCCCCCAAATATACACAGTCCTGCCTGCTATCAAAATCCCCTCTAGAGTGATGCAGTTGTTACATCCCATGAACCTACATTAACACATCATGATCACCTAGAATCCACAGTTTACAACGCCTTTGGTGCTGTACATTCTATTGGTTTGGACAAACGTATAATGACATGCTTTCACCATTGTAGAATTATACATAATATTTTCGCTGCCCTAAAAATCCTCTGTGCTCTGCCTATTTAACCCTCCCTCCCCTCAACCCTTGACAACCTCTGATCCTTTTACTATCATTTTAGTTTTGACTTTTCCACAATGTCATGTAGTTGAAATCAAATGGTATGTGGCCTTTTCAGATTGGCTTCTTTCTCTTAATAATTATGCATTTAAGTTCCCTCCATGTCTTTTAGTGGCTATTAGCTCATTTTGTTTTATCACCAAATACTATTCTATTGTCTGGATGTAGATGGCTCCCAAGTTTTGGAAATTATGAATAAAGCTGCTGTAAACATTCATGTGCAGGTTTTTGTGTGGATATAAGTATTCAATTCATGTGGGTAAATACCAAGGCAATCAATTTGTGGATAACATATTAAGAGTATGTTTAACTTTGTCAGAAACTGCCAAACTGTCTTTCAAAGCTGCTGTATCATTTTGTATTCCCACAAATACAAAATTGTCATTTTAATTGTCATTCTGTCATTTAAAGCTATCCTGTTTGTGGCATTTTGTTATGGCAGCCCATAACAGAAGACTTCTTTTTTCCCAGTCTTGGATGCTAGAATTTGCTCCACATCTTCACCACTATTTGGTGTTGTCAGTGTTCTAGATGTTGGCCACTCTCATGGGGATGTAGTAATATTTCATTATTGCTTTAATTTGCATTTCCTTAATGACATACGATGTAGAACATCCTTGCATATGTTTATTGTCCATCTGTAAATATTCTTTGGTGATGTCTCTGTTCAAGTATTGTGCCGAGTTTTTAATAAGGATTTTGTTTTCTTATTACTGAGCTTTAAGTGTTCTTTGTACATTTTAGATAACAGTGCCTTTTTATGTAATTTGTAAATATTTTATATAATTATGTAAATATTTGTGAAATGTAAATTTTGCAAATTTTGCAAATATTTTCTCCTTTTCTGTAAATTATCTTTCCATTCTCTAGACAGTGTCTTTCACAGAGCAACAGTTTTTAACTTTAATACAGACCAGTTTATCAATTTTTTTCTTTCATGGATCATGCCCTGGTGTTGTATCTAGTAAGTCATCATCATGCCAAAGATCATCTAGGCTTTTTTTGTGTTATCTTTTAAGAGATTTATAGTTTTGTGTTGTGTTCTAAATTTAGGGCTATGATCCATTTCGAGCTTGTGATGAGTGTAAGGTCTATGTCTAGATTCTTTCTTTCTTTCTTTCTTTTACATTTGGAAATCAGGTTGTTTCAGCGCTATTTATTGACAAGGATACCCTTTCTCCTTTTCTCCATTGTATTGCCGTTGCTCTGTTGTCTAAGAGCAGTTGACTATATTAATAGGGGTCTATTTCTGGGCTCTTTATTCTGTTCCATAGGTTTATATATCTTTTCTTCTGCCAGTACCACACTCTCTAATTATGGTAGCTTTATGCAAGTCTTGAAGACAAATAATGTCCGTCCTCCAACTTTGTTCTTCTCCTTCAATATTATACTGGCTATTTTCTATCTTTTGCCTCTCTATATAAACTTCAGAATCAGTTTGTTGATATATACAAAATGACTTGCTAAAATTTTGATTGGAATTTTGTTGTATCTAGATGAAGTTGGGAAGATCTGCCATCTTGTCAACATTGAGTCTTCCTATTGATTATATGGAATACCTCTTCATTTATTCCATTCTGCTTTGATTGCTTTAATCAGAGTTTTTAGTTTTCCATATACAGATCTTGTACATATTTTGTTAGAGTTATACCTAAGTATTTCATTTTTGAGGGGAGCTAATGAAAATTGTGCTGTAATTTTAATTTCAAAGTTCACTAGTTCATTGCTGATTTAAGGAAAGTCACTGACAATTGTATATTAATCTGGTATCTTGCAACATTGCTATAATTTATTATTAGTTCCGGGAGGGTTTTTTCCTAATCCCTTGGGATTTTCTGAATAGACCATCATGTTATCTATGAACAAAGTTTTCTTTCTTTCTTCCCAATCTGTAATCTTTTATTTCCTTTTCCTTTTTATTGCATTAGCTAAGGCTTCCAGTATAATGCTGAAAAGCAAGGGTAAGAGGGGACATCCTTGCCTTTGTTCCTGATCTTAACAGGAAAGCTACTATTTTCTCACCAGTAAGTAATGTTAGCTGATTTATAGATATTATTAATCAAGTTGAAAAAGTTCCCTCTATTCCTGCTTTACTGAGAATTTTAGCATACATAGGTGTCAGATTTCATGAAATGCATTTTCTGCATCTATTGATATGATTGTTTGACTTTTTTCATTAGTCTTTTAATGTAATGGGTTATATTAATTGATTTTTGAATGTTGAAACCGACCTGCCTACCTGAAATGAATCCCACTTGCTTTTAATGTGTTATTCTTCTTATAAGTTGTTGGATTTGATTTGCTGATATTTTGTTGAGTGTTTTATGAGAGATATTAGTCTTTTATTACAATATCATTGCCTGATTTTAATATTAGGGTAATGCTGGTTTCATAGAATGAGTTAGGAAGTAGTCCTTCTGTTTCTATCTTCTGGAAGAGATTGTAGAGAACTGGTATAATCTCTCCCTCAAATATTTTGTAGAATTCATCGGTAAACCCAGCTCGGCTGGTACTTTAGTTTTAGAAGGTTATTAATTATTTATTCAATTTTTAAAATTGATATAAGACTATTCAGTATGTCTGTTTATTCCTGTGTGAGTTTTGGCAGATTGTGCCTTTGAAGGAATTGGTTCATTTTCATCTAGGATATGAAATTTTTAGGTATAGAGTTGTTCATCCTATACATTTTGCTATCCTTTTAACGTTCATGGTATCTGTGGTAATGTTCCTTTTCTTATTTTTGGTATTAGTAATTCATTTTTCTCTTTTTTTTTACTTAATTACCCTGGCTAAAGATTTATCAATTTTATTGATCTTGTCAAATAATGAACCTTTGGTTCTATTGATTTTCTCTATTGATTTACTCTTTTTAATTTCATTGATTTCTGTTATAATTTTTATTATTTATTTTCTTCTGCTTACTTTGGATTTCATTTGCCCTTCATTTTCTAGTTTCCTAAGATAGAAGCTTAAATTATTAATTTTAAATCTTTTTTTTATTATTTGCATTCAGTGCTATACATTTCCCTCTAAGCATTGCTTTTATTGTCTCCCACATATTTTGGTAAGTTGTGTTTTCATTTTCATTTAGTTCAAAATATTTAAAAATTTCTCTTGAAATTTCTTTGACCCATATGCTATTTAAAAGTGTTTTGTTTAATCACCAAATATTTTGGGTTTTTTTCAGTCATCTTCCTGTTACTGAATTCTAGTTTAATTTCACTGTATTTGGAGGGCAAATATTGAATTATTTACATTGTTTTAAATTTGTTAAGGTGTGTTTTATAAACCAGAATGTGGTCTATCTTGCTAAACATTCTGTATGAGCTTGAGAAGAAGGTATATTCTGCTATTGTTGGTTGATGTAGTCCATACATGTCCATTATATACAGGTGATTGATGCTGCTGCTTAGGTCAACTCTGTGCTTACTGATTTTCTGCCTACTGGATCTGTCCATTTCTGGTTTCTTTAAAGTCTTCAACTATAATGGTGGGTTCATCTCTTTCTCCTTACAGTTCTATCAGTTTTCACCTTATATATTTTGATGCTCTATTTTTACATGTGTACAAAATGATTATATGTCCTCTTGGAGAATCAACCCCCTTATCATTATGCAGTGCTTTTATCCCTGTCTGCTTGGGCTGCTATAAAAAATATTACAAACAGGGTAGCTTAAATGACAGGCATTTATTTTTTCCCAGTCTTGGATGCTAGGATTCTATGGCCAAGGTGGTGGCAAATTTAGTTTCTGATGAGGGCTATCTTCTCGGCTTTAGGAATAGATCAGGATTAGATTACAACACGAATCCTCTCAGATCAGGATCACAATTTTATTGCCTCGTTTAACCTTAATTACTTTATTAAAGACCCTGATCTCCAAATACAGTCACGTATAGAACTTCAATATATTATTTTTGGGGGAAAACATACATTTATGCCATTTAATCTCTGACATCTTTTCTTGCTGTGAAGTGTGTTTGGCCTGAAATTAATATAGCTATTCTCACTTTCTTTTGATTAGTGATAACTTAATGTATCTTTTACAACTATCGCCACCTCTTTACTTTTAATTTATATGTGTTTTTATAGTTAAAATGGATTCTTTTTATACAACATAAAGTTGCGCTGCGTTTTTTGATCTACTCTGACAATCTTTGTCTCTTAATTGGTGTGCTTAGACCACTGGTGTTTAAAGTGATAATTGATATAGTAGGTCTAATATCTACTATATTTGGTTTTTTTTGTTATTTGCCCTTATTCTTTGTTCCTCTTTGTTTTCCATTCTTTTATACTTTTTGTGGTTTTAATTGAGCATTGTATGTGATTCCATTTTCTTTCTTCCTTAGCCCACCAGTCATGCTTTTTTTAGTGGTTGCTCTAAAGTTTGCAATATATATTTACAATTAATCCAAGTTTTCTTTCAAATAACCTTCTACTGCTTTACAGATAGTGCAAGTACTTTATAATAACAAAATAATTCTAATTCTTTCAACTCTGTCTTTTTAATTCCTGTCATTTATTTCCCTTATACATATAAGCTTATTGTATTAGTCAGTTTTCATGCTGCTGATAAAGACATACCTGAGACTGGGCAATTTACAAAAGAAAGAGGTTTAATGGACTCACAGTTCCATGGGCTGAGGAGGCTTCACAATCATGGCACAAGGCAAAAGGCACATCTCACGTGGCAGCAGACAAGAGAAGAGAATAAGAGCCAAGCAACAGGGGTTTGCTGTTATAAAACCTTCAGATCTCATGAGACTTATTCACTACCACAAGAACAGTATGGGGGAAACTGCCCCCATGATTCAGTTATCTCCCACTGGGTCACTCCCACAACACAAGGGAATTATGGGAGCTACAATTCAAGATGATTTGGGTGGGAACACAGCCAAACCATATCATTCATATATATATATATATATATATATATATATATATATATATATGAATACATTGCTGTTAGTTTTTGAACAAATTGTATCTACTAGATCAATTAAGGATTTAAAAAGTGTTTATTTTACATTAACAAGTGTTTATTTTACATTCACTTATTACTTCTCTGATACTCTGATACTCTTCCTTTATGTAGATCTGAGTTTCTGACATACAATTTTTTTATTAACATTTCTGCAAGGCACATTTCTGCAAGGCTACAAATTCCTTCAATGTTTGTCTAAGAAAATCTTTATTTCTCCTTTGCTTTTGAAGGATAATTCTGCCAGGTACAGAATTTTAGGTTACATTTGTTTTCCTCTCTCAAAATCTTAAATATTTCACTCCACTCTCTTTTTGGTTGTATACTTTTTGAGACATCAGATGTAGTTCTTAATTTTGCTCCTCCGTAGGTAAGGTGTTTTTTCCCTCTGACTTTTTTCAAGACTTTTTCTTTGCCTTTGATTTTCTGCAGTTTGAATATGATATGTTCAGATGTGTGTGTGTGTGTGTGTGTGTGTGTGTGTGTGTGTGTTTTACATTTATCCTGCCTCATGTTCTCTGAACTTCCTGAATCTGTGCTTTGGTGTCTGACATTGAGTTGGGGAAATTCTCAGTCATTGTTGTGTCATATATTTTTCTGTTTCTTTCTTTCTTCTCCTCCTTATCTTCCCATTATTATGAATATGTTAATATTTTTGTAGTTGTCTCATAGATCTAGGATATTCTGCTCCATTCTTCCAGTTTCTTTCTTTGATTTTTTGATTTGGAACTTTCTATTGACATATTAATCATAGTTGTGTTAAATTCCCAGTCTGATAATTCCAACATCCCTGTCATATCTAAGACTAGTTCTGATGCTTTCTCTGTCTCTTAAAATTATGTTTTTGGCTTTTTAGTATGCTTTGGTAGTTTATCTTGACAGTCATACATGAAGTACTGGGTAAAAGGAACTGCTGTAAATAGGCCTTTAGTAATGTGGTGGTAAGGCATTGAGGAGGGGAAGAGTGTACCGTGGTCCTCTGAGTAGGTTTTAGTCTTTTAGTGAGCCTGTGCCTCTAGAGTGTGAACTTCACAAATATTTCCAAGTGATGTTCCCTCTCAATCCCTGCTTAGGTGGAATAGAATGACTAGGGTGGGTTGAAGTTGGGTATTTTTCACTCCCTGTGTGGAAGGCTAGAGCGGGCTAGAGTTGGATATCGTCCTTTCCCCCAGGTCAGTTGGGTTCTAATAATGCCCCAGGAAGTTAGTCTCAGGTTAGCTAGTTTCTGTGGAGGGCAGACCTTATTAAGAAGAAAAAGTGCTCTGGCATACCTTACAATGATTACTTTTACCCTCCTTTGCTGGAGGCATGAGGGACTTTTTCTTTAATATTTACTATGAAAACCTACTAAAACTCCTGGAGATAAAGCTCACAAAAATGTGTAGGTGGACCTATGACTGAGTCTCCCTGGAGTTTTAATCTTTCAGACTTGCCACACTGAGTCTCTAGAAATTCATTTCTCATTTACAGTTCAGGTTTTCCTACCCATGCATCTGTTCTCTCGGGGGTTTCTGCTCCTGTAAGTTATGACTCTTTGTATTTGCCTTTCTGTCTTTTCAATTGTGGGATCAGCAGTTTGCTCGCTGACCTTACTTCTCCAATAGATCTAAGAATACTTGTTGACTTTTCAGCTTGTTCAGTTTCTACTTGTTAGGACTTGGGATAAAGTGATTACTTTCCAGCTTCTTATATACCTGACTTGAAATCAGTATTCATTGACATCAGTTCTTTGTGATCAATTCTTTTCTGTGTCACATACAAGCCTCAGGCGTCAAGGAATGCATCTATTAAATTGAAAATCTTAGGTTAAATAGGACTTTACAATTTTATAATGTGTTTTCTGTGTTTTGTGTCATAGTGACCTGGCCCATTTAGGTGCAAAGGAAACATTTTGTTCTCATTTTTTGTATGAGAATAATGAGATCAGAGATCCTGAGTGACATATTTGCACAACAAATATGTAACTCAAACCTGGATTTTCTGACTCCAAACCACATCTGTTCCTAAACCTCAAATAGTACCATTTGCTAAATAAAATAACTTAGCATAGAGAGGAAGACAGTTTAGTATAGTGGGAAAGAGGATGGGCTTGCAAATCAGATAAATCTGGGCTCGAATCACAGATGTGTTGTTAGTTTTGTGACTTGGAAAAATTTTACAACATTCCTGAGTCTCAGTTTACTAGTTGCAAAATGGGGCTAATACGACCTACCTTGCTGAGATATTATGAAGATTCAACAAAATGATGTACTCAAACAACTTACCACAAAATCTGGTGGTAATCTACTCAAAACATTAGTAGTTGATGTGTGATCATCAGTAAGATAAAGAGAATCACCACCAGGTGGGGCAGATTTCAGTGCAAGGTCAAAAGAGTCAGATCAGTCCAGAGCTTCAGTCCACAGAGAATGGCATCTAGAATTCTAGGTGCAATTCAGCTAACACATAATAGTTTACATATCTATCTTGAATTCTTGCATTCATTCAATAAATATTTATTGAGCTGGATACTGCTTTAGGTGCTTAGGATGCATCGGTGAATAACACAGACTTAGATCCCTGCCCTGAGAGGGTCTCAGAGTTAGCAGAGAATGATAGACAATAGAGAATCGCTTAATGAATAAGGAAATTACTTTGTATGTTAGAAGGTAGTAAGTGCTACAAATAATAGAAAAGTGGAGCAGAGCAGGGAAACAAGAGTACAGTGGGAGAGACAGCCTGTAACTTAAATGATGTGGTCAGGGTCAACCTCATTTCAAAGGTAATATCTAAACATATGCTTGGAGGAGGTGAAGGAATATAAAGGAAGAGCTGGGAGGAAGAGCACTGGGTCACAGGATGCAGTCGGGACAGCACTAAGGCAGGAGGGTGCTTTGGGGGTTTACTCAGAATCAGATGGGGAGGAGCCATGGCAAGGTTTTGAATAGAGGAGTGACTTGATCTGATTTACATTTTAAGATAAATACTCTGGCTCTTCTTTAGAGAATTAAAGGGTGGAAGCAGGGTAACATTTAAGAAGTTATTGCATTGATCCAAGTATAGGGTAATAATAGGTAGTACTTGAGTGGTAGAATAGGAGAGAGAAGAGAGTGGCCAGATTCTATATAGATTGAATGTAAAACCAGTAGGATTTCTTTAAAGAGTTGAAAAGATTGGAAGTGTTGGTGAGAGAAAACGGGACTCAAGAATGATTCCAAATATTTTAGCCTGAGCTAAAGAATGGACTGGACCTTAAGACTGAGCTAAGGAGGGAGTTGCCACGGCTGCGATGGGATTCCATGTTACTGATTATTATGGCTCTCGCAAGACCTCAACATGTTTGTTGAACTGCAGACTTGGCTATGGCCCCCAAATGAGCTAGTTTTGAATTACAGAAGATTCAGTGCAGAATTGGGAAGTTGGAGGGGAAAAAATCTTGGTGTCACTATTCTTCTTTTTTTTTTTTTAGGGTAAACAAACTTTATCCCACATAAATGGCAATGCAGTTATACTAAGCAAATGATATAATAAGCACGTTGCAATGGGAAGCAGAGAAGGGAAAAGAGATATATGTATATTTACACTCATCAGACTATGGAGGATTCACCACCAGACTGGGAAGCAACACCCTGGGCTCCATAGTTGGCCACTTGTCTGTGCACAGATGAGGAGGGATCTCATGAAGCTTTGGCACAGTCTTGAGACTTAGCTCTTTTTTTTTTTTTTCAAGTTTTATTAACATTTATTTTTCCATTGGGAAATTTACTGATGCTGACAGTACTGGAGACACTTGATAGGGATATACAATTTTGTTTAGCTTCAGATTCAAAGACCAAACCACTAAACTTTCTTTCCAGTATCATCGTTTCTAGGAAGGTCAGATAAAGTTTCCTGAATACAAACTGGATCATGCTTCTCACTTAACATTCAACAGGTTTTTCAGCTTAGAATAAAAATTACATTCTACACTGTAATTTGTCCATCTCTTCCTCTCCAGCCACAGGTCCAATTTGACCCACTATTTCAGTCACTATGAACAATTAATGTTTGCCTGGGCCAGTATATCTGTCCCTATCATAACTGCATATATATATATTTTTAATATATATATATTTTTATTATACTTTAAGTTCTAGGGTACATGTGCACAACGTGCAGGTTTGTTACATATGTATACATATGCCATGTTGGTGTGCTGCACCCATTATCTCATCATTTACATTAGGTATATCTCCTAATGCTATCCCTTCCCCCTCCCCCCACCCCACAACAGGCCCCGGTGTGTGATGTTCCCCTTCCTGTGTCCAAGTGTTCTCATTGTTCAATTCCCACCTATGAGTGAGAACATGCAGTGTTTGGTTTTTTGTCCTTGCAACAGTTTGCTGAGAATGATGGTTTCCAGCTTCATCCATGTCCCTACAAAGGGCATGAACTCATCCTTTTTATGGCTGCATAGTATTCCATGATGTATATGTGCCACATTTTCTTAATCCAGTTTATCATTGTTAGACATTTGGGTTGGTTCCAAGTCTTTGCTATTGTGAATAGTGCCACAATAAACATACGTGTGCATGTGTCTTTATAGCAGCATGGTTTATAATCCTTTGGGTACATGCCCAGTAATGGGATGGCTGGGTCAAGTGGTATTTCTAGCTCTAGATCCTTGAGGAATCGCCACACTGTCTTCCACAATGGTTGAACTAGTTTACAGTCCCACCAATAGTGTAAAAGTGTTCCTATTTCTCCACATCCTCTCCAGCACCTGTTGTTTCCTGACTTTTTAATGATTGCCATTCTAACTGGTGTGAGATGGTGTCTCATTGTGGTTTTGATTTGCATTTCTCTGATGGCCAGTGATGATGAGCATTTTTTCATGTGTCTGTTGGATGCATAAATATCTTCTTTTGAGAAGTGTCTGTTCATATCCTTTACCCACTTGTTGATGGGGTTGTTTTTTTCTTGTAAATTTGTTTGAGTTCTTTGTAGATTCTGGATATTAGCCCTTTGTCAGATGAGTAGATTCCAAAAATTTTCTCCCATTCTGTAGGTTGCCTGTTCACTCTGATAGTAGTTTCTTTTGCTGTGCAGAAGCTCTTTAGTTTAATTAGATCCCATTTGTCAATTTTGGCTTTTGTTACCATTGCTTTTGGTGTTTTAGACATGAAGTCCTTGCCCATGCCTATGTCCTGCATGGTATTGCCTAGGTTTTCTTCTAGGGTTTTTATGGTTTTAGGTCTAACATGTAAGTCTTTAATCCATCTTGAATTAATTTTTGTATAAGGTGTAAGGAAGGGATCCAGTTTCAGCTTTCTACCTATGGCTAGCCAGTTTTCCCAGCAATTTAATCCTTTTAATAAAAAGGATTTCCTATTTATTAAATAGGGAATCCTTTCCCCATTTCTTGTTTTTGTCAGGTTTGTCAAAGGTCAGATAGTTGTAGATGTGTGGTATTATTTCTGAGGGCTCTGTTCTGTTCCATTGGTCTGTATCTCTGTTTTGGTACCAGTACCATGCTGTTTTGGTTACTGCAGCCTTGTAGTATAGTTTGAAGTCAGGTAGCATGATGCCTCCAGCTTTGTTCTTTTGGCTTAGGATTGACTTGGAAATGTGGCCTCTTTTGTGGTTCCATATGAACTTGAAAGTAGTTTTTTCCAATTCTGTGAAGAAAGTCATTGGTAGCTTGATGGGGATGGCATTGAATCTGTAAATTACCTTGGGCAGTATGGCCATTTTCACGATATTGATTCTTCCTATCCATGAGCATGGAATGTTCTTCCATTTGTTTGTATCCTCTTTTATTTCATTGAGCAGTGGTTTGTAATTCTCCTTGAAGAGGTCCTTCCCATCCCTTGTAAGTTGGATTCCTAGGTATTTTATTCTCTTTGAAGCAATTGTGAATGGGAGTTCATGCATGATTTGGTTCTCTGTCAGGATACAAAATCAATGTGCAAAAATCACAGCATTCTTATACACCAATAATAGATGTCACTATTCTTACTATGAGCGGTCTGATGTCATTGTGCCATCATTTGTCACCAGCTGCCTGGGGTTCAGTAGTGTCTATCACTGCAGTCTCTCAGAGGCAATTCTTGGGCATGAGATTATCATTTAGTAGGAAACTGAAATTGTAGTAAGTTTCAATTGAATACCTAGCACTAAAACTTTAGGAGCTCTCTGCATGTTGTAGCTAATAGAAAAGCAAAGGTCTGAGAAATGGTAATATAGTTCTGGAATTTACGGTGCCATATTATGATTGTAAGAAGTAAAGGTATATTTATTTCTCTGTGGGTAAGAAGGTAGTACTTTAGGAGTGAGTATAATTAAGGAAGTGTTTTAGGTAGGGACTAAGTAATTTAATTTCCATAAACTATTAAGGCAATTCCAGTGTTATTTTTCCCTAAGCCACCAAGAAAATGAAAATGTATTTTACCAGCAGTGTTTTTTGGTTTTTTTTTTGTTTTTTTTAACCAGAAGTTTGGTACATTATGGTCTTCAGCATTTTGTTTATGTTTAAGATGTACTTTCAAAGAGTTTTCTCCCTTAAACTATAAAAGTTACCTCTAACAACTTGTGGGGAGTTTTCCTGCATTTTCTGCATAGTTTGCCAATTCCCTGGTAAGTTTTTTAATACCTTTAGACACCAAATAGTCTCTTGCCTAAGAGGATACATACAAAAATGCTCTTTAGGCTAACAAGAGGTTATTATTACATCATTAAGAATATTAAGAAACATTCAGGAGTTATGATTTATTCATTCAGCACACACATTGATCACTTCCTATAAAATAGGTACTATGCTTGGCCCTAAGTATATCACCCATCGGCTAATGGAACACAAGCATACAAAATAAAACTTTAGTAGATACAGTTTGACAAATCCAATTATAAAAGAATGGAACAATGGTAACACAGACGAAGGCATGATTAAATATTTTTGGAGGGATGGAAAGTGTGGCTGAGTTAGGTCTTCAGTGAAGAATAAGGGCTCTCAATATGTATATGCATGGTAGGGCACATGGAATAAGCACCTGCCCAAACAGAGCAGCATAGGATGCATAAGCTCACTGAAGAATGGAAAAGGCAGTAAGTAATTGAAGGAGCATCAGAAAGGTTCCTGAAAACATGAAGAGGGTGATGGGTTGATTTGTGTCATAAGTTTAAGTCCTAACCCCCAGTTCCTCAGAACGCGACTTTATTTGGAAAACTGAAGAAGAAGATGTTGAAAGTGAAGATAATCTCACTTAGGCATGTCAGCCAGGAAATCCAGTCAGAGAACTGGGTTTTTGATATCAGTGAAATCCAAACAGAAATAGAAAAATTACCTATGGTCGATCATAGTGTTATCATCATTGGCCAGAGAAGGAATTTCCAGGTACATTTGGCTCAGATAGTTTGTGCAAACAGGTGAAAATAGTTGTTACCAAATTGTATGAGTATAATAAAATAGCTAGTTTAAGAACACACCTGTGTCCAGAACACACTATGAGGATGAACAGACTTTCTCCTGGGACTGTGGAGATGATGGGGAACAGCATCTGGTAGGTGTTTTCTCCATTGCATAGGGGTTTTTAATGTGAGGGGTGTCATGGTGTTTGTGTCACACTGGCATGCAGACATTCTGCTGGGACTATATTGCATATTACTGGCACATATAAACTATGCTAGTAATATATCAGTGGAGAAATTCACCAGGGAAGCCATCTAAGCCTTTGGTAAAGAACAAAAAAAAAAAATAAGAAAAGACAACAATTTGAAAGTATATTTCTTGTGATGATTACTGAAGAATCAAGCTATGCTTGAAGCTTTGCTAAGGTAATGGGGCACTTGGAGAAGGAATAGAAAACAGCAGAATGACCCAGGTGTAGGGCATGTATCTGCAGTGTGGTCACCACAAACCTGGCGCATGCTTCTTATCCCCTCTCTAGCCATCTTTTCAATTCCATGACTTTGTGGAGAGAAGAAAAAACCCCTCAATTTGAAAACAGAAAATCCCTCTTATTTTCTAATATGAGGATATTTTACTTAACATCAATGCTTTTGTTTCTTTTATTGTGTTTTTATTTACCTCTAGATGTTAAACAATAAAATTACCTTCTAGATATGACAATAATTTACTATTCAATTTCACATAGGATTGTAAACAGTTGTTAAAATTATGAATTGATCATAGATTTTCCCGGGATTCCCTTCCAGAATAAGGAAACAGAAAATAGAAGGTAAACTTTGGATGGTACTGGGGCATGAAAAGCTCTGGGGACAAAAAACGCGGGCAGATGTTTTTCTCTATCGTCTGATGTTTTATCTTTAGGAAAACCAACATCCCGACTTTATATTTTTAATAAGAATCTAGTAAATAGCTTTAGGCTAGGATGGATTCTGAGAGATAAAATTATTCTTGTTATGTGTCTAATGTTATTGGTTATTGAGAGTCACAAGTCACACACACACAAACACACACACACACACACACACACACCACTTACTGAAAGTTCCATGAAAAGTTAAGTGTGTCCTATTTATAGAACAAAAATTAAAAAGCTAGAAACCTTTCATTGGCATTAGACAGCTTACCAATTTTGGCATGTGACACCTGTGGGAAAAAATATAAAATAATAAGAATTGGTGCTTCACAAAATTAATGTCAGTTAATTCTTCTACCACACTAGATTTTAATTTTATCCAAAATTTATTTGAATCTTTATAAAAATCAAAGTACACTTTACATCTATAAATTCATTTCATCTTATTTAAAAAATCTTTTATTTTTGCTTCTACAAAGCTCTTAGTAAAAAGAAAACCTAATCTTTGCTCAAAGTCAGCTGGCTAATAAAAGGGAAAGAAGCAAATTTCTTTAACTCTAATCCTGGGTTATTTCACACTGTACTGTTAAGAAGACCCAACCTGATGATGATGTTTTTGCTGTAATGAAAATTTCTCTTGGTCAGAGGATTTCAAAATTCTTCAAATAATAATTTTTTTTATAAATCCCACATTATGCTTATTTATTATTTATTATTTTTAATTGACAACAATAATTATTTTATGGGATATAATGCAGTGTTTTGAGATAAGTATTTGTGGAATGCATATATAAAACTAAATAACATATTCATCACCTTACACACTTTGAGGTGAGAATATTTAAAATCTACCCTTTTAGCAATTTTGAAATATATAGTATTCAAATAATAATTTCCTATGGCCATATGTATGCTGTGTCATATTTTGTAGTATATTCCATGAATTAAACATGTTCTCCATGTGCCAGGTTAAGAGTAGGTAGCATCTACTTTTAAAATGAGAATAACAGTAGCTGTATTAGAAGGATGCTTTTGGAGGAGTATATCATGAAAGAAACTGAAGAGAATCATATCAAATTAATCACAACCCAGAAAAAAATAGCTTATAATAGGTACTCTGTGGAAGGTAAATAAAATTTATTGAGAAAATCATAGTATCACCTCTAGTCCATTCTCCAGCGATAACCATTGTTAACATTTTGGTATGCACATCCTTCCTTTTATTTTTTTCCTGTGCGTAATTTGTATATGTGGGTATTGCTTTTTCCACAAAAATGGTATTAAACTTTATATACTGCTTTGTTCTTGCAGATTTCATATAGAAGTATGTTGTTAATATACACGTTCTCATGTGTATCAGTTTCTTAGGACTGCCATAATGAGTTACCACAAACTTGGTGGCTTAAAAAAGTAGAAATTTGTATCAAAATTCTGGAGGCCAGAAGTCTGAAATCAGGGTGGCACCCAAGCCCCTCTCTTTCTGAAGACTCTGGGGGAGAATATTCCTCGCTTCTTCCAGCTTCTGGTGGCTCCAGGCATTCCTTGGCTTGTGGCTGTATCACTCTGGTCTCTGTCTCAATCTGTACATGGCCTTCTCCTCTGTGTTTCTTTGTCTCAAATCTCTCTCTGCCTTTCTGGTATAAGGACACCTGTCATTGGGTTCAAGGACCATCTTAAATCCAGGATGAGCTAGTCTTGAGATCTTTAATTACATCTTCAAACATCCTTTTCCCAAATAAGATCACATTCACAGATCCTGGGTAGACATATCTTTTAAAGGAGTAACATTCAATCCACTACATCAGGTCAATAAGTATTCTATGTTACTACAAAAGGAATATGAGGGGTATGAGGGGAAGCACTGCAGAGGAAAGAGCTTTCTTATCATTTTGAGCACCTATGACATGCTAAAAGCTAAAGAACTCCAGATTTTCTTATGCCCTTTTGCAGGCAGGGGTTTTGAAGCAGTAGAAGAAACCTAAGACTTCAACCCTAAGTTACTCTGGGCTGGACCAAGGCTTTTTTGCATACTCAGAGACCAGTAGAGCTCTGGCTCATTGGTGAGTGCCCAACTTTCTGTATGAGGAAGGGAATCCCATTGATGAGCCCCATATCATTTTACAGAGCTGTGGAGATGGAACTGTGGCGGTGGGGTTGTTTAGGACTGAAATAAGCCCAAAGAGGGTAATGGAGCCGTTTTCTGAGCAAGGGAGTTCGTATACTGAGAGGGCAGAAGAACTTGATATGGGATTTGAGAAAAACATTCAGAGACTAAAGGAAGAGTTTGACTATTAAAGAGAAAATAATACTAACAGACTATTGACCATTAATTCCCTCTCAATAAGACAGACATCTACTGGCGTGCCTCATTCGATGGCTCAGGAAAGTCAAATACTTAGATCCCTTTTTTTACTTATGGTTACCAACAAAGGGATTCTTTTACTGGAATTTAGGACAAATATAATATCTAGATAACTTTTCGTTATGTTTTAGTTCTCATATCTGGTTTTCACATACCTTTGGAAAATAGGGTAAATAGATATTATAAAAGGAGAAAATTGACATTTATTTAACATAATGCTGCATATACTTTGTATACCTTCCTTCATACAGAAACAAACTTGGGCAGTCTTCACAGTGCTAGCGCTTGTGCAGAACAGGATGTTGAAGACGCCCCATCGTGGTGTTTTATTTTGATGGACAGAGGAAGAAAGGACTAGGAAATGTGTCCTCATCTGACAGCAGCATAACCCATAGACTGATGAAAGTTCCTGCAGTCCTTCCTTCATGACTTTCCTGATGGAATCTGAGCCCACTGCAATCCAAAACTCTTTTATTCATTTTTTGTTTTATATGCTGGTATATAGCAGAGTGGCTGTCCTGTAGTAAGTACTTGCTAATGAATGCGTGAATGAATGATAAGATAAGGCATAAATTCACTCAAAAATTCTAGACCTTTTCTTGCATTGTGCTCCAAAACACATTAAACATGTACCAATACAGAGAACTGCTTCAAAGATACTATGGCCTGTGAGTGTCTGCCACAAGCTAGCCACATGACAATGGCCAAGTCATTTTACCTATCAAATCCTTAGTTTACTCATCTAATGAGAGAATGGGACAAAAAGACTGAAAGCTCCAAAGAGGTTGGTCACAGTCTCACACTCCAGTTTGGATTTGCATGTGGAGGGATTTTACTTACCATATCCCTTGCTCATAATCTGTAGCTCTTATTTTTCAAGCATCTCCCAGCACTGATTTAAAAAATTTGATTTTTCTTCTTGAGGCATTTAGTGAAAAGCACTGTGTTCCTTCCTAATTTATAACAAAACACTTGAGGAGAGAGTCTTGCCTTACAGTACATGAGTTATGAGGCCAGTGTTCAGCCTGCTATTCCTTCCTTAGCTGAATTCCATTTTCTCCTTTCAAAGCTGCAGTATTTCTTCTTTCTTGTATGTCAAATTAATCTTTGTTCTTAAAATTATGACCACCAAGAGGAAACTTAACTTGTTGTGGTAAAGAATTTGCTGGACTAAACAAAGCATATGTTTTACTTGACATTCTATTCTGCTGCAACAGAACAGCAAATTGTCATCTCCACTTTAGGGACCTGTCATTGAAAGTAGCAGTGCTGATTCTCATTTTACAAAGAAGAGTTCTGGCTAACTAGACGGTCTTACTTATGAAGGGTTGTCATATATAACAAATATGGCAAAATATGACAGTATATTTGAATTATATTATAATTATAATTATAATCTGTGCATACTGAAATTTTTAAAAACTACATTATGGAGCACAAAGAAAACTAGCTAGTGGTTTGGCTTTTGTTAAACCTTATTTAACATATTCCTATTTGAAAGCTTTGCCACTACCTATCTTTTTCTTGTTGCTTTAGAATTTTGCTATACTCATTTTCCCCTAGAAGATTCCAAAGATATTGAGTACATCTTATCTGGGGAAGAGTTTGATTGCTTTTGTTTTTTTCAATCCTATAAGTGAATTCATCTTACTGCAAAGTTGTAAATGACAGTGCTGTGCTGTAGTTTGGATGTTTGGCTCCCAAACCTCATGTTGATATGTGATCCCCAGTGTTGGAGGTGGGGCCTGGCGGGAGGTGTTTGGGTCATGGGGGAAGGCTCCTCACTAATGGCTTTGTGCTGTCCTCGCAGTAATGACTGAGTTCTCACTTTACTGGTTCCCATGAGATCCAATTGTTAAAAAGAGCCTGGCACCTCCCTCCCCTCCCTTGCTTCCTCCTTCATCATTTGAGCTCAGCACAACGGCTCTCCTTCACTTTCCACCATGAGTGGAAGCAGCCTGAGGCCTCACCAGAAGCAGAGGCTGATGCCATGCTTCCTGTACAGCCTACAGAACTGTGAACCAAATACACTTCATTTTGTTAAAATAAATTACTCAACCTCAGGCATTCCTTTATAGCAATGTAAATGGACTGAGATAGACAGTGAGATATCAAAAAGAAAAAAGGCAAGTTTTCCTTTGACGTCCCACTCCACCCATGGTCTTTCCCATAGTCAACACTTTGATGTGCAAAGTTTTGATATATTCTTTAATTTACATTAAATATGTATGCACTCCTAATTTGTTTTTGTTTTCTCTTTCTAACTATATGGTTCACCCTACGCTTATTTTCTGCAACTTATGTTTTTCATGTCAATATTTCTACCATGGAAATAATTTCATATCAGAAATGTAGATATATCCCATTCTGATTAACCATTCACTACTATCCTCTAGTATGAATAGATGGATGCATCAGAAAAAACATTTTTTTAATTGATTTGTATTTGGTCCCCCAATATTTTTCTATTAAAACATGCACCCATCTTTGCACACATACATTTATGCATATCCACGTGTACTTTTTCTTTTTAAAATTTTATTTTTAATTGACAAATAATTATTGTATATATTTATGGGATACATTGTGATGTTTTGATATGCATAGTAGGTATATTTTTACTTAACACTTTTATTCTTGTTTTTGATAGACACAACCAAATTGCATTCCAAAACACCATACTAAATCATACTCATCAATAGTATATGGGAGTGCCTGTTTTCCCATTTCCTTGCCAACGCAGGATATTATTAATATTTCAAAGTTTTGTCAGTCTCATGGGGGAAAAGCATTATTTCATTATGTTTTAAATTCCAATTGAGATTAGTAGTGACATTGGTGATATTTTCATATGCATATGAAACTTTCATTTTCTTTTTTGTAAATTACCTGTTCATAACTTTTATCAATTTTTCTATTGGGTTATTTCTTTTTCATATATACATATGAAATATGTTATTTCAGTTCATGGCTTTTAATTTTGTTCATGATATCTTTTGAGATATAGTCAAAACTGTTGGTTGCTTCCAAACTGGAGAATATTGTTTGTCTTTTTAAAGACATTTTTCCTACTCCCAAATTATTTTTTAAAAATCCTGTTACATTCTATATTTATTCATTAATTTATTCAGACTTTACTTTTTGTATACAGTATGACACATATATCTAAATTTATTTTCTCCCAAAGCAAAGCTGGTTGTTAGCCATTTTTTCTTGAATAGTTGATCATTTCCTGACTGATTTAAAATAGCAAATTTATCAAACACACCACATATTTACATGAATCTCTGCTTCTTCACTTTCTATTGTTTTCCACTGATTTGTGATATATCAAAATAATACAGAGACTTTTAATTAACATAATTTTAAGTATGATCTTATTCTTTTTTCAAAATATTCATTGCAATATTCATAGACTTTCTCTTCAGAAAACTTTAAATCACATATATCAAATTCCTTTAAGAAAACTCATTGGAGGTTTTTGACTGTAATTAAATTAATAAGACTGTAGTCGACCTTTGAAGAACAGGGTTTTGAATGGCACAGGTCCACTTACACCTGGATTTTTTCAGTAACAGTTACACTGAGTGTGCTTGCCTCTCCTGCATCCTCTTCTACCTCCTTTAAACTTCTTCCGCCTCTGCCACCCCTGAAATAGCAAGACCGATCCCTCGTCTTCCTCCTCCTCATCAGCCTCCTCCATGTGAAGATGACAAGGATGAAGATCTTTAAGATGATCCACTTCCACTTAATGAATAGTGAGTACATTTTTTGTTCCTTATAATTTGCTTAATAACATTTGATTTTCTCTAGCTTACTTTATTGCAAAAATACAGTATATAATACATATAACATCCAAAATATGTGTTAATTGACTGTTGATGTTATCATTAAGGCTTCCGCTCAACAGTAGGCTCTTAGTAGTTAAGTTTTGGGGAATGAACAGTTATACGCAGGTTTTCAACCGCACAGGGGTCAGTACCCTGACCCCTGCATTGTTCAAGGGTTGACTGTAATTTGAAAAGTTTTAATACTTTTACAAAAGTTCAATACATGCTATACTGTTCTTCAAAAATATATGTATTTGTTAAGTTTTTAAGGGCATTTGATAGTTTTGTTTTGTTTTCACTGTTAGAAAACTGATTTAATTATGTTCTTATACAGGCTATCTAATGTATAGAAAGCTATTCATTTTTATTGATTAATTTTAAATACAACAAACTTATAAAAATTTTTATTGATTTTAATAGGTTTTTAGATTACTCTAGACAATAATGAGAATCTTACTGATTTTTCCAATTTGTATACTTTTTTTAAAAGCCTTGTTATCAATAAGTCAGTTGTAGTCTTATTTATTTTATTACATCTAACTATCACGTTACAAACTAGGTACACAAGCAGATTGTCTTATTCTGTCCTTAAGTATAATAGCATTTTTTTATATTTGTCAGTTGATTTTTTATCTTTTATATATTTTGCATAAACATACTTTATCAATGTATAAAAAGTTTCTTTCTGGCCAGGCGCGGTGGCTCACGCCTGTAATCCCGGCACTTTGGGAGGCCGAGGCCGGCGGATCACGAGGTCAGGAAATCGAGACCATCCTGGCTAACATGGCGAAACCGCGTCTCTACTAAAAATACAAAAAATTAGCTGGGAGTGGTGGCGGGCGCCTGTATTCCCAGCTACTTGGGAGGCTGAGGCAGGAGAATGGCAGAGGAGCTTGCAGTTAGCCAAGATGGCACTACTGCGCTCCAGCTTGGGTGACTCGGTCTCCAAAAAAAAAAAAAAAAAAAAAAAAAAAATTTTTTTCTATACACTAGCTAAGAGATCTTGGTTTTTCCATTAGAAAGTGATAATTTACATTTACCAAGATCATCATATATTTTCTCATTTAATCTCATAATCTACTAAACGGCATTAATAGACTCCACATTGTGAAGCCATTTTTTAATTATTCAGTTAAACCCTGGTTTGCAAAAATGTACCATTATTTTAAAACATAGCTATGTTTAATGCGTTAACATTTTATTTGGATTTCCACATCTACATTCATAAGCAAAACTGACATCTTTTTAATTTTTATGCTATTTTTGTTTGGTTTTATCACCAGGATAATTCTGGCCTCATGAAATGAGTTACAAAATTCTCTATTCTTTTCTGGCTTTGGAATAAACTTAAATTATCTGAAATCATCTGTTTCTACTGGATGGGATGGCTTATTTTAGGAGCATAAGAATTTTTTATTACTTTTTATTATTCTCTAATTTTTATTATATTTCTTTCTGTCATTTCTTGAGTAAATTTGGTCTTGTAATATGGTAATAAATATTTTCCTAGGAAAGAGTCTGTTTTGGAGCAAACACCTAACTTTATTGAGGCTGTAATGAAGGATTGAATAAGCAGACACTTAATTTCATTTTAAACTCTATTATTCTGTGATTATATAATGCTGAGCACGTAGCAAAAATAGAACCTACAGATACCAACATGTTTTCTACCTACCATAGCAGTAATGATTTAGGATATATTAATGTCATTTTGTCTCACTGCTATGTAGTAATAAAAACTCTTCATTTTAAAAATATATACATTAAATAGCATTTCTCGTACCCCAAACCATATTTATTTAAAACCAAAACTTTTAATGACATATTAGAGTTCTTCATATGCAACAAGGCAGATATATATCTGAGGTTTGAATATAAGGAAGTTAGACAACCATCCCAACAAGTTTTGGAAAACACAGATAAACCATACTTAGGATAATTAAAACCAAAACTATAATAGTCACAGAAGAAACTAACTCTCATCATTCTTGAACAAAAAGTGAAAAAATTGAACCTCAATGAATTCTCATTATTTTTTCTACAGTGAAGAATGTTTTCTCAACCTTGTGCTTTAAGAGCCTGGTCTCATACTACTTGCCATGCTTAGTTTCCAAGCTCCTATAGTATATATTTTCAAATTAGTGGAAAGCTACTCACGAACTACAACTCTCAAGAGACACCCATTTCTTCCAGGATTCAATCATCCTCCTGAGCTTCATGTAAGTCAGAGAAATTCATGAATTATTTAAAATTCTCTACTAAAGCATCAGCTGATTTATAAGAACTATTTGTTGTAGCTATTTGCTCAAAATAAGATCATGTTATATCCAGGACATGACTAATTTATGACTATAAGGGAGGTGCAAATCAATACTCCAGCAACTGTAGGGTGGAAAAGTATGTGGTAAGAAAGAGGGAGGAAAAAGTAAAAAGGCTAAGATTCAATTAAGTAGGAATGAATAATTTGCTATGAAAAACTTGATGTCTTTTTCCAAGTTTCTTCTGTTAAATTATTTCCTTCCTGGTATGGCTAGGGGGTCTGGCTACGCTGTGTGTCAATAAGGCTCTGGTGTACCTGGCTCACCTCAGCCATGCGGGAGGGAGAGGGAGGTGGGAAGCCATACTTAGGAAATAGGTCCCTGACATCCTATTAGGATATGAGAAGTCCTCACACTAATGACCTCTTGGAGTTAAGACATAATATTTTTCTCTAAAGTAAATAAATGCTACTCATACAGAAATGCTATCCACCAAGTTATCTAATTAAATTGTTCATGGGTGTCGATACAATTATAAAAATAACATACAAAGAGCTGAACATGGAGGGAATAGACGGGAAAGTTGTGATACAGTTTTTAGGTTGGGGTGAGGGCACCAAAATCAAGAAGTTGTTTAAGAAAGTGATCCAACACAGAAAGCCTTTTCTTTTTCTCTTCTTTCCTTTATCTTCCTTTTGTCTTTCATTCATTAAACATGTGTTTAACAGGCAGCCCTGCTAGTTAGTGTTAATGGAGATACAAATATGAAAAGCTATGGGTTATGCCTAGAGGAAATCACCATTGGAAAAGAATTAAGAACATAATTACTTGTTTTAGCACCAACTATTAATATATCCCACAGGCTTTGTAGTTTTCTAGAGAGAGCAAAATCTCTGACTGTATTCCTATAAACTAGGCTGGACTGGCGCATTAACATAGAATAATTTTCATAAGTACTCGACACCAGATTTGCTAATCACCAGAAAATTCCATTCAAAGCTAAAATATGCACATATGTATTTATAAATATAGCTAGAATAAAGAAAATATAATGTTAATCATTATTTTGAATGAACAATATCCCACAAGTAGTCTGAAATAAATATTACTTTACATTGCGAGTCAAATCACCATTTTAACATAGATTAAGCTTGGGCTGTTGCTGTCTCAGTCATGACTCTAGAAACTAAAAATATTAATCGTTTTTAAAATACTGTTTTATGAATGTGCAAACTGTTGATAACTGTTGCATTGGCAAGACCTCATTCAATCCTCATGACCATCATATGATAAAGGTATCTTTATTTTAAGATAAGGAGACCAGAGATGATTGAGACCACTCGTCTTCCCCAGGACCTCATAGCAAGTAAGTGGTGGAAATGAGATTTAGTCCAAATGTGGCAACTGAGACTTTTCACGGAGCCATTTACCTCCCACAGAAGGTGCTAAAGGTAATCAGGACAGAGGACATGATGAGTTGACCAGAGGAGCAGCCAGAGCGCTGTGAGAATTTGCAGGAAGCAGTGAGAAATACAGACAAGGGCAGTCTGTTGCAGCAGTCTTGCATGCGGTCTGCCCTCTGGTAGCAGGTCTTCTTTGTTCTGTTTTCACTAGGTGTCTGACAATCTGTCTATAGGCTGCTTCATCCAGCAGCCCATCTCCCTTTCTTTTGGCCCTGCCTGTTAGGTTCTGGAGTTCCGGTGACATAAAGACTTCAGACAGATCTCAGGGAACATATTTTATTGCCTCAAAAATTTTCTAAGGCTCCCAAATCCCTGCAGCTATGTTTAGTGTGAGGGAAAGATAAAGCCAGTTTTGGCCAGTAGAGGCCACTAGTGAGCAGTTAGTGGCAGAAGAAGGATATTATATAGAAAGAGGCTAGTGAACAACACAGGGCCAATGGTTAACAGCACGGTGTTGTGCACTTCAGAATTTGTTAAGAGAGTAGCTCTCGTGTCAATTATTTTTACCACAAACAAACAAATAACAAAGAGACACCAGGAAACTTTGGGAGGTGGTGGATATGCCTATAACCTTGATTGTAGTGATGTATCATGGGTGTCTGCATATATTCAAACTCATCAAGTAGTAAATAGTAAACATGTGCAGTTCTTTGTGTACCAGTGATGCCTCAATAAACCTGTTTTCAAAAAAAAAGATGCTAGTGAGAGAATCTGATCCTGGCTGTATTAGGCCAAATGGACAATTTTTTGAGAGAATAACGTCTCTTCTTTTGGGCGCCACAGGGACCTCAGAGGCAAGGCTGTGGAGTTTCTCTGCAGAGCATTATACTAATATGACTGTGTTGCAGCATCACTGAGACTGTTGTCTCTCTGTTAGAGTTTTAATTTCTGCAAGAGAGAAGCTGGCTGTCCCAGCTACAGGAACGTGGCTGTGAGGGCCTGGCCACTAGGGGTGCATCATGTGTATTGTGGCCATGACTCAAAAGGAGGGATTTGTTTTGAGTTGGAAAGATGCCCCTAAGTGAGGCATGCAAACTTCTCCAACTTTATGCTAGCTCTTTGGTAAAATTTGCTTCTAATTGTGCAATGTTCAAGGAGAAAAACTTGTTTCTCAGCAGGTTTCTAGTTTATTCCAGACCTTTGGGGTCTTTGGAGGACAAAAGACAAATGTCCTGCTATCTGAAGCCAGGTAGCAGGACATTTAGGTGATTTAAGGCCTGCCTCCTTTTCTTGGAATGATGTTTATGGATGTTATTTCCATCTCTCTAGTTTTTCCAGATTGACAGACAATCTTACAGTCACTTGGACAGTTCAAATATACTTGAGGACTTTCACATATGAGCTACATAGTCCATAGAGTAGGCTAAGTAGGACTTTCAGACTGAATGAGTATTCAACATCACATTTCAGGAGACTGAACAAGTTCCTCTTGTGTCAGTCAACAGGATGCCTTTCCCCAGTGCACTTCCATACCTCTGAGAAACTCCAAAGGTTTGCATACTTGGATTCATTCCACATGCATTTATTCAGCATGTATGCTGCACCTGGTATCAGGCTAGGTATTGGAAGCACAACAAAGAGTAAGATAGAGTCCTGAACACAGAGACCACATAGTCTACTAGAAAAGACCAATGCATAAGCAGACGATGATGACACAGAGGCAAATACATTGCAAAGGGAGCCCAGGATCCTGACTTCCAGAATGGTGGTAGAAGGAGCTCCATGAACACACTTCCCAACAATAACTGAATGCAATTATAAAACAACTATTTAAGTTGTCCAGAAATGAGTCATGCAACCGATGTAGAAACGTTTATTCAGGAAAATCTACTAAATTGCAGTAAGAAGAGCTGGAGTCTGCAACATTTGAGCCATGACCTATTCCCCTGCTTTCTTGTTCCGGCTCAGTGTGATAGAAGCTCCACTACAGGCAGGCATGGTCAAGAGACAGTTTGCACTCTACGGCTACAGTTCCCTCCTGAGAAGAGCAGGCCACCAACATCCTTGATCTGTCCCTCCAGCTACATAATATAAAAACTCTTTGCCAGGCAGTCACAGCCTAGAGGTCTGAGTCTCCTTTCACCCCCTCCCAGTTCATGGGATAAAAGCTCTACACTAAGTGCAGAAGGTTGAGAATACCGAGCCTTACTGGCCTATCTTAAGCTCACTTGTAGGGCAGAGACTTCATGCTGGGAGAGGTTAGCCAAAAAGGCCAAGGGCTAACATTCCACCTGGTACCCCACTTATAGATAAGGGGCCTCATTGTGGTAGGACTGGGTCTTGTTCCTCATCCTCAGCTCTAGAGCAGTGGTGTGGAGATTAAAATTAGAAATAAGTAACAAAAAGAAATTTGGTAAATTCACAAATATATGGAAATTAAACAACACACTCCCAAATAGCCAATGAGTAAAAGAAAAGCAAACAAGGGAAATTAGAAAATATTTTGAGATGACTGAAAATGTAGGGCCAGGTACGGTGGCTCACGCCTGTAATCCAAGCAATTTGGGAGGCCGAGTTGGGTGGATCACGAGCTCAGGAGTTCAAGATCAGCCTGCCCAACATGGTGAAACCCCGTCTCTACTAAAAATACAAAAATTAGCCAGGAGTGGTGGTGCACACCTATAATCCCAGCTACTCAGAAGGATGGGGCAGGAGAATCACTTGAACCTGGGAGGCGGAGGTTGCAGTGAGCTGAGATCATGCCACTGCACTCCAGCCTGGGCAACAGAGCAAGACTCCATCTCAAAAAAAAAAAAAAGAAAGAAAAGAAAAAGAAAATGTAAACACAACATATCAAAACCATGTAGCTAATGTATTTCTTAGAGGGAAACTTAGAGCTATAAATGCCTATATCTGTAAAGAAGAAAGATCTTAATTCAATTATTTAACTTTCACCTTAAGAAACAGAAAAACAGAAAAGCAAAGTAAACCCAAGGTAAACAGTAGGAAGAAAATAAGAAAGATTCAAGTACTAATTTAAAAATATAGAGAATGAAAAAATAATAAAAATCAATAAATGAATAATCAAAAGTTGGTTCTTCGAAAAAAATCAACAAAATTGAGTTTTACTAGACTGACTCTCTTGTGCCCTTCTCTTCCCTCCAAGAGGATAGAAGATTCAAATTACTAACCTCAGTAATGAAGAAGACAATATCACCACAGATTTTACAGAAATGAAAAGGATTATAAGATTATACTATGAACGACTCTATGTCAAAAATTTGATAACTTAGGTGACATGAGCCAATTCCTGGACAAACACAAACAACTGAAAATGACTCAACAAAAAAATAAACAATTCTAACAGATCTGTAACAAAGAGATTGAATTAGTAACTAAAAATACCTCTCACAAAAAAAGCCCAGGCCCAGATCACTTCACTAATGAATTATACCAAACATGTAAAGAAAAACAAATTATTCACAAGCTGTTCAAAAATCTCATGCTCTGTGGCCAGTATTATTCTGATACACAAACCAGACAAAGACAGCAAGAGGAAAGTAAACTACAGACTAACATTTCTTATACATACACAAGCAAAAATTTTAAACAAACTACTAGAAAACTGAATTCAGGAATATATTAAAAGAATTATGCACCGTGGTCATGTGATATTTATCCCCGGAATTCAAGGTTAGTTGAACATACAAAAATAAATTAATATAATACACCATATTAATAGAATACAGAACAAAAACCCCATGATCAGATTAATAGATGTAGAAGGTGTTGGGCAAAATCCAACTCCTCATCATGATAAAAAAACACTCAACAAAATAAGAACAGAAGGAAACTTCTTCCACCTGAGAAAGCACATCTGCAGAAAATCTACAGCTAACATCCTATGCAGTGTTGAAAGACTAGAGGCTTTCCCCCAAGACCAGTAAAAAGACAAAGATATTGGCTCTGGCCATTGCTGTTCAATATTGTTTTGAAAGTTCTAACAAGAACAATTAGGGAAGAATAAGAAATAAAAGACATCAACATTGGAAAGAAAGAAAAAAACTATCTTAATTTGAAGGGTAAAGTTTGCATATGGACTATCCTAAGGAATTCACCAAAAAGCCTCTAGAAATAATAAACTGGACATTTATTTTGGTTTGGATGTTGAACTTTGCTTCTAAAAAGGCAAGAGTTCAGGATGCAAGATTAATATAGAAAATTCAGTGGTATTTTTATACCCTAGCAATAGACAATTTAAAAATAAAATTAAAAAGAAAATTCCATTTATAATAGCATCTAAAATAATATAACTTTTAGGAATAAATTAACAAAAGTGTAAAAGTTGAACTCTGAAAACCAGAAAACATTGTTGAAAGAAATTAAAGAAAACCGAGTTAATTGGAAAGACATTCCATGTTTACGGATCAGAAGAGTAAGTTAATTTTAGTCTATAGGTTCAACATAATACCTACTAAAATCCCAGTTGGTATTAGGAAAATACAAAGGTCCAAGAATAACCAAAAAATTTCTGGAAAAGAAAAAGTAAAGACTCATACTTCCTAAAATCAAAATACACTACAAACTTTCATTAATTAATGATTAATGATACTGATATAAGTAAAGATATACAGATCAATGAAACAGAATTATGTATCTATAAATAATGCCCTGCATTTATAGTTAATTGACTTTTGACAGTGATTCCAGAGCAATTCAACATGGGAAAGAATAGTCTTTCAACAAATTGTATTGGGAAAACTAAACACACACACACACACACACACACACACATACACACACGAAGTTGAAACCCATTCTTGCACCACACATAAAAATTAACTCAAAATGAAACAAGGATCTAAATGTAAGAGCAAAAATTATAACACTCTTAGAAAAATAGTAGGAGTAAATTGTTGTGACCTTGAGTTAAATAAAAGTTTCTTAGATATGGCACTAGAAGTGCAAGCAAGTAAAGAAAAAAATAGATGAATCAGATTTCATCAAAATTAAAAACTTTTGTGCTACAAACAATACTACCAAGAAAGTAAAAATACAACCCATAAAATGGGAGAAAATATTTAGGAATTATATACATTGATAAAAGCCATGTATCCAGAAAATATAATAAGCATTTATGGCTCAGTAACTAAAAGTCAAGTAACCCAGTTTTTAAAATTGGCAAAGGATATGAATAGATATTTTTCCAATGAAGGCACATAAATGGTCAATAAGCATATGAAAAGATGCTCGATATCATTAGTCTTTAGGGAAATGTAAATTAAACCACATCGAGATAGCAGTTCATGCCCACTTGGATGGCTATAATAAAAAACAGAACAAAACAAACAAAAACAGAAAAGAACAAGTGCTGAGGTTGAGAAGGTATCCTCATACGTTGCTGGTGGGAATGTAAAATTGTGCAGCCACTGTGAGAAAAATTTGGCTGTTTCCCAAAATATTAAATATAAAGTTTCCGTATGATTCCACAATTTCATTCCTAGGTATGTACTCAAGAAAAATCACAGCATAGGTCATCAAAAAAGTTGTACATGAATGTTCATTACAGCATTATCCATAAGAGCTAAAAAGTGGAAACAACCAGAATTTCTATTAACTGACAAATGAATAAATAACATAATGGTATATTTGTACAGTGGAATATTATTTGTCCACAAAAAGAATGAAGTACTGATATGTACTACAACATGGATAAAGCCTGAAACATTATGCTAAGTGTGAGAAGCCAGTCACCAAAGACCATATGATTGCATTATGTAAAATATTCAGAACAGGCAAATAGGTAGACAGAAAGTAAATTAGTGATTGCCTATGGCTGGGTGAGTGTAGAGAGGAGGACTAATTATTAGTGGGTATGAGGTCTTTTATGGGGCTAATGAAAATGTTTTGAAATTAGATTGTGGTGATGGCTGTCCAACTCTGGGAACATAATAGAATCCATTGAATGTTACATTTAAGTGCATGGATTTTTGGGATTTGTGAATGTTATCTCAGAAAATCTGTTTTTTTAAAAAAACAAGGAAGTCAAGATGTACAGACACATGGTTAGGCACATAGCCAAGGCTGGGCAAAGAAGGCAAAGCAAAGGCAGCATCTTCTAGGAGAGGGTAGTGGAGCTGCAACCTAGAGTGATTAGGAGTTAGCCTGGGTAAGGTGAAGAAAGAATGGGTATAGAATTGTAGGCAGAAGAGACAGCAAGTGCAAAGCCAGAGATAAGAGGTGGCACAGCATGTCTAGCTTATGGTAGGCTGGGTATGTGCATAGTATAGAGACACGGCTTGTGGGTGGCAATAAGTAAAGTTGAAGGGATAAAGAAGGACCTGATCTCAAAGGGCTGCTACCATGCTAAGGATTTAGGACTTTAGCCAGAAAGCACTGCTGAGCTGTTAAAAAATTTTAAGCAGGGAAATAGCATATTAGATTTTTGAGACTTAGAATGGTCGCTTTTGTAGCAGGACTGAAGCCAATCAAGCAGGAGGCAGGGAGACAAGTAGGGAGCTGCGCTGTGGTCTGGGAGGGGCTTGAGTAAAGCATGACCCAAAGGTCTTCAAATGAACATGTGCTTCAGTAGAGCCTCTGCCTCACCTGGGTCCATGCTGAGACCAATTCCTGACACCTGAAGTTCAACCAAAAAATTGAAATACTCAATTGTTACATTTAAATACAATGAATACTGTCTTGGAGATGTAAGGTCTGAAGATACTGCTTCAGAACTGGGGCTCATTGTCCCCCAAATTAAGAATGTAGAGGTAGTGATCATCCATCCATAATACAACACACCCCAGTTAGATGTGTCATCTAAGATAAACTTACTTCCACCATGAAACCTACCGGGCTAATCAAGAACTCATATTGCATATACCTAAGAAATGTGGTAATTAATCAACCAACTCTTCTAACTCTCTTCTGTTTAATCAACTATGTCAGGTTCTATTGAGTTTTGTGATTATGAAATGTGGGCTTCTTACATTCTGATTTTGAAAATATAAAATATCATTCTAAAAATGTTCATTTTAAAGCTAGTCAAACATCAGTTACAAACTCTGTTGGCCATGGCATTGAGTCAAATGAGCCTGCCCTCGAGCATACAGAAGGAATACATTGCAGAACTGGACGACACACCAAGGGGCCTGAAAAGCCAGGTGGATGATTTGATTCTTATTAATTATTTGTGGTTTCAAAAATAGCTGTTACATCCAACAGGGGACAAAGTTCTATTTGTGATTAACCTATGGTCATTTCAGTGAAACTACAACAGGTAAGGAAAAATGTTAATGCCAACTGAATTAATGCAGCATTTTCCCCTAATTTATACTTTATTCAACCAATCATTAGTGTGTGTAAGTTCATAAATGGCAAGATCCTAACTTTACAGATGACATGGTAATAAATTAATTTATAGACAACAATAGGACAAGGACTAAATATTGGAGAACATGTGTCTAATAAGCAGTCTGGCCTTCCCTTAGGGGCCAGGAATCTCTCAGGATAGTCCAGTTGACCTAATTTCAGGCTCCTCCATCTTGTACTATCTTGTTATGGGGATTCGTGGGGAGCCTCTGCAGGGGATTCAAACTCAAAAAAACTCAAATCATTTTAAAGAGTTCCAACCATATAAAATTGAGTCCTGACATGCCTCTTCATCCCATTCACCTCCTGAGGGCCAGCTCTTCAAACTCAAGTACCTATGGTTTCCTTAGGGAAATGCTTCTGATAGTCCCATGTCACTTTCCCAGTGTCATGGCCATGAAGATGTCCTGCTCAGATCTCTGACTGAAGGGAGAATAACCAGCTCCGTTGGTGCGTATGTCTGATGCCTCCCTTCCCAGAGGCTGCTACCAGCCTACAACAGAACACGGCAGGGAGATGGGGACTCCTCTGACCAGTGACTCTGGCTCAGGTACTCCCTGAGACACTTACACCTGCACTTTGATCTGATGACTCTCCTAGCTTCTGCTGTCTCTCTCTCCTTTTTCCTAACGAGGATTTTGGTCTCTGCCTCTTGGAGAACCTGAAGCAACACACCTGTTATATATTCTCCTGACACCATGTTCTCCTATCCTTTCTATAACATGCATTTCCTTTTATACCTGCATGTTTATTTGTGTAATTGTTTGATTAATGTCTATTTCTCCTGCTAGGCTGATAGACCTTGAAGAGCGAAGACTGCATCTGTTTTGCTCCCATTATAATTTGTATGGCTAGTACAGAGCCTGGCATATACCAGCTGCTCAATAAATACTTTTTGAATTAGTAAAGAAAGAATTTAGAAATGAAGAAACTCAAATTAATTATGATGGTTGGCATGTCAGAGTAGTAAGGGGTGACTAAAGAGTTTTGAGCATTCTTTTGAGATTATCAGAGGATTTTTTTTCTCTGAGCAAATGGAATGATAAGCATATTATCATAAATCTGAAGAAAAGGTTTAGTCATATTCAATTATTTTTTCAAAAACAATTCTTTTTCCATAGCCCTTCTTTCTCTCTGTCAGGTGCCCTTTCTTATTTTCTCTCCATTAAATTCTTTCTCACTCAGGTAAATCTGGGTTTGAATGCCAGTTTGGCGATTTGCAAGTCCTTAATCTGTTTGAAAACTAATTCTTCATTTTTAGCAACAATATAATTAGCAATTATAATAGTATCTAACTCACCTGTTATTACATAATGAATGTGAAGTGTTAATCACATGGCCTAGCATACAATTTTTACTCAATAAATGTTATTAGTACTTTTATTATTATCATCAACACTGTATTAATAGAATACCACCTACTTGTAGCCAAATTAGAATCACATTTCTAAAACTTTAAGCTTGTAATTATCTCATCTTTCATATATTCACAGGTAAGAAAAACTTTATTCTGGAACTTGTGAGTTGAGGGTAAGAACGTGTATTTACAAAGTAATGAAAGTATGTGAGAAGAAGAAGATGAAGGCTTTTCTGATCATTACATCTTCTAAAAAGGGTATACAATATGATTTTAAGATCCAGAAATAATCTAGACAAATATCATTTTTCCCTGTTTTCCTCTCCTTACTTTATTCTGAAATTATATCATTAGAATGTCATCCCTGAGTAAATATCTTGAGAGTGATAGCACTTTGAGCTCTTGGTAGCCTGAAAAGGGATCATTTCTGTTTGAATTCTATAGAGGCTTCTAGAAACATCTCTGTACTCTACCCATGTTCACCTGCCCCAGGGAAATTGATGATGCTTCTTAGAGCACATTGCTAGTTTTGTGACATGAATAACTGAGTCATTCTCAGATCAGAAATGATACTCACAATAACAAAATTTGTTCTTTAAAAGAACAAATATGTAAACCAAATAACCCTCAAATTAAAAGCACAGACCCTGAGAAGTGGCAGACTTCTTGGAGGTGATTTATTTCAACCTTCTAACAATTCAGTCTTTTCTGTGATATTGACCTGAGAGGCATCCAACATTGCCCTGCTGTTACTTGGCTATAGAGGGAGGGCTTTCGAATAGAAACACCTGTGGACACAGTCCTGCCTCTGCCACCAACATCTGTGTTCTTAAGCATGCCATGTAATTTTGAGGTTCTGTTTCCTCACTAGCGAAAGAAAAATTCTTTGAATTTGGTGTTCCTATGACTTTATCTATTCCAATGACGGGGAACTCACTACCATCTTCATTGGAGAGCTGGATTGCTGGTGACAACATCTGTTACATTGAATCAAAAAATGTTTCCTCAATATTCCCTATGTCTTGGTTTGCTTCTTGGAGTTACTCAAAATGAAATGAGGTACTCTTCAAATATTTGGATATTGCTGATGTGCTCCCCTGTTCTTTGCTTCCTCAAGCTAAGCAAACACAAGGAAATAAGTCTCGTTCTGTGTGACATGAGTCGTGGATCCCTGCCATCTGCCTTTGGGCACATCTTTGTTTGCCAATATCCTTCATAAAATGTACTTCCGAGAACCAAACACAATACTATATATAATAGATAGAATTAAGATGAACAATCTAAATTACAACACATTTTTATAGCTCAGCTCTAAGCACATCTGTTGCTTAGTCAGTCCTCCATTGGTTGAAACAGGGACTACACAAATGCTCAGCCCCAGGTTACCAATAAGCTGTTGCTCATTTGTTCAACAAGTGCCTTAACTTTACAGGCTAACTCCGTTTCCCAGGAGTCTGCATTCTGAGTCAAAGCCATAATCTTCATCTGAGAACAGCACTATTTCTTAAGTAATTCTTAGATTGTTTTCTAGCTGAGCTCTGACCACTTTCAGAAAATTTTTTTTTCACTTTCAGAAATTTTTAACAAACATGCTGGTCCTTGGAAATGGATTTCTCATACATGTTCAATATAAGTTTACCAATGACTTATAATTATTTAAATATCATAAACCAAGAGATGTCAGTGAAGCAGTCATTAATATAATAGTGTAACTGACTAATTTGAAAACATGCATATATTATGAGTGCTTTGGGTACAAGAATGAGAAAAATTACAGATAGCCTGTAAAAGGGAGATTAACAGCTAGTATGGAGACTCAAGCCTCAAAGAAAACTTTACTCAGTTTCCCTAGGTGGCACAGTCTTACATATCCTTCATGTCCCTGATGATATTGATCCCAATATGTGGGTAGACTAGATAGAAATGATACATAGAATTGATTTTATTGATATGCCAAGGTAAATGGTCAATCAATATTTGCTGTATTGAATTGTAAGAAGTAGACTAACCACTTACAACCATGTTTTTAAATCATCTTGAGGATGAGTTCATATAAACCATGGAGATATGAAAGAGGTCCTGGTTGAAAACATGGGTCTTGAGTATGAAGGTCTTGGCTTTATAAATTCATCTGACTACTGTGCATATTACATTACTTCTCTATACCTTACATTCTTTTTCTGTAAAACAAGGCTAATAAAAGCCAATCTTCTTATTTGGGTTATGAGAATTAAATGAGTGAAATATCTTAGCAAAACACTTAGCCAAATGTTTGGAAATAGAGAATGTTCAATGAATTGTAGGAAATATTGTGTGTGTGATAAGCTTGCAAGTAGCCAGTCTGTCTGCCCATCCACATCTTGCCTAGAACGCTAAAGAAATTCTTATTGAATTCATTAAAGGACTAGTAGATTTTCACTGAAAATGTCCCATGTTTACTTTAAGAAGATAATAAAAACAATAATAATATGAGTAGTGAAATTGTTACATAATGCTTACTATGTGCTGGACACCATTCTAAGTATTTCACATTTGTTAATTTGGTTAACATAGAAGAAACAATTCATTAGTTACACCACTTGACTGCCTCAATAAATGCAAAATCCAGTAAGAAAGAAAATAGTATTTGATTTGGTAATTTTTTAGTCTTCTTATTAATACATCTTAATTTTATCTATTTATTAATAATCTGACACTGATTTATAATATTAGAAAGCTGATTGCCCATCATGTGATCTTCTATGTAGATACAAAATGTTTAACATTCTAAGATAAAGTTGAATTCAATAGAGGTAGAATATTTCTTGAGGAAATTAAAGTACCTACTAATGTGTTATCCAGAAATGGGGAAGGGAAATGGAATTTCCTCAGGGTCCCTCAAAGCAGTAGAATACAAGATTGAGAATGTGCAAAATGGACTGATCCTTCATTGCATTTCCTGGGGGTGCGAAAGACTCTCAGATGCAGCTGTCATACTGAGCCTTCATGAACAATCTGTTCTAAAATGACAAAAATATGACTTGTGGGCAGGGCAATCATTTAATTTCCAGCAGAGGAAAATAAGGACAGTGTACTTGGTGATTATTCCCCATCCTAATGTAATTTACTGTGTCTCGGTTTTCAGTTATCATCCTATTCAAGGTTACAAAATGTTAGTAGACTGAACTCAATGCCTTATTCCTGCATTGAAAAAACATTGTTAGAACTTTTAAGTGTTTAAAATTATTGACTGTCTCAATTAATTCAAGAAGCATTCTGTCTTGACAAAACATTCCATTACCAAGTTCTTGTACCTAATCCTCTGCCTACAGGCTGGCAAATAAATTGGGCAAGACAGATATAAGTGTCCAATATATCTGGCCTAGTGTTCATATTCATGAGTTCTAGGCCTGAAAATTTGACAAATTCCTGAGGTAACACACTCTAGATCCTAATCACATTTATAGTCAAGATGCTTTCCTCCAGGTCTTGACAAATTAGTTTCAGAATTAGTTCCCCTTATTCAGCTTCCTTAACTCTAATACTCCTAACTCTACACTGCAGCTGGTCTAGCTTATTCTGCTGAGTATGGATAACACCCTCCCAGCCACTCTGTCTCCTGCATGCCTTCTCCATTGCAGCCCACCCTCTGAGATCAAAGTGGCAGGGGGTGGGGGAGTATGCTAGAAGTCTGGTGCTCACTATCTCAGAGCCACTTCTGATCTCAGCTCTATCATATACACTAGGCTTTAGGATTTGCTTTCTACACACTGAATAGAAGCCAGTCACTAGACAGATGAGTTTAAAATAAATTGTGAAGTGATGTAATTATGATATGCATAGTTAGATTGTTATTAACAAATCTGCTTCCTTCAGGATGAACTTATTAGCATTCATTACTGATAGCACTTTACAGTTTTTAAACTATGGCCAGTGAGCTCAAAATGCTTTTTTGTGTTTTGAAATGCTAAATCCTTATAGCATAGTATCTAAGTAGACAAAACTGTAAGTTATTCTAAGGCCGCTACACATTGGTTATGATCTATTCAGTATTTTTAGAAGAGATGTTTATTGAGAGCCTTTCATCTTGGCTTGTGCTAGACAAAGGGAAAGTGATGGCTAAGACAGTCCCTGTTCTTGAGGAGCTTCTCATGTTCTAGAAGAGGGGAATATACAATGGAGTCATTAGGGACCAGGAGGCATGTGCAATGTATAGACACAGTGAATTCTGTGAGGGCCTTGAGGGAGAAACCTACCCCAGCCCAGGGTATGAGTCAGAGTCAGCCAGGCAGAGAGGGGAAGGCCATTCCCGACAGGGAGATGCTTGAGCAAAGGTGAGGAGCATAAAATGGCACAGTGCTGGGGGGAAATTCTCCAAGGAGTTTCGTGGTGCCTTCTGCATATTGCATTGTGGTGGCTGTGGAAAATAAAGTAATTTGAGAAATAATAGAGGTAAAAGAGTTCACCGCTGATTTATTTAGGACGAGTCAATGAGAAAGGAAGAATTGAGGCTGACTCACAGGTTTCCACAAGGTGCCTGGTGGTGGTGTAGACTAAACCATAGAATACAGAAGGAAAGGGGTTGGGAGGGAAATGCTTTCAGTCATGTTCACAATAAGTGTGGTATAGGTAAGAGGCAAGTGGATGTATAGTCCATGTTTAGGGGGATAAATTTATATAGAATTAGGAGTTGTCTACAGAGAGATAGTAACAGAAACCATGAGAGGGCATGAGTGCATAAGTCAGGTGAGTGGATGAGATCGTAAGGGATCAGCAACATTTAGGGATTAAATGGATGCTCATGTGTCTGCTTCAAAAACTCATATTTTGACTTCCTTCAATATAATGACCTGTGGTATTATAAGCATTTTGTGCGCCCTCCACAAAGATGTTCACATTCGAATCTCCAGAACTTGCAAATATAACTGTTTACAGGGCAAAAGGGAATTAAGATTGCAGAGGGAATTAAGGTTACTAATAATCTGGCCTTAAAATTGGGAGGTTATCCTGGATTATGCAAATGTGCTCTGTGTAATCACAAGGGTTCCTGAAAGTAGATGAAGAGTGCAAAAGAGTCAGTGTCAGAGTAATGTTAGGTGAGAAAGACTCGGCCAGAGTTTGCTGGCTTTGAAGATGGAGGAAGGGAGCCAGTAGCCAAAGACTGAGGGTGAAGGTGAACTCTAGAAGCCAGAGAAGGCAAAGAAAGGGCTTCTCCTCTAGACCTTCCAGAAGGCATGCAGTCCTACTGATGCCTTGATTTTAGCCCATGAGACCAATGAGACCCATTTCAGACTTCTGATTTCTCAAACTATAAAGTAACACATTTTTGTTGTCTTGAGCCAGTAAGTTTGTGGCAATATGTTACAACAGCAATAGATGACTAATACTGAACCGTATCTTGGTTTCTCTTTGTATGCTCGGCATTCAGTAACTGTCTGTGATACACAAGCTCAAAAAATTAACTTATAAATGAACAAATATGGAACTTAAGATCCTAAAGATATGTATCATTTGTCCAGAAAATTGAGATTGTGCCAGCATAGAAACACATGATCATTTACTTTTTCCATTCTATATTTAGATTTTCTTTCTTTTGTTTTTGTTTTGAAATATTCAGTCTTGAAAAATCAAACAAAGGTGATGCTATACCAAGATCCTAAAGAATACAAGCACATTTTATTTATAAATTGTTGACATTACAGAATCCATTAGCATTTATTTCTAAATACCAATTATTGGAAGAGTAGTTGTTGTTTCATGTCATTATTTATATTTTGTGACAATCCTGCTTCCCAGTTAGATTTTAAGCCTTTAGAGGGCAGGGAGCTTGCCTTATGCCACATTGCGTCCCTGATTCCTGCAAAAATGACCAGTGAAATTTTCTTAAAGAGAACCTGCTATGGGTCAGAAAAGAGTTTATCTTGCCTTTGAGTTGAAGACAGTGGTATGTAATAGCTACCTCACATTGACCCATGAGAGACCATCAGCGTATATTTAGGAATTTTGTGAACCAGTTGATGTTAGGAATTTCTAGGGCTTTTGTGAGCCAGTAGCTTGAAATTGGCCATGATGGGATTATTTACACCACAAAAATTGGCAAATAATACAAGTCAGCTTCTCATTTCAAGAGGCACATCTACAAGGATTTCATGAAGTTCCACAAGTTTTTGCCTTGGAGCATTCCTGGGTTACTTACTTAATGGTTGCATTGTATTTGCTGTCTGAAGACTGGGCTGTTGGAGTTGTCTTCAAAACTAGTCATTTATATTTTCAGTTTTTAGCCACTTAACAGGAAACTGGACTGGTTTAAAGAATCCATGAGAGTATGATGGATTAAAGTGGAGTCTGATCGACTTCATGAAAACACATTTGGAACAAATATCTCTATAATATTGAGGCAAGTTAAAATCCTTTATTTGAATAAGGATTTATTTCAAGTATTTCCACTCACTGTCCTATTTTAAAAGAATTCATCCTTAATGAAATAACTCTTCCAAACTAACTCTGGTATTGTCCTTTAAAACAATTTCATTAGGAGTAGTAACAGGAACAATAAATTAAACCACAAAACAGTTTCTTTTCAGCAAAAGTTAGAGTTGTTCCATTTAGTAGCTTATGGTTGTTGATTGATTTCCAGATATATTATATATCTTCATGTAGCTCCCAGGAGAGTCATTTTCTTTAATGACTATTATTGTCCTTGTTTATTATCCTCTCAGCTCATTCTCATCTGACTCTTTGTCAGAGAGAACTGCCACATTCCTAATTCTACTTAAATGAATAAAAAGCAAAGACCTAAAATCCAGTTCAAAAAGTATAAAGATTGTGTATCTGGGAACTTTAGTGGTAAGTCCTATCATTAATATACTGTGTGCCCCGAGCAAATTAATTGATTTGTAATATAATATTGCCACTTCAAAAATGGAAATTAAATAATTTCCTAAACAACTGTCTAATTTATTATTATTGAGCTATTTAGGAACATAGATTGTACTATGTTCATGCAGTAAGAAGAAAAAATAAAATGTATATGCCCTCAAGATTTATATAATCAACTAAGGTAAATAAAATAAAAAATAATTAAACAAGTTGAAATAAGACAAGGGTAATAATAGTGTATTTTGAAAAGAATGCAGATTTTGAAAGGTAGACAGGCCTAGGTTTAAATCCCAACATTATCATTCATGAGTGCATCAGCTTCGGTAAGTTTTGTTTCTTCAAAGTTTGGTATTATGGATGAAACACCACATGTAAAGCACCGAGCACATAGTAAGCACTGAAAAAATGGAAATTCCCATTAATATTACAATTCTAGACAAGACATATTTAAGACAAAATAAAATGGATTTAGAATTCTTATTAATGTGGTATAATAGAAAGTACAAGGAACCGGAAGGCAGGAGAGCAAGTTCTAAATCCTGTTTGTCCCTAAATAGCTGTTTAACCTCGAACAGATTAATTGATGATTTTAGGACTCCTTTTACTCTACAGTAAAGGCTTGTGTGGAAAGGAAAGGGGATTTGCTAGATATTTTGTAAGGTCTCTTTCATTGCTAAATATCTTATTTAGATTTATGTGTACCTTTATATAGAAATTTGATAAAAATAGTAGCCCAATATCAAAGGACAAATGCTGATGACTAAAAATTATTATTACATGCTACTTTACATAACCCCTGCAGTTAACATGTTCTCACTCTTCCCTTGGCTTTTGCTGAGCACAAAGGATTTCATGCAGTTCCACAGGTTTTTGCCTTGGAGCTTTCCTGGGTCACTTCCTTGATGGTTGCATTGCATTTGCTGACTGAAGACTGGGCTATTGGAGTTGTCTTCAAAACTAGTCATTTATATATTCATAACCTTTCTATTAGACTTCTACCTCCTGCCAAAATGAAGTGAGAGGGTCTATAGTATTACATCCTGCCTGAAACAATTTTAAAAAGAGATAAAAATGTGTGAAACAACAGTTTTCAATATATTGGACAAAAGGTACTAAATGCTACTGATCCCTGAAATAGGAAACAAATGAGGTCAGTCCGAACAATGGCCAAGTTCACTAACTTGAGATAATTGGCAAAGTGTGATGCAGGCAGAAGGAAGACAGGTGGAGTTTGACAAATAACTTAAGTTGAGCAGATGGAGCTAAGAGTTAGGAGAGAAAAGGGCAGCTGGTGTTGACGGGACAGAGTTGGAAGAGGAGGTAGCTGTACAGAGAGAAACGCCAATGATCTCTGTATAGAGTCCTTCTCAATGATTCAACATGATTTTTATCAACATTCATGCATGAGGAAAAAACATGAGGCTGAGGGAAGAACCAACTGAAAGGATTCAAGGGAATAATACACGGAATCTCACAAGTATGGGAATAGTGTTTGTTCCCATGAGTAAGACTGGAAAACCTCATTAATTTATAGCACATTGAGTACAGCACTTAGCAAAGTTCTGACTATGAAGTGGGGAGTAATTTTCTCTAAATATTGCTGAAATCCTGTGTAATAAACTTTTAGACAATAACTGCTCTACTGGAAATAAATTCGGCAGCAAAAAAAGTGGCACCACCTTACCAAATCTGTCCCCCATTCCCAGGAAATGCTGTGAGTGGAGAGTCTGGACTTCCACCCTTCTAGGCTGTATTGAGACATCCATCACCACCACCACTAGAGTGGTGACAAATAAAACTGGAAACCCTCAGCAAAGAAACAGAAGATATGAAGATGAACCAAATAAATATTATTCCTTAAAAATCTCAATGGATGAGTTCAATAGCAAAATGGAGAGAGAAGGGGAAAGAATCAATGAAGTGGAAGATAGAACAATGGAAATTACCAATTCTGAACAACAGAAAGCAAATAGATTAAAATAAAATTGAACTGAGATTTCTGGACATGTGTGACTATAACAAAAGATCTAACATTCTCATCATTACATTTCTAGAATGAGAAGAGAAAGAGGGTGGGACTGATAATGTATTTGGAGAAATGATGGCTTAAAATTTCCCAAATTAGGCAAAAAAAAAAACCCACATACAGATTGAAGAAAAAGAACAAATCCCAAACAAGAGAAGCCCAAAGAAATATCATAGTGAAATTTCTGAAAATTAATGTTAAAGAAAAAAACAGACAGACATGATAAATTATATATAAAAGAAAACAATTTGAATGACGACAGATTTCTCATCAAAAGCCATGGAGTCCAGAAAATTGTAGCATAACATTTTTAGAGTGTTGAAAGCAAAAGAAGTGTCAACCTAAAAATCTATTTTCAGCAAAAATATTCAAAAATTAAACATAATGCAAGACATTCTGAGACAAAGAGAAACTAAAATACTTTGTTGCTAGTAGACCCAAACTATAGGAATGGTTGATGGAGGTTCTCTAAACAGAAATGAAATGACAAAAAATTGCCTTGAAACATCAGGAAGAAAGAGAGACTATGGAAAGAACAAATATATAAAAAAATAAAAGAAACTTTTCTTTTCCTCTTGAGTTTTCTAAACTACAGTTGACAACGGAAGCAAAAATTATTTAACACTACCTAATGCCTGACATGATTTTTGATACTATATGTAGAAGAAATATTTATAATAATTATAAGTGAGAGAGGAGACATAAAGTTTGCTCTACTTCACTCAAATCAGTAAAACATCAACATTAGTGGGCTTTGATAAATTATAAATATTTAATATAATACCTATGGAAATCAGTAAAAATCTATACACAGAGATACACTCAAAAATATTATAGATAGAATGGAATCCCAATAAAAATGTTCATATAACTGACAGAAAAATAGAACAAAAATGAGAAATGATAAATAGAATCAATAAACAGAAAACAATAAAGTGTCAGGTTTAAGCCTTAATATTTCAATAATTTCATGAAATGTAAATGGTTGAAATGCACCAATTAAAAGATATATAGGTATAGTAGATATAGAGAACATGACCCAACTAAATGCTATCTACAAGAGCCACTTCAAATATAGTGATATGGGTAGGCTCAAAGAAAATGGATGGAAAAAGATTCATCATGCAAGTATTAATTTTAAAAACAAAGCAGGAATGGCTATATTAATGTCAGATAAAGTAGACTTCAGAGCAAAGAAAATTATCAGAGGCAGAGAGGGACATTATATAATGACAAAAAGATCAGCCCACAAACAAAGACTTGGCAGTCCTAGGTATGTAAGCACCCAAGTAACAGAGTTACAAGATAACTGAAATACAAACAGAAAAAAAAAGAAGAATAAATAGATAAATCTACAAATACAGTTAGAGGCTTCAACATTCTTCTCTCAAAAATTAAAAAAAAAACAACTAGACATAAAATCAGCAAAATTGAAGAATGTATAAATCAAAAAGTGGCTGAGGAATATCTCAATAGACTAGAGGTTTATTTTGCCAAAGTCGAGTACATGTCCAGGTAAAAGAAACACAAGTCACTGTAGAGTCTGTGACCTGTGCTTTCTCCAAAGAGGGTTTTGGGAACTTCAGTATTTAAAGGGGAAAGAGCAAGCAGTAAGAGAAGAAAAGAAAAACAAGAAGGGAGGATAGGCAATGAGGCCAGTGGTTGCATTCTTTATTTTTATTTTTATTTATTTATTTATTATTATTATACTTTAAGTTTTAGGGTACATGTGCACAACATGCAGGTTTGTTACATATGTATACATGTGCCATGTTGGTGTGCTGCACCCATTAACTCGTTATTTTGCATTAGGTATATCTCCTAATGCTATCCCTTCCCCCTCCCCCCACCCCACAACAGTCCCTGATGTGTAATGTTCCCCTTCCTGTGTCCATGAGTTCTCATTGTTCAATTCCCACCTATGAGTGAGAACATGCGGTGTTTGGTTTTTTGTCCTTGCGATAGTTTGCTGAGAATGATGGTTTCCAGCCTCATCCATGTCCCTACAAAAGACATGAACTCATCCTTTTTTATGGCTGCATAGTATTCCATGGTGTATATGTGCCACATTTCCTTAATCCAGTCTATCATTGTTAGACATTTGGGTTGGTTCCAAGTCTTTGCTATTGTGAATAGTGCTGCAATTAACATACGTGCGCATGTGTCTTTATAGCAGCATGATTTGTAATCCTTTGGGTATGTAACCAGTAATGGGATGGCTGGGTCAAATGGTATTTCTAGTTCTAGATCCCTGAGGAATCGCCACACCGACTTCCACAATGGTTGAACTAGTTTACAGTGACACCAACAGTGTAAAAGTGTTCCTATTTCTCCACATCCTTTCCAACACCTGTTGTTTCCTAACTTTTTAATGATCACCATTCTAACTGGTGTAAGATGGTATCTCATTGTGGTTTTGATTTGCATTTCTCTGATGGCCAGTGATGATGAGCATTTTTTCATGTATTTTTTGGCTGCATAAACGTCTTCTTTTGAGAAGTGTCTGTTCATATCCTTCACCCACATTTTGATGGGGTTGTTTGTTTTTTTCTTGTAAATTTGTTTGAGTTCATTGTATATTCTGGATATTAGCCCTTCGTCAGATGAGTAGGCTGAAAAAATTTTCTCCCATTTTGTAGGTTGCCTGTTCACTCTGATGGTAGTTTCTTTTGCCCTGCAGAAGATCTTTAGTTTAATTAGATCCCATTTGTCAATTTTGGCTTTTGTTGCCATTGCTTTTGGTGTTTTAGACATGAAGTCTTTGCCCATGCCTGTGTCCTGAATGATATTGCCTAGGTTTTCTCCTAGAGTTTTTATGGTTTTAGGTCTAACATGTAAGTCTTTAATCCATCTTGAATTAATTTTTGTATAAGGTGTAAGGAAGGGATCCAGTTTCAGCTTTCTACATATGGCTAGCCAGTTTTCCCAGCACCATTTATTAAATAGGGAATCCTTTCCCCATTGCTTGTTTTTGTCAGGTTTGTCAAAGATCAGATAGTTGTAGATATGCGGCATTATTCCTGAAGGGTCTGTTCTGTTCCATTGGTCTATATCTCTGTTTTGGTACCAGTACCATGCTGTTTGGGTTACTGTAGCCTTGTAGTATAGTTTGAAGTCAGGTAGCGTGATACTTCCAGCTTTGTTCTTTTGGCTTAGGATTGACTTGGCAATGCGGGCTCTTTTTTGGTTCCGTATGAACTTGAAAGTAGTTTTTTCCAATTCTGTGAAGAAAGTCATTGGTAGCTTGATGGGAATGGCATTGAATCTGTAAATTACCTTGGGCAGTATGGCCATTTTCATGATATTGATTCTTCCTACCCATGAGCATGGAATGTTCTTCCATTTGTTTGTATCCTCTTTTACTTCATTAACCAATGGTTTGTAGTTCTCCTTGAAGAGGTCCTTCACATCCCTTGCAAGTTGGATTCCTAGGTATTTTATTCTCTTTGAAGCAATTGTGAATGGGAGTTCACTCATGATTTGGCTCTCTGTTTGTCTGTTATTGGTGTATAAGAATGCTTGTGATTTTTGTACATTGACTTTGTATCCTGAGACTTTGCTGAAGTTGCTTATCAGCTTAAGGAGATTTTGGGCTGAGACGATGGGGTTTTCTAGATATACAATCATGTCATCTGCAAACAGGGACAATTTGACTTCCTCTTTTCCTAATTGAATACCCTTTATTTCCTTCTCCTGCCTAATTGCCCTGGCCAGAACTTCCAACACTATGTTGAATAGGAGTGGTGAGAGAGGGCATCCCTGTCTTGTGCCAGTTTTCAAAGGGAATGCTTCCAGTTTTTGTCCATTCAGTATGATATTGGCTGTGGGTTTGTCATAGATAGCTCTTATTATTTTGAGATATGCCCCACCAATACCTAATTTATTGAGAGTTTTTAGCATGAAGGGTTGTTGAATTTTGTCAAAGGCCTTTTCTGCACCTATTGAGATAATCATGTGGTTTTTGTCTTTGGTTCTGTTTATATGCTGGATTACGTTTATTGATTTTCGTATGTTGAACCAGCCTTGCATCCCAGGGATGAAGCCCACTTGATCATGGTGGATAAGCTTTTCGACGTGTTGCTGGATTCTGTTTGCCAGTATTTTATTGAGGATTTTTGCGTCAATGTTCATTAAGGATATTGGTCTAAAATTCTCTTTTTTTGTTGCGTCTCTGCCGGGCCTTGGTGTCAGGATGATGCTGGCCTCATAAAATGAGTTAGGGAGGATCCCCTCTTATTCTATTGATTGGAATGGTTTCAGAAGGAATAGTACCAGCTCCTCCTTGTACCTCTGGTAGAATTCGGCTGTGAATCCATCTGGTCCTGGACTTTTTTTGGCTGGTAAGCTATTAATTATTGCCTCAATTTCAGAGCCTGTTATTGGTCTATTCAGAGATTCAATTTCTTCCTGGTTTCGTCTTGGGAGAGTGTATGTGTGGAGGAATTTATCTATTTTTTCTAGATTTTCTAGTTTATTTGCGTAGAGATGTTTATAGTATTCTCTGATGGTAGTTTGTATTTCTGTGAGATCAGTGGTGATATCCCCTTTGTCATTTTTTTATTGCATCTATTTGATTCTTCTCTCTTTTCTTCTTTATTAGTCTTGCTAGCGGTCTATCAATTTTGTTGATCTTTCCAAAAAACCAGCTCCTGGATTCATTGATTTTTTGAAGGGTTTTTTGTGTCTCTATTTCCTTCAGTTCTGCTCTGATCTTAGTTATTTCTTGCCTTCTGCTAGCTTTTGAATGTGTTTGCTCTTGCTTCTCTAGTTCTTTTAATTGTGATGTTAGGGTGTCAATTTTAGATCTTTCCTGCTTTCTCTTGTGGGCATTTAGTGCTATAAATTTCCCTCTACACACTGCTTTGAATGTGTCCCAGAGATTCTGGTATGTTGTGTCTTTGTTCTCGTTGGTTTGAAAGAACATCTTTATTTCTGCCTTCATTTCATTATGAACCCAGTAGTCATTCATGAGCAGGTTGTTCAGTTTCCATGTAGTTGAGCGGTTTTGAGTGAGTTTCTTAATCCTGAGTTCTAGTTTGATTGCACTGTGGTCTGAGAGACAGTTTGTTATAATTTCTATTTTTTTACATTTGCTGAAGAGTGCTTTACTTTCAACTATGTGGTCAATTTTGGAATACGTGTGGTGTGGTGCTGAGAAGAATGTATATTCTGTTGATTTGGGGTGGAGAGTTCTGTAGATGTCTATTAGTTCCGCTTGGTGCAGAGCTGAGTTCAATTCCTGGATATCCTTGTTAACTTTCTGTCTCATTGATCTGTCTAATGTTCAGAGTGGGGTGTTAAAGTCTCCCAATATTATTGTGTGGGAGTCTAAGTCACTTTGTAGGTCACTAAGGACTTGCTTTATGAATCTGGGTGCTCCTGTATTGGGTGCATATATATTTAGGATAGTTAGCTCTTCTTGTTGAATTGATCCCTTTACCATTATGTAATGGCCTTCTTTGTCTCTTTTGATCTTTGTTGGTTTAAAGTCTGTTTTATCAGAGACTAGGATTGCAACCCCTGCCTTTTTTTGTTTTCCATTTGCTTGGTAGATCTTCCTCCATCCCTTTATTTTGAGCCTATGTGTGTTTCTGCACGTGAGATGCGTTTCCTGAATAGAGCACACTGATGGGTCTTGACTCTTTACCTAATTTGCCAGTCTGTGCCTTTTAATTGGAGCATTTAGCGCATTTCCATTTAAGGGTAGTATTGTTATGTGTGAATTTGATCCTGTCATTATGATGTTAGCTGGTTATTTTGCTCGTTAGTTGATGCAGTTTCTTCCTAGCTTGATGGTCTTTACAATTTGGCATGTTTTTGCAGTGGCTGGTACCGGTTGTTCCTTTCCATGTTTAGTGCTTCCTTCAGGAGCTCTTTTAGGGCAGGCCTGGTGGTGACAAAATCTCTCAGCATTTGCTTGTCTGTAAAGTATTTTATTTCTCCTTCACTTATGAAGCTTAGCTTGGCTGGATATGAAATTCTGGGTCTAAAATTCTTTTATTTAAGAATGTTGAATATTGGCTCCCACTCTCTTCTGACTTGTAGAGTTTTTGCCAAGAGATCAGCTGTGTCTGATTGGCTTCCCTTTGTGGGTAACCTGACCTTTCTCTCTGGCTGCCCTTAACATTTTTTCCTTCATTTCAACTTTGGTGAATCTGACAATTATGTGTCTTGGAGTTGCTCTTCTCGAGGAGTATCTTTGTGGTGTTCTCTGTATTTCCTGAATTTGAATGTTGGCCTGCCTTGCTAGATTGGGGAAGTTCTCCAAGATAATATCCTGCAGAGTGTTTTCCAACTTGGTTCCATTCTCCCTGTCACTTTCAGGTACACCAATTAGATGTAGATTTGGTCTTTTCACATAGTCCCGTATTTCTTGGAGGCTTTGTTCATTTCTTTTTATTCTTTTTTCTCTAAACTTCTCTTCACGCTTCATTTCATTCATTTCATTTTCCATCGCTGATACCCTTTCTTCCAGTTGATCGCATCAGTTACTGAGGCTTGTGCTTTCGTCACGTAGTTCTCGTGCCGTGGTTTTCAGCTCCATCAGGTCCTTTAAGGACTTCTCTGCATTGGTTATTCTAGTTATCCATTCGTCTAATTTTTTTTCAAAGTTTTTAACTTCTTCGCCATTGGTTCGAACTTCCTCCTTTAGCTCGGAGTAGTTTGATCTTCTGAAGCCTACCTCTCTCAACTTGTCAAAGTCATTCTCCATCCAGCTTTGTTCCTTTGCCGGTGAGGAGCTGCATTCCTTTGGAGGAGGAGAGGTGCTCTGATTTTTAGAGTTTCTGGTTTTTCTGCTCTGTTTTTTCCCCATCTTTGTGGTTTTATCTACCTTTGGTCTTTGATGATGGTGATGTACAGTTGGGTTTTTGGTGTGTATATCCTTTCTGTTTGTTAGTTTTCCTTCTAACAGTCAGGACCCTCAGCTGCAGGTCTGTTGGAGTTTACTGGAGGTCCACTCCAGACCCTGTTTGCCTGGGTAACAGCAGCGGTGGCTGCAGAACAGCAGATATTGGTGAACCGCAAATGCTGCTGCCTGATCATTCCTCTGGAAGTTTTGTCTCAGAGGAGTACCCAGCTGTGTGAGGTGTCAGTCCGCCCCTACTGGGGGGTGCCTCCCAGTTAGGCTACTCGGGGGTCAGGCACCCACTTGAGGAGGCTGTCTGCTTATTCTCAGATCTCAAGCTGCGTGCTAGGAGAACCACTACTCTCTTCAAAGCTGTCAGACAGGGACATTTAAGCCTGCAGAGGTTATTGCTGTCTTTTGTTTGTCTGTGCCCTGCCCCCAGAGGTGGAGCCTACTGAGGCAGGCAGGCCTCCTTGAACTGTGGTGGGCCCCACCCAGTTGGAGCTTCCCAGCCACTTTGTTTACCTACTCAAGCCTGAGCAATGGCGGGCGCCCCTCCCCCAGCCTCGCTGCCACCTTGCAGTTTGATGTCAGACTGCTGTGCTAGCAATGAGTGATGCTCCATGCATGTAGGACCCTCGGAGCCATGTGTGGGATATAATCTCCTGGTGTGCTGTTTGATAAGCCCATTGGAAAAGCGCAGTATTAGTGTGGGAGTGACCCGATTTTCCAGGTGCCATCTGTCACCCCTTCCTTTGACTAGGAAAGGGAATTCCCTGGCCCCTTGTGCTTCCCAGGTGAGGTGATGCCTCGCCCTGCTTCGGCTCATGCATGGTGCACTGCACCCACTGTCCTGCACCCACTGTCCGGCACTCCCCAGTGAGATGAACCCGGTACGTCAGTTGGAAATGCAGAAATCACCTGTCTTCTGTGATGCTCATGCTGGGAGTTGTAGACTGGAGCTGTACCTATTTGGCCATCTTGGCTCCACCACCCCCAGTTGCTGCATTCTTGTGAGGCTCTGATTAGTGTTCAGTGAATCTATATTTTACATGTGAAAAGCGGGAGTAAGGGAAAAAGTCAGTAATGAATTTGTCTCACATCCAATAAGTCTACATTTTACATTAGATAAAATGAGCATGTAAATTGCAGCTGTCTGTTTGGGAACAAACAGAAGGCAATTTTCTGCATGACTCAGTTCCCAAGCTTAAGTTTCCCTTTGGCATAGTGAGTGTGGGGTCCAAGAGTCTATATTTTTCTTTCACAAATGCAACATCATCAACCAGCTTAACCTAATAAAAATTTTACAGACCATTCAAGAACAGCATAATACACATTCTCTTCAAGCACCCACGAACATATATGAAAATATTATAGAAATTTTTTAAAGTGTCAACTTAAAATTCTATACTCAGCAGATTTTTTTGAAAAATCAAAGGCCATATAGAGACTTTTCAGGTACACAAAACCTGAAAGAATTCATTACCAGGAAACTTGCACTACAAGAAAGACTTTACCACCAGCAATCCTGCAATGCCAGAAATATTAAAGAAAATCTTTCAGATGGAAGGAATATACTACCAGATGGAAATCTGGATGTTCACAAAAGAGTAAATGGTACAGGAAATGGCAGCTATATTAGCTAACAACTTTTTTCTCCTATAATTTCAATGTATTACAAAGACAGTTATTTAAATAAAAGCAATAATGCATTGTGGGTCTTACAATGTTCATAAAATTAAAATGTAAGACAAAAATAGCACAGAGTGAGAGTGGAAGAAATAAAAGTATACACATATGAGTCCTGTACTATGAATTGGTGCAACATTACTTAAAGGTAGACTTAATAAGATGTATAACACGTGTTGGCAAACTATAGCTCACAGATCAATCTGGCCCATAGCTTGTTTTTGCAAGGCTGATAAGCTGGTAATAGTTTTACATTTTTAAAAATTTAGTAAAAAAGAATATGTATCAGAGGCTGGATGTGGCCCACAAAGCCTAAAAATTATTATCTGGCCATTTACAGAAAAAGACTGCCAGCTCTCAATGTATATTAGAAACTCTAATGCAACCCCTAAAATAGCAACATGAAGAGTTACAGCTAACAAACCAACAAAAAAAAAGATTCAATGGAATAAGATTTGCTCAGGTGATCTGAAAGAAGGAAAAAGAATTTAAAAAGGAAAGGAGAAACAAACAAGAAATGGGACAAATTGAAAACTAACAGCAAGATGATAGTTTCACACCTAACCATAGCAGTAGTCACATTGAAAGTAAATGGTCTTAACACTCTAACTGAAGGACAGAAATTGTCAGGTAGCATTAAAATGCAAGAAAAATGCTACATATAGCAAATGAATTTTAAATATAAAAATACTACAAAATTGATAAAAGGGTGAAATAAGATATACTATGCTAACACTCCATGAAAACTGGAATAACTATATTAATGTCAGACAAGGTAAAATTCAAGACTAAATTACAAAAAACGAAAGGGTATCTTACATACTATTCAAAAGATTAGTTAGTTAAGATGATATGACAATTGTAAACATTTATGCAGCTAATAATAGAGCTTCAAAATAAGTGAAACAGGCCAGGCACAGTGGCTTACGCCTGTAATCCCAGCACTTTGGGAGGCCAAGGTGGGCAAATCACAAGGTCATGAGATCAAGACCACCCTGGCTAACATGGTAAAACACCATCTCTACTAAAAATACAAAAAATTAGCTTGGTGTAGTGGCACGTTCCTGTAATCCCAGCTACTCAGGAGGCTGAGGCAGGAGAATCACTTGAACCTGGGAGGTGGAGGTTGCAGTGAGCCGAGATCATGCCACTGCACTCCAGCCTGGGCCACAGAGTGAGACTCCGTCAAAAAAAAAAAAAGTGGAACAAAACTGATAGAACTTTCAGGAGAAATTGGAAAATTCACAACTATAGCTTGAGATTTCAGCACTCTCCTCTCAATAATTAATAGGGTGAGTAAATAGAAAATCAGTAATAATATAGAGGAGAGTAATACTTTCTATAAAGTGAACATAATTGATAATTGTATAACATTTCATCCAGTGACAACAGAATACATATTCTTTTCAAGTGAACACAAAACATTTTCCAAGATAATTAACATTCTGTGCCATAAAATGTTTTAATAAATTTAAAAGGATTCAAGTTATATAAAGTATGTGCTTTGACCATAATGGAATTAAGCTAGAAATCAGTAACAGAAAGATCTCTGGAAAATTCTCAAATAGTTAGAAACTAAATAGCACACTTCTAAATAACCCATAGGTCAAAGAAGAAATCAAAGGGACATTAAAAACTAATTTTGAGTGGAATGAAAATGACAATATAACATATATAAATCCACAAATTGCACTAAACAGTAGTTAGTAAGAAATTTGTAAATTTGTATAGCCTATGTTCATAAAATATAAACTATTGCCTTTATTAGAAAAAAGAGAGTGTGATATTCCCCTTCCTGTGTCCATGTGATCTCATTGTTCAATTCCCACCTATGAGTGAGAATATGTGGTGTTTGGTTTTTTGTTCTTGCAATAGTTTACTGAGAATGATGATTTCCAATTCCATCCATGTCCCTACAAAGGACATGAACTCATCATTTTTTATGGCTGCATAGTATTCCATGGTGTATATGTGCCACATTTTCTTAATCCAGTCTATCATTGTTGGACATTTGGGTTGGTTCCAAGTCTTTGCTATTGTGAGTAATGCCACAATAAACATACATGTGCATGTGTCTTTATAGCAGCATGATTTATAGTCCTTTGGGTATATACCCAGTAATGGGATGGCTGGGTCAAATGGTATTTCTAGTTCTAGATCCCTGAGGAATCACCACACTGACTTCCACAATGGTTGAACTAGTTTACAGTCCCACCAACAGTGTAAAAGTGTTCCTATTTCTCCACATCCTCTCCAGCACCTGTTGTTTCCTGACTTTTTAATGATTGCCATTCTAACTGGTGTGAGATGGTATCTCATTGTGGTTTTGATTTGCATTTCTCTGATGGCCAGTGATGATGAGCATTTTTTCATGTGTTTTTCTGTTGTGGGGTGGGGGGAGGGGTGAGGGAGAGCATTGGGAGATATACATAATGCTAGATGACGAGTTAGTGGGTGCAGCGCACCAGCATGGCACATGTGTACATATGTAACTAACCTGCACAATGTGCACATGTACCCTAAAACTTAAAGTATAATAAAAAAAAAGAAATATGTAAACAATAAACAAACAAAAAGTCTTAAAAATAAAATTATATTTGAGGGAAAAAAAGAGAAAAGAGAAAGATTTCAAATCAATGATCTGAAATTTTACCTTTGAAACTTAAAAAAAAATCAAACAAAATCCAAAGTAAGCAGAATAGAGGAAATAATGAAGAGCAGAGTGAAAAATAATGAAATTAAAAACTCAAAAAGAATAAATTACTGAAACTAATAGCTGTCACTTTGAAATAAAAAAATTGCTAAATTTCTAACCAGATAAATCAGGAAAAGAAGAAGGAAAGAATTCACCAATATCAGTCATGAAAGAGGTGACATCACTACATATTCTAGTTAGTAACATGATAAGTAATTATCATGAAGAATTTTGTGGCCATAATTTAGATAACTGAGATGAGATGGGCATGTTCACAAAGAGATATATAACCAGAGTCACCCTACATCTATGAATGACATTGAATTTGAAGTAAAAACATTTCCACAAGAAAAACTCAGAGCCTGGTTGGCTTCACTGCAGAATTCTATTAAATGTTGAAGAAAGAAATAATTCCAATTTTACGTAAACTCTTCCAGACAATTGAAGACAAGACAGTACTTACCAACTCATTCTACATGGTCAGCATTATACTCAAGCCCAACAAAATTGTAAGAAAATACAGACCAATCTACTTCATAAATACAGAAGCAGAAATAACTTAAAAAAAGAAAATTGTTAAATGAATCCAACAATATATAAAACAGGTGGGATAATTATTTTAAAATATCAATCAATGCAATTCACCATATTAACAAACATATATATATATTTATATATATATATATATATATATACACACACACACATATGTATATGAATATCTCAACATATGCAGTAAAAATATTTGGCAAAACCCAAAATCCATTCCTGATGCTTTAAAAAAATCTCAGCAAGCTATGAGTAGAAAGTAACTGCCTCAACCTGATAAAAACACCTACCAAAAAAATTTATTACATCTACCAACATACTTAATGATGATGGAAAGAGTGCTATCTCTCCATGATCATTAACAAAAGAAAGATATCTATTCTTTGCACTTATATTCAACATTGTGGTGGAGGTTCCAGCCAGTTCAATTAGGCAAAAGGAGAAAGGAAGGAAAGAAGGAAGGAAGGAAGGAAGGAAGGAAGGAAGGAAGGAAGGAAGGAAGGAAGGAAGGAAGGAAGGGCAGGCATCCATATTGAAGAGAAAGAAACAAAATTGTCTTTATTTGCAAATGACATAATTGTGTATAGAGAAAATGATGGAATATACCAAAAAAGCTACTAAAACTATTAAGTAAGTTTAGCAAAATAGCAAAACAAAAGGGTAAGATGCTGAAATAAATTGTATTTATATGTGCTAGGAATTAACAACTGGACATTGAAAGAAACACGATAACACATATAATATAAGATATAAAATGCTTAATGAAAATCTGAAAAAATATAAAAATATAAACAAAATGTATAAAATATGAAAGAACTATACATTGAAAACTATAAAATATTGCTGAGAGAAGCTAAATAAGACCATGCCCCAGAAGACTCAATACTCTTAAGATGTTAATACTCCACCAAATTGATTTATAGATTTGATGCAATCTCAATTAAAATATCAGCTGTATGTACATAGAAAATAACAAGAATAATCTAAAATTCACGGGGAATGAAAAGACCTAGGATAGACAGAACAACTTTGAAACAGAAGAACAAAGTTGAAAGACTGCTACTATCTAATTTCAAGATGTATTATAAGCTATAGTAATCCAGACCATGTGATATTAGTATCCAAGATAGGCAAATAGGTTAATGGAACAGAGTAGATAACCCAGAACTAGATCTGTATATATATTGACAGCTATTATATATTGTCAAGAAAAGTGCCAATGCAATTTGATATGATTTGGCTCTGTGTTCCCACCCAAATCTCATCTCAAATTTTAATCCCCATGTGTTGAGGGAGGGATCTGGTGGGAGGTGACTGGATCATGGGGTCGGATTTCCCCCTTGCTATTCTCATGATGGTGAGTGAGTTCTCATGAGATCTGGTTATTTGATGACTGCTTGGTACTTCCCCCTTCTCTCTCTCTCCTGCTGCCATGTAAGACATGCCTTGCTTCCCTTTCACCTGCCAACATGATTATAAGTTTTTGGAAACATCCCCAGCCATGTGGAGCTGTGAGTCAATTAAACCTCTTTTGTTTATAAATAAGCCAGTCTCAGGTAGTATCTTTATAGCAGTGTGAGAATGGACTAATACACAATTCAATGGAGAAATAATAATGTTTTTAACAAATGGTGCTGGAATTATTGAACATTCTTATGCAAATTTTAAAAAATAACATTAATACCTCACATGATATACAAAAATAACACAAAATAGACTATCGATCTAAATGTAAACCTAAAACTATAAAATTTCTAGAAAAGCACAGACGAATTTTTATAACTCTGGGTTGGGCAAAGATCTCATAGATACAACATCAAAAGCATGAACTGTGAAAGAATAGATTGATAAATTGGACTTCATCAAATTTATGAACTTATGTTCCTTAAAAAAAACTATTAAGATAATGAATGGCAAGGCACAGACTGGGAGAAATTATTTGCAAATTATATGCATGATAAAATATTTGTGTTCTATTTACAAAGAACTTTAAAACTCCGTAATATGAAAACAAGCAGTCCGATAAAAAAGGAAAAAAAGATTTGAACAGACACTTCAACAAAGAAGATATATGAATTGCAAATAAACAGATGAAAAGATGCTGAATAAACATCATTAATTATCAGATAAATGAAATTAAAATCACAGACACTACTGCACCTCTATTAGCATGACAAAAATCAACAATTATGGGTAAGGATGTCAAAGAACTGGAACACAGACAATCAGACAATGCTGGCAGGAATATAAGGTGGCACAACCATTTCAGGAAACTGTTTGGCAGTTTCTTATACAGTTGCAAATATTAATACAAGCCTGTTGCATGATCCAGCCATTTCATTTCTAGGTATTTACCCAAAAGAAATGAAAATATAGCCACGGGCTGAAAGCTGGAAACAACCTAGACACCCAATAACAGCTGAATAGACAAACAGATTGTGGTTTACCCATACAATGAAACATTAGTCCACTACAAAGGAATGAACAATAACATGGATGAATCTCACAATCTTTATTCTGAGGGGAAACATCTAGACAAACGATGTCCTATTATATGACGACATTTGTATAAACTTCACATGCAAACTAATCTATAGTGACAAAAGGCAGATAAGTGCTTGCCCGTGATGATGGAGGTGCGAGAGGCTGAGAGGGGCAATGTAGAAAGAAACTACAAAAGGAGTAAGGAAACCACTGAGGCTGATTGATATATTCAGTATCTTGATTGTGGCAATAATTCCATGGTATATATTCATGCACATGTCAAAACTCATATTATACACTTTAAATATGTGCAGTTTCTTACATGTCAATTAAATCTCATGAAAGTTGTTTTACAAAAACTTTTTTAAACTAACTTCTTTATTGCCTGTAACTTTATTTTTCTAGCACCGTAGACAATATCAAGTGAATTGAATAATGCCTGTTGAAAGCCTACAATGTCTCATGTACAATAAAGTCCAACAGATGGGACCCTCTTCTGAGTCTTATTGCCGTCTCTTTCAAATTATATTTGAATCTTAGAGAAAACATTAATTTTCACTAAGAAAATAAGAGAAAAATTATATATTTTTATATTATATATTTATATTAAATATTTATAATTATATTATATATTTAAATTATATATTATATAATTATATTATATATTTATATTATAATTATATAATTATATTATATATTTAAATTATATATTATATAATTATATTATATATTTAAATTATATATTATATAATTATATTATATATTTATATTATATATTATATAATTATTATATATTTATATTAGATTATATAATTATATTATATATTTATATTATATATATATTTATATTATATAATTATATTATATATTTATATTATATATATTTTTTCTATAAGAGAAAAATTACATTTGAATCTTAGAGAAAGCTAACTCTTGTTGAAAAATCATTATGTGCTAGGAATTTTCCTAACCTCCCTTCTTTAATCTTTCCAACAATCCTACGAAGATGGTACTTTCATTACCCTCATGTAGTCGATAAATAAACGGAAGCACAAATAGGTTAAGACACCTTCCCAAGGTCATGAATCTAATGCACGGCCTTCAGATCTGAAGCCCAGCTCCAGAATCTCAACAGTGCCCTACCGTGGTCTTTCACAATCACAGAGTTGCAGCACCATATACCCCTTCTTGGGTCTACATCCTCTTTCTGAATTTCTCTTTCTGCTTTTCGCTCTAACAGCTGTTTTTGATGCTTCTTTACCTTTTAGTGTATCCTTTTTTTATAGGAATAATACCTTTTTCTTTTACACTACTGAATCTGAGAATGTAAAACCATTGTTTGGATGTAACAGCTAGGAAACAGTTCTTAAATGGTGACACAAGCATTTCTGAGCTTACTGTTCAGGTGTGCTCCCATTCTGGTACACAGTAGGACTCTGCGGGCCCTGAAGGGATGCCTGCACAGGGACCACATTACCATAGGCTCTATAGAGTGCACACTAGCATCCACTTCACAAGCCTTGCCAAGGAAGAAAAGCTTCCATGTGAATGAATTTCAGGAAAATGGAAGGCTACTCCTTTCAGAGTTCAGGATTTGCTGTTTCCCTAAGCTCTCATAGCTGTATAATAAATGCAAAAAGACTGAGAACCCTGGTTTCTTACAGGAAAAACAAAGGGAAAAAAGAAAGAACAGTAAAAAGACCTGTTTGAGTAATGTTTACAAAAAAACATAAATGAATAATCTCTTAGGATCCCTCCAGTAGCAGGCTAAAGGATACAGTCCCTTGTGATTTGTGATAGTCTGTGTTGGCTATGACCACATACACAGTCTGCTATTTTATGCACAAGCAGTTTTATGGCTCTGTTGTTTTTTCCCCTGCTGTTTTTCACATTAACTAGAAATCCGGCCTTAGACATTGAGCAAAATGAGGCTGCCTAATTTCTCCTATGTTAGTAGCAGTTCATGCTTTGGTAAATCAAGGTTAACAAAAGAACTGCTTTATGCAAATTGGACATGTGAAAATCCTGAATACATGATTTTTAATTTTAAATGCTCATAAAAGACATTTTCTAAGCTAATGTTCTTAACAGTAATGTTTTAAAAAAATACAACCCATATTTCCTGAAAAAGCTATTGAATATTTTGTTTTTCTTACTCCTTGCTTAAATTTCTTATTAATATTGTGTTTAATGACTTTAATTCACACTTCCTGATTGTTTATTTTAAGTATAATTATGTTGTTTACAAGCAAATTAGCTTCCTGGAGTCATTTAAAATAAACAGTAATAAATATAAGATGATATTCAAGAGGCATGAAGAGGAAATAAATTATTGTAGAAAAGGTAGAGTAATAACTGAAAAAATAAAGTTGTTATAAGTCATGAATATGATTTTTGGACAAAATAAAACATAATTAAAATACATTTTAAAAATCTACCCTGGGAATTCTGAGAATCATATGCAGGAACTATAATGAACAAATATGAATGCCTACATATAAATGTATAAAAATTACAAAATCCATGTGTCATTTGAATATGTGATATGGTTTGGCTGTGTCCTCACCCAAATTTCATCTTGAATTGAAACTCCCACAATTCCCATATGTCACGGGAGGAACCCACTGGGAGGTGATTGAATGATGGGGGCGGGTCTTTCCTGCACTGTTCTTGTTAATGAATGAGTCTCACAAGATCTGATGGTTTTAAAAATGGGAGTTTCCCTACACAAGCTCTCTTCTCTTTGCCTGCCGCCATCCACGTAAGATGTGACTTGTTCTTCCTTGCCTTCTGCCATTATTGTGAGGCCTCCCCAACCCCGTGGAACTGTGACTTCAACTGAACCTCTTTTGTGAATTGCCCAGTCACAGATATGTCTTTCTCAGCAGCATGAAAATGGATTAATACAGTAAATTGGTACCACTAGAGTGGGACGTTGCTGAAAAGATACCTGAAAATGTGAAAGTGAATTTGGAACTGGGTAACAGGCAGAGATTGGAACAGTTTAGAGGGCTCAGAAGAAGACAGGAAAATGTGGGAAAGTTTGGAACTTCCTAGAGTTCCAAACTTGTTGAATGACTGACAAAAATGGTGATAGTGATATGAACAATAAGGTCCAAGCTGAGGTGGTCTCAGATGGAGATGAGGAACTTGTTGGGAACTGGAGCAAAAGTGACTCTTGTTATGTTTCAGCAAACAGACCGGTGGAATTTTGCCCCTGCCCTAGAGATCTGTGGAACTTTGAACTTGAGAGAGTTGACTTAGAGTATCTGGCAGAAGAAATTTCTAAGCAGCAAAGCATTTAAGAGGCGACTAGACTGCAGTTGAAGGCATTCAATTTTATAAGGAAACAGAGCATAAAAGTTCAGAAAACTTACAGCCTGACAATGTGATAGAAAAGAAAAATTCATTTTCTGAGGAGAAATTCAAGCTGGCTGCAGAAATTTGCGTAAGTAACAAGGAGCTGAGTGTTAATCCCCAAGACAATGGGAAAAATGTCTCCAGGGCATGTCAGAGGTCTCCATGGCAGCTCCTCCCATCACAGGCCTAGAGGTCTAGGAGAAAATGGTTTCATGGGCCTGCCCAGGGTCCCTGTGCTGTGTGCAGCCTAGGAACTTGGTGCCCTGCGTCCCAGCCACTCCAGCCCTGACTAAAAGGGGCCAAGGTACAGCTCAGGCTTTTGCTTCAGAGGGCGGAAGTCCCAAGCCTTGGCAGCTTTCACGTGGTGTTGAGCGTGCAGGTGCACAGAAATCAAGAACTGAGGTTTGGGAACCTCCACCTAGATTTCAGAAGATGTATGGAAATGTCTCAATGCAGAGGCAGAAGTTTGCTGCAGGGGTGGGGCCTTCATGGAGAACCTTTGCTAGCGCAGTGAGGAAGGGAAATGTGGGGTTGGAGCCCCAGCACAGACTCCCTACTGGGGCATCACCTAGTGGAGCTGTGAGAAAAGGGTCATTGTCCTCCAGACCCCAGAATGGTAGATCCACTGACAGTTTGCACCTTGTACCTGGAAAAGCTGCACACACTGAACGCCAGCTGGTGAAAACAGCCAGGAGGTGGGCTATACTCTGCAAAGCCACAGGAGTGGAGCTGCCCAAGACCATAGGAACCCACCTCTTGCATCAGCATGACCTGGATGTGAGACATGGAGTCAAGGGAGATCATCTTAGAGCTTTAAGATTTGACTGCCCTGCTGAATTTCAGACTTGCATGGGGCCGGTAGCCCCTTTGTTTTGGCCAATTTCTCCCATTTGGAACTGCTGTATTTACCCAGTGCCTATACCCCCATTGTATTTAGGAAGTAAGTAACTTTCTTTTGATTTTACAGGCTCGTAGGCAGAAGGGACTTGTCTTGTCTCAGATGAGACATTGGACTGTGGACTTCTGTGTTAATGATGAAATGAGTGAAGACTTTGGGGGACTTTTGGGAAGGCATGATTGGTTTTGAAATATGAGGACATGATATTTGGGAGGGGCCAGGGACAGAATGATATGGTTTGGCTGTGTCCCCACCCAGATCTCATCTTGAATTGTAACTCCCACAGTTCCCACATGTTGTGGAAGGAACTTGGTGGGAGGTGATTTAATTATGGGGGCAGGTCTTTCCTTTGCTGTTCTCGTTATAGTGAATGAGTCTCATGAGATCTAAGGGTTTTAAAAATGGGAGTTTCTCTGCACAAGCTCTCTTCTCTTTGCCTGCCATCATCCATGTAAGATGTGGCTTGCTTATCCTTGCCTTCCACCATGATTGTGAGGCCTTCCCAGCCACATGGAACTGTGAGTCTAATTAAACCTCTTTCTTTTGTAAATTGCCCAGTCTTGGGTATGTGTTTATCAGCAGCGTGAAAATGGACTGATACAATATGCTTTTGAGTAATTTTGTCTTTGCTTTTTTTAATTTTACTATTTAAGGTGATAGTCATTTGAAAAAGACTCTTTTGCAAATACAAATGAAAGTTGAAAATCATCACTGTTTTGTAGCTTCAAAAAGCCATTCACTGTCTGCAGAGTTATTGGTTTTGCACATAGTATCCTGTGGTCATTCATTCTCCTTGACTAATTTCATTAGAAAGTGACATGGCACTTTACTGCCAGATGCCTAATGTAATTCCTGGGGCATTCTTGGCACCCAGATATTTTTTAAGTAACTAATGCATGGTTATGAGCAATGTTTTTCTTTCATAAAGCCATAAAATATTGAAGGTATAAATGGATTTTATATCTTCTTGTACAAGTTGTGTAGTTCAAGCTTTATGGCTTTGTAAAAGAATAAATTAATTTGTTAATTAACTTAAGCATATTATATTTGAGAGGTTTTAAAACCTGTTTGTCTTGCCAGGGAGGGACAATTACAATTTGCAATTCTGTTTCCTGGTCTCAGTAGCAAACCAATTTTGTTTTATTTGCATCTGAGATCAAGAGAAACAATGACAAAACTCTTGGCTTAGCAATAAAGAAAGAATCTTTGAACAGGAAAAAATACACACACATACACATATGCATGTGTATATGTGTTTATATATATATATATGCACACATGCATACAAAAATTTAGAATGGTGGTTATCTTTGGAGACATACAGAATGAGAGAAAATATTTGCAAATTATGTGTTTGATAAAGGATTAATATCTAAAATATATAAAGAATTTCTATAACTCAACAATATAAAATAAGCAACCCAATTCAAACATGGATAAAGGACTTGAATAGAAATTTCTTCAAAGGAGATATATAGATGTTCAAAGACACATAAAAAGATGGTCAGTAATACTCATTGTTAGAGAACACAAATCAAAACCATAACAAGATGCCATTTCTCCCACATCAGGATGGCTATTATGGAAAAATAAAACAGAAAATAACAAGTGTTGGCTAGGATATGGAGAAATTATGCTACTGATAAGAATGTAAAATTGTGCAGCTTCTATGGAAAATATAGCTTGTACATGCTATAGAAAATATAAATTTTATGACTACTATGGAAAACCATCATACAATGCTTTCAGAAAAAATTAAAAACAGGATTACCATATGATCCAGCAATTCCACTTCTAAGTATAGAGCCAAAAGAAATGACAGCATGAACTTAAACAGATGTTTGTACACTAATGTTGTTAGCAGCATTATTCACATTAGCTATTCAATGGAAACAACCTAAATATCCACCAGCAGATGAATGCATAAACAAAAGGTGGCATCTACAGACAATAAAATATTATTCAGCCTTAAAAAAAGAAGAAAACCTTAACACATTGCCACAACATGTATGAATATCGAAGACATTATGCCAAGTGAAATAAGCCAGGCAAGAAAAAAGCAAATATTGCATGATTCCACTTATATGAGGTATCTATAGAGTAGTCAAATTCGTAGAAATAACAAAATGGTGGTTGCTAGAGGCTAAGAGAGAAGGGAATGAGGTTACTGCTTACTGGGTACAGAGTTTCAGTTTGGGAAGTTAAAAAAGCTCTAAAGTTTGATGGTGCTGGTGATTGCATGACAATGTGAATGTACTTAATGTTATTGACTTGTACACTGAAAATATTGTTAAAATAGTAAATTTTATATCATGGTTTCTTACTACAATGAAAAATGTCTGCCATGGACATAATTTCTCAGGAAATTTCAATTCATAGTAGGTTTGAGAATTATTGGGTTGAAGTAAATGATATTTACAGTTTAGAATAAATAAATGTGGCCTTTTTCTCTTCAGAAGACTTTTATTGGACTTCTGATTTCTCATTCAACATGTAAGGAGCTTGGAAGTCATTACCCACTCCTAACAAGTGAAAACCTGAACAGACAAAAAATTGAGAACCTCTCTTGAATCTGTAAGAGAGGCAAAGACACAGGGCAAACCACTGCCACAAGTCTGAATAGACAGAATAGACAGGCAAGTACAGGGAGTCATGGCTTACCAGAGCAGAGACTCATGAGCAGAAACTGCTGCAGAAACCAGGGCTGGAGTAGGGAAATCCAAATTGTAATTGATGAATTGCTTAAGGTTCAGTGTGAACAAATCTGAGAGATGAAAAACTCAAGGGATCCCACTAATAGGGGCTATCTTAATATTTTAATGAGTTTACCTCCAGGATCTCAACCAATTCACACAGTAAATATCAGAAAAATATCCCGTTGTGCTTCCGACATGGGAAGAGGAAAAGGAAGGTTTTAAATAAGCCAGGGCACTCTGTTCTTAACAGGGTCTACCCTTAGGAGAGAACAGTTTACCAGAGCCTCACCTGCTGGGGTACTATCAGAGTCTAACTGAACTGGGAGAAGGGAAATACTCAATTCCAGCCAGCTCTAACCTTTCTGCCTCACCTAAGGGGAGGGCGTAACTGAGAAACACATGTGAAGTCATAGTTCAGGGGCACCAGATCACTAAAAGATTATAACCTAATCATAGGACTATAGAATTCATTCCGTAGCCCCACACCTCACCAAGACATTACTAAAGACCTAGTTACAGCAGTTCCTTTTTCTCAGTACATCATGTTGAGCTATCAAGAAAAAATTTCAAGGCATACAAAAAGTTAAAAGAAAAACACAGTTTGAACACAATGTATGTGAAGGCATTTGCTGCCAGTAGACTGCCTAGAAGAAATGCTACAAGTTCTAGAGAAAAGGAAAATAATATAGGTTAGAAACTTGGATATTTATAAGAAAAGGAAGAGCATGGAGGAAGGAATAAGTGAAGGCAAAATAAAAACATTTTTAAAATTCTTAGTTGATTGAGTTGATAATTTGTTAAAAATGATAGCAACAATCTATTTCATTATGTATGTTTATATATACATATATATCTTATAAATATATGTACCTATGTATGTTTATATATAGGTCCAAGGAATGACATCAATGACATAAGGGACAGAAGGGATAAATTAGGATTATTTTGTTATTATAAGGTATTCATGCTATCTGTGAAACAGTAATAGTGTTATTTGAAAGTGGTCTTGGATTTGTTGTAAATGTGTACTGGAAACTCTAGGAAAACCATTTTAAAAAGTATAGATAATATGCTAAAAAGGGAGAGAATGAAATTATGTAAAATGATGAATTAAAAGTACAAAAGGCAGAAAAAGATTGGAAGACAAAAAGAGAAACAAAGAACAAGGGCAGCAAATAGAAAACAGTAACAAATATGGTAGCTATTAATCCAACTGTGTCAATAATGCAAATGATCTAAATGTACCAATGGAAAGACAGAAATTGTCAGAGTGAGTAAAGAGACAAGACTCAACTATATGTTGTCTCCAAGAAATCCACTTGAAACATAAAGACACATATAGATTAAAGTAAATGGATGGAGAAAAATATACCCTCTTAACACAAAAAGAAAGCAGTAGTAGCTATATTAATTTCAGAGAAAGCAGACTTCAAGCAATGAAAGTTTTAGGAATAAAGGGGGCATTACATAATGGTAAATGGGTCAATTCCTCAAGAAGACATAACAATCTTTAACATGCATGCACCTAAAAACAGTGTCAGAATATGTGAGGCAGAAACGGGTGGAACTTCAAGAAGAAATAGATGAATCCACTATTATAGTTGGAGAATTCAACACCCCTCTATCAAAAATGAACTGATCCAGCAGGCAGAAAATCAGTAAAGACAAAACTGAACTCAACACCACAATGATTAACCAGATATAATAGACATCTATAGATTACTTCATCCAGCAAGAGAAGAATACACATTGTCCTCAAGCCCACATGAAATATTCACCAAGATAGACCACGTTCTGGGTTGTAAAATATCACAAATTTAAAAGAATAGAAATCATAAAATATCTACTCTTGGACCACAATGAAATTAAACTAGAAATCAACTGAAGTAAGATAACTGGGAAATCTCCAAATACATGAAGATTAAATAACACACTTCTAAGTAACACGTGGGTCAAAGAAGAAGTCTCAAGATAAATTAAGAAATATTTTAAATTAAAAATGAAAATACAACTCGCCAAAATTTGTGAGATGCAGTGAAAGCAATACTTAGGGGGAAATTTATATCATTGAGTATGTATATTAGAAAAGAAAAAAGATCTAAAATTAATCAGCTAAGCTTCCACTTTAGGAAACTAGAAAAAGAAGAGAAAATTAAAAAAAAAAATAAACTGAAGAAAGAAAAATTAGAACAGAAATCAATGAAAAATCAATAAAATCAATAATCCTGTATCCAGGCTAAGAAAAAAAAAAATCTCGTGACCTTTCAAAAGATAATAAAAGGATACTATAAACAACTAAATGCCCACAAATTTTGCAACCTGGTTTAAATACGTTGAAAGACAATCTGCCAAAACTCACACAAGAAGAAATACATAATCTGGATAGGGCTGTAGCTAATTAAAAAATTGGATCATTCACTAATAGTGTTCCAAAACAGACAGCACCAGGTCCAGATGGGATTACTGCTGAATTCTACCTAACATTTAAGGGAGAAAGCATACCAATTATCCAAACCTCTTCTGGAAGATAGAAACAGGAGAATATTTCCTAATTCATTCTGTGAGACCAATATTACCCTCATACCAGAATCAGACAAATAAATTATAAGAAAAGAAAACTACAGACCAATATCTGTCATGAGAACAGATGGAAAAATCCTCAACAAAATATTAGCAAATAGAATCAACAATGTCTAAAAAGAATTATACACCATGACCAAGTGAGGTTTATTCCAGATATGCAAGGCTGTCTTATTATTTGAAAATCAGTTAATGCACTGCTTCTCGGTTTTTTGGCTAAGATTAAGTAAAAATCAATTACTGTAATTTACCATATCAGTGGGCTACAAAAGAAAAACTACATGATTATATCAATAGATGCAGAAAAAAAATTTGACAAATCTAACACACATTCATGATGAAAACACTCAGTGAACTAGAAATAGTGGGCAACTTCCTCAACTTGATAAAGAATATCTGCAAGAAAAAATCTACAGCTAACATGACACTTAATGATGACAAACTGAAGATTTCCTACTAAAATCAAGAACAAGGCAAAGATGTCTCCTTCTACCACTTCTTTTCAACATCACATGAGAAGTTCTAACCAATGCAACAAGATAAGAAAAGGAAATAAAGGATACAGATTGTGAAAGAATAAATAGAACTGTTTGTCTTTGTAGATGACACAATGATCTATGCAGAAAATACAAAATAATTAACAAAAAAGCTCCTGAAATTAATACGCAATTATAGCAATGTTGCAAGGTACAATGTTAATATACAAAAGCTGATCACTTTGCCGTAAACCAATAATGAACAGTTGGAATTTGAAATTTAAAACACAATACAGTTTACATTAGCATCCCTCCCCAAATAAAATACACTAAATCTAACAAAATATGCATACAATCTTTATAAGTAAATCTACAAAATTCTGATGAACGAAATCAAAAGAGAACTAAGTAAATAGAGAGATATTCCATGTTAATCAATAGAAAGATTCAGTATTGACAAGATGTCAGATTCATCTACAGATTCAATTTAAATTCCAACAAAAATTGCATTGAGTTATTTTGTGGATATAGAAAGAATGATTCTAAAGTTTATAGTTTTTATGAAAGGGTAAAAGAAACAGAATAGCTAATATAATATTGAAGGAGAACAAAATTAGAGGACTGACACTACCTGACTTGAAGATTTATTGGAAGCTATAGTAATCAAAACAGTGTCGTACTGGTGAAAAAGAATAGGCAAATAGATCAATGGAATAGAATAGAGAGCATAGAAATAGACCCACATAAATACACTCTACTGATTTTTTACAAAGGAGCAAGGCAATATAATGGAGCAAAGATAGTCCTCAACAAATGGTGCTGGAACACATGGACATACACACATGCACACACCCAAAGGAATCTAGACACAGACTTTTCCCCTTCCACAAAAAATAACACAAAAGATCACAGATCTAAATGTAAAATGCAAAACTATAAAACTCCTAGAAGATAACATAGAAGAAAACCTAGATGACTTTGGCTATGGCAGTGAATTTTTAGATATAACACCAAAGTCACATCCAATGAAATAATTAATTGATAATAAACTGGATTTCATTAAAATTAAAAGCTTCTGCTGTGTGAAAGACAATGTCCATAGATAGAAGAGACAACTCATAGACTGGGGGAAAATATTTGCAAAGATGCATATTATAAAGGAGTGTTATCCAGAATATACAAATAAAACTCAATAATAAGAAACAACCTAACCAAAACATGAGCAAGAGATCTTAACAGACATTTCACCAAAGAATATTTACAGATGTCCAATAAGCATATAAAGGACACTCACATTATATGTCATCAGGGAAATATAGATTAAAACTGCAATGAGACATCACTACACACCTATTAGAATGGTCAAAATCTGCAACAATGACAACACCAAATGCTGATGAGGGTGCGAAGAAAAAGAAACTCTCATTGATTGCTGGTGAGAATGCAAAATGGTTCAGCAACTTTGGAAGAGAGTTTGACAGTTTCATACAAAACTTAGCATGTTCTTACCACATGATCCAGCAGTTGTGCTCTTTGGTAGCTACTTGAAGCTGGCAACATATACTGACAAAAAACCTGCACATGGATGTTTATGGCAGCTGTACTTATAATTACAAAAACGTGGAAGCAACTAAGATGTCTTTCAGTAGGTAAATGGATAAGTTGTGGTACATCCAGTCAATGGAATATTATCCAGCACTAAAAGTATATGAGCTATCAAGCCATGAAAAGACATGAAGGAAACAAGTGCATATTATTAGGTGAAGGAAGCGAATGTGAAAAGGCGATATATAGGCAGGCAAGAAGTGAAGTCAGGAGACAGGAAGTGGCCCGGGGAAACATGTCTTTCCTCTCTCCTCCTCAGCCCCAAGTGAACAGGTAGCATCAGGTGTGCCATTTGAGTGACTGGGCACAGCTCAGGCACCCACATCTCCCTCCAGCGCCTATTCTTTGAACACCAGAGACCTCTGCACTATTTTTTGTTGCTTTTTTCCTTCATTTTCAGAGATGAGATCCTGGATTGAATGGCTTGAATTACTGTGGAAAGTAATTGACCAAGGTAAGTCACAACTATCTTGTTCTTTAATTTTGTTGTTGTTTGTTATGACTAATTGAATGTTAGCCATCTAGCACACATAGCTTTGCATTTCCACTCTGCATTACTTGTATTTTTATTATTTTGTAATATTTAAAATTTGTTATTATAAAACTGTGTTATTAGTTTGGATAATTTGAAGTTAAAATGTGATTTTTTAACTAAGTGGCAGGGAAAAGGCAAAACTATAGACACAGTAAAAGATTAGTGGTTGCCAGGTGTTGGCAGGGTGCTGGGGGGTGGGGGAATCAATGAATTGGTCAAGTGCCAAGGATGTTTTTAGGGCAACGAAACTCTTCTGTATGACACTATAATAGTGGATACATGCCACTATATTTTTCCAAATCCATAGAATGCACAACACCAAGAGTGAACCATAATGTAAACTATGGTCTCTGGGTGATTATAATGTATCAATGTAGGTTCATCAATTATAATAAATGCACTCTGGTGGAGGATGTTGATAATAGAGGAGGCTATGCATGTATGGGGGCAGGGGATATATGGCAAATCTCTGTACCTTCCTCTCAATTTTTCTGTGAACCTAAAATGCTCTAAAAACTTAGCGTTGTTTTTTTAGAAAAACTATTTTGCTGACTAAAATTAAAGTATACTGGCTTTCTTTGATGGGCTCAGAGACTCATAGGAATGCATACACATACAAATACTTAGTTTTATAGATGAGGCAAAAAGATCCTTAGGAACACATATTCAGGTGCAATATACTCTGTAAACACATATTTCTGTACTAACTGCAGAGCACAAATATGTTATCCTCATTTGTCAGTACGGGAACAGTCACAGTCCCACCTCTGCTTACTGCTACCTTGCTCTTCCTTTTTAGGCTCCAAATCCCTGAAGCCTTGCTCTTTAGACCGTTGAAGTAAGCTAGTGAGCAGCATCATGAAGTTGCTCTACCTACAGATGGTGGGGGCCCAGGGGCTACCTGAGTTTATATAGAGAAGTGGTTCTCAAACTAGATGGCGAATTGGAATCACCAGGTGGGCTGCTAGCACTCCCAAAGCACAGATTGATCTTATACCAATTAAATCACAATCTCTAGGTGGTAACTTCCAGGCATCAGTATTTTTAAAAAGAACCCCAAGTCGCCCCGTATGTAGTCAAGGTAAAGACCCAGTGAATTGTCTGATTGTTTCAAATTAGCCACAGGGCTTCCAAGTGGCATCTTGCTACAGAAATTCCCAAATATGGGCTTCAGTATCTTCTTATTTATCTTAAAACTGATATTAGACTCTTCAATATGACTCAGTGATCTTGTAAATGCTTATTAAGCCTTAAAATTTGTGGTTTTTTAAAATAACATGGAAGATCCCTTTTTATAATCTTTCTACTTTTATGGGCAAACACAACTCAGCCTGGCTGTCTTTATCAGGAAAATGTCATGTGACTCAGCTGAACGTGCATCAGGTTGGGAGAAAAAAGACGTGAGTTCTAGTTCTGAGTGTGCAGTAGGCTTCTGGGTAAACCTGGGCAGATCACCTGGCTTCCTTGTCTTTAGTTTTCTCATCCATCCAAGAATAGGGTTGCATAGAGAGTGTTTCCCAAGCTTCTATTTTCTGAGTACCTCCCACCTTCATGAATTTTTTGCCAGAGCAACATCCCACCTGTAGTATTATTTATTTAACAGTGCCCTTTATAGTGATTCGTTCTGCTTAAACTTATTTTAAATATAATTTTAATTGCTTCTATAAGTGAATAACGACTATGACATTTTATAAATAGATGGTAACTGGAAAACAAATATTTTTACAGTGCCAATAAATCCTACTTAGGTTTTCTTGTCTGACAAAGGCTTTCAAAATAAGACCTGATTTCTTTTCATGAAAAATAGAAACTAATATATTGGAGGGGTGTCAAAAACAGCTTTGCATCAAGACATTTTCTCTATCTTATGAGGATTAAAAGAATATTTGCAAAGGGAATAATTTTTTCTCTATGTGATTTAAATAAGCTAAAAGTCGTGGTTCATGTTTCTGCACTGGGAAACACTGCAGTAAAAGATCATGAAGAGTTTTTCCAACTCTTATATTCCAACTATATATTCCAAAAACTATATAGCTTTCCCAACTATATTTTCCAACTATAGTATTCTATTATCACTCTATTGCTCCAACTTGGGCAAAGGAAATAAAAGACTGGAATATTCTCAGAGGACAGGAAGGGTCTTCTCTCACTACGTCCCCATGGCTATTTCTGATTTAAATGGAGGCAACAAAGTTAGTGATCTGAAGAAAGAAAGATTTGGTAGCTATGCAGAAGGTAGGTTAAGTTTTCTAGGGGCAGAAAAAGATTCTGAAAAGCAAAATGCCCTGTTGAGAGGTAGTAAATGGCATGTGGAATTAAACTGTCTACAGGATGGTCTACAGCCAATGCATTGCCCATTAGGCTGGTTAAATTAATAGATACTGTGTGGCTGGCTGATGTCTCTCTTGCTCATGAGGAGAGTTATCTTCTTTATTTCACACTCTCTGGACCTCTCAAAGGTAAGAAATCAAAATCATTTACCCAACTAAAGGGGCAGAAGTTGCCATCTTATGATATTCCCCAAAGGCTATGAATCTAATTCAGGCTATTAAGCCTGCCAGGTTTCCTGTCATTCATCTCTCAGCCCTGTCTCACAGGACTAGAAAAGGCAAACTCCCTCAGGCTGATGCTGTCTCAGGTAAGTCCCCTATCATTGCTGTTTGATACTGCATTCTGGAGGCTGCACTCTATTTGGTATATCTACACTTACCACCAAGCTGCACCATCTTTCATCAGGCACCATCTTTTAAAACTCTCATTATTGACTGTATTTAAGCCACAAAATATATATGTATAATTTCAACATGACCTTTATACTTATGACTAAAGCTAAGGGGAGGTCTGTCATGGAAAGCTATTCTACCACTTAAATTAAATGATGATAAATGTTGGAACTGTTCAGTTCTCTGTCATCCAAGGCCCTGGTGTGGCTATTGTTCAGGGGAAAAAAAATCAAATCATTTACTTTGAAAATTCTATGGGCATACTTAGTATTACCCAGGTATAGTATACAAGTTTTTAAGCACTTTCTGTAAATTAAAATGCTCCAAAAAGGAATAGATTTTAGAATTATATGTTTTAATTTAAAGCCTATTTGTACTAGGAGAGTGATCCTTCTTTCAGAATTGAATGTCAACTTTGCTTTATTTTGACTCTCAATCAGTTGTTTTCTCAAATGCTGAGTAAAACTAGGTTACGATAAATTTCAAAGAAAGACAATACTGAATGAAAGGGACGATATTATACATTGACAGAAAAATGTGAGCTGTGAAAATAAAAGTAGAAAATAAAAGAGAAATATGCTACTTATATGGAAGTAGAAAATAAAAGAAATATGCTACTTATATGGAAACATTCTTAGAAATATATATGAGAATTTATGTGGATTCATGTATGCTTTCTAAATGGAAACTTTTAGGAAAAATGTTACAAGATGTGGCTTGTAGAGTAAGTGGCGATTGTAGAGAAGGTTAAAAAAACAAAAAAGTTACCCCTGCACGTTGACCAATGTTCCTTCTTATTTTCAACCAACTCATCCAGCTGTTACGACAATCAAATAATGTAATGTGCATGGAAATGTTTTGTGAATTCTAAATCATGGTTCAAATATATGGTATGATTTCTTTTATCATTATTTTTTTAATGATGGAAATAGTATTGTCTACCAAGCATGGAAAGAACTTCTTTGGTCATTGAGAGGTAGGCACTTGAACACTGCAGATACAGATTTAGGTCTTAATTTGTACTCATTTAGCAAACCACCTATTAAATCTGGCCCAAACGTTTGCCTTAGATTTTCCAGGAAATAAAACACTCTGAGCCTATCTGTAGCATCTAATACAGGCTATACATTGGGATTACCAGGAAAACTAGGAGCTCAAGAGCTTAGAAATCACAAGAATAGGCCCCCAAAAGACCTCTAGGGGCCAGGTGCAGTGGCTTGTGCCAGTAATCCCAGCACTTTGGGAGGCTGTGATGGGAGGATCACTTAGTTCAGGAGTTCAAGACTGGCCTGGGCAACATAGTGAGATCCCATCCGTAAACAAAAGTGTAAAAAAAAAATTAGCTGTGTGTGGTGGGCACATGCCTCTAGCCCTGGCTGCTCCAGAGGAGACTGTGGTGGGAGAATCACTCGAGCCTGGGAGTTCGAAGTTGCACTGAGCTATGATCATGCCACACTGCACTCCAGCCTGGGCAACATAGTGAACCCTGTCTAAAGAAAACAAACAAAAAAAACCCTCTAGGAACACAGAACAATGCTCAGCTGTTATACCTTATTGTGACTAAATAGAAAATCAAGAAGCTAAAAATAAGTAAGATGCCTTCCTCCTTCCCCCCACAAACTTCTTTAAATGAACCTGAGACCTGTTTCTCAAGTGTTTATATCATCAGTATTCATAGGTGTGCTAAATGACACAACCAGTGTATTTAAAATTATCAAAGTAAATTTTAAAATGTCCTTTCAGTTTTGTAACTTTGACTCAATTTCTTTTTTAAAAAATTTACTAATTTGTTTACAAAAATAGGTAAGCATCCCTCACATATCATTGGTGTAATTTAAAAGAGATTTTTAATGAGTAATGTGTCATCTTGTAGTACATGTAAATGGTCTGCATAATTTCCAATTAGACTTGAATTTATAATATTTATGGATGTTTGCAGAATTTAAACTAATTGGAATAATCATTCCAGTTGTTGATCAAATTAGAAATGATACCATCAAAACTTTTTGAGCCTTGATTTTAAAAAATAATTCATTCTTTCCTATTTCAAAAAAGTAGATCTGTGACTGTCTATATCGGTTAATGGAATATCAGACAATTTAAATCAACCCTGCCCTGGAAGTCAATTGAAAAACAAGAGTAAAATTTTAAAATTTTTTGTAGAAGCATTGACTATATGGCAAAAGAAGAATTACCAGGCCAAAATAAAGTGGAAAAAAATCAAACACAGAAGGATAAGGGTGCACAGATGCTTTAGCCTTGAGGACATTTCAGATGCGGGGGTGAGTGTAGGAATTAGTAGAATGTTTGCTTTGACAGTCTATGGGAGAACAGGATGGAGGGTTGGCAGAGGGTACAGAAGACTCTCCGAACAGTAAGCTAGGATTCTACAATATTATTTCCCAGGGTGAAGGTGAACCGGAGGTGGAGCAAATCATAGGAAACACAGCCAAGATCAAATCAACTGTCTCAAGCCTTCAACCTGGTTTATAGAGAAACCAAGCTCTGGGAAAAAAGCAAACGTAAATCTTCTCTGGAGAAAAATATCTTCATTTTAAACCTGAAATTATTTCTATATATTTTATTTTAATCATTTCTTACAGGATAATAATAATAATAAAGCACAAGAGGAAATTCCATGAGTGAGAACCAGCAGAAGTAACAGAAAAGATCCTTAAAATATTGAGGAATTGGAATGATCAGACTCAGACTGTAAATTAACTATGCTGATTATGTACAAGGAAATAAAAAGCAAGTTTCAAGATATGTGCAGAGAAAAGAAAGTGATAAAGAGGAACATAAAAGATTAGTAAAAGAACTAAGTGGAACTGTTAGAAAAAATCTCAATGGGCAAACTTCAGCTTCTGCCCAAGATGTAGTAACAGGAACTGGACTTACCCTCTTACCACAACAGCAAGCAAACAAAATATGTAAAAGTTCAATTGGCAGGTTTAAGAGCAGACTAGACACACCTCAAAAGAGAGTAAGTGAGCTGGGAGATAAGTGTGAACAAACTCTTCAAAGTGTGAAAAGGAGAAATGAAAAGATATGACACAGAAGAGGGTAAGACATGTATGTAAGAGGTGCATACATTTAATCATAACCCCAGAAGAAGAGACAGAGAATACAGGGCTGTGAATTTTACAATAATTCATTTTAAAATGAAACTGCATTTTGAGATAATTACAGATTCACACATAGTTGTAAGTCATAATACAGAGAGATCCCCTGTGTCCTTTACTCAGTTACCCCCAATAGCAACATCTTGCAAAATTATATTACAATATCAGAATGAGAAAATTGAAATTGACACACTAAAAAACAGTTCCATCATGCAAGGATCTCTCTTAGTGTCCTGTTATAGCCACATCTACCTTCCTTGTCTCCCCTTTCCTAACCCTCGGCAACCACTAAACTTTGTTCCACCTCTAAAATTTGTCATTTTATATGAGTATTGTATAAATGGAATCGTAGAGTGTGTGACCTTTTAGGATTGGATTTACTCATTCAGTATTACTCCCTAGAGATTCATCCAAGCTGTGTGCATCAACAGCTCATTCCGTAGTGTGGATGTACCCAAGGCTATTTAACCTTCATCCACTGGATACTTTCTAGTTTTTGGCTATTACAAATAAAGCTGCTATGGACATTCATGTTCAGGTTTTCATTTCTCTGGGGAAAATGCTTAAGAGTGCAATTGCTGAGTCTCCTAGTAGTTTCTTGTTTAGTTTTGTAAGAAACTTGAAACTATTTTCCAGATTAGCTGTAGTATTTTACATTCCCACCAAAATATATAAATGATTTCGTTTCTTTGCATCTTTTCCAGCATTTGGTGTTGTCACTGTTGCTTATTTTGTCCATTCTGACCGGTATGTGGTACTCTCTCATCCTAATCTTAGTTTGCATTTCCCTAATGGCTAATGATGCTAAATATAATTTCATGTGCTTATTTGCCAACCATATATCCTCTTTGTTGAAATCTCTCTTCAAATCTTTTTCCAATTTTCTAACCGGATTGCTTGATTTTTTTTCACTGTTGTGTCTTGAGAATTGTAGCTTCTAGATACTAGTCCTTCATCTGGTATGTGGTTTGCAAATACATTCTTCCAGACTATAGGTTGTCTTTTCATCATTTTAATAGGCCTGTTGTAAAGAAAAAAGTTTTTATTTTTATGAATTCCAGTTTATCAAAATTTCCTTTTATGGATCATGCTTTTGATGTTATGTCTAAGAACTATTGGCCTAGCTCTAGCTCTAGACTACATTCTAGAGATTTTCTCCTGTGTTTCTTTTTCTAAAAGTTTTCGTTTTTTTGTTTGTTTGTTTGTTTGTTTGTTTGAGATGGAGTTTCGCTCTTGTTGCCCAGGCTGGAGTGCAATGGCGGCATCTCGGCTCACTACCACCTCTGTCTGCCCGGGTTCAAGTGATTCTCTTCCCTCAGCCTCCAGAGTAGCTGGGATTACAGGCGCGCGCCAACATGTCCAGCTAATTTTTGTATTTTTAGGAGAGACTGGGTTTCACCACTTTGGCCAGGCTGGTCTTGAACTCCTGACCTCAGGCAATCCACCTGCCTCAGACTCCCAAAGTGCTAGGATTACAGGCGTGAGCCACTATGTCCAGCCTTTCTAAAAGTTTTCTATTTTTACATTTTACATTTAAGTCCATGATCAATTTTGAGTTAAATTTTACATAAGATGTGAGGTTTGAGTTGAGGTTATTTTTTTTTTTTTTTTTGCCTATGGAAATCCAATTTCTTCAGCATTATTTATTGAAAATATTACATTTTCCTTCCTCCGCTGAACTCCTTTTGCATCTTTGTCAAAATCAGTTTACCATACTTGTGTGAGTATATATTTTTCTCTATTCTGTTCCATTAATCTTTGTGTCTATTCCTCCACTTACATCTTGATTGCTGTAGGTACCTATTTTATTAAACCTTAATATCAGATTCCTCCTACTTCCCTCTTCTTTATCAAGACTGTTTTAGCTATTCTAAGACCTCTGCCTGTCCATATAAATTTTAGGTTAAACTTATCTATGTCTAGAAAATATCATCTTCTGGAATTTTGAAAGGAATTACACTAAATCTCTGGGTCAATTTTGGGAGAATTGACATCTTTACTATGCGGAGTCTTCCTATCCATAACACAGTATGTCTCCTCATTTGCTTAGATATTCTTTGATTTCTTTCACCAGCATTTTGCGGTTTTCAGCACACAAATCCTGTACATGTTTTATCAGATTTATAACTAAATATTTCACGTTATTTGCTGTGATTGTAAATGGTATTGTGTTTTCATTTCAGTTTCCACACGTTCATTGTTGTATGCAGAAATGTGATTGATTTTTTTGTGTTGATCTTGTATCCTGCAAACTTGTTAAACTCACTTATTAGTTCTAGAAGTGTCTATTTTTGGGAAGGGGATAGATTTCTTGGAATTTTCTGCATAGATAATCATGGCATTGGCAAATAGGAACCGTTTCATTTCTTCCTCTCCAATCTGTATGACTTTGATTTGTTTTACTTGCCTTACCGTAGTGGCCAGATTTTCAGTTTGTTGTTTAAGGGGTTAAAGCAGATATCCTTACTTTGTTCCCAATATTAGAGACAAAGCAATCATTCCATTACCATTAAATGTGATGTTAACCGTACTTTTTTTGCCAAATGTGCTTTATCAAGTTGATGAGGAGCCCTCTATTCCTAGGTTACTAAGAGTTTTTATTATTAATGGATATTAAAATTTGTCAAATGTTTTCTCTTTGTCAAATGATATGATTGTATGATTTTTTCTTCTTTAGCTTGTTGATGTGGTAGATTTCACTGATTGACTTTTGAATGTCAGAGTAGCCTTGTATAAAATCCAGTCCACTTGCCATGGTATATAATTCTTTTATGCACTGCTGAGTTGAATTTGCTAGTATTTTGTGATAATTTTTACCTGTAAGTTCATGAGATATATTGGCCTGTAGCTTTCTTTATTTTTGTGGTCTTGGCCTGGTTTCAGTTTCAGAGAAATAAATATTAACATGTAAAATGAGTTGGCAGTGTTTCTTCCACCAGTACTTTCTATAAGAGATTTTCAAAATTTGATGTTAATTACTCATGGGAGTGCCAGCTAGCCATTCTTGGCACTGCCTTTTGTTTACCTCCTTCATAATAGGTGGGTGTGGAAGTTTAGCTCACCACTGTGCCTTGCTGACCCAGAGATGGGGTACAGGAACCTGCTTACTAGTCCTAACACCACCGTCAGTCTAGTTGATGCTAAGTAGGAGCGGAGGCTCAGTTGCAGCTGGTCCCTGGCAGGGGATTCTGAGTACTGCCTGCTTCTTCTGGACAAGTAATGGAAGGTCAGTTGCATGCTGTCCCTGTAGATACCGCCAGGCAGGGAATTGGAGTGCTCAGCCCACACTAGGCTCTGCAGAGTGGGGTTGGGAGTCGGATGGGCCAAGAGATCAACTTCTCCCTTGATTGGCCCCATGAAACTATGGGGGTGGGTTTGGGGGAGTTGTTTTATCCGTGAATATTTAGTTGGAGTAGGATGGGTATTGTCCAAATAATTTTCTCTTGTTAGGCCATGCCTTTCCTGGTATTTTCATGAGGGGACGTAGGCTTTCTTGGAGATATTTTTGTCTGTCTGATAGAGGCTTTTGCAGCAGCCTGTCAAAGATATATGGGAAGCAATAAGGAAACTCTAGGAAGTCACCACTATGTCTCCTTGAATCCCAAAGTCCCCAGGCATCCTGCCTTCTTCTTTCCATAGTTTGAAGTCTTCCTTTGCTTGTTATTGTGTTTTGTCAAGGGCTTTTTAATTGCAGCAGGACAACCTGAAGGGATGTGACTACTCTATCATGGTAGAACCAAAAGTTCTTCAAGACTTTAAAGACACCAATCTACACGGTTTTTGTAGAAACACTGCAACACAGACACAAGGGGTTTGGTTTGGCTTATCTAAAAAACCAGTGGCATTATGGAAGAGCAGCCACAGGCCTCCTTCTCTGCCTGCAATGTGCCAGTCCATGGATTGGATCCTCAAGGGCTCTGGTTCTCCCTCCCTGCATGGTGATTCAAATCCTTCTTTTGGGATCCCAAAGAATTTGAGTCAGTTAACAAGTCTTTCCAGACATTTAGTGTTTTAAGTCCCCGAAAGGAGATGTTTCATGTCCAAAGTGGACTCGAAGCCGGCTCCCTATAAGGCAGGAAGGTTTCAAGGAAAGAGGGAGAAAGCTGAGGTTGGGGGAAGCTGATTTTCTATACTCCAGGTAGGTGGGACCTCTGTGTTAGCCTTTCCTCTGGTGCAAGCTGGGTGCTATAGTTGAAAACTACGAACTCTAAACTTACTATCTGAAATAGACATAGCTAAATACAATGTATGCAAGTAATTATAAAGCACCTAAGTAACTATAAAACAAATAACGTTCTCCAGAAGCAGAACAATAGTAGTGAGGGGCACTGACAGAGGAGTGTGGCAGAAGTGGATAATCTTGGCAAATTTAGGCAAGTGTCTTGGATTCCTTATGGGGGGAACAGGGGATAATAGCAGAACCTACCTTAACACCAGGTGAGAATTAAATGAAGTAGTTCATTTAAGGCACCCATCAATAGCAAAGTCCCCCCTAAGCAGTAGCTGCTGCCATTATTATTACTCTTCAGTGCTGAATCTGTGACTTTCAGAATTTTTTGACATTTAAAAAATATTATCTTTTCATTTTACAGAAAAATACTGGAAAGGTATATACATTCTCAAGCTCAAGTAGGTGCTAAATGAGAAAACTGGATTTAGACCTGAAGCACAGGACCACCATGCTCTTGCCATTAAATCACACCACCTTTTTCAGACAGAAAATTGGTGCCCGTGAGAAGTGGAGATAAAAGGCTTGCAGGCTTCCCAGGAGACAGGGTTCACCCATAAAAGGGCAAAGACAGGCAGACTTCATAGCGAAGGAAGTTTTTAAGCGGGGCTTTTAGAAATCAGAAACATTTACAAATGCAAAAAACAGTGAATGGGCTTTCCAGGTGGTAGAATATGACTGAGGTCACAGCTTCAACCTGCCGCTTTCTGTTAAGGTCACACTATCCTCTCATAAAGTGAGAGCAAGACGGCCAAGCCCAGGAAACTGCAAGAGTGCCTTATGAACTGACACGTAAGTATTTTGGTAGAACCATACCCTCCATTGGCAGAAAATGGCATTTTATACCACATGTCTCTGAAGTTTGGTTTCACTGTGCAGAGTTTTACTATAGAAAAAAGAAATATGAAAAACTTAAAATGCATTATAGACAACTATGCAAAACTTTTGAGCCTGTGTTTTTTAAAATATAGGAGTTGATTTTAAAATTACAGTTTTCCTGGTGAATACACTTATTACTTAGATTGTCCGTGTCATATCCTAGCCTCAGCTTTGTCAGTTACACACCAGCAAAAATATCCTGCATTTATTTCTCTCTCCTGCTTCCCTGCTATTGGTCATATAACAATTCAAATGCAATTTCATGCAATTTTTCAACTTAACAAAAACAGTATTTGAAGCTTCTTAAATGCCTTTTCAGAAGCTCATTGTTAATATAGCCCTTGTATCTTTTATTATATCTGAGAAAGGAAACTGCATAGAAAAGGTCAGGTTTTTATTCCTCTGTGGCTGAGTCTTGTTATTAAATAAAAGTATTTATCTATGTTCATAACCTGAGAAAAAGGCTTGCCTGCTATGAGTCATTATCAGAGTTTGAACTGTGAGTCACTGGAACATACTGACAGGGAAATTGATTATCCAAAGAAAGTGTGAAGGTGACACTGTATATCATTTTTAATATATAATACATATATGGAAGAAAGATAAACCAAACGAAAGCCACGTGCAGACACAGCCCAGGTCTCATCCTTCTTCCCGGCTGACAGTGAGCCCCCTCCCTCCCCTGTGCCTGCAACTTTTGAATCAAGGGACTTCTCCTGATATTTTCACTGGCCTCTGAATAGCTCTCTTGCTCTTTAAGCCAGAGGCTCCCCTAAGATGAGTCCTGGTTTGAGGTCTCTAAGTACCTGAGTAGTCTTCTGTCAGGATACAACTGTGAATTCTTGCCACCTGCCTTATTAGTATTCAGTGCTCGCTATTATTGCCAGTATCATTATCATCATTAGAAGCTCCCATATTCACAGGTGCTCACTCAGTATCAGGCATCGTGGACATTTTATGTGCGGTATCTTGTGTCTTCCCTGCCCTGATCCCTGGAGGTGCCATTTTACAGGACAAGGCAACAAGCCACTAAAAGGGACAAATCGGGTGCCCAGGGAGAGCCAGGAACCTCTCAGGTCTGGGGGACAACAGGCTCCCTCCCCCTCTTCACTTCTGTGAACAATCTCTTTAAAGTCAGATCTGCTTCCCTTTCACTGGAAAGGACATTGCCAATGGTGTTATTCATTATTTTTTGCATTTATACATTCACCACTTCTTGGTGAAATTTAATATAAAATTTCTATCATTATGAAAACAGAAAAAAGAACTTAGAAGCAAGTTATGCATTACCACCAACTCACAGTGTGACCCCAGAATGCAATTCAACCTCTCTGGGCATTGGATTTCTAAAATACCTAATTAGATGACTCTAATCACTTGCTTCCCACTCTAATCTTCTGATTTGTCTAAGTCAAGAAGGCCAATGTTCTCTCCCTTCATCAAACAGTTTTATGATGGTTACTTTTGTTATCAGATGCCACCCAAAATAGCAATGTGGTCTCCGTGGACTGCAGAAAAAGTCAGCAGGTGAGGCCATCCACGGGCACACCTTCGACCCCCTTGGTTCCTCTGCTCTCTCCTCTGTCCAGCCTCCAGCCACTCTGGGCCACTTTCAGGTCCTGAGCACAACGACTCTGGTCCCCTGTGGGCCTCGGCCCTGACTTTCTCCTCTACACTTGGCTAGCTTTACTGGTGCTCATCATTCGCTCAGCCAGCACCTGCTTTCCATCTTCCCTGCCCCACCCAGGGCAAGAGGCCTACGAATTCCTCCTATGCGTCCCTCTTATGAATTACACTTGAGTACTTAACCAGCCTAGAAGTTCTTGACAACAGGGACAGGATCTTGTCCCTCATGGTAACTGCAGTGCCCAGCACAACATCTGGCACATAGTAAATCTTCAGAAAATGCATGAACAAACTGGTGAATGAACCACTCAAATGCCACCCTGCTTCTGACCACCACTGTGCCCAGAGCTGTTACTCCTGGGCAAATCTCCAATCCATTAGTTATTGTGGAAAAACTCCCATAAAGCATTTTTTTAAAATAATCAAACAACAACAACAAAAAATCTCCATGCCCAAAGCCTGCTCCTAATAGCACAAGGTCTGGTTTCCCTTATGTAATTCTCACTTCTGCCCTTCTGGGCTGTCTGAGATAAGAGGTGTCAGGCTAGAAGTGAGGTATATTCTCCAGTGCACAGCTCTATTGTTCAAGCCTCTGAACAAACCTCAAACCTCAAACCATCCACAACTGCAGAAATAGAAAAGTGCCGACTTAGAAAAAAATGATTAGCTATTAAATCATAGGCATGCTGACTTTTGAAATAGCTAATAACTCCCTCAGAGGATTGCAGACCATGACCAACATCTTGGCATCAGTAGGAGAGGAGGAATTCTTAACATCACTAGCACTTTGGACACTCCTGTACCTTCCTCTGAGATTCATTCATTCATTCGCTTACTCCTATAGTGCCACATCAATAACTGTGAGTAGGCATTATTCTAGGGTTTCAGATACAGTAGGGAGCAAAACAGGAGAAGCTTCTATCTTCATGGTACTCACCTCTTAGTGAGGGAAAACAGGCAGTAAACAAAAGGAATAGGCAAAGCAGGTAGTGTGTGGGGTGGGTAACATGCTGGAGGAGAGTAAAGTAGGTATGGCGGTCAGGGAAGGACTCACTACGCAGGTGACACTTTAGTAGGACCTGGAAGCTGCTGAGGAAGAGCCAGGAGGGTGTCTGAGAAAAAGTTTCCTGGCAGAGTGAGAACCAAGTGCAAAAGCCTGAGGAAGAAACAGGCTGAGAACATCCAAGGAATAGCAAGGAGCCCAGATTGACTAGAGAGGAATAAGGGATGGGGGAGTGAGCAGATGGGAGAGGGGCAGGAGGCAGGCGGTGAGAGGCCATGGTTAAACAGAGGGCTAGGGAAAGTTTTGAGCAACCAATAGCTGATTTGCATTTTGATTGGTTTCCTTTGACTATGTATTAACAATCAACTAAAGGAGGCAAAGGCAGAGTAGAAAAACAGGTTAGGGTTTTTTTTTTTTTTGTTTTAATCTAGTGGGAGCAGGGTGGTACTTGTGAAGGTGTTGAAATGTGGTTCACAATGAAATATCGTTTCACTCCAGTTAGAATGGCTATTATCAAAACAACCAAAAATAACACATGCTGGCAAGGATGCAGAGAAAAGGGAATTCTTACACACTGTTGGTGGGAACGTAAACTAGTATAGCCACTATAAAGAACAGTATGGAGGTGTATCAATCTGTTCTCTCATGCTGCTATGAAGAGATACCCAAGACTGGGTAATTTATAAAGAAAAAGGTTTAATTGACTCACAGTTCTGCATGGCTGGGGAAGCCTCAGGAAACTTACAATCATAGTGGAAGGCACTTCTTCACAGGGCAGCAGGAGAGAGAATGAGAGAAGGGAGAAAAGCCCCTTATGTGTTACATTTATATTTTTATATATATAATATATATAATACATATTATATATAATATATAATATATATATAATACATATTATATATAATATATAATATATATAATACATATATTATATAATATATAATATAATAATATAAATATTGTATATAATGATATATAATATGTGTTACATTTATATTTATATATAATGTTATATATTATATACGTGTTATGTTTATATTTATATAATATATATTATATATAGCATATATATGTTTTATATATTATATATAAATATAAATGTAACACATATATAGTATATAATATATATTATATGTATATATAATAATTTATATGTATATAAATATAAATGTAACACATAAATATATGTAATGATATATAATATTTATATTTATTATATTATAATAAAACAATCAGATCTCATAAGAACTCACTCACTATCACAAGAATAGCATGGGGGGACCGCCCACATGATCTACTCACTTCCCATGGGGTCTCTCTCCCAACACGTGGGGATTACAATTTGGATTACAATGCAAGATGAGATTTGGGTGGGGACACAGAGCCAGACCATATGAGGAGGTTCCTCAAAAGACTACAAATAGAACTAGCATGTGATCCAGCCATCCCACTGCTGGGCATTTTTCCAAAGGAAAGGAAATCATTGTGTCAGACATCTGCACCCTCATGCTTATTGTAGCTTTATTCACAATAGCAAAGATAGGGAGTCAACCTAGATGTCCAAGAACAGATGAATGGATTAAAAATGTGGCATATATACACAATAGAGTATTATTCAACCATTAAAACAATGATATCCTGTCATTTGAAGCAATGTGGATGAGCCTGGAGGACATTATGGTAAGTGAAATAAGCCAGAAACAGAAAGTTAAACACCACATGTTCTCACTCATGCGTAGAAACTAAAAAAAGTTGATCTCATAGAAGTAAAAATTAGAAAAGAAAATACCAGAAACTGTAAAGTGTAGAAAGAAAGGAAGGATAGGGAGACTATCCTCCTTATCCTTTTATTAAGGGCTACAAAATTACAGCAGATAAGAGGAATAAGTTATCATGTTCTATAGCACTGTAGGATGACTTCAGTTAACAATAATAGTTTCAAATAGCTGGAAGGAAGATACTGACTCTTCCCTACATAAACAAATGATAAATGTTTGAGATGATGGATGTGCTGATTACCCAGATCTGATCACTGAACATTATATGTATCAAAACATCACTACATACCACATAAATCTGTGCAATTATTATTTGTCAATTTTAAAAAGTAAAATTGGACTAGAAACAGCTGTGCTCAGAGGCTCCCACCGAGAATAACAAAAATGGCAAGTGAATCCTGCACTGGCAACTGAAGTATCCAGGCTCTCTCTTTGGGGCTGAGTGGGCACTTGTCATGACCCATGGAGAGTGAGGAAAAACAGGGTGGTGCAACAGCCCATCTTGGAGCCACACAGGGCAAGGGGAATGCAACAGCAAGCAACAACAAAAACATCAACAAAAAAGTCCCCACAAAAACCCCATCCAAAGGTCAACAGCTTCAAAAATCAAAGGCAGACAAACTAATGAAGATAAGAAAGATTCAATGATAAGACGCTGAAAAGCCAGAATGCCTCTTTTCCCCCAAATAATCACAACACCTCTCCAGCAAGGGCACAGAATTGGGTGGAGGCTGAGATGGATAAATTGACAGAAGTAGGCTTCAGAAGGTGGGTAATAACAAGTTTCACTGAGCTGAAGGAGCATGTTCTAACCCAATGCAAAGAAACTGAGAACCATTATGAAGCATTACAGGAGCTGTTAACCGGAATAACCAGTTTAGAGAGAAACATAAATGACCTGATGGAGCTGGAAAACACAACACAAGAACTTCACAATGCAACCACAAGTATCAATAATGAAATAGACTAAGCAAAGGAAAGAATTTCAGAGCTTGAAGACTATCTTGCTGAAATAAGACAGGCAGACAAGATTAGAAAAAAAAAAAAAAGAATGAAAAGGAGTGAACAAAACCCCCAAGAAATATGGGATTACATAAAAAGACCAAACCTACAACTGATTGAGGTACCTGAAAGAGACTGGGAAAATGGAACCAAGTTGGAAAACATACTTCAAGATATCATCCAGGGGAACTTCCCCAACCTAACAAGACCGGCCAACATTCAAATTCAGGAAATCCAGAGAACCCAAGCAAGATACTCCATGAGAAGATCAACCCCAAGACATATAATCCTCAGAGTCTCCAAGGTTGAAATGAAAGAAAAAATGTCAAGGGAAGCCAGAGAGAAAGGCCAGGTCACCTACAAATGGAAGCCCATCAGACTAATGGTGGACCTCTCAGCAGAAACCCTACAAGCCAGAAGAGATTGGGGGTCAATATTCAACATTCTTAAAGAAAAGGATTTCCAAACCAGAATTTCATATCTGGCCAGCCAAACTAAGCTTCATAAGCAAAGGAGAAATAAAATCCTTTTCAGACAAGCAAATTCTGAGGGAATTTGTCACAAGCAGGCCTGCCTTTCAAGAGCTCCTGAAGGAAGCACTAAATATGGAAAGGAAAAACCATTGCCAGCCACTGCAAAAAACACACTGAAGTACAAAGACCAATGATACTATGAAGCAACTACATAAGTAAGTCTGCAAAATAAACAGCTAGGATCATGATTACAGGATCCAAATTCACACATAACAATATTAACCTTAAATTTAAATGGGCTAAATATCCCAATTAAAAGACACATAGTAGCAAGTTGGATAAACAACCAGGACCCATTGGTGTGCTCTACTCAAGAGATCCATCTCACATGCAAAGACACACCAGGCTCAAAATAAAGGGATGGTGGAAAATTTACCAAGCAAATGGAAAGTAGATAAAAACAGGCGTTGCAATCCAGTTTCTGACAAAACAAACTTTAAACCAACAATGATTAAAAAAAAAGAAGGGCATTACATAACGGTATAGGGATCAATTTCAACAAGAAGAGCTAACTATCCCTCTCCTAAATATATATGCACCAAATATAGAAGCACCCAGATTCATAAAACAAGTTCTTAGAGACCTACAAAGAGACTTAGACTCCCACACAATAATAGTGGGATGCTTTAACACCCCACTGTCAATATTAGATAGATTGACAAGACAGAAAATTAACAAGGATATTCAAAACTTGAACTCAGCTCTGGATCAAGTGGACCTGATAGATATCTATAGAACTCTCCACCCAAAAACAACGGAATATACATTCTTCTTGGTGCCACATGGCACTTACCCTAAAATCAATCACATAAATGGAAGTAAAATACTCCTCAGCAAATGCAAAAGAACTGAAATAATAACAAACAGCCTCTCAGACCACAGCACAATCAAATTAGAACTCAAGATTAAGAAACTCACTCAAAACCACACCACTACATGAAACTGGACAACCTGCTCCTGAATGGCTCCTGGGTAAATAATGAAATTAAGAAAGAAATTAAGAAGTTCTTTGAAACCAATGAGAACAAAAGAGACAATATACCAGAATCTCTGGGATGCAGCTAAAGCAGTGTTAAGAGGGAAATTTATAGCACTAAATTCTCACATCAGAAAGCTAGAAAGATCTCAAATTAGCACCCTAACATCACAACTAAAAGAACTAGAGAACCAAGAGCAAACAAACTCAAAAGCTAGCAGAAGACAAGAAATAACCAAGATCAGAGTGGAACTGAAGGAGATAGAGACTCGAAAAACCCTTCAAAAAATCAATAAATTCAGGAGCTGGTTTTTTGAAAAAAATTAATAAAATAGATAGACTGCTAGCTAAACTAATAAAGAATAAAAGAGAGAATAATTAAATAGACACAATAAAAAATGATAAAGGGGATATGACCACTGACCCAACAGAAATACAAACAACCATCAGAGAACACTATAAACACCTCTATGCAAATAAACCAGACAATCTAGAAGAAATGAATAAATTCCTGGACACATAACACCCTCTCAAGACTGAACCAGGAAGAAGTTGAATTCCTGATTAGACCATTAACAAGTTCTGAAATTGAGGCAGTAATAAATAGCCTATCATCCAAAAAAAGCCCAGGACCAGATGGATTTACAGCTGAATTCTACCAGAGGTACAAAGAGAAACTGGTGCCATTTTTTCTGAAACTATTCCAGACAACTGAAAAGGAGGGACTTCTACCAACAGAACAGAACAGAGGTCCCAGAAATAAGACTGCACATCTACAATGATCTGATCTTCCACAAACCTGACAAAAACAAGCAATTGGGAAAGGATTCCCTATTTAATAAATGGTGCTGAGAAAACTGGCTAGCCATATGCAGAAATTTGAAACTGGACCCCTTCCTTACACTTTATACAAAAATAAACTCAAGATGGATTAAAGACTTGAATGTAAAACCCAAAACTACAAAAACTCTAGAAGAAAAGCTAGGCAATACCATTTAGGACACAGATATGAGCAAAGATTTCATTGAAAACATCAAAAGCAATTGCAACAAAAGCAAAAATTGACAAATGAGATCTAATTAAACGAAAGGATTTCTGCACAGCAAAATAAACTATCATCAGCATGAACAGACAACCTACAGAATAGGAGAAAATTTTTGCAGTCTATCCATATTACAAAGGTCTAATATCCAGAATCTACAAGGAACTTAAACAAATTTACAAGAAAAAAAAAGACAAAATTAAAAAGTAGACAAATGACATGAACAGACACTTCTCAAAAGAAGACATTTATGCAGCCAACAAACATAAGAAAGAAAGCTCAACATTACTGATCATTAGAGAAATGCAAATCTAAACCACAATGAGATACCATCTCACACCAGTCAGAATGGCGATTACTAAAAAGTCAAGAAACAACAGATGCTGGTGAGGCTGTGGAGAAGTGGGAATACTTTTACACTGTTGGTGGGAATGTAAATTAGTTCAACCATTGTGGAAGACAGTGTGGTGATTCCTCAAAGACCTAGAACCAGAAATACCATTTGACTCAGGAATCTCATTACTGGGTATATACCCAAAGGAAGATAAATCATTCTATTACAAAGATACATACATATGTATGTTCACTGCAGCACTATTCACAATAGCAAAAACATGGAGTAACCCAAATTCCCATTAAATATAGACTGACTGGATAAAGAAAATGTGGTACATATACACCATGGAATATTATGCAGCCGTAAAAAGGAATAAGGTCATGTCCTTTGCAGGGACATGAATGGACCTGGAAGCCAATATCTTCAGCAAACTAACACAGGACCAGAAAACCAAATACCACATGTTCTTACTCATAAGTGGGAGCTGAACAATGAGAATACATGGACACAGGGAGGGGAACAACACACACTGGGGCCTGTCGGGGACAGCATCAGGATAAATAGCTAATGGGATAAATAGCTAATACATGTGGGGCTTAATACCTAGGTGATAGGTTGATAGGTGCAGCAAACCACCATGGCACACGTTTACCTATGTAACAAACTTGCACATCCTGTACATGTATCACAGAACTTAAAATTAAATCTAAAAAATAAATAAAAAGTAAAATAAAGCAAAAATAGGCTAGATGCAGTGGCTCACACCGGTAATCCCAGCACTTTGAGAGGCCGTGGTGGAAGGATTGCCTGAGCCCAGGAGTTCAAGACCAGCCTGGGCAACATAGTGAGACCTGGTCTACACAAAAAATCAAAAAATTCCTGGGCATGGTGGTACATGCCTGTCTTCCCAGCTACTTCCAGCTACTTGGGAGGCTAAGGTGGGAGGATTGCTTAAGCCTACGCGTTTGAGGCTGCAGCAAGCCATGATTGGGCCACTGCACTCCAGCCTGGGCAACAGAGCAAAATGTGCTTAGATTCTGGATGAGTTTTGAATGTAGAAAGGACAAAAACTGTTTAGTAAATTGGATGTAAGGTGTAAGGAAAGTGAAGAGTGAAATATCACTCCAAAATTTTAGGCCTGAGCCACCTGGGTGGCCATTAACTGTGATGCAAAACATTGCAGAAGAGGCAAGACATGGAGGGAAGTGAGGGGGCAGAGGATGAAATCAGGAAGCAGAGCACGGACACAGTAAGTATGAGAAGCTAACTTAGAACATACGGTATCCCTCTGTCTGACAGTCAAATATTCCCCACTCAAGTACTTGACTGGGGAGGGCCAGTACCATCGCCATTAGCTTGTGTGAGTCTTAGGAGGTGCACTGACATTTTTTGATGAATTTTCAATTCCAATAGTGTGACCCAATCCAGCCCCAAGCTTTCAGCCTGTAAATGACTGAAAATTCTGCTAAGATTGCTTGAAGATATTTATAAAACAGTATTTGGATATTACAGAGGAAAAACAACAAAAATCTCAAGCTCGAATGTGAACAAGTGTGCATGGGCACCATCCATTGGGAGATTCAACAGTTGATGGAGACTGGGCAGCAGGAAGGACTCACTCAACCTCAGGAACAGGGCAAGATCCCATAGACGCATAAAGTCAAATTTGCTATGTTCCGAATTTGCCATTTTAACAGACTTTCAAGTGCAGTTAATTTTTTTATTATTATTATTATACTTTAAGTTTTAGGGTACATGTGCACAATGTGCAGGTTTGTTACATATGTATACATGTGCCATGTTGTGTGCTGCACTCATTAACTCGTCATTTAGCATTAGGTTTATCTCCTAATGCTATCCCTCCCCCCTCCCCCCACCCCACAACATTTCCCGGTGTGTGCTGTTCCCCTTTCTGTGTCCATGAGTTCTCATTGTTCAATTCCCACCTATGAGTGAGAACATGCGGTGTTTGGTTTTTTGTCCTTGCGATAGTTTGCTGAGAATGATGGTTTCCAGCTTCATCCATGTCCCTACAAAGGACATGAACTCATCATTTTTTTATGGCTGCATAGTATTCCATGGTGTATATGTGCCACATTTCCTTAATCCAGTCTATCATTGTTGGACACTTGGGTTGGTTCCAAGTCTTTGCTATTGTGAATAGTGCCGCAATAAACATACGTGTGCATGTGTCTTTATAGCAGCATGATTTGTAATCCTTTGGGTATATACTCAGTAATGTGATGGCTGGGTCAAATGGTATTTCTAGTTCTAGATCCCCGAGGAATCGCCACACTGACTTCCACAATGGTTGAACCAGTTTACAGTCCCACCAACAGTGTAAAAGTGTTCCTATTTCTCCACATCCTCTCCAGCACCTGTTGTTTCCTGACTTTTTAATGATTGCCATTCTAACTGGTGTGAGATGGTATCTCATTGTGGTTTTGATTTGCATTTCTCTGATGGCCAGTGATGATGAGCATTTTTTCATGTGTCTTTTGGCTGCATAAGTGTCTTCTTTTGAGCAGTGTCTGTTAATATCCTTCACCCACTTTCTGATGGGGTTGTTTTTTTCTTGTAAATTTGTTTGAGTTCATTGTAGATTCTGGATATTAGCCCTTTGTCAGATGAGTAGGTTGCAAAAATTTTCTCCCATTCTGTAGGTTGCCTGTTCACTCTGATGGTGGTTTCTTTTGCTGTGCAGAAGCTCTTTAGTTTAATTAGATCCCATTTGTCAATTTTGGCTTTTGTTGCCATTGCCTTTGATGTTTTAGACATGATGTCTTTGCCTATGCCTATGTCCTGAATGGTATTGCCTAGGTTTTCTTCTAGGGTTTTTATGGTTTTAGGTCTAACATGTAAGTCTTTAATCCATCTTGAATTAATTTTTATATAAGGTTAAGGAAGGGATCCAGTTTCGGCTTTCTACGTATGGCTAACCAGTTTGCCCAGCAGCATTCATTAAATAGGGAATCCTTTCCCCATTTCTTGTTTTTGTCAGGTTTGTCAAAGATCAGATGGTTGTAGATGTGTGGTATTATTTCTGAGGGCTCTGTTCTGTTCCATTGGCCTATATCTCTGTTTTGGTACCAGTACCATGCTGTTTGGGTTACTGTAGCCTTGTAGTATAGTTTGAAGTCAGGTAGTGTGATGCCTCCAGCTTTCTTCTTTTGGCTTAGGATTGTCTTGGCAATGTGGGCTCTTTTTTGGTTCCATATGAACTTGAAAGTAGTTTTTTCCAATTCTGTGAAGAAAGTCATTGGTAGCTGGATGGGGATGGCATTAAATCTATAAATTACTTTGGGCAGTATGGCCATTTTCACGATATTGATTCTTCCTACCCATGAGCCTGGTATGTTCTTCCATTTGTTTGTATCCTCTTTTATTTCATTGAGCAATGGTTTGTAGTTCTCCTAGAAGAAGTCCTTCACATCCCTTGCAAGTTGGATTCCTAGGTATTTTATTCTCTTTGAAGCAATTGTGAATGGGAGTTCACTCATGATTTGGCTCTCTGTTTGTCTGTTATTGGTGTATAAGAATGCTTGTGATTTTTGCACATTGATTTTGTATCCTGAGACTTTGCTGAAGTTGCTTATCAGCTTAAGGAGATTTTGGGCTGAGACCATGGGGTTTTCTAGATATGCAATCATGTTATCTGCAAACAGGGACAATTTGACTTCCTCTTTTCCTAATTGAATGCCCTTTATTTCCTTCTCCTGCCTGATTGCCCTGGCCAGAATTTCCAACCCTATGTTGAATAGGAGTGGTGAGAGAGGGCATCCCTGTCTTGTGCCAGTTTTCAAAGGGAATGCTTCCAGTTTTTGTCCATTCAGTATGATATTGGCTGTGGGTTTTTCATAGATAGCTCTTAATATTTTGAGATACATTCCATCAATACCTAATTTATTGAGAGTTTTTAGCATGAAGGGTTGTTGAATTTTGTCAAAGGCCTTTTCTGTGCCTATTGAGATAATCATGTGGTTTTTGTCTTTGGTTCTGTTTATATGCTGGATTATGTTTATTGATTTTCATATGTTGAACCAGCCTTGCATCCCAGGGATGAAGCCCACTTGATCATGGTGGATAAGCTTTTTGATGTGTTGCTGGATTTGGTTTGCCAGTATTTTATTGAGGATTTTTGCATCAATGTTCATCAAGGATATTGGTCTAAAATTCTCTTTTTTTGTTGTGTCTCTGCCAGGCTTTGGTATCAGGATGATGCTGGCCTCATAAAATGAGTTAGGGAGGATTCCCTCTTTTCTATTGATTGGAACGGTTTCAGAAGGAATGATACCAGCTCCTCCTTGTACCTCTGGTAGAATTTGGCTGTGAATCCATCTGGTCCTGGACTTTTTTTGGTTGGTAAGCTATTAATTATTGCCTCAATTTCAGAGCCTGTTATTGATCTATTCAGAGATTCAACTTCTTTTTGTGTGCTTACTATTTTGCTTCCTGCTTTCAAAATTACGTTTGTTTCAAGACAACCTGGATGGAGTCAGCCTTAATGTCACTGATAAACAATGTACACGCCTGTCACGTTTTCCATTCATTCAACACTGGCTAGCTGGCTCTGCTGAAGCAGAGGAAGTTAATGCAATAATATAATGAAGAAGCAAGAGGAAGCCTGTACAGGGAGGTAATTATCATCAACTAGGGAAGGCCTAGTTCTTGATATATGATTATTTCAAGGAAAGAAGAAAGCACTGACTTCTGTCTTGTGACCTGTTTCCCTTCTTAAGTTTGACCAAAGGGGAAATGGCCTTCCAAAACACCAGGAGTGAGAGGCTGTGGTAGATAGCTCATTGTTAGTAGATATTTTTTGAGATTTTTGAGGTGGGTTGTCATTGTCACCCCCTCACTTAGCATTCTGGGTTTTTTTCCCTTTTTTTTTTCCACTGGAAATTACTTTTAGAAAATTTATTGGGTTTTTATTACTAACATAAGAAATTTGCTCAAAGTTAGTGGCTTAAAACAATACAGATTTGTCATCTCATATTTCTGTAGTTCAGATGTCCAAACTGGGTCTCACTGGGCTCAAACCAAGGTGTTGGAGAGGCTACATTTCTTTAAGGAGGCTCTAGGGAAGAATTCATTTCCTTGTTGTCATGGGTTGAATTGTGTTCCCTCCAAAATGAGTGCTAAGGTCCTAACTCCCTGTCTCAGAATGTGAGTTTACTTGGAAATAGAACCTTTGCAGATGATCAAGTTAAGTTGAGCCTGTTAGGATAGGCCTTAATCCAATATGACTGTGTTCTTATAAAAAGGGAAAGTTTGGGAGCAGATACATGCACACTGGAAGACCACCATGTGAAGAATGGACTTATGCTGCCACATCCAGGGAAACACCAGAGACTGGGAGAGAGTACTGGAGCAGATCCTTCCTTAGTGTCCTGCAGACACTGTGATCTCAGACTTCTGGGCTCCAGAACTTAGAGAGAATAAACTTCTCTTTTTTGACCCACTCATTTTGTAATATTTTGTCACGGCAGCCCTAGAACATTAATACGCTCTTCTTTTCCAGCTGTGGAAGCTGCCCACATTCCTTGGCTTTTGTCTCCTTCCTCCATCTTCAGAGCCAGCAGCATTGCATCTCTCTGACTTCTTTCATAGTTGCATCTCCCCCTAACCACAGCCAGAACGCCTTCTCCAATTTTAAAAACTCATGTGACAGTAAGCCCATCTAGGTAATCCAGAATAATCTCTCCACATCAATGTCTTTAATTTAATCCCATCTACAAAGTCTCTTTTGCCATGTAAGGTAACACATTCAGAAGTTCCGGGGATTAGGGCATAGGCAGCTTTGGGTAGTGGGCATTATTCTGCCCACCTGAGAAGAATAAATTTTAAAGCATCATAATAAAATAGATTAACAGATATTTTTATCTGGAGGGGCTTACTGAAAGCTGAGGTCAAGAATCGGGGGAAATGCCTGGGGTGGGAAAAGATTGTGTTGGAGGAGGTGGCATCAGGAGACATACCTGGGAAAGGCAGGCCTGGGCAGAAGCCACGTAGGAGAAGCAAATATCCAATATCCAGGTGCAGTGGAGGACTGCCAGGTAAAGTTCAAAGCCAAAACCCTTGCACAAATCCTTGCTCTGCCAGGTAGAGCATTACTTATATTCACGGGTAGAGCTATCTGACTTTGAGGCTGTTACTTATCTTCTTTGCACCTCAGTATCTCATATAAAGTAAAGGAATATCATCTACCTTCCAGAGCTATAGCAAGGCACAAATGAGATCATAACAAATGGACATCTATGAAGTGTGTGGCAGACATTATTTGTGTTATGTCCTGTAAACTATAAAGCTCTCTAACAGTGACAATATTATTTCCCCCTGCCTCCCAGAAAAAACGGGAGTGCCAAAGGAGAGGAGAGATACTCAGAAAGATACAAACTTGTCTATTCCCACAACTTGGCTTAGAATAAGTTATAGCACTGAGACACATTTCAAGAAAAGGGGAGAAGGAGAAAGGGGATGAAAACCTACCGACCATCCACAGTTGGCTAGGTGTTGTGATAACACCTTGCCTATATTTTCACATCTGCTTTCACACTAGACATCAGCTGGGGTTGTCACTAACCATTGGCAATTGAGGAAGTCAAGTCTTAAACTGCAGTGCTAAGGGGCAGATCTGGCTTCCCTTCCAGTCTGTCTGCCTCCTAAACACTGTCTGCCCCACTATGTAGATAATCCAGGATAACCTTTGCATCTCAAAGTTAGAAGCACAGTTAGAAGAGGGTCCCAAGGAACTACCTTATCCAATAAACTCATTACATATGGAGTCAGAGGTAATTTTGTTGCTGGATCATTATTGTGTCTTGAGTAATTTAAGGGTAGAATATAATTCCCATATAAAAGATAAATTCTTGGCCGAGCACGGTGGCTCACGCCTGTAATCCCAGCACTTTGGAAGGCCGAGGTGGGCAGATCACAAGGTTAGGAGTTCGAGACCAGCCTGCCCAATAAGATGAAACCCCGTCTCTACTAAAAAATACAAAGAAATTAGCTGGGCATGGTGGTGTGCACCTGTAGTCCCAGATATGTGGGAGGCTGAGGCAGGAGAATCACTTGAACCTGGGAGGTGGAAGTTGCAGTGAGCTGAGATTGCACCACTGCATTCCAGCCTGGGCGACAGAGTGAGACTCCATCTCAAAAAAAAAAAAAAAGAAAAAAAAAAGAAAAATTTTCATATTCAGCATTTCCATCGTTTTCCTACAATATTAGAGGCCTTGCTCTTTTCAGGTAGACAAGTATTCCCCAAATTAAAAGAATAATATCTGAACTATTTGCCCAAACCACAACTTTCCAGGGTAATGTGTATATTCTTCTGACAAACACACATTTTTTCCTGTTCCTTTCATAATTACAAGAATTTTTTTTTTGTTTTTGAGACGGAGTCTTACTCTGTCTCCCAGGCTGGAGTGCAGTGGCGCAATCTCAGCTCACTGCAAGCTCCACCTCCCGGGTTCACGCCATTCTCCTGCCTCAGCCTCCCAAGTAGCTGGGACTACAGGCGCCTGCCACCACGCTCAGCTAATTTTTTGTATTTTTAGTAGAGACGGGATTTCGCCATACTGGACAGGTTGGTCTCGATCTCCTAACCTCATGATCTGCCCGCCTCGGCCTCCCAAAGAGTTGGGATTACAGGCATGAGCCACCGTGCCCAGCAGAAAATTTTTGAAACTCAGCCAAGACCTGTATAATGCAGTGGAAATGTACCTAATTAGAATTCTGTTGGACCAGTTTCATTTTCTTGGTCTGTTGCAAAACAAATGATTAAATGTAAGTGCAAACAACACATCTTTTTGGTAATATTGGTGTATTTTTTTCTTTTAAAATTAAGGTAATTATTTGCCTATGAAGCAATTTGTTTCTGCAGTTCATCAACCATAGTCTTGATAGCCTTGGAACCTGAATCATTTAATATACACTTTGCAAAGGCTTATTCGTTTTAGCTGAGACATGGTTGTCCTCAATTACATAGTTTTTGTGAATTATTCTGGACTCTAAACAATTTTGGATGTCTCCAGTGAATATACTTTCTTTATAACTTCTCTGATGACATCTGTTTATGTTCTGAATGCCAGCCTAAACAATCTCTCCCTCTCCTCTCCATTTCCTTACCCACCTCCCCACACCATCCCCTCATACACACACTCCTGCCACTCTCCCCTCTGAAATCACTTCCAAATACAAGAGGTTTAATGCAGTCTCTCTTCAAGTGCCTCCACTCTTCCAAACCCCTTGGTCACTCATTTTGATATGCCTCTTCTTAAAAAGATGTTATCTGTCACCACCCACATCCAATCTATCCCAATTTCCCATGTAAAAGTTTCTCTAACACTTCCCCTACTCCACATCTTTCTCAGTGCCATCACATTAATAATTGCAATAGCCCCTTATCTGTTTTCCCTTTTACCATCATGATTGTCTTAAATTTATCTCCACTCAATTTCCAGAGTTATTGGCTGAAGCAGAAACCTGGCTAATTCATTCAACCATTAAATCTCCTTGGCCTGTCACTCACAGAGTAATTTTTTAAATGTTTGGAATCTTAAAAGATTCTGGGAAGAACATCTTGGGCTTCAAAAAAATCAAGATTTGGGGGTGGCAGCTGGGGGCCACGAATACCCCAGACCCCCTTTGACTTGAAGAAGTCCTCTTTTTTTGTTTTGTGATTTATATCTAAAATTTCACTGAAGAGAATTGGTTACATAGATTAAAACAGTTTGAGGACGTGGCTACTGGCTGAAGTACATACCCTCAGGAACCCATGGCCTAGTCCTGTCCTCGCCACTTTCTGACTCATGCACCCACTGCCCACTAGTAACACCCATGGAAGGGCTGATACCTTCCTGAACACACTGTGTTGTTTTGTGCCTCTCAGCTTCTGTCAGTGCTGTTCCCTATGTCCCTGCCCTTCCCACATTTTCTCAATCCTCCTGTGAGCATGAACTAAGATGTATCCCTTCCAGGCAGGCTTACTGGAAGCCCTGAGTTGTATAATGGTGTTTGAGTCTTTGCTTCCACTTTGTATCATGTTTTGTAGTTTTTGACTGGATGCTGGACATTATGTATTAAAATTAGTAGATCTTCTGAAATGAAATGTGTTTTCTTTCTTCTAAAATGATTACATTTTATTCTGAGAGGCAGATAAACAACAAGCAGATTACCTACTAGCTTTAAGTTTGTTAGGGTTGTTCTATTTCTGTGGCGCTTCCGTGATGTCAACCGAGAGCCTGGGGTGTTGACCAGGGTTCTTCCATTTTTAAGAGAACTTGAACTGTACCTCTGTCCTCCAAGCACCTTGTGGCTGCTAAAATATCTGCTCAGTACTTTATTGGCCCAATTACTGTTTTCTGCAGGCTCTCTTGGAGTTTTAAATTGAACAGCTTAGGAGTTGGTTAACACCTCTATGGGAGATTGCACACAGATTTGGGGGCTCACTTAGCTGGGGTTCCCTCTTTCCCTGTATTTTTCTTATCCAGGCTCAGCTTCTTTGACAACCTGGATCCAACCTCTCCCCTCAACCTATCAGGACTGCAAACTTCTGACAAAACTCTTCCATGGCATTATGAATTAACAAGTACTCTCAAGGAAGAAGCGGGGTGAATGGAGCTCGCTTCCTTATGTTTGCCTGCTCTCAGGGACTACAGCATTTTCAGTCCTGCCAACTGGATTGCTCTCATGCTTTTCAACAGCAATCATAATTTCATGTATTCTGTACAGTTTTTCTAGTTGTGTTTTGTACAAAGGCTATTTAATGCAAGCCACTTCATCATGATCAGAGCAGGAAATGCATGTGTTTAGTTTTAATTTGCATATGATGTTATAAATTAGTTTATATTACCATATCAGTTGTTGTATATTGTGTTTATCACATCATCCCTGTCTATAGGCATAAAAGTTGGCTTCAACTATATAAACAAAAGCATGACAAAAAGATAACAGCCTTGTTACTAGAATTAGAAGTCAGTGAACTCAGGGTTTCTAAAATTCCCCTTTACACAGAGTGAGATTGGCCTCAATGCTAATATAAGGACAGATCCAAAAGGTAAAAAATATCCCAGATATTTGGATTGGTGCTAGACTAATACCCACACCTAAAGCACACACACACACACACACACACACACACACACACAAACACACTTCTTTACTTGCTACTTCTCCAAGATGGTAGAAATTCTAATTTATCACATTTTCATAGTTTATGTGGCCCATCCTGTATTACTTCTTTATTTTTTTACAATGAATATTCCCCAAACTTTCAATTTCTTTTTTTTTTCACTGTGGTAAAAAGGTTTGTATATACAATTTTGGAAAGATTCCAAATGCTAGGGGAAATTAAGGTAAATTGTTTTTCTTTACTCTACATTTTATAAAACCTATAGTATATATCATTCAGCTCTATTGTATCATGTTGACAGCATTATGACTTCTTTAGAAAATCAAGTTGACTTTCATCCCAAATCTTTAATACATCATTAAGACTCTGTATCAAGACCTACTATATCTTTTGGATTTTATCAAAATTGGTGGCTCAATATTACAGAAAGATGCCAGGTAGGTCAAAAAGTGCTCAAACCAGAAAGTCTAAGATCCTGGGCCCGTTTCCATTCTGGAGGACAGTTACTAATCAAACACCAACACCAAAGAGAGAATTCCACAACACCAATATCTTGCATTATTCTTGTCTGAGGCACCATTGCTGACTGACATTTTTTTGGTCACTGAGGTCACCAAAACTCTCTGCTGTTGTCCAAGATAAAGAGAGCATCATTTAATTACTGTATATGCCCCCCTTTTAGTTATTTTTCCACTGAATCTTGCAAAAAAAGATCATAATAAGACATAGTTGTTGTTGTTGCTTCATCTTAAAAGAGGATGGAGAAGGACTATGGTTTTGATGATGACATGAAGGTTACGAAAGAATGTTTAACAATAATGGGTTATCTAATAATGATATAACACCAAAACTATAAAACTAATAGCTTAGTTAGGGTGAGGGGAACATGAATTTTAAAAAGTAGAAGAAAACATGTTTTCTACACAAATGAGAGAAACTTTCAGATAGAAAATATGACTGGTGTCATCAGTTTGCTTTTATTATAATTTAAGGAAAGGAATTGCTTAAGGAAAAATTTTAAGTAACTTTATATTCTCATTTCTTAGATGTTGTCATCTCCTCCAGCAACCCAAAGATATGTTAGAGTTAAAGTCTTTTAAAAATAAACTGGAAAATGTACTCTGTCCGCAGTAGACAACATCAATGTTTTAAAAACTGGATTATGGCAATTCCTCATTGTTCATTTGCTTTCACACTGCTTGTGGCTCTCTAAAGTGGTCCCTGCCCCTTACTTTTCTTTGCCATGTCAGATGTGCGAGGGGCACCCTGGCATCTGCTGCCTACCCCTGGTCTCCTCCCAGATGCACTTCCTGGCCTCTGAGATAACAAGTATCTTCTTCTCCCACCCGGTTCCCCAACAAAAAAATGAACCTATTCTCCACCACCTAAACAGTTTCTTCCCATCTTTTCCAATTGCATAAAAGAAAATCTACCTAAGCCCTAGTGACTCTTCAGTTTTTTTTCTCTAATGTTCTTTAATATGTAAAATTGGATGGTTTTTCATTTTCAAAAAGACTTTGTGAAATCATGTGTTTCATAAACTTTGCCTTAATTTCCAAATTAAACTATATATATATAATTCACTGTGGAAAATAGGTTTGTATATACTATTTTGGAAAGATTCCAAATGCTAGGGGAAATTAAGGAAGTTGTTTTTCTTTACTCTTCATTTTATAAAATCTATTCTGTATCACTCAGTTGGGTTGTATCATGATGAAAGAAATATGGTATGGAACAATAGATCGCACAGAAAATCTTTGGCAGGAAGAATGCATCTAGAGCACTTAACATAGTACTTTGCATAAAAGATCTCAAATAGCTGTGGGATTCAAGGGTGTTGAAGTGTGAGCAAGTTTCATCTTGGGACACTTTGGGTGGTACTGTAGGAATCCCAATATATACTGCGAATAGTTATAACTTCACAAGAAAATGCATTTTTGATCTTAGTAGTAATAATAACATACATTTAGCGTATGGTTTTTTGACACACAAAAAGATTTTTATCTGTCCGGGATAGTTTAACTTTCAGAAGCAGTATGCAATCATTATCACCATCTACGTGATCAAAGGAAGTTTCCGGAACCCAGCAACATGCTGGTTCTGAGCATCTCAGCTGCTGGTCAGGCAGTGATGGTGCTGGCACTCAGCAGTCAAGCCAGTGAGAAGCGCTTCCAAGCAGGGGTCCATGACCTTGCAGTCCCCTCCAAGGAAGGCACTGGTGTCACCATAGCCTGCAGCCAAGTAAAAGGATCTTGGCAGAGATCCAGAGACTCAGCTCAGGTCACAGAGGTTGGAGACCACATTTGTGTCCGCTTTGGTTTCAGTTCCCAGGGGACATGGAGGACAAAGCTTGGACGTCGAGTCAGATGAACTTTTGTGAAATACTCCTCTGAGTATTTTTGTGAAACCTAAGTTAAAAACTTAGTTCTTTAAATAAATAAATATTTGTTAGATACAAATTGTAGCTAACATGTCCTGAAATTTCACTAGGTGCCTCCTAAGATCAACTCATTTAATTTTCATAACCACCTCATAAGGTGTATTAGTCTGTTCTGACTGCCATAATAAAATACCATAAATTGAGTGGCTTAAACAACACATAAGTATTTCTCACAATTCTGTAGTCTTGGAAGTCCAGGAACAAGGCACTTGCAGATGTGCTTCCTGGTGAGGGCCCAATTCTTGGTCTTTGGGGTGTCCTCACATGGTGCAGAGAGGGAGGGGAAAAAGAGAAGGGGGAGGGGAAAAAGAGAAGGAGGAGGGGGAGAGAGAGAGAGAGAGAGAGAGAGAAAACTCTCCTTTTATAAGAGGCTTCAATATATGAATTTGTGGGGAGACATCAATATTCAGTCCATAACATGAGGCATGTCTACTATTAGTTTCATTTTACAAATAGGGCCTGTTTCCCAGACAAGAACACTGAGGCACAGAGAGATGAGATTCCTTGCCCATTGTTCACACAGCTTCCATGTGGTAGAGGCTGATGTGAATCCCATCAATTTTCAGCGCCTGTGTGTGCCCACTCTACTACATAGCCTCCCTTCTACAGGGTTTGCATGTAGGCTGGTCTGCTGGCATGTCCTGGCTCTGTTTCTCAGTAGCTGTACAGCTAGTCAGTTTCTCCGACTAACTGGAGGTCAGTATCCTCAGCTGGGTACAGCAGAAGATGATAAAACTGATCTTGTGTGTAATTTCTAGTCTTAAATGCAACAATGCACATAAAATGTCTAACATAGTGCCTGGCTCTTTGTATGTGCTCAATAAAAGTTAAAGATAATTAGTAAGGCCTTCAGTAATAAATACTGAATAAAAGATAAGAGTTGTTATGGCTGTCATTACACCACACCATCTCTTAAATTTAAGAGATACTCTTCTAACTTGCCCTGCACTGTTCTGGAAAAACTGGAAAAAGGGCTGGGCGCAGTGGCTCACGCCTGTAATCTCCGCACTTTGGGAGGCCGAGGCTGGCAGATCACGAGGTCAAGAGATGGAGACCATCCTGCCCAACATGGTGAAACCCCGTCTCTACTAAAAATACAATAAAAAAATAATCTGGGTGTGGTGGCGCACCCCTGTAGTCCCAGCTATTCGGGAGGCTGAGGCAGAAGAATTGCTTGAACCCGGGAGGTGGAGGTTGCAGTAAGCTGAGATCGCACCACTGCACTCCAGCCTGGGGACAGAGCAAGATTCTGTCTCAAAAAAAAAAAAAAAAAAAAAACTGGAGAAAGATGGAACTATTAATATATATAGACAATACACCACAAATATGTATATATATTAGTTGTTAAAATATAAAATATTCTATTCAATATAGAAATATGTGAAGTAAAAATGACAATCTCCCTTATGTTCCCTCTGTTCCATTTCCTTCCCTAGTGGTAAGTGGCATTCATTATAGAGAATACGATTAGGCATAATTTTGGGGAAAGTGGAATATTTTTCTGCATAGCTTTAAAAATTTTTGCAAAGTAACTTTAAAAATGACTATTCAAGTGTAGCTAGCTAATTTTTTCAGACACCGTGACATTCAGCTTCCTAGTGAGTTAAACAAAAACAGCAGAAGCAGTTAGATATTTTATTTTTCTCAAGGACGTGCAAAAAAGTGACCGTAGAGTTTCTTCTCAGAGGAATTCCACAAGCATTCAGGAAGGCCACTCTACAATTCAAACTTAATCATTATGGTTTCAAACGCAATCCCATTCCAAGTTACTCAAGGGAAAGTCATTTACCAGAGCGAAATATCAGGATAAAATCAGCAATAGTCAAGACTGGAATCCCGCCTTCCTATGCTGAAGCAGTGCTTGTCTTCCACAATTCCTTGAAGACAGACTTCCCAAACTGGGTGAGGATTATACCCAGATGTCAAAAGGCAGAGTGTACATGGTGAGTGTATTAGAAATGGTGAGATGATAGGTGGCAGAAAGAAATTTTTTGCCCTGCTGGCCTCTTAGTTCTCTCTCTTCTTTTCTCTAGTGATAAGAGAGTGTTTGTAATATAGAACACAGAAACCGCGACTTTGGGGCAATTTATGCTTTGACGTTATGCTGTGAGAGGCAGGCAGTGTTAGCAGGTGAGAGGCCTGTTTGTATCTTAGACCTGCCATGCCAAAGAATGTAAAAGGCCTGCCTTTCACAGCTGCCCTTTCTTCATGGATCTGGCACCACAATCAACATGATTTTAAGACTTTTTAGAACCCCATTGGGCTAGAGCCAAGACCCTGGAGAAGCGAACTGACAAATAGAAGAGATCAAAGCAAACGAAGGTGAGAAGAGGAAGAGGAAGAGGAAGACAGGCAAGGGACCATCCAACCAAAAGATATCCTGAGACAAGGAAGGAAACCTCGGGACCTCCTCTGTGCTTGGAGTACTCAGAGTCAGCTGGTTTTCTCTCGGGGTAGACATGGCCTGAATGCCTTTCCAGACACTGCAGAGCATCACTGAGGAGCTACATTTACAGCATCCTTTACAATCCTGCCCACAAACAGGTAATGATCCCTGTGGTCTGAACTTCAAACTGATATGAAGGACAACTGATCTCTGTATGGATAAAATGCATTAATTCCCAGTGACAAGCTGCGGTTGAAAAACTTGGAAATATTAAAGAAGCGGGTAAACCTACAATCACCTGAACAAATGGTCACTCTGTGGAGATGGTCTATGTTAAATAAGACAGTTGATGCTTGGGGAAAACTAGCCATGTTTAAGATACAGAATCAACCATACAAATAAAAGGCAAACGTGTTGCTCATGGCTAAACATCATATAAGCTGCACCACACAGTGTGAATATCAATTTGGCCTGTTTCTGCCTAGAGATAGAGTAAGAGCATTTGTAGATACAGCATGTGTGCAGGAGAGTTAACATGGCAGGGCTAATGTCTCTCCTTTGAAAGGCCCACTGGCAAGGCTGGCCCTTGCCTTGTGTCTGCGAACTGAGAATTGGGAGTGTTCCTACCATTCTTGAAATGATACCAACAAGCTCAATGTGCCTAAGCTGTTTATACAGACGATGGTGGTTTGTGCTGAACACCTGCTTTCCTTCTGGAAGTCTGGAATTTGGTTATGTCCTAGGCAAGGGATGGCTGTAAGCCCAGGCCCTGATAAAATACCCCTGGGCTCTGAGTCTCAAATTAGAGTCCCTGATTGGCAGCATTTCCCACGTAGTGTTAAAAGCTCATTTCTGGGGAGTCAAACACACCCTGTGTGACTCCACTGGGAAAGTACCCTGAAATCTTGTACTTGGTTTCCCCCGACTTTCCCCCAATGTCCTTTTCACTTTGATGATTTTCCTTGAGCCCTGCTTCTGTAATCCATCTTAGCCATGGGTACAGCTATGTGCTGAGTCCTGTGGGTCCTCCTAGCAAATCATCAAACCTGGGGGGTGTTTTGGGAACCCATGGCCCACTACGACATTTAGGCTTCTGAGAAGCTACGTTTTTATATTTGGCAAAGCATCTTTGGAATTTCATATATAAGAAGAAAACTTTATGTGCCAGATAGTCACTACTTCCCCATCCTCTGTCCCTGCTAATAGAAGTGGCTGTACCTCTAACAGGCCCGGCAAAAGGCTTGCCCATGGGGCGTGTTTGGGCAGTCCTACCACTATGAACTGCCCGCAGCTCACTGACCTAAGGGTGGACACCTGACTCAAGCTGGGTCCATCAGATTTTCTTCCCCCAAATTTGAATGAGGGTGCTGAGAGGCTGAATCTACCAGTTAGACCTTGGAGAAATGCTGATGATCATGATCGTTTTCTTTCTGCTTGTCTTTATGTTGCCTAATGGAATAGTGCAGTTTAAGTGTCTGCCTTAGGAAGGGCTTCATTATCCCTCAACTTGCTTCTGTTCCCCTGCTTTGCAGAATGGTTCCTCCTTGTATTTGCCCAATTTAATATTCTTTACATATCACTGAACTTGCCTATTCAAAATCTCTCCCCTCTCCTCTGTGAGGCAAAGAGGGCCCAAGCATATGTTGTTTCTCCTGGCACCCTTGAGGCCGAGTACTGGTCAAACTCATATTAGGAACTAAATAAATGCTTGACAGTAAATGATTGAATAATGCCTGTCCTCAGGGCTAATCCTGGGTGAAACCCTGGCAAGGTTTGTTTTTACTATAGAAAAAAAAATCCCAAGATTGCTTCACCTCTGCAGTGAATTTCCTTCATCTATACATTTGGTGTAAGAGATTTTATTAAAGATCAGACTTAAGGTGTTAAAATTTTTTTCAGAAAAAAAAAAGTGAGCTAAAGTCTAGCACCACAAAACTTATACTATGGACAGGAAATATTTCAGCTGATACTCTAGGTAGAATCAGTGTTGGGGATTTTCAGCCCTGTTAAGTATAGCTAGTGGCTTTTAAAACAAGTGAAAAAATAACACATTAGAGAATGCACAGGTCTAGCATTTACAGAGAGAGGGTGGCTTTCAGTAAATTTAAGTTCATAAACTAAATGATCTGGAATTCTTTTACATGCTTCTGCTGATTACAATGGAATGGTAATCAGTGTGTCCAATGTGTCAGGCTCTGTCCTGAAATTTACCATGAAAAGGCATCTAAACTGATAAATATTGGTGTCGTATGGTGTCAGGGGCATCTCTCTAACTAGGCGAGCAGGAAATGCAGGGCAGCCTCACCTATCCTTGCCAGAGGAAGCTGTGCTTTTGATTACATGGAAATCCAGAACCTTGGCTTCTAACTCATCACTCAGAGGAGTGAATGAATTATATTATGTAGAAGTTTTCTTTATAAACCTTTAACTTGCAATTATTTTCTTGCCCCTGTTGGATTATTTTAGTTCTCTTTTGCAGTTTTATTTCTTCATTCATCATTTATTTGGCTCTTGTTACAACCAGGTACTGCTTGGGACACTGGAGTTATAGCAGTAAACAAGACAGACACTCCCTGAATGTAATAAGGCTTACTCTCTAGTAGAAAAAGATAGAAGTAAATAAGTGAAAAATAAGCAGGATTAATTTATAAAGAAAATTGAAAAATTTGATATAAAAATGTGACTTCTGAGACAAGAATTGACAAAATACTACTTTTCTAATATCCATAAAGAATTACAGGAGAGCATTGCTGTGTTCATCTCTGCTTAACATAATATTTCTAATAAGGTTTCATGGTTTTTACAATAACAGAGAACAGCTAATTGTACTTCAACCATAGGCAAAATTAAGTTAACTCATGCTATGATTGTTAATCTTCTTAAGCAATTGCTTAAATATTAATTGACGGCAAGGGGTCAGGATACAGAGTCATGCTGCCAGACTCCAGGGAGAATACAGTAACTTAATAGCAATTTACCATCTAATATGATTAAATTTGACTTTCTATTCCAGAACTGAAGCAACATAATGCCTTCCTTTGCCACATTTAATGATATGTGTCTGAGAAATACTGTTTATCATTACTGAGTTTTTTCATTAAATTTATTGACATAACCTTTCCTTAGCAATGAACACAATCAGTTATAATTACTTAGGATCTTTTTTCTTATAAAGTTTCAAAATTTTAGCTTGCATCAAATTATATAATTAACGTCAACAATAATATCATACAATGCCTGTTTCTACTGAAATAAACATTTTAGTGAAAAATGGGAATAGATGGTCTGTCCTAATTTAGTTTTTTTGCTATTATTAATTTTTTAGCTCTCCAGATTTAGAATTTTTATTACTTTATTTTTCATTACTTTGTAATGGAGAAGAGTGGGAAACAGAAGCGATCACAATCCCTTCCATCCCATAGCAGTGTGTGCTTCACCTGAGGCCAATGGACCTCCTGTGATGTGGCTGAACTAAATAAAATCTTTAATCTATTGTAGAAGAGTGGAAAAGAGGTGGCCCTCCCAATTTCTATTTGTCACCTATCACACATCACAAGCCTTGTAAGTTACATCAACACCATTTTCCACTGAAATCTGCCCTAATGTTTCAGTGCACTGGGGAGCCTGGAAATATGTTTTGAACATTTAGACACCTTTTCCCAAGGATAGGAAGACAATTCCAATCTCCCAGGTGGCACTATTGGAGCTATCCTTGATTCTTCTCTCTCTTTTGCTCTTCATTCAGCCACCACGCCCTATTCCCTGCACAGCAGATCTCAGTTGCTTTTTTCCTTTGTTCTCATTTTCCGTGCTCCCAGTTCCTCCTCCTGCCTTCAGTCTCTCATCTTCAAGTCAACCTATGGGATGGAAAGGAAAAGGGAAGGCAGGGAAAGAAGAATGGAGTGCTGCACTTCATTTAACAAAAAGAATTCTCTTGAGAATTTAGATAAATGTAGGACTTAGAGCCACAATGAAACAATAAACACTTTCTTGTTAATGAGTAAGTGTGTGGCTTGTTAATGAGTAAGTGTGTGGCTGATGAAGTGGCCACAGATGTCCCTTTTCAGTCCTTAGTGTCACCCTCACTCTCTAGGAGGCAAAGTTCCAGTAAAAACGGAGACACTTAAACTGAAGCACAAAACAGATCCTGCCCAGATAAGAATGTGGCTCATCACTAGTGACAAGAACAAGAAAAACTGAGAGATCTTTGCAAACAAAGAGGAAAACAATGCTATATCATTTATTCTAATTCAGGTTGAGCCAAACTCAACATTCTTATTAAAATTCTTTTTACATCTTTAAAATGAATGGTGCTTCCAAGGTTAGAGAGAAATATGCATGCGATTAATTTTCAAACATCAACAGATGTTTGTGAATTATTCAATCCCATTTTTAAACCTGGTTTTGTCCACTATTTCACACATCTCACAAAAAGAGTTGAAGCCAGGAAATGGATGTATAATTGTGAAAGTTTTAATGGGGACACAGATGGAGCTACATTGCTACATGAACATGTGGGATAATCTTCAGTTTCAATTCCTCATTTTTTATTCATATTCTCCATTATTTCTGATAATTAAGAATTGTTTTACAGTAATAAGCGATAGAGTAGCATTGAAGTGATCAAGGAATTAGTCCTTTTCTTTGACTAGCAGTGTGATTCTGGGCAACTCAACTCATGGACTTGAGTCCTTTGCCACTGAAGTTGGGGCTGTCCGCATGGGGTGGTTTGGATGGGCTGAGCCACAGCTGAAGGCAAAGGCAGGCATCTTCCTACAAGACAGTCAATGGGCAAGATGTGGGCATCTGTAGACGGTATGTCCTCTACAGATGGCTGTGAAGCAAGTTCCTAACTGAGCTCTGCAGTGCAGGACTGCTGTGGAACTCACTACAATGGATACTGAATGATTGTGTCCACCCCCCAAATTCATATGTTGAAGTTGCAACCCCCCCCGATGCAACTGTATTTGTAAACGGAGTTTTTAAGGAGATAAAGTTAAATGAGATAATAACAGCAGTGCCCTGTACTAGTCTGCTTGGGCTGCTATAACAAAACACCACAGACTGGGTGGTTTAAATGACAGAAATTTATTTGTCATAGTTCTGGAGTCTGGAAAGTACAAGATCAAGGTGCCAGCTGATTCCATTTCTAGTGAAGGTTCTCTTCTTACCTTGCAGATGGCCACCTCCTTACTGTGCCCTCATGTGGCAGGCAGAGAAAGCTTTGGTGTTTCTTTTTTTCCAAGGACACTAGTCCTATTAGTTCAGGGCCACATCCTTATCAGCTCATTGAACCTTACTTACCTCCTTGTAGGCCCTATCTCCAAATGCAGTCAAATTTAGTTAGGGCTTCAACGTAAGAATTTTGGGAGGACACAATTTAGTTTACAGCACGCCCTGATCCAATAGAATTAGTGTCCTTATAAGAAGAGACATAAAAGAGCTTGCTCTTTCTTGTTCTTTCCATGCATGCACACTGAGGAAAGGCCCTGTGAGAAGTCAGGAAAAGAGCCCTCACCAGAAACCAAATCCATGGGAATATTAATTTTGAAATTCTAGCCTCCAAAACCATGAGAAAATATCTGTTGCTTACACTATCCAGCCTATGCTTTTTTTTTTTTTTTTGACAGTCTCACTCTGTCACCCAGGCTGGAGTGCAGTGGCGCGATCTTGGCTCACTGCAAGCTCTGCCTCCCGGGTTCACGCCATTCTCTTGCCTCGGCCTCCCGATTAGCTGGGATTACAGGTGCACGCCACCGCACCCAGCTAGTTTTGTTTTTTTGTGTGTGTGAATTTTTAGTAGAGACGGCGTTTCACCGTGTTAGCCAGGATGATCTCGATCTCCTGACCTTGTGATCTGCCCGTCTCAGCCTCCCAAAGTGCTAGGATTACAGGCGTGAGCCACTGCGCCCTGCCCAGCCTATGTATTTTTTAATGGCCGCCCCAGAAGACTAATATAGATATATGGATGATTTTCTTGGTGTAGCCCAAGTGGTGGGTGCTGGCCATAGATTATCTCACAGAGCTGCACAGTCTCTGATGCTGATGCCCTTTTCTGCCTGAGGTCCCTCATGATCCACATGTGGCTTGGTCTCTCCTCTTGTCTCTTTCATCTCCCAACCCTTCCAAACTGGCCAACCCTAATCCCTTCCTCCAGAATCATCTGATTCTCTATCAATTCTCTTAACTATTGTTTGTTTTTAACTGTATGTGACACGTGCTTTTGTAGGGCATTATCTTTTAATTAACACATACACCTTTTCTCTAAAAAGAGGCTCTCTCTTGTAATTTGGAAAATCTCTGATGTATATTATATTGTCTCTCATATGAATATTGACCCTTCTTTTTGAGACAGGTTATTACTCTGTCACCTATGCTGGAGTGCAGTGGTGCAATCTTGGCTCAATGCAGCCTTGACTTCCTGGGTTCAAGTAGTCCTCCCACCTCAGACTCCCAAGTACCTGGGACTACAGGCACATGTCATCATGCCTGGCTAATTTTTTTTTTTTTTTTGTATTTTTGTAGAGACAAGAGTTTTGCCATGTTGCCCAGGCTGGTCCTGAACTTCTGGGCTCAAGCAAGCAATCTGCACTACTCGGCCTCCACCATGCTGGGACTACAGGCATAAGCCACATGCCCAGCCAACTCTTTCTTTTTGCCCAGCCAACTCTTTCTTTTTGCATTTCTACTAGGACAATACTGTTTCTCCCCATCCCAACACATGCCTATGGCTAAAAATAGGGAGTCTCTCCATCAAGAATTTGTGAATAAAAATAGTACCTTAGTATATTTGAATATGTTATTTCCTTTCTTCTAATACTTGGAAGAAAAAAAAAAAACCTGATCTGCAAAGACTTGCAGGCTAGAAGGGACAATACACAAACACAGAAACAACTATGCCAAACAAAGAAAGGGATTAATGCTAAAAAAGAAGTTCAATTACCCTAAAATAGGAAACTAATTAAGGTTAGGAAGCTTGGGAAATGTTGCCTAGGAAATGTATTATTTCACTTATACTTTGAAAAATGAATAGGAGTTTGAAAATGGGACATGATAAAATAAGGCCTCCTAGGAGAATATATATATATAAGTGAAACTGTTCTTAAATATTTAAGATGAAATGTTCTATAAATGTGCTTATTATAAATACGTCCATTCTTTTATTTAAAGCAGTTTTATCTGGAATCCCAGTTGGAAACAGTCTGTTAGTTGCTGTTTATTTACTTATCGCTTGTACTTGGAAGTTTAGAGAAAGCTCTTTACTTATTTAAGACATTCTTATTCAGGCATTTCATTAATCCATATTTCTTTTCTTCACATGCTCAGTAAATTAAAGTAAGATTTAACAGGCAGCCTGCAAAATGGGAGAAAGTATTTGCAAACTACGCATTTGACAAAGGTTTAATATCCAAAACCTACAAGGAACTTAAACAACTCAACAAATAAAAAACAAATAACCCCAGTAAAAAGAGGGCAAAGGATATGAACAGACACTTCTCAAAAGAAGACACAAAAGTGGCCAAAAAACATGAAAAAATGCTCAGCATCAGTAATCATCAGAGAAATGCAAATTGAGACCACAATGAGATACCATCTCCCATCAGTCAGAATGGATATTATTAAAAAGTCAAAAAACAACAGATGCTGGAGAAGCTGCAGAGAAAAGGGGTTATTTATCCACTGCTAGTAGGAAGGTAAATTAGTTCAGCCACTGTGGAAAGCAGTTTGGAAATTTTTCAAAGAAATTAAAACAGAGCTATCATTCAACCCAGCAATCTCATTACTGAGCATATACCCAAGGAAAACAAGTTGTTCTACAAAAAAAGACACATGCCCTTGTATGTTCATTGCAGCACTATTCACAATAGCAAAGACGTGGACTGAACCCACATACCCATCAATGGTGGACTGGATACAGATAATGTGGTACATATATACATGAAATACTGTGTAGCCATAGAAAAAGAAATCATGTCCTTTGCAGCAACACAGATGCAGCTGGAGGCCATTATCCTAAGCAAGTTAATGCAGGTACAAAAAACCAAATACCACATGTTCTTAGTTATAAGTGGAAGCTAAACACTGGGTACACATTGAACATAAAGATGGGAACAATAGACGCTGCAGAACACTAGATGGGGGAGGATAAGAGGGGAGTAGGGGATGAAAAACTACCTGTTGGACACTATGCCCACTACCTGGGTGCCAGGATCATTTATACCCCAAACCTCAGTGTCACGAAATAAACTCATGTAACAAACCTGCACATGTACCTTCTAAATCTAAAATAAAATTTGAAATTATGAAGAAAAGTAAGACTTGACTTCAGTAAGAGAGGAATTTTTCCACCTGTGCTCAAGATACTCTACCACAAATTTTTTCAGGAAAGCGAGTCCTTGCTATCAGTTTTTGTTGGAATAGAATCTAAAGCTCATGATCCAAAGACTAGAGAGACTCAGTCAAGTTATCTCAAGCAATGGGAGCAGGAGGATGGTTAATGGGAGATGATATGAGCACAGGACCAAGGAAATCCCAAACAACAAGGTCCTAGGAAAAGCACACCATGGCTCTACATTCAACTGCTCCACTGTCATGGGCCTCAGCTACACTCTAATGAGATGGCTCAAATTCTCAGCCTCTATCCACAGCCTGCATCTGGTTTTCATGGTTTCTACTTCCTCATCACTTCAGCTTCCACATGACAACTTCTCTAGTTCCCGTCTATATCATAGGCTCTTCTTGCTATCATGCTAACTTCTCGTCTATTTTTTCTCTTTAATTTGAATTATTGAAAGAAAAAATGTATTTGGTTTTGCTAATCATTCTCTACCAGGTCCCATCTTGTTTTTCAGGCATACTCTACTGACAGCCAGCCCTTGTGTGAGAAGTCTATTTCTGGTACACTCAACTTGACTCTGGGTGATGGGAAGTAAGGGTTCCCTGGCCTTTATAGGGCTTTCTTTTTAGTAGAGGGTGGAGATTATTTGACTTGGAATGGAGTTTAGTCTGAAAAGTGATTGACATCTTTGGCACAACAACAGAAATATTGAGTAACTAAGAATGAAACATTAAACTTTTCTGTCTCACAGATCTGGTTTAGTTAAAGAAGCCAAAGAATTCTAACAGGAAACAAGTAAAGCTGCTCAATCTCATGCAAACATATGTCATCCTAACATCATCATAATTTGCTTCAAAGTCAACCTCTTTTAGGTTTAAATACAAAATTGAAGCTAGTATTGGGTGTTGTTTCTTGTTATTTTATATTAGTAAGTTCTAGCCAATATTGAGAGAGAGAGAGAGAGAGAGAGAGAGATACTGGGTTTCTGTGTTCTTTGCTTAAAACACAATCTGCTTTGTTTTTCTTAAACTTAGAAAGATTGCTCAAATTCCATAGCAGTTCCCTCCCTTATGCTATGCATAATATCAAGTAAGTATACTATATATTTAGAGGGCAATCATGCCAGGGCTTGGCTTATTTTTTTAGTGATGTATTTTTACTTCATATTGAAATTTAAGAGAAAGTCTACAGAATAAATATATTATACATAACAAGCTTTATATTTTATTTTCATTTTAGAAGAAGCTTTATATTGCTGCATTGCCAGAAGTAAAAGAGAATTGCATTTAGATCAGAAATGTGAATTCATGAACTGATTTTGCCACTAACCACTTCTGTGCCTGTGGCCATTTCCTGTGCCACAGCTTCCTCAACTCTACAATGACGGGATTGGACCAATTGGCCTGGGAGCTCACTTCCTGCCCCGAGAGAGGCCAATGTGAGCAAAGAGATGAACTGTATCAGTTCTCCCAAGCTCTCTTGTGCAGCTCAGCTCACTCATGCATACATGTGAGGATGAAGAATACTTCATTCTCAGAAATCTATGAATTGTTTTATTGTATACATATTTTCAAAATCATTGCTGACTTTTGCTAAATGAAAGCCGCCAGACTTAAAGCTACATACTGTATGATTCCATTTAAACAACATTCTGGTAAAGGCAAAAACTTAGGTACGGAGAATAGATTAGTGGTTGCAAGTGGCTTAGGGACTGGGAGATGTTTGACTACAAATGGGGAGCACAAAAAAATTTCAAGAGTTGCGGGAACTTTTCTGTCTTGATTACAGTGGCAGTTACATGACTATGCATGTGTTGAAACTCACAACTATATCCCAATAAAGTAACTTCTACTGTGTGTAAATTATGCAGTAAAGTTTAAAAATTCATTCCTGGTCAATATTTCCTTACACGTAAATATCAATATGTAAAAATTAATAACCCACCTTTGGTACAAAATGCTGTGCCCTCAGTGATAACACAGCTATTTTTTCTTTATCACCAGCCAGATGGTTTCATTTGTAGTGCTCTCCTAAGTCTCCAACACTGACCTATTTTTTAAGGCAGAATTTAGAATTCCTGCTGTTCAAGGTAATGAGGTAGAATCATCTTGCCTCTCAGGGCGTGAGTCTGGCTGACCAACGAACCTGCCATTAGACTGTCGGCAATGACACCATAACCTCAAGTGCTGCCATTTCCCATTCGGGCACAGATTGAATGGTGGAATGATTACCACAGGTGAAGACTGCTGATTGGGACCAAAGAGGAGAAAAACAGTAATTGACAAAAGCAAAGTTTTTTTTTTTTCTGTAATCAAAGTAAGAAGATGGTTCAAGAATAACAGAGAGTAGGAAGCTCTCTTTGGTATATTGACGTTGTTTTGAAGTTTTCAGAGGTTTTCAGAGTCACTGTCACAGCACGGGGAGTGGGTGCCAATTTTGATGGGAGATTTAACCTTTTCCTGGAAAATCAGATGTTAAGGGTGAACTACACATCATATCCTGTTGCTTTGCCTTGTTGCTGTATGGCAAATCCTGTGTTGTCCAGTTAACTTTCTCTCTGAGCTCATCATACACTGTTCTTCCATGGGATTTTGCCAGTGTGTGGCTGAATCACACTTAGACATCTATCCTGATTCATCATGGAATGCCCTGTGATGACGTGAGAGACAGAAGGAGGGAGGAAGGGAGACAGAGAGAGAGAGAGAGAAACGAAAATAAGAAGACCTGTGTCTTGTCTCAACTCAGCTTCTGACTGGTTATAATTCTTGGGATGAATCCCTAAATTTCTGTGAGTCCATTTTCCTATCATTCAAAATTGAAGGAAATAATAATTGTTGTGCTTCCCTGCAATATATTTAAAAGTATATTAAAAATAGGCTGGGCGTGGTGGCTCACACCTGTAATCCCAGCACTTTGGGAGGTGGAGGCAGGTGGATCACTTGAGGTCAGGAGTTTGAGATCAGCCTGGCTAACATGGTGAAACTCCATCTCTACTAAAAATACAAAAAATTAGCTGGGAGTGGTGGCAAGTGCCTGGAATCCCAGCTACTCAGGAAGCTGAGACAATAGAATTGCTTGAGACGGGGAGGCAGAGGTTGCGGTGAGCTGAGATCGCACCACTGCACTCCAGCCTGGGTGACAGAGCGAGGCTCCATCTCAAAAATAAATAAATAAATAAATAAATAAATAAATAAATAAATAAATAAATCACACCTTACAATTGTCACCTGCTTGTTGTTGTTGCTATTATAACAGGTATTAAGAGTGGTATGAAGAAAATAAAGTAATTCTCTCTGTCCCTTAGACTTGCCATGAAGAGTCCGAACAATTGACCACATGCCCAATGCTCCATTTTCCTTCCTTAGATTCAGGCCCTGGGACTGCACACTCATGCTACAGCAGCAGCTCTAGTCTTGCAAGAGGATCTCCCCAGGCCTGCCACTATTTTTTCACCCCCAAATCACCATTTTGAGATCCTAACATTGAGGATCCTCCTGACCTTCTCCCGCTGAGAATCCTTCTTGGGTTTTAGTTTGCCTGCCCAGGATAATACTCAAGCTCCTAAGTCATTTCATAAAGTCAAGCACCTAAATCCAATAACAGTTATCTCTATTTCCTGTCATGTGACAGATTTGCCAAGAATCAGAATTATCTCTAATTCTCAGGGTTTCATAAATGCTTTTTAAAATACAGAATATATGTAAAATTAATAAGCATTCTAGCAATCCAGAAAATCCAGTTTTTAGACTTCAGATTTAATTTCCATAATTTGCCTTCCCATAGACCCTTCACAGAAGCATTTACTCTGAAAAAAATCACAATCATGATTTATCTTAAATGCATCTTTATTCAAGTAATTTCTCATAATATTCACCAAATTCAAGATGAAGCATCAATTTGCTAAACTTAACTTGAATAATTGGGCACTCTTTCTTTTCAAGAATAAATTTAGAGAGATTTTAATGCAGCAATTAATTTTTTACTGCGAAAAAATATAGTTTTTCTTAAAAAATTAATGTTTAAAAGACAATATAAATGAATTGCAATATTAGACTCTAACCAAAGAAATTAGCTTTTTAAAATTGCTCTGATGAAAATTTCTTTCATAAAAATTATATTTTGGGGGCTTGCTTTTTCTTCTAGATGTTTATTTCTCAAAATGATTTTCCAGACAAAATGAAACTGAGTGTGCCTTCTCCCTCTTTTTGACAGTTACACTGAGTGAAAATGACAATATTTATTAACACTTTGGCCTCCCTTGGGCTGTCCTTTCTGAATCAATTGTCATGATTTACGAGTAGAACACTATCTTGATTTTCCACTTTTCCCTGATTACTCTTTCAGTCATAGCGAAAACTTTGCTTCTATGGGAGATAATAACACTATCTCAGACAGCTCCCAAAACAAAGATCATTCAGAATTAACAGGATGACATGTAACCCCAACTTTTTCTCTTGCCCACCGAAAGCAGGGGATTATAAAGACCAAAGTAAATTTTAGCTTCTCCCCTCAATTTCTTGTGTTTCTAGATTTAGATATACTATAGATTTAATACCTTGATCTACATACCAGAGTAAATAATTTACCTTTTAATGACATTAAAATTTTTGATATGTCATTTTCTAATTGCATATGTGTTGGCTTATCAAAATATGGTTGGCCTTAAGATGAGTTTAGCTTTTGGTTTTTATTTGTTTGTTTTCAAATTATTTTTCTCTAAGTGCATGGGATTCCTTTCTAGTATGCCATAGAAGGAAGAGATTAATGATTTGCTTCACTCTGTGCTAGAGTTGGTTTTTCAAGAGTTTTGGTTTGGTGAAGACATAATGTAATGTAACAGCTTAGGTCCTCTGAGAAACAGACATTAAGGCAGAATTTCAAAACACGCAAAACACTTATGGGGAGGTGCCTGTAAAGGGGGGAGAGAGAGGTAGTAGGTGGGGAGAGTGGTGGTGGACACCCATGTAAGCATCAGATTGTGACACTTCCCTGAGAAGGTGTTAGCCAGGCCGAAGGGGAGCCCCTGAGCTTAGAAGGGCATCATGTCAGGAGGAAAAGGCTTGGCTCTGACACTCTATCTCATTCTGGTATTTTCTGGGAGCAGCCCACGGGAAGTATGGCCTTGGCATGAGCCATAGCAGATTAAAGGTATAACAGCTCACAGTGCACCTTGCAGGAGGTTCTTTTGGATGGAGATTAGAGTGGCATATCTTCGTAGCCACTGCATGTGCCCAGAAAAGTCATATGCTATGGCCATCAACTGGAACTAATCCAAAATATTTCAGTTATATTCTGTCTTCATTAGTTGAACAAGGCTCTAAGGAACCATCTTAAGAAAAATCATGTCATAACTGGCTTAGAGTAAATAATTTTTGTTCCAAGAATTTAAGTCGTGTTTTGCTCATGACTTCAGTCAATGTACCAAGCTAACCAGATAGTTCCATAGGCTTAAAGCATATTGAGTCTCTAAACATGAACTGAAATCCATTATATTTCTTAAACATAATCTTTATGTTAGAGTATGTGTGGACAAAGAGTAGTGCATGTACTTAATAATATTATATAATGTTTGTTTGATTATATAATTTTATCACATTGAGAGTATACTCCTGGATAGACATTTAGCAAATGACCATCATGATTTGGGCTATTCAGACACTCGGGACAGGTCAAGAATGAAAAAGTAGAGGAAGCTTATGTAAACTGAGGCAGACTTGTTGAGATTGGAGAATCGGTCATGGAAAAAAAAAGAAGGTCCAGGTCAAAAAATAACAAAAGAGTCAATGAGGGAACTAAGGACAGACCCATTTGCTACAACTGGGCACAGAGTGGGAGTTTAGTCACAGTCAAATGACCTAATTGCAGGAATTAAGTCACCAAGTCAGAGAAGAAAAACATAGCAAAATCAACCTGATGTGATTCAGGGGTCCAAGAAGTGTGTACTATTCCTTCTCTCCAGATACAGGATCCATCTTAGAGTCTGTGTATGGGGGACTGGTGGTCTCATTCATGAATATTAGAGGAAAGGAGAGAGTGGAAAGACATGAATCAACAAATCATTGCATAACTGGATGCGCTGTCCACTGGGATAGGAAAAAGAAGTATAAATGTATTCTAAGATTTGTCAGCCTTTTTTTAATGAGGCTTTCTACGTAACTTGACAAGTCAAATTATATTCATCATCCATTTTTAAGCTTATTTCAGTGATGTTGAATCTTTACTCTGCCCCAAATATCATAGAGATGAGTAATATATATGAGCTGTATGCCTAACTGGAAGGCCAGATACTCAGCCTAGAAGGCCCCACGGCAGAGTTATCAAGGTCCCTTTTCCCAGGCATCCACAAGGCAAGACAGAAATGGCTTTCCTAACACCAGAGGTGCCAAAAGAGGCTCAATGGCTGGAGTCCTTACGGAAATTTACAGAGGTGAAGGGATAGTAAAGAAGAAATCTGATAAGATTTGGAGACTGAGCATGGGGAAAAAGACTAGTAAGTTTCCTCTTAAATGATGACTGTCCAGCTGTGATTTTAAGCATCTCTTTTACTCCACTGTGGCCTAAGATTCTGGCATAATGAGACTCAAGTTAGATTTTTTTTTTAAACCAAGTAGTTGAAATTAATAGAAGTTTTAAACAAAAACATGGGAGTTAGGCCTACTTCCCCAAATGGCATAATTAAAGTGGTTCCACTAATTTTTTGAGTAGAGTATCCAGCATGGCAAAAAACCCAAACAAACAAAAAGAAAGCCATCTCAGTAGTGGAGACATAAAGTAAGTCTGTTAAGAGACTAACCAGGACAAAATGATTCTGTTCAATAGCCAATTTTCCAAAGGACATAAGAAAGATCTATGTATAAAATTTATGCTTTAATATAATTAAAATACAACTATAATGAATCTCAATCTGGTTTACAAGAATCAAACACTTTATAGAAAAACCAATATCAACAGAACAGCAAAGAAAGCAAGTTACTCAATAGAATGGAAACATCTATCAGCATTTGTCAGCATTTATCATTACACTTGAAACAAAACACAAGGAAACCATTGGTTTGAAAACATTGGCGTCTGTCACATCTGTTGGTTTAATATTGCAAAGTAGCACCTGTTACAATGTTATACATTTAGTTTTCTAAATAATAGTAATTGAAATTAATGTGATTTTAGAAATTTTTAGGGATCAATGGAAAGAAACTCTGGTGCTACAGATCAAGGATATGAATCACTATTGTGAAAGATGAGAGAGGAACTTTGAAAGAAATAGAAATGACTTTGTTATGGCTTTAAGTTAAAGTATAGCTCCTCCCCTCAATCCTAATGTATTCTATGTCCCATGTGTAGCATGTCACTGTAAAACATCATTCAATTTCGTTTAATACAGTAGTGTGTGCCTTGACTACCAGAAAAACTTCAAAATCAAAAAAGATTAAATGTGAATTAAACTGAGTAGCAATGCGTAGCTGTTAGATAATTTATTTTTCTATTGCAGCCATCATACAGCTTCCATAGGGAATGGTTTAGAACTCTGAGTGTGTGGTGAGGAATTTAGCTTGAGTTGCTTTAGGATACAACTGGTTGCTTCAGCAGAGGGTGAATGGAAAGGTAAGAGGCATCTGAGTCAGCTCACAGGGCATGTCTTCTTTAATGGACAGAGGTGTCACTTTTCATTTCAAGCATCCTTTGAAAATGCCCACTTTTACCAATTTTCCTATTATTAATTGGCTATTCTTAAAAGGGGAAAAGAATAGAAGATAAGAAGGTTTGAAGAGAGATTGTAGCTGCATAAATCTTCACTACCAAGTAGACATTTTGCTATAATCAGAAGACATTTAAGCCTCTTAGATTAAAAAGTGCAATTTGATCTGAAAAAAAAATTGCTTATAATTTTTGCGCAAACTCAGAATGTTAACAGTTAGTAACGGAAGTGGTGCAGGGAATATAGTCATGTTCTTACTGTGATACTGGCCCTGTGATTTAGGTAAACTATTGACCACACCCTTAGGCTGTTATATGTTGGTAGGAAAAACCCACCATCTAAGTACTGGGAAGTTTAAATGTCATACTTTTTGTGGGTCTCCAGCATGGTAATGAGAGCACAGTTTGCTCCTCTGAAGATTTCACTCTTTCTCTGTCTGAGGTTGTCAACAGCCTAAGTGAAAAGAAGGTGTGGAGGAGGTAGAGCTGTCTACAGAGAGATGGCGTGCTTTCAGAGATATAAGCAATGTGATTTCCACTTTTATCTACTGCCTGGAATTTCATTATATCTATCTTTTTAGAACAGAAGTCCTCAAATTTTAGTGTGATAAGAACCACATGGGGGTCTATTACAATGCAGTTATTTGGGCCCCACTGTCTCTCTCAGGACTACTGCACCAAAAGCAACTAAGGCTTGTCCTAGAACCTAGAACTCTGGGGTAATCATACACACTTGTTCAGGATTTGAAATCCTGTTCAAATTTTCATCTTTACTATACTTCCTCATGCTTGCCTTGAAATCTTATGCCAGGCTTCAAAATGGAAAAGTTGGGGGAAATGTCCATATTATCTGAGAAGATAGTAAAGAACACTGGATTGTCAGTTTCTAGGCTCAAATAAGCTATGTTGAGGGTATTGCAGGAGATGGCAGGTGTGACATCAAAGTCACTGTGGTAATTATTTGAAAAGCATGGAGCCTGGGAGAGATGCCAAGACTGGAAAAAAACAAATGTCTTTACTTTTAAGGGGAAAATCAAAGGATAGAAATAGAAAGTACAGATAGATGACTTTGGCACACAATTTTTAAAAGATAATTAAAGAAAATGTTTATGAGCCATTAAAGAGAATGTGGAATCAACATAAGTTCATTAAGATACAACTATGCCAAAAAAAGTCATTTCTTTTCTACATAAAAAAGAGGGGGACCTTCTATTTCTGGCAATATGGCAGAGTAGATGAACAGGAAAAATCCTCATAGAATAAAATATTAGATTTATTTTTAAAAATTTTTAAATGTCATTTTTAGGCTTGGCTGAGCTGAGAGTAAAAGAAGACAATCTATACCAGAAAGCAGGATTGTACGTGGATAAGTAGGGAAAAAGCTGTGTTTGCCTGGGGACATCTGCCTGTTTGATGGCCTAGATCTGGGCTTTAAGAGGCAGGTGTGGGTGGGCACCAAGACAAAGCCTAAGACCCAAGCCCGGAAGGAGATCAGATCAGATATCACCATGCATCTGCCTTAGAACTTTGGGATTAGGTGAAATCTCTGAATTCTTAATCACAAGCCACCATGTGCACAATTTGCAGCCAGAATTTCAACTACATGTGTGGCCTGAAATTTCCCAGTGGAAAATCTGGTTTAAAGTGGCCCTATGTGCTGGGGGAACACAATCTCTCAATGGGAACAACTCTAAACATAAGTCACAGGTATTCTCCAAGATAAAGATGCAAGAACATTTAGAAAATGCAACATTGAAAAAGATACCATTTAAAATAACTACTCAGACATAAAAAGGAACAAAGTAATAGCACTCGCAGCAACCTGGATGGAATTGGAGACTATTATTCTAAGTGAAATAACTCAGGAATGGAAAATCAAACATCTTATGTTCTCACTCATAAGTGGGAGCTATGAGAATGCAGAGGCATAGGAATGATACAGTGGACTTTGGGGGATCCAGGGGAAGGGGTGGGAGGCGGGTGAGGGATAAAAGACTACACATTGGGTGCAGTGTACACTGCTTGGGTGATGGATGCACCAAAATCTCAGCAATCACCACTAAAGAACTTATTCGTGTAACAAAACACCACCAGTTTCCCATAAACTTACTGACATTAGAAAATAAATAAATAAATAAAATAAAGATTCAGTATCTTAGAAGAAATCCAGCAAAAAAAAGAAATGCCCAAGTCTTTTATGGGAGAAAAGTGTGCAACATTCTTGAAAGACATTTGAAGGTATTTCATGTTCTATGATAGGAAGACTTAATATTGTAAAGATATTAATTCTCTCCAAACTGGTGAATCAATGAACTTTGCAAGCATAATCCCAATAGGGTTTTATATGGAACTTGATAAACTAATTCTATTGATATGGAAAAGCAAAGACCTCTAAATAGCCAAAACTCCCTTTAATGAGAAGAATAGATAGTAACGGAGGTGGAGAGAGGACTTAGCCTTCTGGGAATCAATAACTGGTAATTACGACAGTATGGCCGGGTGTGGTGGGTCATACCTGTAATCCCAGCACTTTGGGAGCCTGAGGCAGGTGAATCATCTGAGGTCAGGAGTTCAAGACCAGCCTGGCCAACATGGTGAGTGAAACCTCATCTCTAGAAAAATACAAAAAAAATTAGCTCGGCATGATGGTGGGTTTCTGTAATCCCAGCTACTCGGAAGGCTGAGGCAGGAGAATCACTTGAACCCAGGAGGCAGAGGTTGTGGTAGGCCAAGATCATACCATTGAACTCCAGCTGGGGTGATAGGGCAAGACTCCGTCTCAAAAAAAAAAAAAAAAGAAAGACAGTGTGATCCTGAGGCAAGGATAGGTCAATGGAAGAGAATACAGAGGCCAAAAATTGACTTGTACTTATGTTGAGCTTTGATGAATGCAGAGCTGCTGTCATAGCTCGATGTTCAATACATGGCACTGAGGCAGTTGGTTATCTATTAAGAAAAAAATCTAAGACAATTGCTTTATGACCTAGTTGATAGAGTTGTTTCTTTTAAAGACAATGAATACCATAAGGAAAATTTTGGCAAACTCAAGTATATTAAGATCTTCTTTATATTAAAAGACACTACAACAAGAATGAAGAAACAAGCCAAAAACTGGAAAAATGGCATTTCCTCACATTATTGTCAAAAGGTCAATGTCTAGAATATACGCAGAACTCCTAAAAATCAATAAGAAGACAACCAACCCAATCAAAGAATGAGAAACATACATGAACAGGGATTCCACAGAAAAGGAACCACAAAGACCTATCAATGCCCAGTCACGTTAGTAACCAAGGTAAAACCACAGTGAGGTACCATGCTGCATCAGCCATGGTGGCACAGATTTAAAGCATCAAAGTTTGACTGGTTTGTAGGGTAACAGGAACCTTTAAGCCCTGCTGTGGAGTATAAATTGATACAATCATTGTGAAAATCCTTTTAATATTACTTAGTAAATCCGAACATGAAAACGCACTATTAGCAGCAACTGTACTCCTAGTTATGCTCCCTAGAGAAACTCTTGTCCAACAGAGCACATGTACGAGAATGTTCATAGTGTTAGTCATAATAGCAAAGAACTAGATACAAGTTAGTCATAATAGCAAAGAACTAGATACAAGTAAAAAGTTAAATTGATATAAAAATAGTATATGAAAATGAATGAAACCCATGTGGAGGGATCTAAAAATATTATATTAATGGGGAGAAAAGTAAGTCACATAAGAACACATGGGGTATTGTGATTCCATTTATATAAATTCTGAAAAAGAAAAATTTAACAATAGTATTTCTGAATACATACATACATATGTGGTAAAAATTTAAAATAAAGGAAAGTTAATAATAACACCAAATTCAGACCAAATTCAGGTGTTATCTTTGGGGGAAGGTGGGAAACGAAATCATGGAACAGTAGTACCCAGAGAGCATCAAATATACTGGCACTGACCTATTTCTTAGGCTTGAGATAGATATATGAGTGCCTGCTTATTATTATTTTTCACAGTACCTATATGTTAGTTGCACGTTTTTGTTTATGACATGTTACAGTAAATTTTAAGTGCTGTGTGGATGATTAATACATATATGGTAATAGTCATAGTGCATATTAATTTTATTATAGAGAAAGCTTTGACACTTGGGTTTATTCAAAGATAACGTAACTATCGACCTGAGAATATTTTTTGGATGGTTTCAAGTATGCCATGGGACTTTGGCCTAAGGCCTGAACTCCTTCTTGTTCATAACTTGCGCAGGTGTTTACCTGGGGGCCCAATCACCCCCTCATTAAAGTGTTTACCTACCACGAGATTATCATATGAGCTATTGCTGAATTGACAGTTTCTTATGCTAAGACTGCCTAAATTTCCTCTATTAGTGTGTCTTAGAATCTAGGACCAGGCTGATAGAAAGGAAAATGAAACAAGGTGTAGGAAATAAAGATCTGAAATCATAGTGGGTGAACAGGTCATTACAACATAGATGACAGTGACCTGCAAGTATTAGAAGTCAGTTACATGAAAAGGCAAAGAGACTTCTGCATTGCTCCTGAGGAGTTCTTTGCACATTTCAGGGAGGCAGAATTTAGCACATTATGAGAAAGAACTTTGCAAAAATTCTAGTTATTCAAAGAAAGCTGAAAAATGAGGCAAGAAGCTCTCTAGTAGGTGTTTTATTCCTGCTGACAGTCCCACTGCCTCTGATTTGAAACCCGATTATTATAATGACTATCTTTATCCCATAAATGGGGAGCATGTTGAATAGAAAGGCAGAGTCTCATATGATTGTCATTGCACCCCCATAAGATAGCATTGTGTATAGCCTATCATAGATGCTCCAAACTAAACAGAGCTGGTGCAAGTGACTTAAGTTGAGGCTGAACTGCTTTGCTCCAGGAAACAATGCCAGTTCCTTCCCTTGATAAAAATACTTATCCTTGGCTTATACCAGTTTGATTCTCAGTTCCAGTCTCTCTGTTATGTCTACATATCCTGATCACAGTCTGGAAGTAGTACTGAGGATTGATTGAGGAGCATGTGAACTCCACCAACAGAGACGGAGAAAGGGGATCAGGACTATGAGAAAGATAGATGCTGCGGAGGCCAGAGAGAAAGCAAATGCAGATGTTGAGGAAAGGATGGGTATTTCCATAAGTCATGGTGAATGATGTCACTTCAAATATTCATATGACATATAACTCCTATAAACGACTTTACCAGCTCAGGATACAAATATACCATCACCTCTTACATCCTCAGATTATCATTTAAATCCTCTGAACTGTTAGTAGAAAACACAGAATTCTTTTTAAGACCTCTCCTACACTAACACCACATCCAGTTGCCAAAGGGGGAAAAGGAGGGAAAGGCCCTGGGAGTCTACACTCTGCTAGTTTGGGTTGAAGAGGGACAGTTGCAGTTCCGCCTCTAAGTACAGGCTTCTGATTCTTTCCTGCCTCTTGTTGCCACGTGGTATACGTGAAAGGACTGTCCTGGTCAGTCTTGCAAAAGTGAGTCCCTTGGCCATGACGTTCCACGTAGTCCCTGATGGTGACTCACACCTGGATCTTTGTCTACGAATAGATGCTCAGCATTGTTTCCCATTGCCTTTTGTACCACTTGGTGTCTGTTACCCCATAGTCTTCCAGGTAAACCCAATACAGTTTTCCAACTTTGGGTCTCAGGGAGGGAGCATCAGCTAGCATTGTTTCCTTTCTTATCAGAAAGCACTTCCTTCCTTTTGCATCACATGACGTATTTATCATCTTGAGTGTCTCCCTCTGAAGTGGGTCCCACTGAAGAAATTCTTCAAGCAGCAAAGACATCAACCTCAAAAAATAACAAAGTTCTAAAAAGTAACAGCTGGGCCAGGTGTCCCATTAAATCTCCACCTTGATTTAAAATAAAGCTCAAGGTGAGTAAAACCCGAATGAACAAGGGCAATTTTAAGGTATCCTCCTATTGCCCTAAGGCAAATGGATGTCCCAAAAACAAACTCCGTGAATTCAACTCCAAAAGCACGGAAGTCTAAACTAGCTTGTCAGTACAGCTGTCTTTACTGTGTTATTTCTCACACTACTCCACACAACTCTCTACAATTCTTTTTTTTTCTAGTTCAAACTTTCTCATTTTATTTTCCTCAATCTATAATTTTGAAAAATTCAATCCTATAGGAAAGTTATAGGGAAAGCATGATGAAAAGTCATATACCCTTCATCTAGATTCACTAATCTCTTTCTGCACATATATGTGTGTGTGTGTGTATGTGGTGTGTGTGTGTGTGTGTGTTTATGCATGGGTATTCAGTGAACCATTTGACAATTAGTTCCAGATATCACAATATTTCAGCACACATCTCCTAAGAATAAGAATGCCCTCCCATATTACACTGTACAATGTCTCTCTCAGGAAATTAACATTGCTTCAATACCATTACAGTTCATATTCAGGTTCTTCCTTTTTTCCCACTTTTCTCTCTCTTTCCAATCAAAGAGCTTGTATTACATTTAGTTGTCGTGTTTATCCAATCTTCTCGACCTGTTATGTATTCACATGACTGATGAACAATTCCTCAAACTGTTAGGTAGATCGTATTGCTGATGTTTTTGAAGACTTCAGGCCTGCTGTTTTGTGAATGTCCCTTTGTCTGTATTTGTACAGCTTCTCCCCCATAATTAGGTTCAGATTAGACCATTGTTGGCAGTTATATTAAACATCCTCTTTAAATATCTCTTTCTCTAAAATGCCTTTCCTCGAGGCAGCTTTCACATCTCTGTGGCTCTCTCCAGGGCTTGATGATGACTTTAATGGGCCCTGGGCGTGTTTCCCTTCATGGACCTCTTTCTCCATAAAAAATATTAATAATTATATTTTACAATTGTGTTGGTATAAGGGCTAATATAATCCATCTGTATTTATTATTATATATTATTATATTCATTTATTTATCCCAATTTTAAAAGAAATGAAAATTAAAGTGTCCCATGAGCCCCTAAACGTACCAGGGGCCTGAGGCACTGAGCACAATGGGCAAGGTGGCCCTGGCTCTTCCTCCCTCGCCCCAAGGGTTCTCTGTCTGTCTCTGTCTCTCTGTCACTCTCACCAAATTCCCCAGCCCCGCCAGCTCTGTGTCTTATTCCCTGCTTCTGCTGATAGAGAATACATCCCTCTCTCAGGGGCCCAGTTCACCTTCCCTCAGCTCTCCCTTTTCTTCTCCAGGCACGCCCATCACCCTCTCTACCCGAGACTCCGCTTCTTCAGGCAGGCTTCAGGGAAGGAGCCAGTCATGTGTTCTGCCCTGAATTTACTATGAGAAATTGGATCCCACAGTCCCTGGCAGTTTTTTGCCATTTTCTTCCTCTGTCAGTTTAACTTTCATCACTATGGGGACTTCACAAGATGAAATCAGCTAACTCGTAGCACAGAAGACTGCAGTTTGAGGCAGAGAACTTTTCTTCAGTCAAGACTGAATATCTAAACAATGTTAATGAATATGAGTTTGCTGACTGATGCTGTGAGAGCCCTTTCTTTGGAATGTGTAGATGTTTAATATTCGTTACTGACACCCAGGGACAGCCTGAAGCCTCTTGCTTCTTCCTAACCTAATCTCAGCTTCCACTTGTTTAGCAATTATTATGTTCCAGGCCCCCTGCAAAGCACTGTATATCAGCTCACTTAATTTCCACACAAGCTTCTCTTACAGGGATACCATGACCCCCATTACATAGATGGAGCAGCTGAGGCTTCCACGTTTTTAAGTAACTTGCCCCAGCTCTCCTGTGATAAGAGACAGGCAGGATTCATTCCAGGTCTGCCTGACTCCCACATTCCCAAGGTCGATCTGCAGGAAGGCCATGGGCCTGGAGATGGGGTAGTGGATGAGGGAAGTGGGTGGGGAATGGGATTCTCTACTGCGTGTTCTCTCTTCCCCAGAGGGAAAGCACAATTTGTCCTGTATTTTAATCCATTTCCTTATTTATTGGGTCCTTGGAAATTCTTAGGGTAAATTTCCATAAGAAAAAAAAGTTTTTTGTGCAGCCTCATTCTATTACTTAAACACAATCATTCTCTTCTTAGTCTCAGGTTCTCTACCAGTAAATCAGTACATTCTGACTCACAGAATAGACCTCTACGTAGCAAGCATCGAGCACTTAATAAACGCCTCTTACTGTCAGCACTAAATATCACATTTTAGTAATTGGCAACATTCTAAAGTTCTAAAGTTAAAGTTATAAAATAAAAAGAGTTTAGATGGAAAAAAAGGAAAATGTGAAATACTAACAAACCTATGTCCTTTCATTATTTAAAAAATGAAACTCATTTGAAATTGCTCTATGTGCAGTTAAATACTTCAGTCATTATTTGACTCGAGTGTTTTTTTGGAGAAGAGACGTATTTCTGGACTTGGGCTATCTGTACAATAAAAGCCAAGGATGCAGTACTTTGTTTTCTAATAAAAAGAAGAAGAAAAGCAAGTGGCTTGGTTTTTTGATGATGCCCAGGATCCCTATGAACAGAGACATGAGGCGAGCATGGCTCTGTGAGTAACAGAAGCCTGTTCATTACTGGGCTGAGCTGTGGCTCGCCAGCCAACACTCAGCACTGGGTAATGAAGGAAATTGCTGTGTGGGCGGGCAGGCAGTAAAACGTGTCTGCGGGAAAGGCTGTGACTAAGTCTCCCCTAATCAGTGTATCATCAGTGGAGCTGGGGCGGGAACTGTATCGGTGAGGGGCCTTCCATGGTCACGCTCCTGTTCCCGGTCCCACGTGAAAGCTCTGCCCCAGGACTCTGATTGCTCCAATCCTAGGGGATGGGGGTTGTGTTTTGGGACATTTAAACTTAGTTTGCTTAAAACTCAAAGTATGAAATAAATATACATGAATCCACACTGATATAAATAAAGATTGAATAAACAAATGAGTGGGGGAGAAGAGACAACCCTTCCTTATAGAAAAATTCCTAATACTTCCTTCTTCAGGAGACAGAGTTTAATTTGTTCCACCCTTACCCCTTTGGGGATGGGCTAGACCTAGAGATTGTCCAAATAATAGAGTAGGGAAGAGCAAAATGGTAACTTTGCAGTGGAGAGATGTGGCAGACATCACCTTAACCAAGAGATGGAGGTCAGCGTCACCAAGGATGTTGCATGGGTCTCATGTACCCCCTGATACTATGTAATGAGAAGAGTCTTCACCTCTGTAGTACTCTTTCCAAAAATTCCCAACCCCAGTCTAATCTTGAGGAAAACATCAGACAAACCCAGATTTTCTGGATTCCTAGTCAGTATGCCTTAACACTGTTAAGGTCAGGAAAGACAAGATAGAAAATCTGTCACAGACCAGAGGAGACTAAGGAGACATGATGACTGGATGAAATGTGGTGTCCGGAACTGGATCCTGGAAAAGGAGGAGGCCATTCCTCAAAAACCTGGTAAAACCAAATAAAATGAGTCCTAACTGTAAATGCTGCAACAACTCTCAGGCAGGGCTTGCATTTCATGACATCCAAGTCAGAGGCATTGCCAGGTAGAGGATGTGTTGGTAATAAGCATATTGGTATTGCAGGAGGTGGGAAAACCAGATTGAGACATGAAATAATTGGGCACTTTCTTATCATGGAGCCCTCTTACAAAATGGAAATGTCTATCTTCATTTTCCTTCATGCATTGCAACAGTGAGTTATACATTTTTCATGAGAATTGAATGACTATACAGAAAAATATCTTCCTAGGGTGCAAATGGAAGAGTGGGATTTAAATTGCATTATGAGTTTCTCTATAGGAAATCCCTCTAAAACAGAAAGTCAGGTTCATAATCCTATGATACGGATACATACTTGGAAAGATGAGCATTCTTTATTTTACTTTGCCATGAAAAAGCAACTCAAAACTTTGGAAACTTTCTGCATTCACCAGATAACTCCTTTTCAAAATCTTATTGAGTTTTATACCTCTGTACTATCCTTTTTTGTGATCAATGGGTTGGTCTCCTCTGATAAGCTGTAGGATAAAAATATGCCAGTGTATTATAGTGAGGGAAAATTAAAGTGCAATTTTCATTTCCTGGAAAAAAAAAAAAGCCCACACAGTTTTAAAGCTCCAGTGAGGGACCTGCATCAGGAAGCCTTCATTCCAGACACTTCTATTTCAGAGCTGTGGACTCTGGAGCTGGACAAAACTAGGAAATGGAGAGTGTGATCACTTGATCTTCTAATCTGCCATTTCCCCTAAGGCACAATTACTGCATCTGTATTGGAAAATCATTGTGTTTGCTTTGTTGGACCCTGGTTGTCAGAAGTCTTTAATGCAATTAGCCTACTCAGTGCACATGGGGCTGGACTAATGTGCATACGAGGTAGGTGAAGAAGCTAAATTCTCAGAAGTCTTAAATATCAGATGGGCATTGTAGCGTGAGTTTCTTGTAGCATCGTCTCCATTAGAAGGGTTAGGAAATCCAGTGGAAAAAGTTCCTCTTACATACTCCTGCCCCAGAACCTTTAGCCCACGAAGTGAACTGTGAACCCATAGATGATCCTGATGCAGGGTCCCCTCAGCTACTGTACTCTTTCTGAAGCTGGGATAAAGGGACAGTTAGAGGACTGTTCAGATAGGAGAGCCTAATCAGAATTTTCTGACATCATGAAGCCCATCAACGTTGTACATATAGGAAATAAGTCTCATATTCAGCTTTTTGAAAATTTTATATAATCAAAGTCTCTCTCCACAGTGTAACAGATTTACAATTCCCTCTTCTACTTCCTACCTCACCACTAACACTCCATGTCATACAACTGGGAATAGAGGCAATTAACAGAAAAATAAAAGGAGAAGACATTTTCAGCATTTATCTTGGTGTTTAATCTAGTGATTATATCTTCCACTGGGAACACTGAATATGTGATAATATGCATATGCATATACTTATTATTTCTTTTCTCAGCATCGATGATTTTGTGAATCCCCTGTGTGTGAAAGTTTGTGTAAATAAAAGTGTTTCTGCACAGAAGGTCCATCTCATTCATCAGATTTTTAAAAAGGGTTTTTTTTTAACCAAAGTTCAAGAATCATTACTATAAGCCACACCTATAGTATTATTTTGTTTTGTGTTTATGTAATATATGTCACACACACATACATATACATATCTATGTATGACATATTAGCATATATTTGTTTTAAGTTAATTGTTAAAACTATATTTATTATTCAATATTGGGTTAGGGCTCAGATAGTCTCTTTTTTTCCTCTGAGATTTTAGATTTAAAGAATCACTTCAGATATATCTAGGAAGCCATTTCCATACCCATTCCTTCAAGAGATACACGGAAGTTAAACCAGATGAGAGTCACGGCAAGTGTTTGCAACTAGCTAGTTCACTGTGAAATTCTGGTCATGGTGCCTGCATTAGGTAGTTATGGAGATCTGAAGGTAAATATCAGAAGCTGGGCCGAGAGGCAGTCACTGCTGAATCCAGGGAGAGGGCAGGGGTGGCAATGAGAGCCGGACTGCTTTTCTGGCCCCCTGCAGGTGGCACAGTGCTAGCCTGTCCTGATTTAAAGGTGCCGCATATCTTCTGATGAATCCAGATGAACCAAATCAGGCCCCAGTCTAGGGTCTGGACAGAGTAAGTTCTTTATGGGACATAGGGCAAGCATTCTTATACTGCCTCCAGACCACGCATAATCAGTAAAACTCATTTATGGGTATTTTCAGGAAAACAAAGTAAACTAAATAAAAAGTATTATTTGACAGATGTTACTAGCTTTGCACGAAAATATGTTACCTGATCTGGACTCTATTTTTGGTCTAAAATTTCTTGTGTTATTTACATTTATGAGAATGAGCATTTTCTACAAAGAATTGAGGAGAAACTTACTATTTAAATATAAAACAACAGTGAAGTGAATATGTAAATAAATATATGCAAATGCAGGCCATATATAAAAATACAGAACTAATCTATGACAACTTTATAAAATCTGCAAAACTAAACTTAAAGGTCTTTGGATATTCACGATTGGAGCCAAATGTAAATAGCACATGCAGATATAATTAATGATATTTAAAAGAACACATTTCATATTTACAGACTCCAACAAAGCAATCATCCTTTCTATAACATCATTCAGTATTATTTTTTAACTTGTTGGAAACTTTCTCATTATATATAAGTTATCTCAAAAGTTATTTTCAAGATCATTATTCTTAAACCCACCCTCCTTAGAAAGAGGCCTTAAAGAGAAGTTAGTAATTTAAATGGTTTTGACTATAACAGATATAACTTTGATATTGATTACATTTACTCAGAAAGGTATCATAATCAAAATACCTTTGAGGAAAAAATGTTCTTGGCATAATACTAAACACGTAAGAGCTGCTCTAATTATGTTTAACATTTTTGGCACAGTGACAAATTCCTGTGGTATTTAAAATTACAGTGGGAAAGGTTTTTTCCAAAGTGGTTTCTAAAATAAATAAAACCCGTACACAACAGGCATGCACGTATTGCTATAATCTCACGTGAAGCAAAAAGCTTCTTCATCCACAGAGGAAGATGATGAACCCAACCCAAGCTCAGTCCCCAGATAAGAGGCAAGGGCCACAGCTAGCAGGACACAGAATGCCCAAAGGGGGTCTCCAAATCACTGGCTGTAGGAGACCAAAAACTTGTGTGGCAGCAACAGCAGGAAATCTTCACTGAAGAATAATTTATTAATTCATTGGTTGAAACATTCAATCATTCATTCAGCAGATGTCATTAACAAGCTTACTATTTGTCAGACATTATGCTAGGGGCAGAGGGATATCACCACCCTGCCTTGTGAAGATTTCAGTCTGGTGAAAGAGAAAAGCCACTATAGTACAAGGAATAAGTACAATGATAAGGAAATTTGTTCAAATCGGAGCATGGATGCCAAGATAGAAGTTGTCTCATAAGCCTAGGTGAACACAGGTCAGGCAAGAGGCTTTGAAAAGCCACCATGCAGCCACCTAGTGGAACTTTTATTCATATGATTGGTTGTCAGAACATTCGTGAAGCAATATAAGTAGCCTAGTGATCTGTTTTAAAGCACTGATTCCTACCAGGTCATGATATAAACTTCCAATAAGAATAGTGAGAACTGCAAGTTATGAAATGCTAGCCACAATGTTTGCCACTATTTATTAAGAACTGGTTATGTACCAGGAATTAGGCTACATGCTTTAAGGGCATATTTTACCTCATATCCAGACACTGTTTTGAGAATTTGCCATGTATTATTACTACTTACAACCACCTTGTATGATTGTTATTATTATTCCATCTTCTAGATGGGAAAGCAAAGGATAAATGAGATTTAATAACATGTTCAAGCTTGTACATGGCATATTCAGAATTAATCCCTGGGCCCATCTAGCAGAAAATCTCTTTCCTTAGTGTTCATTGTGCATCAAAATACTCCTGTCTCAAGAATGACTGATTTGGAACCTGGGGCTTTAAAGCCAACTGCAGACAAATCTTGGAGAAGCCAGGACAAATGAAGCAAAAGTGGACACACAACATATTTTAAACATCTCAGATTCAATTAATAGTATTATAACACTAACAACAAAAACAATCACAATGGCAGCTCTAATGTACTAGACTTGTACTATGTGCTGGTTGTAAAGTGATAGCAAACATCTGATATTTTCACCAACCAGTATCTATTCATCCTTTTTCTGATAACAGAACCTCATCTATTTTGGGTGGGATATATCTGCCCACCTTGGGCTCCCATCTAAAACTTCAGGCTTGAGTGCATGATCCAGGTCTAGCCACACAACACCATGGTGGTTTTTATGGAACTGCCACATGACCCATCTTAGACCATTTGAGAGTCATCTTAAGGACTTTACCTGGTGTTGTCCACAAAAATACTCATACTGGTCAGATAAAATACCAAACCTGGAATACCCGACCTTCATGATTAACCTGTGAATTAGAAAACAAACATAATTAATAACTCAATGGGGTATTTAGCCATGTTAAATTCTCAATAAACCTTCTGCACATTTTTTCAAAACTCCATAAAATTGCCATATGAAGGTTTACCAGTTATTATCAATATTAGAATATACTACCAAATTTTGATTGAAAAATAATCCTCCTCTCTTTATCAGTGAAATACAAAAATAAAATTTGTATGTTTGACTTCATTTACTCATCATATTTTATTTCTAAATATTAGTTAAGATATATAAAAATATTTATTCTATTTATTTGTCTGTGGTTTGTTGTTTGCTGGAGGCAGTCTATGCTGTGGATTTAGTGTCACATAATCCTGATTTTAAATCCTGGTTCTACAAAAGCAAAAACTGACAAATAGGATCTAATTAAACTAAAGAGCTTCTGCACAGCAAAAGAAACTACCATCATAGTGAACAGACAATCTACAGAATGGGAGAAAATTTTTGCAATCTATCCATCTGACAAAGGTCTAATATCCAGAATCTACAAGGAACTTAAACACATTTACAAGAAAAAACAAACTTAAACACATTTACAAGAAAAAGCATACAATTCCATTAAAAAGCGGGCAAAGAACATAAACAGACACTTCTCAAAAGAAGACATTTATACGGCCAACAAACACAAAAAAGCTCAACATCACTGATCATTAGAGAAACGCAAATCAAAACCACAATGAGATACCATCTCATGCCAGTCAGAATGACAATTATGAAAAAGTCAAGAAACAACAGATGCTGGCAAGGCTGTGGAGAAATAGGAATGCTTTCACACTGTTGTTGGGAATGTAAATTAGTTCAACCATTGTGGAAAACAGTGTGGTGATTCCTCAAAGACCAAGAACCAGAAATACCATTTGACCCAGCAATCCCATTACTGGGTATATACCCAAAGGATTATAAATCATTCTGTTATAAAGATACAAGCACGTGTATATTCATTGCAGCATTTTTCACAATAGCAAAGACATGAAATCAACTCAAATGCCCATCAGTGATAGACTGGATAAAGAAAATGTGGTACATATACACCACGGAATACTATGCAGGAAAGGAATGAGAAAGGAATTAGAAAGGAATGAGAGCATGTTTTTGCAGGGACATGGATGGAGCTGGAAGCCATCATCCTCAGCAAACTAACACAGGAACAGAAAACCAAACACCACATGTTCTCCCTTCTAAGTGTGAGATGAACAATGAGAACACATGGATACAGGGAGGGGAACAACACATACTGGGGCCTGTTGGCGGGGTGGGGGGAGGGAGAGCATCAGGATAAATAGCTAATGCATGCAGGGCTTAATACCTAGGTGATGGGTTGATAGGTGCAGCAAACCACCATGGCACACATTTACCTATGTAACAAACCTGCACATCCTGCTCATGTGTCCCAGAACTTAAAAAATAAAAAAAAATAGATCCTGGTTCTGATCATTATTAACTAACCCACCTTTGTAAGTTACTAGGCCACACTGTGTCTCATTTTCTTCACTTAAACAATTGAGATAATAATAGTCTTCTACAGGATTTGAGAGGATTAAGTGAAGTAATATTTGTAATATGGCGTGATGCCTGGTCCAATGCACAATAAAGATTAGGATCTCTCCGTCCTTCTATCTGCTGAGGCAAGACTGTTCTACCTTGTTCAGATTGCATCCTGAAATAGGATGCCTAAGATATGCATTTCCTTTTCCAACTAATCATGGAGAATAATAAGTAATTAAGGAATGTAAGATCAGAATAAACAAAATTCCTGAAGACATTTGGTTTGCAGAATGTCAGTAATTCAATACAGAAATTAATTCTATAGTTCGTAAAAACCCATGATGTTTGTGTCTAGAGTTCTTGAATTGCATCTCCCCCTAAAATCTATATCAATAACAGCCCACAGGAAAGTCCAGGCTCATGAATCAGGGATGTATAATTACCTACTCGAATTTCTACTGTTCCTTTTGTGTGAGAGGTGACCAAGCACCCAGAAATCCCAGGGGGAGAGAGCTGGTGGGTAGCTCCTTGTAGCCATTGACTTTAATATGTCTAATTTCAGTTGTGCCTTTTCTCATTTTCACACAATTGATTTAAATTCATTTTTCCTCTCTCTTTACTTCCTCTCCTTTTCTATCCTTGTCTTTTTCCTACCTCTTCCTCTTTCCTAGTTTCTTATTAGATTTTCCAAATTTTCTGTCTTGCCATTTATCATTTGATATGGGCTATTCATTGCTTATTGTGAATGTCAGGACTCACCTTAACTTTTAGATTCATATCATCCCAGAGTGAGAGGCCATCCTTTGTCCTCTGCATAAACCACCTCCAGAACAGTTTTCATAGATGATCATCTTTACTGAGCCTGTCAAGTGGAAGAAACTTTCTTTAGGATGCCATTCATGGTATTGTCAGAGAGCTCTAATATTTAGAAAGACCTTCCCTATATTTATACTAAATTTAACTCCCTGTTATTTCTGCTGACTGATCTAGTGGGGTATACTGGCAGTCTTTTCTTTATGGTAGTCTTTTCAATATCTGAAAATGCCAATTATATCCCCCATGAGTCTCCTTCTGCTGCAGGAACACATTTTCCATTTTGTTCTTGCCAGTTTGGCCCATTATTATAATCTGTCTGTATAAACTGGATGTTGTTCTTGGGCCCTGGATCTTGGCCTAACCCCCATGTTCTTCCTCCCCACATCATATGCTGAAATAATGCTTAACGTGCATCTATTGTCCAGGAAATCTTATATAATTTTAGAACACAGACAACCCAAGCCCACTTTTCCCTCGCTGGTTCCCTAAGGATGCAACATCACCCTACGGGTATGAAAGAGTGAATATACAAAGAGCATCCAGACCATACATAAAAATAGACCTTTTAATTCATAATCTGCAGCAACCAACTCAGGAAACTAACCCCTTATCCACAGTGACAGGGCAGGAAGCCACCTGCTAAACACAGGTCAGACTATTAGTGACAATCCAGAAAGCCAAAAAGTAATCCCTTAAAAATCAGCCCAAAATGATGAGGACATGATTAATAACTGACAGCTTCCCTAATTTTGTTCCCACTTCCAGCTTAGGACCAACCAAAGAAAGCCAGATGTGCCCTCCTAACCATCACATAGCATGTCCCGCTTTTAGTTAACCGTGTCCAGCTTCCCCCATGCCAATAGCTTCTGCTCAAGGCATACCTGAAGCCGTCCCTTTTCTTCCACTACAAAGTGTTCTCCCTTCTCTGCCTGACTTTGAGTCTCTGCCAAAACACAATGACAGTGGCTGACTTCCTTGCTATAACAAGCTCTGAATAATTAGCCTTTGTTCTCATTGTGTTGGTGCTCATTTATTTCCACAGGTAGGAGTTTAATGGAATAAAGGGGTGATTTTTCCATAGAGGAAATGTAGACTTTTTTACATCGGGAAAACATGTCACAGAAACAAAAATATTTTCTAATTAACACTGAGAAAGATGCAACGTTTTATCTGAAAAGGACATTAGGTTCTCCAGATCCAAGTCTGATTTTCTCTCTAGTAGACCACACTGCCTTGATATTAATCCCCTCTTAAAAGTCTTGTTTCAACCTCAGCCATTCTTCCTTCTCCTTTCAGTCCTCATCTCAACCTAGGCCATGATATAGAGGCATTTCAGAGAAAAATAAACAAGAGAAGACATTCCTCTCTGCTTTATTTTATAAATACATTGTGAAAATGATTTCCTCACCCCATTTTATCCCAGGATATTACTATGTGCCAAGAAAAATCTATATCCACTTAATTTTTAGCTGAAAGAGAAAAGACATTGTGAACTAGTTATTTAAGCAGCTATCTCGAGCTTTTAGAAGGTCAGTAAAAGCTTTTTTCCTGGAATTTTTCTATACAAATGTATCATCAAAAATGATGATTTAACCTTATAAATGAAAGTTAATTTTATGCTATTGAATGAAAATCAGGGCAGGGTAGGTGGAGCCAGAAAATAAAGTCATTGAAGACAGTATAATTTTAACCATTTTCAACTAAAAATCTTGATGTTGTGGAAAAGAGAAGGGAGTGATGGCGGGGAAATTGAGGAAGCCTTTGGCAAGGGATGGAGAGATAGCTGCTTGGCTTCACTCTCCAGGGACTTTATAAGATACAGAGCATTGCCAGTGTCCATCCATAGCCAAGGACCAATAGCTTCCAAGAGGGTTGTGGTTCAAGGCACTGGTAGAAATAAATGCCAAAAGGCTTTGATCTTTCTATTCCGCAACTTATAGCTACCATTATACTTATCATTATTTCATGTCTACTATGTGCTAAATGTTGTATTAGGTATATACATTATCTTATTTAATTTTTATTTAACATTAACTCCATGAAGTCAGTGCTGTTAATTACCCTCATTTGGTGAATAAAGAAACTGAAGCTCAAAGAGACTATTGAATTTGCTCAAGGTCAAAGGATTATAAGAGGCAGAGCTGAGATTTGAACTCAGTTCCATCTGTATTCCTAAGTCTGGGGCATAGCCCCACATCTGTCAGTTCACAATCTGGGGTTCGGGTGTGAGGTGCAGCACTGCTCTGCGAAGACAGGCAGTCTTGGAATTCTGCATCGCAATGGTTGAAAGCTTGGTTGCAGGGGCTAATATAAAACTAGGAAGGCAAGAAGCATCACTAACCCCTACCTGAAAAACAATAAAATAAACAATAATGTTGATCCTGATATTTAACAGCATGTTAAAAACCTTTGGCATTTGTAGCATTGTTCTGAAGACATGACATATAGAAGGTGTATTTACATGAAGAATACCATCAACTGCTGAGTTGTTCTCTGTCTTTTGATTTTTGCCTCCCCCGCTGAGCTGCAGCAGTGATGAAATTGATGCACCGCAGATAAAAGGCATGCATTGTTTGTTGACAGTAGTTATCTAACTTATTTTTCAGGTGCGTAGGCAGAAAGTGGTTAAGTCACTTACCAGTTTTCATAAAATAAGTCAGAAATGGAATAAGAAGGAGAACTCAGATACTTTATATCATCAGGGCTGGCTTCAGGTTTCCTAGACTACACAATCTATGTGACAGCAGATAACAGAATCAGTCAGAAAAGAAATATTAAATGGAATCATTTAAAATATTGTTTAAATGTTAAAGGAAATTATCACAAATGAATCTTTGTGGCAGAAACAAATTAAAATTATTAAAACAGAATAGCTTTTATCCTTCCACAGAATGCAATTTTACCTGACAGCTATGTTTTGATAGAATCTTCTATTTGATTTTTGGTGACTTAATGGAATAAAGTCATTATTTCAGTCACAACAGTATATAGAAAAGATAATTAGAGTTGATAAGTATAAAGACAATTGCAAAAATGAAAAAGTGTGACACTGAAAATTTCTGTTTTGTGGAAAGTGTTCCAAATTCTTGGGCACAAAAAATTAAAAACACAATGGGGCATGTTTTCTTGTTGATACTAGCTAAATGTGCAGGTCAGATTTCACATTGGAACAAGGCAAATCATAAAGTGTCCAGGTTCCAACATCATAAAACGTCTACAAGGAAGTCTCCCAATTTATTCCTTAATAACCTGCATTTTCACTCATTTCTCCATGTAACACATAACTTACAGATATAGGTAAATATAACACTGATGGTTAAAAATGCTGTAGAAGAAAGTGATATTGTGAGCTAGTGGTGGCTCCTGTTTGGTTATGCTTTCACTGTCTGTACCTATGAGAAGCCCTAAGCACTTGGAAATTAGGTTTCCCTTTGAATTTCATACTGTAAATCTCCACACAAAACATATGACATTAATGACTTGTGTCTCTAAACACACATCCTACTAGTTTGCATCTCAAACCTCAGTGTATCCTGGATTTAACTTCAGGGAGACAAAGATGCAATTATTAATAAGGAAATTAATTGATTATACTTATATCCTTCTTGGAGAAAGACTACAAATGGGAAGAAACTGGCTGGATAGAAATGGTAGACCAAAGATTCCATTCAAGCACAGAATATGGGAGAAGACGGCCTCTGGGGACATCAGAACCATCCTGAATTAATTCTCTCCCTGGGCAGAGCATGCTTCAGAACCCGAAATTACTCAAACTTTGAGCCAGGCAACCAACTCTTCCCTATGCCCACCAAGAAGACTGCTTGCAGTTAGCCTTCCGATATACTAGTGAGGTCAGGGCCAGCATCCAATTCACTTGATAGCACTATTTCTCGTTAGAAATTAATACCTTACATTCTGGTGATTTTTTTTTTAGTATGAATTGGCACCTCAAAGTCAGTTCATTGCTGGAACATTAACAATATCAAGTTTCTCAGCCTATAATGTGAAGGACCACACCTTGGGCAAAGTTGAACTTACTGTTACAGGATTCCTTTTGGTACCACTTTACCAGCCAGAAATCTCTGTGGCTGCCATGACCACTGCCTGCAGCCTCACTCCAGTCCACCAGGCTCACTCCACCCAGCCGGCTGCACTCAGCTCGTGACGCAGCCTGGATCCCATGCCCCAACAGGGACTCTGCACTCAGCCCACAGCTGCATTGGGCATGCTGCAAGCGGTTTTCACATTGGGCGTCAGCGTCTAGACAAGGGGAGCATGGTGGCACCCAAAAACTCAGATGTGCCAGCAACAGCAGAGCTCCTAGGGGTGTTACGGCTCTCACCCAGGGAGTCCTGAGGTCTGAGTTCCCAAAAAATGTGGCAGCTTTCATAGTTCAGTGAGCAGGCCAGAGCGAATGGCGCCCAATGGCTTCGGTTCTTTGTGCCTACAGATGAGCAAACGGCGGCATGTTACAACTCTCTCGTTCCCACCACCCACAGCTCGGCAAAGAGGTGTGTGTTACAGCTTTCTTCACGCCTGACACCAGCAGCCCAGCAAACAGGAGCATGTTACGACTCTCTTCACACCCGCCACCTGCAGCTCAGGGAGTTCTGGGTTCTGCAAGGCAGAGAAAAATTTTATTGAGCGACAGAAAAGCTCTCCACACGAGAGGGCACCCAAAGTGGGTAGCCCTCTGTGTAAGAGAAGACCCGAAATCAAGTAGCCCTCCTTGAGACTGAATCCCGGGATTTTATGGGCTCAAAATGGGGGGACTATGTGCTGATTGGTCCATGGCTGGTCTTTGGAAAAAAGCATCATTCGATTGGTTAAAAGGCATCATTATGTATAGAGAGAGGGTAAGACGGACACAAAAGTTTTCACTATGTTTGTGGACACTATCTGGAACCAGCAGCTTGGTTTTCAGGCTTTAAACTGTCTTTGGCTTGAAGGTTGGTTTTCACCAGGGACCCATCCCTGTCTGCCTAGGAATTTGCCTGTCTCCTGTCGCTGTCATCACTAATTCTAAAACTATCTTAGTGCTCTTGAGGGATGGAGGACTCTTAGGTGCCCTCTGACCCACTGCTAGTTCCCCTAGGCTCTGTGAAAGACTCCAGCTGGAATTGCTCTGAAAGTAGGTGGAGAATTTGGGGTAAAGAAATAAAGAGAAAGGGACTGCACTCATTAGGGAACATTATAAGGAAATTCAGAAATCAGAAACAGGACTAGATTAAAAATTCAAATTTTAAACTTCCAAGTTCTTTCATATAAGTAGTTATTTCAACTCTAAGGCATTCTTTGCCTCAGCATTTCAGAATCTAAATGATAAAGTGTCGCTTCTTTAACAGTCATTTGCTGTACAAATATGAGTCATTATCATCAGATTTTTAAAGAGTTTCTTTACTGGCTTCTACATACAATTTTGAAGCTTCATGTAGTTGCTAGAAATGGTTTTGTACTAGAATATGTTGCATCAGTAATTTGTTGCTTTTATCTTTGGTTACTTTCTAAAGTCAGCATTTATGCTTTTCATTATCATAACTTACAAATTATTACAGATTAGTTTATTTTAACATAAAGCTCTTTTCCTTTTATTTAAAAAAATTCTTTAGTACTTTTTGACGTAGTGGGTGGAAAATATCTAGAGTATAGAACTTACTGTTAGAACAAAAAACCACCTACTTACAAAGATGTCCCCTTTGTGTGATAAATTAACCCTTATTAAGTTGTATTTCATTTTGGTCTCAGCTCCAACGTGGTCATCTCTGGTTTGTTAGAATTTAATTAGACCCCTCAGGATATTTATATCTTTAAATAACAGCCAAGACGTTCTTATGACTTCCAGTATGTCCTAAGTTAACAGAAAGAGCATAATCTTTTGTACTCAGAGCCTTATTTAAACGGGCTGTGAAGATGAAAACCTAAGTAATGAATGAGCAAGATTCAAAGCTATATTCCGCAGATCCCAGAGACTGTGAGTGATCAAATCAAAGCCAAAGTGGACACAGACTTAAAATAGAGTCAGACGAAGATAGCAAAATGGGCTCATAACCAGCCAATATATCAGTTAGTCAGTTGGACTTTTGATTAGTAAATTGTTTTAAAAGTGCTTTGCAAGGTATCATATCAGAGCATGAATCAGTGGACAAGTATGAGATTTGGATTCAAATACCTCTTGAGAGCCAGTGGTTTTATGTAAGCACACTTGCTTCTCTGAGCTCTAATCTTCTTACCAACAAACTTATTTTAATACCTAGCTCACAATCAATTTTAGAAGTAAGTAGAATTATATATAAATTATGAAATATAATACCTGGCACCTATTAATCCTTCAGTTAGTGTTAGCTATTATTATCACCCAAAGGATACAAAAATTTACCCCTATCATTAATTTTACCCACCATCACTGCCATCCTCAGTTTCAGTAACAAAGAGTCCCATCTGCCCCAATACTGCCTGACTTAGAATCCTCCCTTGGACTCGTTCCTTTCTCTTCACTGTTGAAACTTACTTGCTGATCTTTATTCTCAGACCTTACCTGGGCTTCCAGAAGAGGCATCATTTTCACTCAGTAAATTCATCACTCAGTCCATATATACTATTACTATGTGCCAGGCTGCGTGTCAGGCTCTATGGCTGGATCAAGGTTCAGTGGAGGGAAACCTGCCCTTCAGACTGCCATACCAAAGACCCTGAGCATCACAGCCATCATCATCATAGCTTAGGTACAATAGGGTAATTCCTAAATGGTGTGCTTTATCTTAAACCTGTTGGCATACATGTAGCATTTTTCTTCCACCATATTTCCTATAATTACAATTGTGGCAAATATTTTATCAATTGGGGTATAATCATAGAAATTATCATCTGAACAGTGAATGCTATTTTATACTGAAACTGCAGCAAATATTGTTAAAATTTGCTTTAGGCTATCTATCATCAAAATGAACTTATACCGCTAGGCTTAGATAAAATACCAAGAAATACTACTGCTAGAGGCAAACGGCAGCTAGTAGGAACCGGTCCTTTTGGAAGTTAGTCATATTGTCGGAACTACAAATAGATATTTCAGGATTCAGTAAACAATTTGGTGGATGAAAATTTGGAGAGACAATATGTGAATAGTTCATGCTGTCATTGTCGGTTCATGTTTATCTCTTGACATCCCTCAGAATTCTCTCTTTCTTTCCCAGAGAAGATAAGAAGTTCCCCATTATTCATGGCAACCAAGGGCTTGGCTCTGAATGTAACAGAGAAATGTGCAGAGAAAGCATTACTAGGCCTGGCCTCTCACTGCATTTCAGAGCTCAGCATGTGTGTGTGTGCCATTGTGGATGGCATGACCAAGTGTGGAAAGCAGAGTAACTAAAGAAAGTCAAATTCTATATTCTGACTGTGCAGTTGCTTCAAAACATTATAGAATAATCCAGAGCTAGGGCCAAACAGTACTGCCACTTAGGGGCGGAGTGTCAAGCAGGGCACTTGAGGGACGGTGATAGAATTCTAAATTTACAATTTTATAAACTCTTCTTGTTCCCTGTTTATGCACAATCATTTACTAATGACTATCTTAAAATATAGAGGCCATAACTGAACAGAGTACTCCAGACATGGTCTCTCCAGTATATAGAGCAGCAATCACTGGAGTCAGGATTTAGATCTAATTTAGGATCCTCTGTTCAGTAGACAAGTGACTTTGGTCATATTCCTCACAATCTCTAAGTCTCAGTTCCTTTATCTGTTAAAAAAAATACACAATAACACTGACTACACAATATTATTATAAAAATTACATAATATATGGCTACATTAAGTGTCTATCCAAGCTTTTTGTAAATTGTAAATTTCATATTATGTTACCTATGTTTTTATTAAAGTTGGTAACTTATTTACTCAATGAGGTAAGGCCAACAACAATGCCATTTGATATTCCATTTCAGATAACATCAAAAGGCTGTTCAATTACTAATATTCCAACCTGACTTTGTTATCATCCGCCTTAACCACATAGGTGACATAATGCATAACAAAACAGAGTTTAAACTCTGGAGTCAAACACATCAGGTTCAGGACAATGTCCCAGCTACAGGACATTGGGTGGTGCTCACCTGATCCAATCCTCAAGTTTCTCATGTAAAAGATAGTCATATCACTGGTAACAACTTGGGACCTACTAAGTGTTCAATATATATTAGATAGTATTCATAACTACCTTTCAATCTTAAAAAATAATTTGTCTACATCGTGTTGCATATCTATAGTTAATTTGGCATGTATGCTGTCTCCTAGTGGTCATGTTCTTTCCAAAATGGTCATGACCCTGTGACATGTTTGGGCATGTTGGTTACTGCAGCCTAGCCTGCCTTTTCTTTCTTTTTTTAAGCCCAGGCTGGAGTGCAGTGGTGCAATCATGGCTCACTGCAGCCTCGACCTCCTCCCACCTCAGCCTCCTAGGTAGCTGAGAGCACACCATCATGCACAGCTAATTTTTTGTATTTTCTGTAGAGATGGGGTTTCGCCATGTTGCCCAGGTTGGTTTTGAACTCCTGAGCTCAAGCAACCCTCCTGCCTTGGCCTCCCAAACTGCTAGAATTACAGGCTTGAGCCACCAAGCCCAGCCCTAGCCTACCCTTAATGAATACAACCACAGATTGGTTTAATAATCTCCTCCGAGTCCCTCTTGTCCTCCTGTTATAACTCTACAGATGTTGAAGTCCATCTGGCAGTCTTTCCTGATCACGCATTGCCCTATTTTATTGACTGCGCTTCAGAGCACTTGACTGCATCTACACATTCTCAACACCTCCCACTGCTGTGTGTTGTACTAATTTGGGTAGGTGTCTCTTGACAGTCTCTGAATTAGAATTCAAGCTCATAGAACTGAAACAATGTCATTCTTTAAATACCTCAATTCTACCTTGCCTATCATAGGATACGGAATAAATTTATCAACCAAATGAATACGTGAATGAATGAGTGTTCCAGAATTTAGTTGGGTTACCTAAATCAATATAACCAATGTTACATTTCTAATATCTTGTCCTTAGCATTTTTCAAAAGTTTCAACTCATTCTGGATTCCCTTCTGTAGTCTGTCTTTTAAGTATAGTTTGTATCATATTTTTATTCATTTTTCCCTTCTCTTTTGGTTATATGATTTTTCTTCCTACTTTTGTATGTATATTTTAAATCTAAGGTCATCTGAGAGCTTCCTGTGCAGCTAAATGTGAATTTCCTTGGTTGTCCATGTCTTTTCTTTTCAGCTGGAATCACTTGTGGTTGTAGAGATCCACCTTTAGAACTTTCCATTCCTCTCAGATAATATGTTCTGTTGAATCTGTGCCTGGAACGCATCTGGGATGGGCTGTTGTTTGTGCTGTTGGAGAAACCCCAGCTGTTAGCACTTAGGGGTCATGGTCACTACATAATGCTCTCCAGGGCAGTGAAGTCTTCCTGAGGGAAGCAGTCCCCTGGGCATAATGTGAGCCTGGAAGGCTACAGTTATCACCTGCTCTAGGCTCCTGGCTTTCTGCCTAAGGGAGAGGTCCACACCGCAGGAAGCTGGAACCACCCTCCACGAGCCTTGTGCTGGCCTGAACTCATTGCCTGCTCCTCTAGCATATCCCTCTCCCTCCTGCCAACTCTGTCTGTCTAAGTCTCCCTGACAGTATCTTTTCTCTCTCTCCGTCTATGTGTGTGTGTGTGTTGGTCTGTCTGTCGTATCCCTCCTCTGTCTACCCTAGACTGCCTACCTCTACATCTCTGTCACTGTTTTCATCCTTCTCGCTTTCAACTGTTTAATATCCATACTTTTATTTCTAGGATTCTTCAAATAATATTTTCCTAACTCTCTTTGCTCTTGTGTTTCCTTCCAGAGTCTCTAGCCATGAAATCATGCCAGCCTTTTTATGAACTCTTGAACAATCTGTTATCCTAAAGTCTAGAGTGCATGTCTGACCATGCCTACTGTTTCCTTTCTTCACTGTTACGGATTCCAACATGACTTGATTTCTCACAAGTTTAGTATAACCTTTACTCTAACAGTAAGCTCTTTCTCGTTCGTTAGAATTAAAAACAGAATAGCAACATTCCTTGTTGCTTCCCCTTCACACTAAAAGATGAAATTTTCAATAAAGAATGCCAGAGTTCTACTTTCCACAGAATGTCCTAAGAGTTGAAAAGCTTCCTCACTGTTACTTCTTGCCTCTGGGCCACTTTATATTCTGGAATAAGATCCTTCCTCTATAACTTCTACGTGGTCGGAAAGTCTGTTTTACATAATCACAATATGATCACTTGTTTCTGCTCCCTTTCTTCAGCACCTGGGTGCTATCTACCTTAAGATCATGGCTTTGTATAAACTTTATACATTTTTTCAAAAACAAGGTTACTATATTCTATTAGAGCTGTTTCCTTTGAAAGAAATCTATCTTTTGGTGTGTTATTTCAGTCATGAATTTCATACCACCAATAATTGGAGATATTCAACTTCTGGATTATGAACTACTTTAGGTCAGCAGCCATGATATATTCATTGTTGTATTTTCAGAGTCAAGAACAGTCCTGAAACATGCTTAATGTGAATCCGTTAAACTGAACTGATACTTATTTTAAAATTACAAGTTTAATTGACTCCCACTAATGCACTGTGCATATATATGCAAACACTTGAGACCTTAAGTGAATTTCAAATATCTTCATCTCTCCTGAAAATGAGCTAATATTTCTTTCACAAGTTCTCTCTCTGTTTTGCTTCTCATGGTACATGATGTAGAGTTTTGTTGGATATTTTCTCCCCAGCTTCGTATTTTAATTTTAAAAGCTCTTGATCAACTACTAATAGGTCATTATTATTGAGAAGCATCAACTAGCCTAGAACAACATTAAGTATTTTATACATCTTATTTTTAATCCTTACATCAATCTTTCCATACAGATATTAAGTTAACTATATATATTAGAAAATTAAGACTAATAAAGGTAAAATGGCTTACTCCAGCCAACATAGCTGATAAGTAAAAGAAAGTGTTGGAGTTAGGTCTGACTGCTTCCAGAGCTTATGTATTTCTTCTTCTACTACTCTCCACTGCCGCCAGGCTGACAGGTCAAACAGACACCTGCCATTATTTTAGAATACATTCAGATGTCATGAGTTTCTTATTAACTAGAATAAATAACAGATCTTGGCTCTGAAAGGGCATATTGCTACTGTGACAAAAGCTATGGTGACTCAAAATACTATACTGTTTTGGGAACAACCATGGCTGCAGCAGTGACTCTATGGTGGCTTTAAGAGCAAACTCTATAAAGAGCTACACACTTTATCCTTGTCATCAGAGACAAAGGGATAGAATAAATTAGCAGAAAGCAGCTCACCCCATTCTTGCCTGCACCCCAGCAAGAAGATAGGCAAGAATAATTCACTGTTTACTATTCTGACCTTGCCTGAACCGCTATTGCAGGGCTCTTAGCACCATGAATAGTGTCAGATTACTACTCAAGCATGCTAGAAGGACAATTTTTATTTTGATATAATTCAACCTAATAATTATTTTTACCTTCTTTCTAATCTACTAACATGACAAAAACTTAATTGTACAGAATCATCATCTCACTTCCACCACTTGGGGTTGTGTCTAAGTTTCTAGGACATCAATAGTGCCAATAGCGGGTTGGATGGCATTATGGTCTGTCTCTTCTTCCCTGTGTGTTGGCCACACCAGCGCCTGGTGCCATGTCTATTGCCCACCTGGTCCTCTGTCATCAGTCCACATGAGTGGCAGCACAGATGTCCCCTGGAACCCGTCAGGTATGGCACTCTCTGTGGCCACCTTTTGCTACTGTTGGGCACTTGGGATTTATTCCGCTGCTTGCACAGACTCTTCAGAAAATTCTGTGAGGCTTCCAGGAAACATGATGCCAACATTTCTTCTCTGAGGTCTTGTTATTTCCCCAGGCTATACCTGAGACATAGTTACAAAACCCTTGTGCTCTTGGATACCAAAAATATACTGGGTTGAATGTTTCTGTCAGGCTTAGCCTGGAGACATTCTGCCTTAGGAAACCACCATGTCTGGGTTGTCTTTAACCCCTGCCAGCTTCTCCCACGAGCCTGAGAAATAATTTTTTGATCCTAAGGGTCTTGGGGTGGGGGGCTCTAGGGAAGTGGATGGAAATTTGCTCTTATGTATAAACCTCTCCACTCAATTTTTGTATCCTCTCCATTACCCTAAAGGCTTGGGTTTTTGAAACTCAAAATCCAGGGAAACACTTCTTTTTCTCTGCTTTCTGCTCTCACATTTATCTCCTAAGGTAATAAACTGAAAATGGTCTAATTGCATGTTTAGGAGAAAAGAGCAAGTGGAAAATGGTGAGAGGGGTTGGGGGGATGGGGGATAGATGAATGTTTTCAAAATAATCTTTGTTCACACTTCACCTGCTCTGGGGCTGGAGGACCACAAGCAGAACCAGAGTAGGCAGCCCTGGATATCCCTGACCAAGAAAATCGATGAAAGCAGCGTTGGCTTGATGGCTGTGCATCGCCTCAATCCTCATAGACAAAAAAGTGCAGTGAAGCAGGCAACCAGAGGGAAGGGGCACAAAGGAAAAGGAATTCTCTCTTTACCTACCGTGTGTCAGGCTCTGGGATTAGCAGCTTCATTAAATGTTATCTTCTTTGATTGTCATGGAGTAGGTGTTACCCCATCTACTTCGTCTTTCTTCCTTTATCAAAAGTGCTCAAGATCCAAACTTACAGTTTCAAAAACTAGCTATTTCTAAATGCCAAATACCTCTTTTCAATCATTTTTATTCAACTCGTGTTCATTTCGTGCCTGTTGTGTGCAAGGCATAATATGTACTTAGTTCTCAGCACGTGGATGTAAATGAGACAGATAAGGAAGAGGAAGGCTGCCTTCCCCACACTCACGGGTGAGCAAGAGCACAGGGAGGGAGGTCAGTGTCATCGTGACAGTGTAGAGTGAGGACAAGGAGGCTCAGCACAAGTGTGATAGGAGTAGGGGCATATGGGGTAAACTAAGGGCAGGTTCCAGTCTCAACCCTAAGGGTAACAAAAGCCTCTGAATGTTCTGATTTCAATTTCTAAAACCTCACTCTGGCTGCATGCAGAAAACAGATTGGAGAACAAGTGCTTAAGGAATGATGAAGAGTCCAGAGGTCATTACAATCATCTAAGCAAGAAGTGATGGTGTTCTGATAAAGAGAAGAGATAGTGGAAAGATATCTAGGAGATCAAATAGGAATTTAATGCTTGATAGATACAGAGAAGATGGATGAGGGAGGAAGAGGAGTCTCTTTGGGAATCACTCCTTTGTTACATGTGTTTCTTTTCTATAAATCATGCCCTGGGCTGCATATAATCAAACAAACAATCACAGGAAGTCAGTGACTTACAGTCTAGGAAGGAAATATATTATATATATGAAAACCAACTGCTGGCCAGGTGCAGTGGCTCACACCTGTAATCCCAGCACTTTGGGAGGCTGAGACCAGTGGAGTGCTTGAGCCCAGGAGTTTGAGACCATCTTTGGCAACATAGTGAGACCCTGTCTCTACCAAAAATACAAAAATTAGTCAGTCTCATAAGCTGGTCTCAAAATAAGTAATAAATAAATAAATGGATTTTAAAAAAACCAATTGCTTACTTTTATTGACCACTTAAATTCTAAGAGCTTTGCATTTATTAACTCATTTGATCCTTAAAACGGCTCTAGAAAGTTGATACTAGGTTAATACTCATCTTACAAATGAGGAAACTGAGAGAGAAGGAAGTAAGGTAACCTGGGCAGGTCTCACTCCATAGTTCACACTGTTTAACCATTATGATGGCATGGTTGGTGTGGTATAAAATAGGAGAGAGGTTGTTGCAGCTGGAGTCAGAGTTTGAGTAGCAGCTAGGAAACCTTCATAGGATAAGGAGCCCCTGAGTCCACCCTGGTTCCACAGGCTAGAACACTGACGTCCAAGCCAAAGAAATCACCATTTCAGTTCACGGAACTATTGGTCTAAGCAACAGTTTTTGAGCTGTACAACTGGGACAAATAAAAGATACAGTGGTAGGAGACAGAGATTCCCAATTCAATTTACCTCTGATGGCTCTGTATGTTGGGATGAGTCACAGATCTGTGGTAATGAAAGTGCTTGAAGATTAATGAGGCTGACTACAGTAAAAGTTAGCCAGGAGCTCAATGTCTAAGTCATCTCCTTCATTATTGCTTAAGTAATACCAGAGCAAAGATGAGAAGAGGAAAATCATTTAGGTAAATGTGACTGATGAGACAGTAGCTGTCACATTAGGTCATGTTAGTTAGTGTGCTGTTCTAAGGACTGGAAAAGTACAAGAGTAGTGAACAGTTTGCATATTCATTTTATTAGACCGTATTAGTTTACTATTTCCTGAACATTAGCAGGCGTTAGCTTTGGCTCTGTAGAACCCAATGGACACTGTGGTGCCATTTGGACAAGATTCAATTATTTATTAAATTTCACAAATTTCTCTCCTGACAATATTAACAGCAGTGGTGTAAAATCAAGGTGCACAGAAAGAAAGAAAACTAAGATGCAACTCTTATTCAACCTGGCTTTCTCCTCCATTGACTATTCCATCATCCTTTTCTCCTTACTGTGGTTTTATGGACTCTGCTGTTCTTTCCGCCCATTGCCTCTAAACCCATTCATTGCAGTCTAGTTCTTAATGCTTTATTGTTCTGCTATTGAAGACCACCAGGGATCTGCAAAGTTCCAGATGAAATGACCTCTCTTGGAGGTGCTTATTTGGTTTGACATAGCCTACCTGCTCCTCACCAGTTCCATGTCTCCTCAGATTCAATCGTCTCCTCAGAAGACGAGCCATGCCGTTCTCTAGAAGGCAGCCCCAGGTTCCTGTGGGCCCTGGGCACTTCTACTTTCTCTGGCCCCTTCTTTCACAAAAATATTTTAAAATTATATTTTACAATTGTGTGAGTATAAAGACAATTATTATATATTAAGCCATTTGTTTCAACCTAAGAGTTTTCACTTTTCTTCAGATTTTAGAATACATTAAAGCCTCTTTATGGTCCTGTAGTATCCTGAGCCCTAAGCACTGTGTCTCAGAGCCTGGGGGAGAGCCACCCCTGCCTGCTTCATTTTCTTCAGATCCCTCATCAGCTGGACACAGTGCTCTCCACTTGTTTGCTACCTGCCTTCCCCTCATGAAAGGGTGAGTCCCATGAGGTCAGAGGATCTGCTGCCTTATTCATAACTCTGTCCCAGCACTTAGAAGAATACCTGGTATGTTGCGAGGTTTTAATAAGCGTTTACTGGATGAGTTGATAATGAATGACTTTCTTTTTGAGTTTCTTCTCTTGGCCTCTGTATTTTTTTTTCTTTTTCTCTGTTTTTTGTTCCCTCTTCTTCCATCTTCCCTTCAAATGTAGCCGCAATTTCTCCAGAAAGTGTGTAGGTCCACACTTGCTGCGTGTTTCACACATTCCTCTTCTCAGTGCCATCTTCTCAACACGTATAAAACAAACTCGCTACCTTCTCCCTCTCTCGTTGGTGTTATTATCAGCATTGTTGCTATTATTATGATAGCTCCATTCTAGTAATGCCATTCTCATGTTTCCAGTTGCTCATGCCTGATACGAGAAGCCATCTTAGCATTCCCCTTCCACGTTGTATGGGATCCAATCTGTGCGCAGATTTGCTGGGCCTTCCCTGACTGTTTGAGGTGTATCTGCCTCCTCTCCATGTTGCCCACACATTCAGTAAGTTTTGTTTGTACAAGCGTACTGGCCTCTCAACCAGTTTCCAGGTCTCTTATCTTTCCCTTTCTTATTCCAGAAGTCACACTTCTTTCTAGAAAATTTCCTTAGTGACAATATTTGGTTGATGCCCATTGCAAACAAAGTAAATTTAAACGGCTCAGTTTGATATTTAACACCTTGGCTCCAACTTAAATGCCTAGCTTTATTTCTACCACTCCAACAGACTCTGTGGTCCTGCCATGCCTCTATGCTTAATAGTTCCTAAAAACATACTCTATATATTTTCTGCATTCTTTGTTCAAATTACTCTTTCTATCTAGAAGGCTACCCCCTACCCCCAATATACGTGCATCTGAATGCTCCAGTGGAGCACAAAACCCTGGCAGGTAGCAATTAGACCTTATACAACTCTGCCCCTCCTTGATACTAATACAGTGCTATACATACAGAAGCAAATCAATAAATGTTTATTAAGTGGAACTCCCAAAAATGAACAAAAGGAATGTAAATAAAAAGAGCAAAAACATCTACCATGGTATCATATTTTATATCAAGAAATGACAATTTTAACTTTTTAGGAAGAATACAATCAATAACTAAACAGCAATCGTCCATTTAGGTAAATCTACTTACATCAGTACAATGTTAAGCTTTATAACCATTTAGTATGACAAACTCAGGCAAAGCTAATTTCAACCTGGATGAATATTTCCATTTCAGAGATTAATCCAATCAAGTAAATTAATCAGTAACATCTGCCTTGTCTCAAGAAATGTCTTAATCACTGAACTAGCTTTAATGAGATAAGCAACTAATTGCATTATTCCTCTAATACAGGACAAGGACAGGTTAGGCTACAAAAAGGAATAATGTGCTTCAGTGTAAGAAAACACAGATAGTGTGCAATGTTAATTCAACCATCTAAGAATCTGGAGATGGTATTTATATTAAAGGCATGACACATCCCTCTTTTCATTAACCTCAAATTTTCTTATTTTATAAACAAACAAACAAAATATGTTTCTTGTGAAAAGTTTGCATAGCACAGCAAGCCAAACTGAGAACATGGTAATAATAACAATCCCACTACCCAGAGAAAATCACTCTTGGCATTTGTTGTAGAAATTTTGTCATTCTTTTGTTTTGTCCTTTATTTGTGAGTGTGTGTTATGTGTGTATGCATGTATAAGGTCATATATTCATTCTTTGCATATGCATATTATAGAATTTAGATCATACTGTACATATTTTTAACTGGTCTATTTTTTGAATAATATGTCACACCATCTCCCTATGTCATAAATATTGTTTTATAACATAATTTAAACAACTACATAGTAATCCATTTCCTTATTGTGCTATATCCAGAATGTTTTCAGTAGTTTGCTATTTCATAAACAGTACTCTGAACAGAGCCTCGTGCTTTATTTTATATATGTGCTGTTTTTTATTTCCTTAAGATGAATTCCTATGTGTGGAATTGCTGGGCCAAAAGATATATAAAACATTAAGACTTTTACTCATTATGGCCATACTCTTACACAATATATCAAATTAAACTGACATTGGCATTCCAGGGGTATGTCCACATGCTCTCAATCTTATTGATAATGGATGGTAACATATTTTACAGGTAAGACTGAGTTATTTAATATATTTGTTCCATCATTTGCATTTCTTATTTTGTGAACTTATTTTGCATACTCTTTGACCATTTTGCAAATGGAAACATTTTACTTTCCCTATTTCGTTTCAAAGAGTTCTTCATAGTCTTTTCTTTGTGAAATATTTCAATAGAGAATAAGGTGTAAAGGGTAATATAAAATACATTTGAATCTACCATTTAGCTTTATTGAGTCTTAACAATTTGCTCTACTTATTCTGGTCTTTTTTTTTTTTTCTTAAGCTCTACTACATTACCCATAAAGAAGGAGCTCTTGTTTGTCTCTCCCTCTCTCTCTCTTTTTTTTTTTTTTTTTTTTTTGAGACGTAATTTCACTCTGTCACCCAGGCTGGAGTACAGTGGCGTGATCTCGGCTCACTGCAATCTCCGCCTCCTGGGTTCAAAAGATTCTTCTGCCTCAGCTTCCTGACTAGCTGGGACTATAGGCGCATGCCACCACGCTCGGCTAATTTTTGCATTTTTTATTAGAGACAGGGTTTCACCATATTGGCCAGGCTGGTCTCAAACTCCTGACCTCTTCATCTGTCTGCCTCGGCCTCCAAAAGTGCTGGGATTTCAGGCATGAACCACCACGCCTGGTCTTGTTTGTCTCTACCTTGACGTAATTACTTCTTTCCACCTAAAGGGAATCCTCCTACTTCCTTTGGCCCTGCATACCTTTTATATATAATATTACTAAAATTGTGGGTATTTATATATGTGTAAATTATAAAATTTAGATTGATAATGTATAATACATATGTTTATACGTATTTAGACTGAGAGACTAAAGTCTAAGAATATGTGTAAAATAAATCTCTATATAAAACATAGTATATATGTGGATACTGCTAAAAGATCATGTTATACATATGTAATCACTAGTAGATTTGACTCATTGTATGTAATTGAAGATTCTACATCTATATCTGTAAATGAAGTTGGTTTATACACATCTTTTCTTGTGCTTTTGTTTTCCTATTTGGATATGAAGCTTATACTAATCTCACAAATAAGTTGGCTCTATTTCCTCCCCTTTTAGCTCTAAAATATTTTGTTCAAAAATGGATTCTCTGCTCTTTGAAGTGTTGGCAAAAAATTAGCTATAAAATTAAGTCTGCATTGCATCTAAAACTATATGCTTCTATCATTCAAAATATTGTTTATTTACTCTTTTTCTCTCTGTTCATTGATAATATTTGTTTGGATTTTATCCAGTTTCTTTGGTTTTATTATTTATTATTTGGTTTATTATGTTTTTATCTATCCTGTATGTTACAAGCATTTTTTCTAATTTACCATTCAAGCATCAGTTTTGTTTATGTACCTTTTCATATAGAAGAGTTTTTATATTTATAACTTTACTTCTATTTGTTTATTTTTGAGTGTTATATATCCTCTGGTGTCACTTGTTTTTATTTTCTAATTTAGCTATTTTGTATATTTAGATATTTAAAAAATTTTTAGTTTATATTGGAAACTGGGAATCTCAATGAATTTTTTTTCAAATGTTTTTCCAGTTGTTCTAACATCAATTATTAAGTTTTTACTTCACTAACTTGAAAATCCAGATTATTATTTCCCAAATTTTATGAACATTTGCCCCTATATCTATTTGAATTCATGGATCTCTCCCACAGCTTATTATTACATTTTATAATATCTTTTTTAAATGGAAGTAAAAATATGCACTGCTTTATTTTTTTCTTTCTTTAAAATTGTTTGGTCTTTCCTTTCAGACTCACCTTGTAATTATTTCCATATTCTCACCAAATTTTGTTTTAGAACTTAATCCCATTTACATTAAATACATTGATTAAAATAGATATGGAGTGCTCGCTTCGGCAGCACATATACTAAAATTGGAACGATACAGAGAAGATTAGCATGGCCCCTGTGCAAGGATGACACGCAAATTCGTGAAGCGTTCCATATTTTTGTGGAAGTCAGTGTGGCGATTCCTCAGGGATCTAGAACTAGAAATACCATTTGACCCAGCCATCCCATTACTGGGTATATACCCAAAGGACTAGAAATCATGCTGCTATAAAGACACATGCACACGTATGTTTATTGCGGCATTATTTACAATAGCAAAGACTTGGAACCAACCCAAATGTCCAACAATGATAGACTGGATTAAGAAAATGTGGCACATATACACCATGGAATACTATGCAGCCATAAAAAATGATGAGTTCATGTCCTTTGTAGGGACATGGATGAAATTGGAAATCATCATTCTCAGTAAACTATCGCAAGAACAAAAAACCAAACACCGCATATTCTCACTCATAGGTGGGAATTGAACAATGAGAACACATGGACACAGGAAGGGGAACATCACACTCTGGGGACTGTTGTGGGGTGGGGGGAGGCGGGAGGGATAGCATTGGGAGATATACCTAATGCTGGATGACGAGTTAGTGGGTGCAGCGCACCAGCATGGCACATGTATACATATGTAACTAACCTGCACAATGTGCACATGTACCCTAAAACTTAAAGTATAATAATAAAAAAATAAAATAAAATAAAATAGATATGGAGTAATATTTTTATAGTATTGTTTCCACATTCAAGAAAGCAATATGTCATTTTCTTTCATTCAATTTTTCTGTTTTGTATTTGTTTAGTGAATTTTTGTTGTTTTCTTCATAAATATCATTTAAGTTTTCTGTTAAATTTATTCATACATATTTTATAGTTTTCCACATATTGGGAATGGAATTGTTTCTGCTTGTTTGCTTTCACTAATTTGTGTGTGTGTTCCAGGTTCTTGTTCTCTTTCAGGAAAATTTGAAACAACTGCAAATAATTGTTGATATTCATTCTCCAGCCTGATTAATTATGTGATGTGAGCTTTTGGCACACATTGCCAAAATTTAGCCATGGCGATGCTTTCATTTTCAGATAGTTTTGTGATTTTAATAAAGATCCCACACAGCTGAGTCTTGGGAACCCTGAGGAGCTTGGCTCTTGGTGAGGAGGGGTTCCCATCTGCTGCAGCTACTCAGTTCAACTGCAGTGCCATGTTCAATTCAAGTGCGTTCCCAGTTCTTGGTCAAATGGCCCCACGTGCCCTCATCTTATCCTAATGGCCCTGTGAGGTTGGAATTACTTTTGTCATTCTGAGGAGAGCGTCCTTTAGTTCAGAAGGTGATATACCTTCTGAACATGGGTCAAGGTGCTCTTTCTGTCACATAACATAATTTGGAATTTCATCCATTGCTTCAAAGAACAGGAAGAAAGCATAAAGAGTATCTTAAGTTTTTTCATGGGGTTAAGCTTTGCTTTATGTGGCTTATTACTACCATGAGAAACTTGGGAATGGGAAATTAAATTTAGCATGTGTTCCTGCAGAAAATATGCACTATAAATATTGCCACTAAACAATGGCATCTAGCTCAAGTTCATTATAAGGAGATCTCTCAGTCACCTTGGACAATTGACATTCTGTTCTCAATCATACTATTTGCTTATTGAATAAATAGGCATTAAAGTCTGTTGTCTTCAATAAGAACCATTCTTACATTCATAAGTGACAAATTATATTTGTGTATTCTCTTTTTTCTCTGAAGCTAATTGTTGAGTAAATGTGATTTAGGTCTATTTTTTTAGAACATGACTTTTATGTATAATAATTTAATGAGAATCACCAGGGCCTGAGATTTAAGGGCTTGAAAAAACTAATCATTAGTTTAGAAATAGAAAAGCTAAAATGGCGAAGGGTATGAACAGACACTTCTCAAAAGAAGACATTTATGCAGCCAAGAAACATATGAAAAAAAGCTCATCATCACTGGTCATTAGAGAAATGTAAATCGAAACCACAGTGAGATACCATCTCATGTCAGTTAGAATGGCGATCATTAAAAAGTCAGGAAACGACAGATGCTGGAGAGGATGTGGAGAAATAGGAACACTTTTACATTGTTGGTGGGGGTGTAAATTAGTTCATCCATTGTGGAAGACAGTGTGGCAATTCCTCAAGCATCTAGAACCAGAAATACCATTTGACCCAGCAATCTCATTACTGGGTATATACCCAAAGGATTATAGATCATGCTACTATAAAGACACATGCACATGTATGTTTGTTGCAGCACTGTTCACAATAGCAAAGACTTGGAACCAACCCAAATGCCCATGAATGATAGACTGGATAAAGAAAATGTGGCACATATACACCATGGAATACTATGCAGCCATAAAAAAGAATGAGTTCATGTCCTCTGCAGAGACATGGATGAAGCTGGAAACCACCATTCTCAGCAAACTAACACAGGAACAGAGAACCTAATACCGTGTGTTCTCACTCTCAAGTGGGAGTGGAACAATGAGAACACAGGGACACAGGGAGGGGAATATCACACACTGGGGCCTGTTAGGGGGTGGGGGGACTAGGGGAGGGATAGCATTTGGAGAAATACCTAATGTAGATGATGAGTTGATGGGTGCAGCAAAGCACCATGGCACGTGTATACCTATGCTACAACCCTGCATGTTCTGCACACATATCCCAGAACTTAAAGTATAATTTTTAAAAATTTAAAGAAAAGAAAAGCTAAAATGACATAAATCCACGAACATAGAAGAAATTGAGTCAGGGTCGGGGGGGTTTAAATCCAAATCTAAAGATATTATTAATGAAATTTTGAAACACTTTAAAAAACATAGAAGAATAGACTTAGCCTATATAATGTATTTTCAGAAGGTTGAGGACAGCTCTCCAGCTTTGAGAAAATAGATCTTATCTACTCAACTATTAATACCTGTTATTTCTGTCGGGTGAGTAAGAAAAAAGCATGAAGTTCACCAAAGGATGCCATGAAATCATACTGATGACACTCATTAAGAAAGTTATTTCTTTAGTAGAAACAAGTTTTATGCTAACTCATCAAAACCACATTGTCAAGCCTCAAAATATCCTTCATTCTCTTATTCAACAAATATTTATTGAGCAATATTAAGTATAATAGCTTGTGTTCTCAAAAAGATTAGTAAAATGAGATTGGAAGAAAAATTAAATAAATGAAATGTACTTTAGGCAAAAAAAGAAATAATGGGTGGTGATAGGTCTTACATAAGAAGGTGCTATTGCACACAAAGGAAGGGGCAGTTAAACACTGAGGGAGGAGGTGCTATTCAGAGAAGGTATCGGAAACGATGCAACATCACTTATGCTGAGAGAAGACGGAGAAGGAGGAAGGAAGGAAGAAGAGAGAGAGGAAGAAGAAGGAGAAGAAGAGGAGGAGGAAGAGGGAGGGAGGAGGAGAAGGAGGAGGAGGATGAGAAGGAGGCAGAAGGAGAAGGAGAAGGAGAAGGAGAAGGAACAACTAGTAGTTAGCCAGCCAACTGAAAGGCAGTGGGAATGCATTCCCAAAAGGGGAAATCGTCTTAGCGACCGCTGAGAGGTGGGCAAGGGAGAAGCAGAGAAAGGTGGGGATTGAAGGTGGGAGGTAAGGGGGTGACAGAGACATAAGACAGGGCCCAGAAAACAGAAATAGGGCTTGTGATGCACTTAGAGGAGACAGGGCTGTGGAGTGTGAGAGGGCTGGGGAGAGAGCTGTAAGACACCGGCTAGGTAAGCAGGCCCAGATCATCCTTATGAACTAGACCTAGGAGTTTGGAACTTTAAATGGGGTATTGCTATGAATAGATGTTGGGCAATGTGGAGAATGAAATGGTAGGTACTGTTAAAGAAATGTGTTAGAGATGGTAAGGAAGTTGTTAAAAGTGGGGCTATTACAGCAGAGTTGCTATTAGGGGAGAGATTGGGCCCAACTCTCAATAGGAAAAGTGGGAATTTACAGACAAGGCACAGATGAGGGTCGGTGAATGGAAAATTACTGAGAGGAAATATCAGGGATAAGATGGGATTCTGGCTAAACTGACCTAACAGGATTCTTGCTGAAAGGAGGCCAGGGTGCACCAACATCACCTGGGGGATGGCGGAGGGTGAGAAACCCCATCAGATATCAAGGATGATCAGATGATCCAGGTAGAGAATTCTGGCTACACTAACAGTAGTCTTGCTAGAACTAAACCCTTCAAGGAAGGACACAGGAGCCCAAGGTTTGGCCTAGTCAGAAAGAGAGCTCAGAAGAGTCTGACTAGAGCTTGATGAAGGAGAGACTCTTTGTCAGTATATTTATGCTCAATATCATATTCTTGTTATAGGGGCAGAAAGCATCACCTCTGCAACAAGCATTGACTGCTCTCAATGCACTTTCTCAGTTCACTTGCCCCTTCCTTTATTTTGGCAGAAATCCTTTGCAGATAGACCTTGTTTCTTTTTTCCCGAAAATGGCCTTTTTTTTAAAAGGAATGTTTAGTTAGTTTCAATTTATATTGACAAAATTAAGCAGAGTTTTTGCTTTGTTTTGGTTTTCCAATGTTCCACTTTTATTAAGGGATTTCAGTCTCCTTCTTAGCTCTTTGGACTTTAAAGACTCTCAGGTTTTGCCTTCTCATTTCCTACAGAGTAGGGAAGAGATCCCAAATATTGGGAACACAATGGATAGGAATATCTGGTTTCTAAAACAGAGACTATTGGAAAATTGTCAGAAATGCTAGTGGAAAGTTTATCCTGTTCCTGCATTTCATAAACAAACACTTATTAACCATGGTGTGCTACAAGGTGATTGGAGACTTTAAATGTTTGGATTTTTTTTTTCATATCCCTAGTCCTTGAGAAATACATAATCTGAGCAACAAGAAAGGTGGAGAGACTAAAACAGATGAGAGGAAAATAGAAAATGTTTCTCTCCATGCAGCCAAAGTAGGGAAGGGTGGTTACAGCGAGGAAGGGGTTGTCCTGTCTTATTTGGCACAAAATCCACATAAAATTCAACTTGGTTTCTTTCAAATATGGCAGAGAATCTTATTTGTTTTTAAGATGCCTCTAAATCAGAATTTAAAATAACTCTGGCTAACAGGGCTAAAGTGTCCCTTTGTGCTGTCTGAGAAATGAACAGCTTACACAGCAATCTAAAACTGTAAGCAAGGAAAATGCTTAAGTCTTGAAACTATTTTAGGGCAATTTAGAAAACCACTTTATATGTAAATTTTGGTCCTGAACACTGAATATGCTCATAAATTATCCATTTATTAAAGTATTTTCTTCATATAAGACCTTCCCCTTCCTACCCATCAGCATCTTCACAGACTGCGCTTAATGGGCTTTAAAGTAATTAACTGAAATATCTTAATATTCTAAAATCAAAAATTTTCCCTTATCACATTGATGGTCTCCAAATTTCACCCTGCAAAGAATTTGCCACAATTGCAAACCTAGTGTTAGAAAGGTAAGACAAGTCAGGTGAATAAGTTTTAAAAAAAGTATTATAGTTCACCAAAGGACGTCACTGTATGCTTCAAAGCATGGGGTCAGGGACATACAACTACAATAAGGCATGGGACAGTCTTTAGAAAAACAAATTCAACACAGCTGGATGCTATGGCACAGCACTTGTAGACCCAGCCATGCAGGAGACTGAGGAGGAAGGACTGCTTGACCCAGGAGTTTCAGTCCAGCCTTAGAAACATAATGAGACTCCATCTCTGTGGGTAAAATAAAAATAAAAGTAAATGCAACACAGATGTAAGCTATTCTTCTTGTTGAAAATAACAACTCATTTATTCTCTCAATTATTTTGGATTTATCCTAAATATTCGTTTCCCATGTTGTCAGTCTGTTGGTGAATCATAAAATGTCCATGCTGAAAGGGATGGTGGTGGATACAATTTGGTCTGAGTGTCTGCCAACCCATGCTAGCGGGTTAAATGGCGGTCCCCGAAAATACATGTCCATGTTCTGATCCCCACAACCTGTGAATATTTACTGTATATGGTAAAAGAGTGAATATTAACCTTATAAGGCAAAAAAAGTTGTGATTAAGCTAAGGCTTTTTCAAGGAGAAGTTTATCCTGGGTGATCAGGGTGGACCCTGAATCCAATAATAGGTGTCCTTATAAGAGGAGGCAGAGGAAGATGACACAGAGAAAAGAACAGGAGGCAATGTGCCTGTGGAGTCAAGGACTGGAGTGATGCAGACACAAGCCCAGGGAGGTGCGGCCTACAGATGCTGATACAAGCAAACCGCAATGAATCCTCCCCGACAGCCTCCAGAGGGGCATGGCCCTGCCCACACCTTGATTTCAGGCTTCTGGCCTCTAGAACTGTGACAGAATACATTTGGGTTGTTTTCAACCACCCAGTTTATGGTAATTTGTTAGAGAAGCAATAGGAAACTAAGACAGTGTCTCATTTCACAGGAAAGAAAGGGCTGAGGGCCACCGCCTCAACTCAGACGACCACTGATAACAGAGACTGAGGTGCAGGGCAGGCTTCCTCTTACCTGGACTCCAGGTCAGCACCAGAGGCCACTCCCGTGCCCTCTCTCTGGCCGCCATTCTACTTGACCTTTCTACCACGTTTGACACGATTGATCTTTCCCTCCTTTCTTGGATCCCACGACACCAAGCTCTTCAGAGTCCCCTCCTATCTCCACCCTCTTTTTCCCTCTATTTGTTTTATTTTGCCTTGGTCTTTGTTTCCGTGGCCACCTTGTATGGTTCAGCCCAAGCACTGTGCTGTGGTCTTCCTGATCTTAGCATTTCTCTGAGGGACCTCATTTGATTCCAGTCACGAAGTCTCCCCGGAACTCCAGTTGTGTTGTTTCAGCCTTCAGTTCTCTTTGGAGCTCTTAACCCCTTTCACAACTTACTTGGTGGCTCACTCTGCTTGGACATTCCAGGGTGTCTCCATCGTAACGTGCCAGAAGCTCAGCTCCCCTTCTTCTCCCTCAAACCTGCTCTTGCTCCTTCCTTCCCTGCTTCAGTTACCTGCACCCATCCTGGGCATTTTACAATCATGGCTCCTTAGCTTCTATAAACTGCCTCCCAAATGTCTCTTCCCTCTGCCCACTAGCCCCTGTCCTAATGTAAAAGTTCATTAATTCTGATGCAGAAAACTGCAAGAGCCTCTAAGTGGTTTTTCTCCCACCTCCACCTTTTGTATGTCTCTCAGATACACCCCTCGTGTTCATTCCTATTGCTGCTGTAGTAAATCACTACACACTTTGTGGCTTAAACAACACATATTTATTATCTCATATTCCATAGTTCCATAGTCTGACAAGTATCACTGGACTACAACCAAGGTGTGTCATCAGGGTCGTGTTTCTGGCAGCTCTAGAGGAGCATCCGTTTCCTTGACTCTTTCTTGGGGATCTATATAAACCCACAGAGAAGGGACCTCCTTTGCCATTCAGTACCCAGGATCTCCTCTAAAAGGCCTTCCTTCGTGTTCAATCTGCTCACCTTAAAGAAGGAAGGGGATGGAATGCAACAAGAGCTTGTTTCTTCTTCAGAAATTAGCCATTCCTTATGACTTGAGGTCACAGCTAGATGACAGGAACTGCACATGTGTTTTATGGAATCTCAAGTCATCACCCTTTTGCCTAACTTTCCACCAGAGAACACAGATTAGTAGGAATTTTTTTCAGTTTGCAGAGAAACAAACTGCAGTTTATAGAAGCCTGTTTAAAACTGCCTGCCTTTGCAGGCTAACCTCAAAGTAACCAAGTAAAAAGTTTAAAAATAAAAATCTTATCACCTTCAGGAGCAGGTGGTATTTTAGATATCAGCTCAAACCTTATCCAAATAGTCTCCAAAATGATTCTTCAACATGAATATTTTGAAAGAAGTGATTCTTCAAGATAGCCTTCTGCTGGAGCTCTTTGGATACATCATTCCTCCAAATCAGTTTTCTTTCCTCAAAGGCTTCTTGTTCCCCCGGACTTCTCTTTCTGCCTGTTTTTGCTGGAAACCATTGTCTTCATAACATCTTGTATCGGAATTAAGTTAAACAATGCCCTGCTCACCTACACCATCTTCATCCTCTTAACAGCCCCCTTGAAGGCTCATTAGGTCTAGACCCAAACACAGAGAGAGATGAGCTGCTTCTCTTAAGAGAGTTGATTTAAGATACAATTCTTCAAATTAACTTTTAAGTTAGAATGTTATACCTGTGACATTTCAGCCAGCAGGAGAGGTTTCCCACTAGCGAGATAATTTCTGTTGTTTTCAATTCTAACTTCAAGGTTTTGAAATTCAACCAAAACCTCAAAATGTGGCCTTTCTAGTTGAGTGTAGAAGGAGCGATGCTTCCCCTGTGTGGCAGAGTTTGATATTTCACCCTGTGGAAACCAGATTTACAGACAAAACAAAAGGGAGAAGCAAGCGCTGTTAAGAGATTTATATTTTTATTTTAAACAGCTCATATTGTAATTTTCTTTTTGGACAAAAAGCCTAGACCAAAAAGCTGATAGCAATTTTATAATATACTTAGAAAAATTTTCACTTGCTTTTCTTCTAAGTTTCAGAAGTTAGTAAGTAGCCCTCAGTCACTGTAAAAATAAAGAACATTATTTAATGTTATATAGTGCTCAAGGGGAAAGCAGTGATAAGTTCATATATCTCTCCAGCTCTTATGTTTTATGAAATAATTATAAAAATAAAATTAAAATAATAATATCTATGCAAACAAAGTAAAATCCCCATTCTTCAGAAAATGGTATATAAGACACGCAAAAAATTGAAGTCGAAGAGTCCCAGGAGGAGAGTCAGCATCACCTGCCTAGGATGTCACTCTTCAGAACCCCTGAGACAGAGGGCAGGCTGGAGGGCCTCGTGGGTAACCCAAACGAAGACACAGGCCATGTGACAGCAGCAGCACTTATCACGGGAGATCCAAGGAGATCCACCAGAGACACACAATTGTCTCGAGCCTTGTTTCTCTGAGTGTGCTCCCTGGACTAGCAACATAGGCATCCCCTGGGAGCTTCTTGGAAATACAGTGTCTCAACCTTACCTCTGCATTTTAACAAGATCCTAGGTGATTCCTGTGCACTTTAGTGTTTGAGAAGCCCTGGGATAGAACAACTGGACCAACCAAAACCCCATGAGGGAAGAGATGTCATGGTCAAAGAAAACATCTCTGATTAAAATGTGAGTCCCAGAATAAAAGAGACAAAGGCAAGTATCCAAACTGATTTGCAATCAGTTTCCCAAGGACAAGGAGTGACTTCCAGGGGTAATAGAAGCAGGGGTTCATTTACTTAGCAATGATTTTTAATTCTCCTGAGCAATCTTTGATAAGTCAACCTGGAAGAAGTCATTGTAGGAATAGCAGTGGTGATAACAGTGGCAACACTAATATTGATAAACACCTGGTAGGCACTCAGCATTGCTGGGATCTGTGCTCAGGGCTTTATGTGCATTGTTTAATTGAACTCTGTTAACAACAGAGGTAGTGAAACTGTAGTGCACTGAGATTAGTCCTGTGCCCCAGGCAAGGAGCTAGTAGGTGGAGAAAGCAGGATTTGAACCCCAAGTTCTTAGTCTAACATGGGCTACAGCAAATTTGTGCCAGACATATACAAAACTAGCAAGGCATTTCTCAAACTTAAGTGTATATATGACATAGCCTGAAAAGTTTGTTAAAATGCAGATCCCTGGGCCCCAGTGCCAAACTTTTGAATCAGGGAGCCTAAAGGTAGGTCTGTGATTTTATTTTATTTTATATTATTTTTATTTTATTTTTTTTGGAGACAGAGTCTTGTTCTGTTGCCCAGGCTGGAGCACAGTGGTACAATTTTGACTCACTGCAACCTGCACCTCCTGGGTTCAAGCAATTCTCATGCCTCAGCTTCCCAAGAAGCTGAGATTACAGGCATGCACCACCATACCCAGCTAATTTTTGTATTTTTAGTAGAGACTGGGTTTCGCCATGTTGGCCAGGCTGGTCTCACACTCCTGGCCTCAAGCAATCCACCCACCTTGGCCTCCCAAAATGCTGGGATTACAGGCATGAGCCACCACACCTGGCCTGAATCTACTTTTTCAACCATTACCTCCAGGTGATTCTGAGATGAGTGGTGCAAGAATGCTGCAAAGAAACACTGCCCCAGTAACAGTGGAGAATAGCAGATTTCATCTGATTTATAGATTGAGTTCATATGTGAGATATTAGCTGCACAAAAGATTCTGCACTTTAAAGATGGTTGAAAATTGACCTTAGCTTAACATTGAGAGTTCACTACCTACCCTCTCGGGCCCATCTCCTGTCGTGCTTAGCCTAGAACACAGAATTCCACATGGAGGCTCTTGTTTTTACTGAGATACTTGGGAAAATGGCAAGAAATTTAAGGATTTAAGAATATTTCACATCAGGATTTTTGCTGTGGCTTCCTCTTAGCATTTATCAATATCTGCAGGGCTTTCTTTTATGATGAAAAACACTACCATTTTTCTAATATTCAATTTCTCATTTTAAAATTGACATTATTTTAAATATGCTCATACTGTTTATATCAAAACTACATCAAAGCATATAACTGTAATAAATAAGGTATCTCAAAGCATCTAAAACCTATTTGAAAACAAACTCTTTGAAAGTCAAATATGTCAGATTCTCTTAAATACTTAAAATTTCTTAAAAGCAAACAAAATTATCATAAGGTATTACAGTAAGGAGTCACTTTAGTTGCACTAACAGTGATTTTTAAGTGCCATTAGTATAGATTTCAAAGCGCTTCTTCATAATCTCCATTCCATTCTTATTCTTATTTCTTTCTACGGGTACCTTATTTGGAAATAAGGTCATTGCAATTGTAATTAGTTAAGATGAGATCATACCGGAATAGGTTGGGCCCCTTATCCAATATGACCGGTGTTCTTATAAAAGGGGGCAGTTTGGGTACAGACACACAAGGAGAATCCATGTGAAGATGAAGGCAGAGATCCTGTTGATGATTTCACAAACCAAGGAATGTCACAAGACGGTTGGCAAACTATCAGAAGTTAGGAGAGGTGTGGAGAAGATTCTCCCTCACAGCACTAGAAGAACAAACCCCGCCAACACATCAATTTTGGATTTCTAGCCTCCAACTGTGAGACAACACATGCCTGTTGTTTAAGCCACCCAGTTTGTGGTCCTTTGTAACAGCAGCCCTAGAAAACTGATGCAAGTAAAACTTTCCCCACTTCATCCAGAGGAGCCGGGCAAAGACCACAAACCAGGGGATTAGGTGCAGGTTGACAGTGTGAGGACTGACACCATGGAACTGAACAAAAGATTTCTTTCTAAGCAACAGAGGATAAGGGGTGCCTCCCTGGAATTCTGATTATGGATGTGAAACTTAATGTGGCTCTGTATTTTGGAGATTTATGATCTTAGAGGACACTGTGCAAGTCAAGGATATTAAATAAACAGATTCATAACTGGGTTTCTAATGCTTTTTTATTTGCTCATTATAATAGAGGATACTTAGAATATGGACCATTTTTTAATCACTTCTAAAACTGTAGTATTTTGAAAGCACCAAAAACCTTTAAGATGTCTTAACTCCTTAATAACTTCAAGGACTATTTACTTCTTCCTTTTTAACTTTTGTGGGTGGCTCTTCCCAGGAGTATCACCATGGAGTTCCCAAAGTGCTTGACCCTGGATTCAAATTCTCCCAGAGAAGGACTGGGCTGCCCCTGGGACATTTCTGCCCAAATCTCTCACTCATTCTCACAGGGCCCTTTTGTGGTTACACTTTGCCTCCGGATTAAAAATGCCCTAAATTATCAGGTCTGACAAATGAGGAATGCTTTGGATTCTTTTACAGCCCCTATCTTCTCCCAATAGTTACAACTGTTCCCAAATGTCCCATCTTCCTAAAACAGCCAAATAGGAGCCAGGGGCTTACTCCAAGAGAGGCCAGGTCCGGGTCAGCAAACCTAAAGCTTTGGTTTATTTGGTCTCTTGAAATGACATCATTTCTCCTCACTCCCCACCAAGGCCACCATACTGACAGCCTCCACATGGGCTCAGGACCTCACGTTCTACTCTTGCCAGGGTGGGGCCAACCTGCTTACCCTACCACTTAGGGAAAAGTAACAAAAGCCTTGGACCCACTCCCCTGAACCCCCGTACTCATCCCACTCAAACCTGCAGCATTCGCTGTTTCCACTGCCTCAGCCTGTGCCCCTGCTGCCACCTACATGCCAGTCAAAGGCACTGCATCTACTGCCCTAACAGCAATCATGGCTTTTACCTTGATTCTAGAAGTCCACAGGAGGGTCAGTAAACGTGGTAGGGATGCAAGTTCTGAGCACAAAAACAAGGGTGCTCTCCAATGTGGAGAGGTAATCTCTCCCCGTCCCCAGCCTAGCATCCCACAGAAGAGCAAGGTGCAGGTCAGTGGCCTGACAGGCCTCAGGCAATGGAGGAGGCTGTCTGTGGCTGTGGAGCTGGGATGTTGTTGACACCTGAGCCTCTAGTCATGAAGACCCTGTGAGAAACCCGAGCAGATGATGGTTGTCAGGTTGTCTTCACAGGCAGGCACTGACTGACCTCTTCATCACAAACATTGACTGGTGCTGGGGGACCCTCAGTTCACCCTCACAGGTGGGTGCTGACTGGTGATGGAGGGTCCCTCAATTCATCCTCACAGATGGGCGCTGACTGGTGATGGGGGGGTCCTCAGCTCATCCTCACAGGTGGGCGTTGACTAGTGATGGGGGGTCCTCAACTTCCTCTCAGGTGGGTACTGGTGAGGGGGGTCCCTCAATTCATCCTCACAGGTGGGTACTGTTGATGGGGGTCCCTCAGTTCACTGTCACAGGTGGGCACTGGTGATGGTGGTCCCTTCAGTTCACTGTCACAGGTGGGCACTGGTGATGGCGGTCCCTCAGTTCACTCTCACAGGCGGGTGCTGACTGGTGATGGGAGACTCCTCGCACCTCATCCCCACAGGTAAATCCTGTTGTTTGGGTTTAATACTACCGTTTCCTCTTCCCAACCATCTTCCTTTTTTTTCTTTTTTTTTTAAATATATATATATATTTTTAAATTATACTTTAAGTTCTAGGGTACATGTGCATTGTAGCACTACTCACAATAGCAAAGACTTGGAACCAACTTCCTTCTTTTTCTAAAAGACCTTGCCCTGCCCCCTTGGATAGGAGAGAGCATATATCCCAATCAGACCAACCACAATGTTCTGCAGGACTTTTGTTAAATTTACTTTTATTTTTATTTATTTTAATTTTGAATGAAAGCCACCAGAGTGTGCAATCCATGGGACTGTTATGTAAAGTTCATGTGAATACTGTTCCATGCATGTGGCATCTTTGGAGAATGTGGGTCTGGACTCCAAGAAACATGTTCCCCATTTATGGAGAATGAAAGTCTATAGAAGGAGAGAACAAAAATAACACACCAGCAGACAGAGAAAGCCAAGGGAGAGAGAGAAGGAGGGAGAGAGATGACAACCTCACTCCAATAGTCGATCTTCTCATTCCTAATCTCCTCTTTCTCAGACATTTCAAGTAATCATTTTTTGCTTAGGTTAATTTAAGTTAATTTGTGTCTCTAGAAGGCAAGGGAATCCTGCTTAGTAAGTCCAGCATGGGGAGAAGGTCTTTGGATCAGACAAGCATTAACAAGGGCTGGGAGGGGCGAGAGTACCTATCTTTCAGGGCTGCATGACTGTTCCAAGGTGGTTCTATATTTTATCTCATTTTCTTCTCACATATCCAAGTGATTTTCACTGCTGTTAGTCTTGTTTCCAGCTGAGTATCTTGCCTAAGACCATGCAGCTAATAGTAGGCAGAGGAGTTCGCAGGGCCCTCCCACCTCACCAGTGTCCTGCAGTGAGCTTGCATGCTCATTGCCCTGCTCTGTCTCCAGAAGCTCCTAATTCCTGCCTCTGACAAGGCTCAGGAATGAACTATTCCTTAGACCGTTGAATTAAACACTGCTTAATTTCTACCTGTAAGGTACATGCATGCCCCCATCCCATAAGCTTCTAATCCCCTTATTGACCTCCTACAGTAAAGGGGTCTTAGGGGCAACCTTATTGAACTATTTGAGTCAAACATTTGGTGCTACAACTTATCAGGAACTGCTGGTGCATAAGGCCACTGCTTTTGCCAATCTATCCCATTGCTCACAGGGGTCCAGGTGGAGGGTGCCCTATTGCTACTGGAAATCTAGCCCTTACTGTTAGAGGCAGGATCATTTTGTTGTCTGACAGATCTTGCAATTTTAAATATTTCCTTTTCCTGAGCTATGTAACCCACCGAGGTTTCCAGGATGTATTTGGCTTGTAGTCCAAAACAACTGTTTGACATGCTGAAGAATGTTTTATCACTTCTCCAAAGAAGAAAAAGTGGATTTGATAAAGATTATTTCCCCGAGGCTCAGTGTCACTTGGTGGCTCACCTCCCATAGCTGCTACAGGCAAAATTACATCCACTTTTTAAAATATCTTCCATGACAATGTTCTCTTTGAAAAATTAGGTCTGGGCCTCTGCCAGCTGGAGATCTGATGTAACCAAAGATCTTAATCCAGCTAGAGAAAGAAATTCACTGAAAACAGAAAGCAAACTGGGGTGAATGTGCTGTTTGCATTCCTACTGAGAAATAAGATCTGACACCATGCATATCTGGGAAGGACTCCCGCCAGAGCTGTGGGAACCTTGCTTCACAATAGGAAATCTGGTTTGAGAAAGAAACCACTCTGTTTCTCTGTCTGACAAGATGGAATCCTTCATTTCCTGATGTTCTCATGTTAATCCCCTAAGCAAGACTGGCTGGCAAACAGCACTGCTGAGATGAGGGATGAAAGTTCTAGAGAGGAAATGGAGACAGTGTTAGGTGCTGGCCCCTGTCCGTGAATTCACTGTGAGTCATGTTTTTTCTCCATTTGTTCCAAACTCCAAACTGTTTGAGCAAGACAAATTAAAATTTGGGGAAATTACAAAAAATAAAACTTCAGATATCACCTCCAAAATATTAGGTGGTACCTGGCACTCTTTTAGTAAAACTTGAATCCCTATTGAAGCTTTTTGGAAACTCTGAAATGATAGTCCTGATTAAAGCCACCCAACAAAGTTCAAAGGAGGAAGAAAATAGTCTTTGAAATTATTAAAGAGCCAAGCCATTTGAAAACATGTCTGTACTTTCAAGATACTAAATAATTTTTAAAATAATGGTCTATATGCTCATACTTCATAAGGATATAGAATTCTTTACTATCTATTTATGAGCAAATAAAAAGCATTTTTAAAAATACGATTATAAATTTGTTCATTTAATGTTTTTCACTTCTGCATTAGTGCTTTCTAAGACCATAAATTTCCAAAATGCAGAAACACATTGAATTGAGTTTCATGTTCATAAACAATAAATTCCAGGAGACACCCCTTATCATCTGTTGCTTACAAATAAATATTTTATCCACTTAGAGAAAGAGGTACTCTGTGGCCCCCTCAGTGAGATCATCTCAACCTGCGGAGAGAAACTATTCACCTGATCCTGTAGCAGCCGTGCAGTGTTGAGAGGAAAGTTCTCTGAGTGTTTTTTTCCTGATACCTGACATCCCTCTCAAATGTATGCGTCTTAGTTTAGAATTCCCTGTCTACCTGTAAGGTACGTGCATGTCCCCATCCCATAAGCTTCAAATCCCCTTGTTGACCTCCTACAGCAAAGGGGGCTTAGGGGCAACCTTATTGAACTATTTGAATCAAACATTTGGTGCTACAACTTATTGGGAACTGCTGGAATCACTGTGCCCACACAGGTCACAAGCATGCTATCCATACCTGAGCACTGGAACCAGCCCTCAGAGCTGTGGAGCAGCTGGATGCCAGCCTTCAGCACCCATGGAGCCGCTTCTGCTAATGGCCACAGTGGAGAACTTAGAAATGAGTGATTTCTATGGTATAGGAATTATATCTCAATAAAACTGTTATTTTTTTTTCCAAAAAACATCTAGGGATTTATATTTAATATTGACTCTAAATCAGTGATCCTCAAACTCAAACAAGCATCAGCATCACCTGGAAATTTGTTCAAACACAGATTGCTGGGCCTCACCCTCACTGTTTCTGAGTCAGTAATTCTGGGGTGGTCCTGAAACTTTGCATATCCAATATGTTTCTGGGTGATTTTGATGCTGCTGCTCTGGGGGTTGCACTTTGCGAACCACTGCTCTAAAACAGCAACTTTTTGAATCAAGAAAAGCACTTGCTACGAACCAAAGCCTGCCTCCTATTTCTGTGTGGTCTGTGGTTGGCATAGGCTGATACCTGAGAGGATAAAGAAACCAGAAGAGCAGCGAGAGTCAGCCAAGTCAAATGACCCTGTCAGCAGAACTAAAAACCATCCTGCCTCCCGACTGAAACAGTGCTGACAATAGCAAGGACAAGGTGTAGCTCCGAGAGTTGTTTATGAGCAACTGTGAACATACCTTTATAATCACTCGTCCTTAGAACTGGAAAAGCAAACAACTTTTGGGGGAACCATGTGTTCTTTTGTGGCCACAGACTAATGGAAGGAAGCCCCCATTCTCACTTATGCCTTTTTTTCAGGTAAGGGCATATCAACCTTGCAATCATATTAGAGTCTTTATTTAATTGTATTAGTCCATTCTCACACTGCTGCAAGGACATACCCAAGACTGGGTAATTTATAACGGAAAGAGGTTTAATTGACTCACAGTTCCGCAGATCTGGGGAGGCCTCAGGAAACTTATAATCACGGTGGAAAAGGAAGCAAACTCGTCTTTCTTCAAATGGCAGCAGGAAAGAGAAATGAGTGCCCAGTAAAGGAGGAAGTCCCTTCTAAAACCATCAGATCGCATGAGAACTCACTATCACAAGAGCAGGATGGGAAAACCACCCCCATGATTCAATTATCTTCACCTGGTCCCACCCACAACATGTGGGGATTATGGGAACTACAAGATAAGATTTGGGTGGGGACACAGTCAAACCACATCATTAATTAACATATTTCTCTTTTTTGTAATTTTTTTGTAACAAAGTGAGAGATTCTTAACCGAAAAACTATATTATGAATTTAAACAAATGGCAGGCACTTTGGATAGCTCCCTCTCCTCACCTTTCCTCCCTTTCTGTGTCATGATTCCACAGCTTACCAACTGTGTGGCCCAAGCCTCAATTTTTAAATCTGTACAATGAAAGTATGATACTACTTCTGAGGGCTGTCAAGAAGATTAAATGAGATAAAGAACATTCCCAACTTAGAACGGGGCCTGCTATGCAGCAAGCCCTTCATGTTAGTGGGTTCTGGAACCTGACTGCCTTCAAGTTCTTCAGATCCAGGAGTTGCCATCCTGTACTATAATCTCAAATAGCAGAGTCTCCTCTGCCCCACCCTGTGTGCCTATAAAAAATGACAAGTGGGGATTTCTGGGAATCTGGGGAAAGCACAGCCATTCTCCAAATCAGTTCTGGTTGCCGTTTGTCATCTCTTGCTCCAGCCCTGTAGCCTTGTGTTTGGGTCACTGGCTACTTCTCATAGCTATTTCCTCCTCTACTTAACTGTTTTGCTCAAGGTGCTGTCCTTCTTAGGGTGTAGCCTGGAATACAGAAAGCCGCTTGGCTATCAATATCTGATATGGCCTGTTTTTGCTTGGGCCACAGGGTCCGTAAATTACAGATTAGCGATGGTTGAGAAAGAATTTGATAGGGCTCATGGCTGCAAATTAACAACTCACTTTAGTTTCAACTTAAAAGAATATATTAACATATAATAGGGAGCTCCCAGAATATCAGGAAGGGCAGGGAAGGAAAGCCAGAAACAATACCCAAATTATACTGTGAGGTGTTCAGGAAAAACCCTGTAGCCACTGCCTCTGGGCACAGACACCTGAGCTCATTGTGCACACCCTCGGCCAGACACTACCTTTCAAAGATTTGTCTTTCAAAGGGTTCCTCTGCAAGCTGATCTTTCACCATCACCCTCACTTTCATTACTTCACACCATACTGCCTTCTTCACATCAGTGCTCTCTAGGTTGAAGCCACATGTGAGATTTGCAGAGTCCAAGCCATGCATCAGTGTCCTGGTGGAAAAGAAGACTGGGAACAAGAGTTTCTGGTTCTACCATGTGGAGATGAAGCTGTAAACAGAGAGGTGTGATTCAAAGTTCTGTGAAGCAAGGAATCAAAACAAACATCCATACAGATAGACGGGCCTCAGGACAGCCTTCCAGAGTCCCTTGCACACCAGTAAGGTGAGGAGAAAGATGCTAGGAGTCCCACAAGCCTCTATGGGGCACAGGAGTACTTAGAGGGCTGGTGGATCCAAAGGGCCTGGTCGGAGCAAGGGGAGTAGAGAACACAGACGCTGATAACTGAAGTCCACTGTGGGATATTGGGACACTTCAGGCATAGATGCAAAAAGAATAAAAGGCCAATACCCAAAGGCTACAGCACGAATACCTTGAGCAGAGGCCACATTTTGAGAAAGAGAATGGTACTTGGACCAGACACCTATCCTGGAAACCAAGATAGTAATGGAAGCCTCTGTGAACTCTGCCACCCCAGGGGAAAGATGAAAGCACAAGGGAAGGAGAGAGCTCTGTGTGTGACAGCACATATGTAGCCAAATTGCAGGGTCAGTAACTCACCACTTGCAGAGTACAATTAACAAGAGCAGGGTCTGATATAAAGAAAGCGACTTTTTATGCCATAGCTCACTTAGAGGAAGAAGTACAGGCTTCCTACCTTAAGGGTACTGCTTCCCTGCTGGGGCAGAAAGCAGGGGTTTTTAAAAGGGGGACTTGGCATGAATGACATGCAGGACAGGGGCAAGCAGCGAGGGGTCTATGTGACTCGTTTTGGTGCCTTATCTACTGGGTGGTCGAGCTGGCACCTTTACCAGCAGAATTAGATTGTAAAATGGTTGCTGTCCCAAGGTGCTCTGCAGGTGGGAGAGAGTTTTGTAGTGGGCATACTTCGGGTTGTAAATTGACTGTTGTCTTTCAAGGCAATCTTCTGGTGGAAGAGGTTTCTGCTCTGGAGCTCCTAAGCACATAGTTAGATAAGCTTGCCCTGTATCCCTGGTGAAGGAAAGGTAAAAGGTTATAATTGCATCTCCAAAGAGCTAAGTAGGAAGTGGGGAATAGGGAAAAAGGAGGAAAGACAAAAGAAGAAAAAAATATACAAAATAACTTATTCTCTTTCTCTTAGAAAAGTAGGGGTACTTGGTTACAGGTAGAAAGCCCAGTGTTATATCATAAATCAGTGTTATATTGAGTGTGCAAGTGTGAAAATGAGCAAAGACCAACCAAATAGGAAAAACAAAGGCTATTTATACAGAGCTTGCTATAGCAAGCGGTCAACCACCATCACTGTGTTTTGGCAGAGACTGAAAGGCAGAGAGATGAGTGGGAAAACTTAATCGAGGAAAAAGCCAAGACTTCGAATGTGCTCTGAGTGGAGGCTGCTGGTCCAGGGAAGATGGAGGTGACTGACTAGAAGGAGTGTCCTATGTAATTGGAACGGGGGTGCATCCAGCTTCCTCTGGTTAGTCCTAAGTTGGAAGTAGAGACAAAAGTTAAGGAAGCTGCCAGTTATTGATCAAGTCCTGGCTATTTTGGACAGATTATTACTGAATTGATTGTTTAGCTTTTTGGATTGTTACTAGACATAGTAATCTGGCCACTTGCAAGTGTGACTTACAACAAGCTGGTTTTCTGGGCTGTTTCTTATAGACTGGATGGTAGTTTCCTGGGAAGAATGCTTCAGGTTGTGTGTTGAAGCTCTATTTTCATATTGTCTGTCATTGTCTGTTTTTGTCTCTCACAAGGTTAAGTTTTTTTCTTCATTAACTGGAAAAGATGTCCTAAAATTGAGCTCAGAAACACAAAAATTTACATTCTTTCAAATCAGGTTCATGATCACAAATTCTAAACCTACTTATCCATATTATTGATATTCTCTGGCCTCAGTGAAGACTGCCTCATATATTATGACAGAGACCATAATTAGACTCCTCCACATGATAACAGCTCCTATAGGATAAAATCTGCATATGGAAGAGACTTTAGAATGGTGTTTCCAAACAAAAGAGCAAGATTTCCTACAGGTAACTTTGCTATCTTCTCCCTAAGGACACTCCTCCTGCAAACACATTTTCCCCACACCACCTTTGAAAACAGCATTGTTGGGGTCGCTTCCAAGATGGCTGAATAGGAACAGCTCCAGTCTGCAGTTCCTAGCAAGATCAATGCAGAAGACAGGTGATTTCTGCATTTCCAACTGAGGTACTTAGTTCATCTCATTGGGACTGGTTGGACAGTGGGTGCAGCCCACAGGGGGCGAGCTGAAGCAGAGCAGGGCATCATCTCACCCGGGAAGTGCAAGGGGTCAGGTGATTTTCCTTTCCTAGCCAAGGGAAGCTGTTGCAGACTGTACCTGGAGAAACAGTACACTCCTGACCAAAAACTGCACTTTTCCCACAGTTTTAGCAACTAGCAGACCAGGAGATACCCTACCATGCCTGGCTCAGTGGGTCCCAAGCCCACAGAGCCTTGCTCACTGCTAGTACAGCAGTCTGAGATCGACCTGCGACACTGCAGCTTGATGGGGGTAAGGGCGTCTGCCATTGCTGAGGCTTGAGTAGCTCACAGTGTAAACAAAAAGGCTGGGAAGCATGAACTGGGTAGATCCCACCACAGCTCAGCAAGGCCTACTGCCTCTATAGATTCCACCTCTGGGGGCAGGGCATAGTAGAACAAAAGGCAGCAGACAGCTTCTGCAGACTTAAACATCCCTGTCTGACAGCTCTGAAGAGAGCAGTGTTTCTCTCAACATGGCATTCGAGCTCCGAGAATGGATAGAATGCCTCCTTAAGTAGGTCCCTGACACCTGTGTAGCCTGACTGGGAAACGCCTCCCAGTAGGGGCCGACAGATGCCTCAACAGGCGGGTGCCCCTCTTGGAGGAAGCTTCCAGAGGAAGGATCAGGCAGCAATGTTTGCTGTTCTGCAGCCTCTGCTGGTGATACCCAGGCAAACAGGGTCAGGAGTGGACCTCCAGCAAACTCCAACAGACCTGCAGCTGAAAGGTCTATTAGAAGGAAAACTATCAAACAGAAAGGAATAGCATCAACATCAATAAAAAGGACATCCACACCAAAATCCCATCTGTAGGTCACCAACATCAAAGACCAAAGTTAGATAAAATCACAAAGATGGGGAAAAATCAGAGCAGAAAAGCTGTAAATTCCAAAAAACAGAGCACCTCTTCTCCTCCAAAGGATCATAGCTCCTCTCCAGCAAGGGAACAAAAGTGGATGGAGAATGAGTTTGATGAGTTGACAGAAGTAGGCTTTAGAAGGTTGGTAATGACAAACTTCTCTGAGCTAAAGGAGCATGTTCTAACCCATTGCAACCTTTAAAAAAGGTAAGACAGATGGCTAACTGAATAAACAGTGTAGAGAAGACCTTAAATGACCTGATGGAGCTGACAGACAAAGCACGAGAAATTTGTGACGCATGCACAAGCTTCAATAGACAATTCAATCAAGTGGAAGAAAGGATATCACTGACTGAAGATCAAATTAATGAAATAAAGCGAGAAGACAAGATTAGAGAAAAAAGAGTGAAAAGAAATGAACAAAGCCTCCAAGAAATATACTTCTCAGAAGAAGACATTTATGCAGTCAACAGACATGCGAAAAAATGCTCATCATCACTGGTCATCAAAGAAATGCCAATCAAAACCACAATGAGATACCATCTCACACCAGTTAGAATAGCAATCATTAAAAAGTCTGGAAACAACAGATGCTGGAGAGGATGTGGAGAAATAGGAACGCTTTTACACTGTTGGCAGGAGTGTAAATTAGTTCAACCATTGTGGAAGATGGTGTGGCGATTCCTTAAGGATCTAGAACTAGAAATACCATTTGACCCAGCGATCTCATTACTGGGTATATAACCCAAATATAGATTATAAATCTACGCTACTATAAAGACACATGCACACATATGTTTATTGCAGCACTATTCACAATAGCAAAGACTTGGAACCAACCCAAATGTCCATCAATGATAGACTGGATTAAGAAAATGTGGCACATATATACCATGGAATACTATGCAGCCTTAAAAAATGATGAGTTCATGTCCTTTGCAGGGACATGGATGAAGCTGGAAACCATCATTCTGAGCAAACTATCACAAGGACAGACAACCAAACACTGCATATTCTCACTCATAGGTGGGAGATGAACAACGAGAACACATGGACACAAGGCGGGGAACATCACACACTGGGGCCTGTTGGTGGGTGGGGACTTCGAGGAGGGATAGCATTAGGAGAAATACCTAACATAAATGTCAAGTTGATGGATGCAGCAAACCAACATGGCACATGTATACCTATGTATCAAACCTGCACGTTGTGCACATGTACCCTAGAACTTAAAGTATAATTAAAAAATAAAAAGAAAATAGCATTGTTACCATTGTCCCTAAAATTTTTCATCTTACTCCCAATTCTCCAAGAAATACAAATGCCAAGGCTGTTAAATAACTCCCACTTAGCTTTCCCTTTTTTTTTTTTTTTTTTTTTTTTGAGACAGTCTCGCTCTGTCACCCAGACTGGAGTGCAATTGGCATGATCTTGGGTCACCTCCGCCTCCCGGGTTCAAGCGATTCTCCTACCTCAGCCTCCCAAGTAGCCGGAATTACAGGCATGCACCACCACACCCAGCTAATTTTTTGTAGTTTTAGTAGAGATGGGGTTTCTCCATATTGGTCAGGCTGGTCTTGAACTCCCAACCTCAGGTGATCCGCCCGCCTTGGCCTCCCAAAGTGCTGGGATTACAGGTGTGAGAGCTTTCCTTATAAATACTTTTATTAAATACTTTTATTCTTACACAAATTCTTCCTTCCTTGTCTCAGAGAATAAGATTTCTTCTCCTTTCCTGAGTCAGCCCATCTGTGCTTTTAAAACTACTTCCACTTCTTTATGATCTTACTCTACAATTGTTTATCTTTTTCTCCAGCACCTTCCTCTTCTCTCTTCAGGTTATTTTAAGTCAATAAATATTTATGGAGCACCCCTCTGTGTCAGGTACCATGCTGGTCACTGAGAATATAAAGAAGAGTAACATGCATCCCTACCATTTCTAGGGGAGGAGAAAAGGGCTTCCCACTGCCTGAGAACATGGTGGAGAGACAAGAGTTTTTCACTGTGGCCCTTGCATGTCCTTGTTCCTGTAGCTGGTGTGAAAGGAAAATAAATCTTGGGGCCCCAGGCTCACTAAGCCAAAGTGAAAAGTCAAGCTGGGAACGGAGTCACACAAAGCTGCCTCTCCTTTTTTTCTTAAATAAGATAGGTACAGAGATAAAAGAGCTACATACCTCCCTCACCATGTGCCCACAATGGGCTCCAAGATCTTTACCCTAAAACAGCTTTGTTGAATTTCATCCTGACAATGTAAGTTGATAGCTTATTTATCTTCACAAGCATGGAACAAAGGACAGAACTTAAAGTCATCCCTCTGCTCACCTGAGACAAATGTATTGCTTCCTCTGCCCTATGTTTATTTTATCTTACATAAAAATGCAGTTTCACTGAGCGAGAAAAATGCATAAGTGACTATTTCTGTACTTCTTTCTCACATGTAAGATGTGTATTCAATAAATGGTGATCAAAGACTCAAAAGAATGCAACTGCTTGCCTCTTATCTACCCACACCCTTATAAACTTTTTTTACTCTTTTCCCAATATATGCCCTTTTCTCTTAAAATATTGAGGTCCCAGACCCTCTTTGGAAAAAGCATGAACCACAGTTTTTCGTATGGTTCCATGTCTTTTTCCCAGGTGCATCCTTAACCTTGGCGAATAAGCCTTTTAAAATGATTGAGACTCACCACTGTCTTTGATTTACACTGACCAATAAAATCCAAATTGCCCAAACAGTGGCTGCACATCCACAGAACAATCCCTTCCTTCTCAGAGAATCATCCAAGTTAAACTAGTTAAACTTTCACAAAATGCCTCTTGCCCAAGTCTTGTAAAACATTTCACTCTTGTTCCCTTAGTTAGACCGCTCTCTCAGGGCCTTCTAGTCCCTGGGATTTTTGAAGAAAGCCCTATGCTAATGGTAGTGTTGATTTTCACAATTTTTGATGCTGTGACTTAGATAGGGCTTGACCCTGCTACTCAGCATCAGCACAAGACAGCAACTTTAGAGAGACTGTTTAAAGAACAACCACAATTACATGAGGTCAAATCCTTTTAACAAGTTCCTTATTGTATATATAATTTTTTTTTTTTTTGAGATGAAGTATCGTTCCTGTTGCCCAGGCTGGAGTCCAATGGCGCTATCTTGGCTCACTGTGACCCTCCACCTCCCAGGTTAGCGATTCTCCTGCCTCAACCTCCCAAGTACCTGGGATTACAGGTGCCTGCCACCACGCCTGGCTAATTTTTATATTTACTAAAAATATATCTACTAAAGAGATGGGGTTTCACCATGTTGGCCAGGCTGGTCTCAAACTCCTGACCTCAGGCAATCTGCCCACCTCGGCCTCCCAAAGTGCTGGGATTACAGGCATGAGCCACCTTGCCCGTCCTTTTATATATACTTTTATATAAATGTACATAATATATATTCCTAGTGGTTTTGCTTTTCTGATTGAATTTGAATTGATACAGAATTTGGCACCAAGAAAGAGTTTCAGATGGACAACATCTTAAGGACAAGTTCTTTGAATTGAATATGGAGTTGGTTTTCAATTTGATTAGACTTGAAGGCATTAATGACCCTGTTTCCAGCGGCAAAGGGGCAGAACATGGCAATCAGTTGCAAAAGTCATGCAAATTTTTAACTACATTTACCCATAGAAGAGAAGTCTCTTGGGGACAAAGTATTTACTACTCTAGAACATTTTAGCAAAATGCAGAGTAAAATGGAGTAGGTTGGTTTCTTCTAAATGTGCTGTAGAACTTAGGGGGAAAAAAATGAGTTCAGGGCTTTAAATTCCCAGGTTAATATCTGCATAAGGACCTGAAAAGCTCCTATGACTGCCTTAAAAACAATACGGGCCAGGGGCAGTGACTCACGCCTGTAATGCCAGCACTTTGGGAGGCTGAGGTGGGAGAATTACTTGAGGCCAAGTGCTCAAGACCAGCCTGGGCAACATAGTGAGAATCTGTCTCTACAACATTTTTTTAAAATTATCCAAGTGTGGTGGCACGTACTTGTAGTCCTAGCTACTTGGGAGGCTGAGGTGGGAGGATCACTTGAACCCAAGAGTTTGAGGTTAAAGTGAGCTATGATTGTGCCACTGTTCTCCAGCTTGGGTGACAGGGCAAGGTCTTGTCTCTAAAATAAATAAAAAACTTAAAAAAAATTCTTATCTCCTGTGACTACAGAACTGAGATTCTGAAAAACGAATTCAAAGTTTATCTTGCTGGTGGGTGAATTACAAGGCAAACTGAATACTCAAACTTGCATGGTCTATTTTGTTAAAATTAGGGCAATGATTGGGAAGGAATGAGATTCTAAAAATTGGGATTGGGTCATATGGACAGATTCTGATAAATCTGGAGACCTTGTACCCCCAAATTCCACCAAGCCTTCTTTGCACTTCTACTGCTGCTGCCTGAAGAACTCTAATAACTTTCACTTGGCTGCTTTACAAAGGGCTGCTGGTGCTCTCCAGGACATACTCCCACCACAGGTCCCTGAGGGCCTCAGAGGGTGAGACTCAAAATGTGGCCTGTAATGAGATGCAATGAACACCAAAATAACTGCATGATTTTCCAACTTATATTGACATAAACCTGAGGAATATATGTTAGAACTGATCTTCAGGGTGTGGAATCAGAGTAGAGAAAATACAATGTTGGATCAATAAATAAAGACACACCCAAGACTGGCTAATTTATAAAGGAAAGAAGTTTAATTGACCTACAGTTCCACATGGCTGGAGAGGCTTCATAATCATGCCAGAAGATGAAGGAAAAGCAAAGGAACATCTTACATGGTGGCAAGCAAGAAAGAATGAGAGCCAAGAGAAAGGGGAAACCCCTTATAAAACAATCAGATCTCATGAGACTGATTCATGACAATCAGACTCATGAGACACTACCATGAGAACAGTATGGGAGAAACCACCTCCATGATTCAATTATCTCCCACCAGGTCCCTCCCACCACATATGGGAATTATGGGAGCTACTATTCAAGATGAGATTTGGGTGGGGACATAGCCAATCCATATCAGAAGGCATTCATTATGTGTGTCTGGAAATTAGAATGAGTTATGCAATGAACTGAATATGTAACTCCCAAATTCATATGTTGAAACTTAAATCCCAGTGGGATGGCATTTGGAGGTGGGGTCTTTGGGAGGTAATTAGTTCATGAGGGTAGAGCCCTCATGAGTGGGGTTAGTGCCCTTATAAAAAGAGGCCAGAGGCTGAGCTAGCTCTCTTTAGGCCAGGCGAGGAACAACAAGAAGACAGTTACCTATAAACCAGGAAGAGGCTCCTTACCAAGAACCTGATCCTGCTGGCACCCTAATCTTGGACATCCAACCTCCAGATCTGTGAGAAATAAATGTTTGTTGTTAAAGCCACACAGTCTATGGTATTTTGTTATAACAGCCTGAGCTGACTAAGATAGGTTATCACTTGTTTTTCAGATTTAGCCATATGCTAAAGTGAGCATTTTATTCATTGCACATTCATGTCACATACTACCAGAAAAGACAAGCAGAAGCTGAAAATAAAATGTGGAGGCCTAGCAAAACCTTCCACACTCATCTTAATGCAACTATTAAATGCTTCATTAAAAATTTTTAGAAATCTAGGGAAAATATATGACTAAATGGGGTGCTAAACTTCTCGCATTAATGAGGATTGTTCTGAGCAAGTGGAAACATAAGGAATTCTACCTATAAGCAAATTCCTGTCATACTTTTAAATTTTTATGCCCAATTATTTATATGGGTTATGATTTTGTACAATTACTTATCACTCAGTGCTTTTGTTACACATTTAAATGAAACAAACTTGTGTGGCCTCTATGATGATGTCTGTAAAATAATTAAATACCAGACCTGGAGCTGAGCTGCAGTAGACAAGGACATTTAATCCCAGGCTACAGAAATCATAAAAGCATCTATTCTCTTCCAAGTGGCCAGCCAACATAGTATCCAATGTGAAAGGAGTTTTGTCCCCCAGGAAACAAGGAAATAAAACCCTTTTTTGTGACAACATAAAGCTGAAAATGGATCTTAAAAATGGACGGTCAGAAAAAGAACCCTCAAAGAGAAACAAACACCTTCAGGGCTGAGAAAATGAAAGGAAACCATTCCAACGGCAATAAGGAGCAGGCAGTGGGCATGTGGCTGGAGGAAAGCAACCTTCTTTAAACAGTCAATGCAAGCTCTGAATGTAAGGTCTGGAATTTGACTATTTACAGTCTGAGAAGCTGTGAATATTCTGCAGTTAAATATGAGGCACAAATTCAGGGAAATATGTGCAGCAATTCTGGCCCCTGTGAGACATGGACCATGTAGAGCCCACAGATGAAGCTCTGTGGAATGAGAAAACTCAAAAATAGTAAGAATAGCTAACCTTTATAGGTGACATTGATGCAAGTAAACCCCTAAATTGGAGCTCAGCTCAGGAGTTTTCTTGATAGTGAAAGAAAGCAGGTTTATTAGGGCAACAGTGTACAGCAAAATGGCTGCTCCATAGACAGAGCAGGGCTACTACATAGGCAGAGTAGCACTCGTGAATTGCTGGCTAGCTATATTTATACCTACTCCTAACTATATGCTAAATAAGGGGTGAGTTATTCATGAACTTTCTGGAAAGAGGGCAGAGAGTTCCCTGAACCATATAAGGTAAATTCTGGGCATTGCCATGGCATTTGTGAATTGTCACGGCACTGATAGGAGTGTCTTATAGCATGTAAATGTATTATAATTCCTAGTCCTAGCTGTTTTTAGCTGGTTTCTCTGCTTCATCCTACAGCAGGGCCCTGAAAACAATCCTGCTGCTCTCCTACCTCAATGTGATGTCTTGTGATTAGACCTTAGGGGAAAACAAATTATCCTAATTTTTCAGATAAGAAAACTGAGTCACACAGGGGATAAATCATTTGTCCAAGGTCACTCAACTAGATAAGAAGCTATCCCATCCGACTACTGTGCCTGTGTTCACCACTACCCTACATTCCCTCATCTGAGAATAAACATCTCTCTGGGCTGCTGCAACTGCCACAAAGGCTTGTTGCTTTTTTAATAGCTCCTTGAGAGACAGAATAGTAAATTATAATTAGAAACCCACCAAATAGCATTTATGGTTGCTGTACCTGGTTAACTTACACTACCTAAAGCTTGTGAAGTTCTTGTTTCATTGGGTGGAAGGATACTCTTGACAAGTCATTGTTGTTTTCATAAAGTCCCAAACTGTATAGCTTCAAATTAATGCTACTTATCAATATCTCTATGGTGCACACATCACGTGAATATTTTGGAAAATTTCAAGTGCTCAGGAGGTGTATTAGTTTGTTCTCATACTGCTATGAAGAAACACCCGAGACTTAGTAATTTATAAAGGAAAGAGGTTTAATTGACTCACAGTTCAGCATGGCTGGGGAGGCCTCAGGAAACTTACAATCTTGGCCGAAGCAAAGGAGAAGTTGGCTTCTTCTTCACAGGGAGGCAGGACGGAGTGAGCGCAAGCAGGGGAAATACCAGATGCTTATAAAACCATCAGATCTCATGAAACCCACTTATTATCACAAGAACAGCATGGGGGAATTTTCCCCCTCCACACTTGGTCTCACCCTTGACATGTGGGAATTATGGAGATTAAGGGGACTACAATTCAGATGAGGTTTTGGGTAGGGACACAGCTGACCCACATCAGAGGGGGCGGGACAGCAAGCATCTTCCCTTATAGGAGGAAAAAGATGTGGCACCCTTGGCTGGTACAGTGAGTGATTGACATGTGCTGTTTTTCTTGCTATCCAGAAGTCACTATGTGAGATACTGTGAAATATATATTTAGTCTTTATCCCCATTTCCTGTCTTACAACCTTAAAATCCTTGGAATCTCCAAGCACTTTCTGTATGCTATTGTTGATAGATAGCTTCAGTGTGGGGCTGGTCACTGGAAAAGAAAGAGCTTGATTCAAGGGTTGGGACTTTCAGCCCCACCCCCAACCACCAGGGAGGGTGAGAGGGGGTGGTGCTGAAGGTCAAGTTGATTACCAGTGGCCAATAGTTTAATCAATCATGCCTGCATCATGAAGTTTCCATAAAACCCAAGAGGACTGGTTTGGATAGCTTCCAAATAGCTGAACTTGTAGAATAATTTCCTGAAGGGTGCCCTGCCCAGGGAGGGCATGAAAACTCTGTGCCCCTTCCTGCATACCTCGCCCCATGCATGTCTTCATTTGTATCCTTTATAATAAATGTGTAAGTGTTTCCCGAGTTCTATGAGCTGCTCCTGAACCCAAAGAGCCCTAGGGGCAAGGGAACCCCAATTTGAAGCTGGTTAGTCAAAATTCCAGAGACCTAAAATTGGTATCTATGGGGAGTGAGGAAGTCTTGGAGATTGAGCCCTCAACCTGTGAGATCTGCTGCTATCTCCTGGCAGATAGTGTTGGGATTAGATTGGAGGACACTAGCTGGTGTCCTGTAGAACTGACTGCTTGCTTGCTGATGCGGGAGAAATCCCCACATATTTTGGGGTCTGTGGGGTTATGATATATATTGGTTTTCACCCACAGTTCCTAGCTCATAGCTCCCATAGCCCTTGTTGCAGTCTTTTGTTATCAAGTTGGGTGTGTTAGGCCTCAGAGGCAGCCCTCTGACCCTCTTCTGCCTTCTTTCACTCTAACATTCCCCGCCTTTCTGATTGTGACTCCTGAGATTCTCCCATGGAAGACTCACTCTGTCACCCAGGCTGGAGTGCGGTGGCACAATCTCGGCTCACTGCAACCTCTGGCTCCTGGGTTCAAGTGATTCTCCCTGCCTCAGCCCCCCGAGTAGCTGGGATTACAGGTATTGCCATCATGCCCAGCTAATTTTTGTATTTTTTAGTAGAGACAGGGTTTTGCCATGTTAGCCAGGCTGGTCCTGAACTCTTGACCTCAGGTGATCTGGCCATCTCAGCCTCCCAAAGTGCTGGGATTATAGGCATGAGCCACCATGCCCAGCCCCATCCTATACTCTTGGGAAAGGAATGCTGACATCATGAAGCTTCCATAAAAACCCAAGAGGACAGGGTTTAGTGAGCTTCCATAGCTGAACACGTGGAAGTTCCTGGAGGGTGGTGCCCTGGGGAGGACACGGAAGCTTTGCATTCCTTCCCCCATACCTTGCCCTCTGGATCTCTTCATCTGTATCCTTTGCAATATCCTTTATAATAGACCAGTAAACATAAATAAGTGTTTCCCTGAGTTCTGTGAGCTGCTTCAACAAGTTAATCAAACCCAAAGAGGGGTTGTTACTGGGTAGCTAGACAGGCATCAGCAGGGCAGGAGAGGGCTCCCTCTCCCTGCAACACACACACCAGGGGTGTCAGGCACCCATCTGGTGAGGGCCAGGCAATTGTTAAGCTGTCTCTCTAAAATAAGAAATAAAATAAATAATAAAATAAGTTGCAGCCAGTGCCAGGGAAAGACAGTCTCCCAATAGACAGAAACACCTGAAACTGGTGATCAGCTTCCTGATAAAATCTCAGGAGTTGGGCAAGTGGGCTCAAGCATGTGCACCAAGAAGCAAAATGATGGAGTTTCACTGCTCTATGACTTTCCTCTAGGAATGCTAGACTGGTAAGGAGAAACACCTCAAGTGAGCAGGCATACAACTCCAGTAAACACACTGCGCCTGCAGCCCCTCCCAGGTGCTGCAGGCCATTGTGCATGTGGAAAGCTCACACCCGGGAAGAATTGTGGGAAAGGGATGCAACACCCTGAAAGCCTGCCAACATATAAGACCCCAAGTCAAAGGTCAAACAATGCACTTGATCTCTCAAGTCACCCACTTGGTCCTTTTCCAAGTGTTCTTTACTGCCTTTTGTTCCTGCTCTAAAGCTTTTTAATAAACTTTCACTCCTGCTCTAAAATTTGCCTCAGTCTCTCACTCTCTGCCTTATGCCCCTTGGTCAAATTCTTTCTCCTGAGGAGGCAAGAACTGAGGTTGCAGCAGACCTGTATGGCTACACCACCAGTAACATGGGGACCCCAACTTGAAGCTCATCAGTCAGAAGTTCTGGAGGCTCAGAATTAAGACTGGTGTGTGGGGAGGAGCAGTTAGGGACTGAGCCCTCAATCTGTGAGATCTGACACTGTCTCTGAGCAAATACTGTCAGAACTGAATTAGAGGACACCCAGTCTGTGTCCACTACTTGGTGTCTGGGGAAAAAAAACCCACACATTTTGTTACAGAAGTCTTCTGTGTTGATGATTGTTACGCTGTGAGAGTAGAGAAAAAACAGAGTTTTTTTCTACACAAGGTCATATAAGTCTTCTGTGTTGATTGCTGTGGTATAAGAGCAGTGGAGAACAGCTTGAAGGTTTTTTCAAAACAGTATGTCTTGTTTTTTTTTGCCAAATTTTACAATAATATTTATGTTAATATTTGCCCTAAACACTTTTTTTGTGGATCTAGTGTATCCCAGGTTTTGTTCATCTCTTTCTCCATTTAAACCAGAATTTTTTTCCCAAGAAGTAGACCTGGAGTGCTCGTCACATACCCAGAGAAGAACTTCTCCCCTGACTTCAATAACTAAGAAATTGTTGGAGTCAATAAACATTGTCTCTGAATGAACTAAAGATAAAAACCTTCTCTGTGCAAAAATAAATTTATTCTTTTCTGGTTGGAAACACTTTTAATTGCCTTCACAAATGAAAGAACTCATGCTCTAACTTGACTGTTATTCTGCTTTTATTACCATATAACTAGCTTTTAAATTCAATATATGACTCAAGTTCATGCAAATTATAGAAAATGTTCATTTTCAGAAAACTAAAGTCTAGAGTTTAAATTTTTTTATACTCCAATAACTAAGCAGTTTAAATTATGAGCATTACAGGAATCCTGACATTTTGATTAGACTACCTATGTTTAATCTTAAAGTGCATATTAATTCTCAAGACATTGACCATCAAATTTCATTCATTATAAATTATTCTTGGTTTTAAAGGAAAAAATAGTAGATAAACTTATATTTGTAGATCATGTTTTACTTTCTCTTCATTTTCTGATGTTTTGTAATAAACAAGTGATAAAAGATGGATATTCAACAAAATGCTTAAAAATAAGTTAGTAAATATTATGTCCTCTGGAGCAGGTGTCCCAAACCCCTGGGCCATGGACCAATATCAATCCATGGCCCATTAGGCACTGGGCTGCACAGCAGGAGGTGAGCTGCAGGTGAAGCAAAGCTTCATCTGTATCTACAGTCACTCCCCATTGCTTGCATCACTGCCTGAGCTCCACCTCCTGTAAGATCAGTAGCAGCATTAGATTCTCATAGGAGTGCAAACCTACTGTGAACTGCACATGCGAGGGATATAGGTTTCACACTCCTCATGAGAATCTAATGCCTGATGATCTATCATTGTCTCCCATCACCTCCCAGATGGGACCATCTAGTTGCAGTAAAACAAGCTCAGGGCTCCCACTGATTCTACATTATGGTGAGTTATATAATTATTTCATTATATATTACAATGTAATAATAATAGAAATAAAGTGCACAATAAATGTAATGTGCTTGAATCATCCCGAAACCATCCCCTTCCTGCCTTAGTCTGTGGAAAAATTGTTTTTCATGACACTGGTCCATTATGCCAAAAAGGTTGAGGACCACTGCTCTGGAGAATATGCACCTCTTAAACAAATTTAAAATTTTGTTGAAATAATTTTTCATTGCTCAAGATGCTGACTTCTTGAAATCAAAAGGAACTACACATGCAAAGAGTCAGGAAAATATAGTTCATAATAAGAAAAAAAAATATTTTTTGAGACAGGGTCTTGCTTTGTCACCCAGAGCCACTGGAGTGCACTGGAGTGCCACTGGAGTGCAGTGGCACAATCTTGGCTCACTGCAACCTCTGCCTCCTGAGTCCAAGTGATTCTCCTGCCTCAACCTCCCAAGTAGCTGGGATTACAGGTGTGTGCCACCACACCCAGCTAATTTTTTGTATTTTTAGTAGAGATGGGGTTTCACCATATTGACCAGGCTGGCCTCAAACTCCTGACCTCCAGTGATCCACCCACCTCTGCCTCCCAAAATGTTGGGATTACAGGCATGAGCCACAGCACCCAGCCTCATGTCCTCATATTTCAAATTCAATCATGCCTTCCCAACAGTCCCCCAAAGTCTTAACTCATTTCAGCATTAACTCAAAGTCCACAGTCCAAAGTCTCATCTGAAACAAGGCAAGTCCCTTCTGCCTATGAGCCTCTAAAATCAAAAGCAAGTTAGTTACTTCCTAGATACAATGGGGGTACAGGTATTGGGTAAATACAGCTGTTCCAAATGGGAGAAATTGACCAATACAAAGGGGCTACAGGCCCCATATGAGTCTGAAATCCAGCAGGGCAGTCAAATTTTAAAGCTCCAAAATGATCTCCTTTGACTCCGTGTCTCACATTCAGGTCATGCTGATGCAAGAGGTGGGTTCCCATGGTCTTGGGCAGCTCTGTCCCTGTGGCTTTGCAGGATACAGCCTCCCTTTCAGCTGATTTCACAGGCTGTCATTGAGTGTCTGCGACTTTTCCAGGTGCACAGTGAAAGCTGTCGGTGGATCTACCATTCTGGTGTCTGGAGGACAGTGGCCCTCTTCTCATAGCTCCACTAGGCAGTGCCCCAGCGGGGACTCTGTGTGGGGGCTTCAACCTCACATTTCCCTTCTGCACTGCCCTAGCAGAGGTTCGCCATGAGGGCCCTGCCCCTGCAGCAAACTTCTGCCTGGACATCCAGGCGTTTCCATACATCCTCTGAAATCTAGGCAGAGGTTTCCGAACCTCAATTCTTGTTGAGCACTGGCAGGCTCAACACCACGTGGAAGTTGCCAAGGTTTGGCTCTTGCACCCTCTGAAGCCATAACCTGAGCTGTACTTTGGCCCCTTTATGCCATGGCTAGAGCAGCTGGGAGGCAGGGCACCAAGTCCCTAGATTGCACAGAGCATGGGGACCCTGAGCCCACGAAACCATTTTTTCCTCCTAGGCCTCTGGACCTGTGATGGGAGGGGCTGCTGCAAAGATCTCTAACATACCCTGGAGACATTTTCCCTATTGTCTTGGTGATTAACAGTTGGCTCCTCTTACTTATGCAAATTTCTGCAGCTGTCTTGAATTTCTCCTCAGAAAATTTTTTTTTTCTATCCTGTCAGGCTATCAGTTTTCTGAACTTTTATGCTGTTTCCCTTTTAAAACTGAATGATTTTAACAGCACCCAAGTCACTTCTTGAATGCTTTGCTGCTTAGAAATTTCTTCCACCAGCTACCTTAAACCACCTTTCTCAAGTTCAAAGTTTCACAAATCTCTATGGCAGGGGCAAAATGCCACCAGTCTCTTTGTTAAAACATAGCAAGAGTCACCTTTACTCCAGTTCCCAAAAAGTTCCTCATCTTCATCTGAGGTGACCTCATCCTGGACCTTATTGTCCATATCATTATCAGCATTTTGGTCAAAGCCATTCAACAAGTCTCTAGGAAGTTCCAAACTTTCCCACATTTTCCTTTTTCCTTCTGAGCCCTCAAAACTGTCTCAAACTCTGCCTGTTACCCAGTTCCAAAGTCACTTCCACATTTTCAGGTATCTTTACAGCAGCACCCCATTCTACTGGTCCCAATTTACTGTATTAGTCTGTTCTCACACTGCTGACAAAGACATACCCAAGACTGAGTAATTTATATATAAAAAAAAAAAGGTTTAACGGACTTACAGTTCCATGTGGCTGGGGATGCCTTACAATCATGGCAAAGGCAAAGGGCACATCTTCCATGGTGGCAGTCAAGAAAGAAAATGAGAATCAAGCGAAAGGGGTTTCCCCTTATAAAACCATCAGATCTCATGAGACTTATTCACTACCACAAAAACAGTATGGGGGAAACTGCTCCCATGATTCAAGTATCTCCCACTGGGCCCCTCCCACAACATGTGGGCATTATGGGAACTACAATTAAAGATGAGATTTGGGTGGGGACAGAGCCAAACCATATCACATTTATATGATAGAATCCTATTCAACAATTATTTTTAAAAATTCAGTTGAGCATTTCTAGACAAAGAAAGACTAAGCAAATAGAATACAATATAAATATGATGGGAAACATATTGATAAGAGGCAGGGGGCAGACAAAGGCCTAGGCAGATAGGGAAGGGTCCCCAGAGAATCTCCAACCCTCCCCACAAGTGTTTACCTTCACAGGGGGCTTGCCTGGGCATGCCCGCAGCCAACTGGAGGCCCACAGGCACTAGGGGAATGGGGTGGAGCAACCAGGAATTCATGCCTTATGCAGGGGAGGGGGCTGGCCTCTTAAGCTTGTGTAGGGTAGCCCTGGTATTGAATTGTGACAGGGAAACCTGCTTGAAGAAACCCTCTCTTTGCTGAGAGCTTTTCTTTTGCTTAATAAATTCCACCCTCCTCACCCTTCAGTGGGTCCATGTGCCTAATTTTTCCTCGTCATGAGACAAGAACCTGGATTTAGCTGAACTAAGGAGCAAAAATCCTGCATCAATATGTATATAGACATACAAAGAAATCTAGGTTAGAAGGACATACACCAGTATGCAGTAAAGGATTAACCTTGACCAGGAATATTTGGCTCTTGGCTCTTGACTAATTTCTAGGAAGTAACCTCTAATCCTTGAAATACCCTCCCTGATAGGACAGTATGTGTTTACATGGGGGCTGTGAGCCACACTAGATAGTCTAGGCTAACAACATAATTTATGGCAGGAACTTTGGTTCCCATGGTATCAACCCGACCTGGAGACTAAAGTCAGTAATGTAGCCTATCAATCATCCTTAAGTAATCCAGCCCAGTAAAAACCCTGGACACCAGGGCATGGGTGAACCTCCTGAAACAAACTTTGCAAAAATTATAACAGTGAAAAAATTGTAACAGTGAAAGAGATCTGCTTTAACCAACTCCATCTTGTCTTTAACCTCCAAACTGTCCTTGGCCATTCCTGGGCATGGGCCAAGCTAACTTTTGGATAAATTTAGTTTGTAGTTTAAATAATAGCCCTTTCCAAAAACTAAACTGCCTTTGTAAAACTAATAAAAGGCCACCAGGTTAGGAGGGGGAGGGAGGCTTGAATTCTGTGACAGATAGTAGTTACATGATTACCATCTGTTATTCTGGAGGTCACAAGATTTGCAACTCCCTAATTTCTCCTATAAATAACATCACTATTGTGGGACTGAAGATTGGCCTTCTGAGATGTCTTTTCAGGCTTTTGCATTTCTGATGACCAGATGGCCCCACCCAGACCAACAACTCCTCTGGTGGCCCCCGTCCAGAAGCAGACTCAATGCACAAGGACTGATTTTCACACCCCTATTGGTTGCATCCCCAACCAATCAGCAGCACTCATTCCTTAGCCCCTTGCCCATCAAGCTATTCTTGAAAAACCCTAGTCTCTGAATTTTCAGGGAGGCTAATTTGAGTCATAATAAAGCGTTTATCTTCCACTTAGCCTTACACAGGCTCTACATGTATTAAACTCTTTCTCTATTGCAATTCCCCTGTCTAGATAAATTGGCTTTATCTGGGGAGTAGGCAAAATAAACCTGTCTGGCATTTACACTCCCAAGGTGGCAATACTCCATGCATGTTGCCACATACGGTTAATGACAGTAGTAAGTGCTGTCTGCATGACTCCACTGGGAGAGGATAATTAGAAGCTTATATCTAGAACTCTTAGGGACTCTGCCCTATGACCCTTTTCCCACTGTTGATCTTGATCTTTATCCTTTTGCTTTAATAAATAATTACCATATAACAGTTTTACTGAGTTCTATAAATCCTTCTAATAAGTTGAAGCTAAGAGTGGTCTTGGGGAGCTCTAGAACTTGCAGCCATTATGTAGTGTTTGTCTGGGTGGGGTTCTGCAATTTTGGCTGATCTATAATTCTTCTATGATAAACATATATTACTGATTTTATCAGAATGTTTCCACTGCTTCAATCCTTTAAATGTGTGTATTATTTTATATAGAAGTAGTTTAAGGAAGTAATCCCAGGGGTGATCATTGTAATGTTATTTGTAATAGCTAAAATGGGAAATAACCTAATTGTACAAAAGAGGATACATTAAGTAAATCATACACACCTGTATAGTTGAATATGTTTTATAACTTATGCTATAATGAATATCTACTGACATAAGAAATCAAAGCTATATTGCTAAGTTAAAAAAGCAGAGAAAAAACATATTTCTATTATTATTGAAATACACAATACAATTTATATTTCCATAGGAAAATATAGACAAAAATACAATAAAAATGTGAATCACAGTTTTCTTTGGATAGCAGGATTAGGGTGGTTTTTATTTTTTGCATTGCACTTATCTGTATTTTACTCATTTTCTTTTTGAGCATGCATTGTTTTAAATTAGGAAGACGGCCGGGTACAGTGGCTCATGCCAGTAATCCCAGCACTTTGGGAGGCAGGTAGATCACCTGAGCCCAGGAGTTAGAGACCACCCTGGCCAACATGGCGAAGCCCTGTGTCTACTAAAAATACAAAAATTAACCAGGCATGGTTGTGCACACCTGTGTGCACTCGACAGGCTGAGTCAGAACTGCTTGAACCCAAGAGGTAGAGGTCGCAATGAGCCAAGATTGTGCCACTCCATTCCAGCCTAGGTGACAAAGTGAGACCTTGTCTCAACAAAAACAAAAAAACAGGAAGAAAACTAAACTTGGAAAAAAAAATTACTTTCAGTTCTACCCCCTTAATTATTTTTAAATCTTCTAAACCGATTTAATGATAGAATCTAAAATTGTGCAATGGCAAATGGAAAAATAGTTTCAAGAGACATTGGTGAGTATAAGTTCTTGAAGATGGGGTGAAAACAGATGCAGACAATTAGAGAAAGGTGATGAACATATCTCTTAAGCTTCCTAGTTTGGGAGGCTTTTTGGACACTATCATCTTTAGCTAAGGAGACTACCAGAGGTTGTGTACTGCAACATAATTACTTTAGATTTGAACATACTGAATTTGAGGAGCATGCAGTATAGTCAATTAAAGATATGCATTTGAAAATATCGGTCTAAAGTGTAGGATAAATTTAAAGCAGGGATGTATAAATCTGTGGTCATCAGCACATAGGCGATATTTGAAAATTGCTCTGGGAGAACATGATGGAGACCCAAAAATGGAAACTTTGAAAACACAAACATTGAAGTGTGAATTGTAGCAGAGGACACAGTAAAGAAACTGAAAAGAATAGTTGAAGAGGTAGGAGGATAACCAGAAGAAAACAAGGTCACTGAAATCAAAGGGGGGAAAATAGTTCCCAGAAAGCATTAATTAGCCACAGCAAAGTTCAAGCCAGACAGCAAGACAGGAAACCCACTGGGCAGTTCGGGAAGTCACTATTGGCCAGTATGAAGACCATCTCTAAAATGGGAATATTTGCCTTCCCCTCCATGGGCTGTAAGGTTGACATAAGAAATGTAAAAATATTATACAAATTATCTAACCATCCTCAGATGCACATAATCCAATTCACCACCCTTTTATGTGGACACATTACATTTATCTTCCTCAAGTAATTATCAAATATCCACTGTACTCTTTCCTGCTTTTTACCAGCTTACCTTCTGTGATCTGTACTCTTCTAGGTACTACTTGTTTTTATGTAATCCATGAACAAAGGTATTCCAACACAAGAAGCTAGACTCTTAAATATATATATATATATATATATTTTGAGATGGAGTCTTGCTCTGTCACCCAGGCTGGAGTGCAGTGGCAAGATCTCAGCTCACTGCAACCTCTGCCTCCCAGATTCAAGCAATTTTCCTACCTCAGCCTCCTGAGTAGCTGGGATTACAAGTGCCTGCCACCATGCCCAGCTAATTTTTGCAGTTTTAGTAGAGACGGGGTTTCAGCACGTTGGCCAGGCTGGTCTCAAACTTCTGACCTCAGGCGACCCACCAGCCTCGGCCTCCCAAAGTGCTGGGATTATAGGCGTTGAGGCAATTACAATATTTTAAACATATAAACCCAATACTCCAATGGACTCATAGACAGTAAAATATTACTTAGGTCTCTAAAAAGCATCAAGAAGTCATGAACTTCTTGTAATATTCTGGTATTTTTTTGCCTCCATATGCAATTGTAGCCTGGACCTGGAGAGTGTTCTTGGAAGTATATGGAAGAAGTGGTAGTGAATTCCAGAACACCGGCCACCTAGACAACAGAGGCTGGGGCAGAATTCGCCAGCGTTCAGAGCAAGCCCACAGTCTCCCCAACCCAGCCATCTTTACATGCAGCTTTGTCAATGGGGAAGTACTAACCTGCAAAGTCAATAAATACTTTTTCCAAGAAGTCCTTAGGAAATTTAATGTGCAAAATTTCAGTCATGCAACATTGGAAAGAATGTCAATTTATACTTAAGAACTATAGCTGAAGAAATTAAGATAATGTTGTGGGTAATAAAATGTTGCTCTCAATGGACTTAAAGAGAGAAACAGTTTGCCAGTGATGGAATGAGAGGTCTTGCTATTTTGAAGCTTGCTTTATTGATCCTCAGAAGAAACTTGAAAAATTCTAAAGAGGCTAGATGATGCCTAACACCTACAAAACTTAAGAACAAAAGCCTGTGTAGCCTTTTCATCATACTTTTTTTATTAGTGAAACTGGCCCAACTAACCAATAGAACTGATGTTTATGGGATTTTTTTCAATCAACATATTGACCCTCCTGGGCTTAAAGCTTGAAACTTATATTTGTCTTATCTGAGTTCCTTCAGGCCTCCCAGATAGTATTAATAGCAAGGAACTGAATCTTACCCAATCATCCCATCCATCCAATGAGATGCCAGACCATTCATTCAACCACTTGCTGCCTGTTGACCCACTCCATTTCCTCACCCCTCCTGTTTTCCTTCTCTGCTACATAAACCTGTAACTTTAGTCAGGAATTTGGGGGGATTCAGTGAGAGACAGATTTGAGAGATTTGAGACTTATCTCCCATCTCCCTGACTTAACATCACCCAAATAAATAAAGCCTTTCTTCCTTGGCAATACTCATTGTCTCAGTGATTGGCTTTCTGTGAAGCAAACAACCAAACCTAGACCAAAACTGTGATGTTCAATAACACTACCACCTTTCTACAATTTTTTCCTGTCTTTTGTTCTTTTTTTATCCTCCATCTTACTTTTTAAAAATCTCAGAAAGGATTCAAGTTAGTTTTATATGTATGTCATGTACATCTGTTCTCAAACAGATGACTTAAGAGTTCAAAATCAGATGAACTCATAGAGACAGAAAGCTGAAGAGTTACCAGGAGTTGGCTCAGGGGTGGGCACAGGGATTTTAGCAGTGGTTGGCGAGGATGGTGGAGAATGAAGAGTTACTATTTAATGAGTATAGTTTGTTTAGAAATGATGAATAGGTTCTGGAAATGGTTCCAGGTGGTTGCATAAAACTGTAAATGTACTGACTGCCACTAAACTGTACACTTAAAAATGGTTAAAATGGTAAATTTTTATGTGTGTTTTACCGCAATGAGAAAAAAAGGTGGGGGGGCGGGGGGCGCAAAAAAAAGCAGATGCAGCACACCATCTCTTTTAGACATGACCAATTTATTCAGAGAATTCAAATTTCGTTTGGCAAAGTATATCCGGGGCAGAGAGTTTGGGATAATTATGTCATTGGAAGCAATCACATTATCTACAGCAAATTGCCTGGGGTAGTATCTGAAGGAAAGGCAAAACTTTTAAAAACAATTTAGTATGTGGGGGGGTGATAATCATAAATATTTGCAAAGGTAACAAAACAAACAACCAGCTTATACAACCAAGGCACAAAATATGCTAATGCTAATAATCCTTTATTCAATTTAGCTCAACACACATTAAGTACTTAATTTGTGCAAGAGACTGGGCTATGTGCTGGGGGTGAGGTGGAAATACAAAAACACTAAGATGCAATCCCTCTCAAGAACTGTATAATCTAGTAAGAGCACATACAGAGATGGTGCTTGCAGGTAAAAACTGCTCTGAAACCATGGGGAGAGAAGAGTTTACTTCCTTCCAGAGGGTGAAGTCGGGACCCATTTAAATTTGGTAGTATGGGTGAGGAAGGTCATAACACGCTAAGTAAACTGGTGTCTAAGCATGTGACGGCAACAGCTAATGGTCTAGTTCCTCCATGGCTTTAAATGCATGAAAGGGAAAAGAGTATTCAAAGGTATTTTTATTTTATCTCATTGTTAGCCCAGTATAAGGCAGGATGACAAAAAATAAATAAAAGTATGAAGAGGCAAGAACATAGATTGAAAACTCCATTTCCTAGTTTTAGTGTAAACTCAATCCCTTGTGCATATACATCTAGTTCCTGAAGTCCACACTGCCAAAAGGGAAAAACAAGAAAAACCAGCCCTAGCAGTGCCCTGTCATCATGGCAGAGCACTGTCTCTTCTGTGGGACTGAAACAGCTAGCTTTGGCTACTGCCGGTAGTGGACAATATGGCACATGGAAATTAAAAAGTCCATAAACGTGCCCTCCTAACACGAGAATAAGAAAGGTGGCTGAAGTAGATAATTTCAGTGACGGAGGGGATGAAATATTTTTTGGTTAATTGATGTAATGATGACTCACTATGCCTTATTTCCTATTTTTAAAAACACAGAATGAGCAAGTCATTCCTGAACAAAAATTTACTGTGTGTATAACATACACCTCAAAATGAATTTTAAGGGAACATATTACTAATCAAATAACACAGTTTATGCTTTTTCAATTTCCACAAATTGTTAATTATGATACTTAAGGGAACCCTTACAATATATAACAAGTCATTTCAATATTATTCATCATCCTTAACTTCTGAAAGTTTGGTTTATGTTATCTTATCTAGAAAGAAAACTACTTACAAATCTCATTTTCCCACAAAATTAATTCAACATCCAACCTTAAAAATAAATAAAGCTTTGCCAATGGTAAATTGGAATGCATATACTTGCCAGGCTTTGATGAAATAAAAATAAACGATTTACATAAGCAGTACCTGGTAAAACCAAAACCTCCTTTTGAAGTATAAAGTTCCATTCTTCTTGCCCTCTCAGAACTGCCAATCAATTAGAATCCTCTCCCCCAGGAACTGTTCTGGTTTGTAATGTCATACACAGTATTTTTTAACATTAATAAATTATTGATATGCTACCATAAATAAATAGTCACTTTTTAAACCAAAATGACTGTAGAGGACTAACAGCACACTGAAATAATTTATTTAAAACTAAGATTTGTAAAACTGTGATCTATCCTGGTCTAATATTATTAAAATTAAAAATCAAAAGATGAAATATTATTTCAGACCTATATACATCAAGATGCCAGTTCTTATAAAAAACATACTTTAGTTGTAAATGCTAGGTTATGCAAAAATAATTTTATTTCAATTTAATTTTAATGAATCTCCCCCAACTATAATATTAAAAACATCAAAAGAACTTAAGTTTTAATGGCAAAAAGTTCCTATTTTCCCCCATCTACTAAAAAGGTTGTTTTCCCTTATTAACATACAATGCCCTATTGTTAAGGCACAACTTTTTTTAGATTAAAAATGAAACCATAGATTAGGTTTATTTTATACAACAGTTACAAGACAGACCTTTTGTAGGCATATAAATACATCTTAAATTCAATCAAGATCTAAAATGAAAAATTATTTTTTCTTTCTAGGATCAATCAACACATAGCCAATAGGTAGTTACAGCTAGAATAATTCCAACAGTTCCTGTTTTAACCTGTCAGATTGTCTCCAAAAGGCCATCTTCAAAGTGCGATCTAAGAGAGGAAAGCTGAATATTTTCCTTTCTGCATCGGCACTCCACCTTTCTTTACTTATGCTCAGCTATCAGAGATGGCTGTCACCTTCAAAGCCTAAGTGAGATCCAATTTTTGAATTCAACATGAAACAAGGACAGATATCCTGATCCTGGGGTGACCAGGGTAGATGTCTGCTTTGCATCCTCCCTGTTACCCTTCTCCTGACCTCCCTCTAGCTTCTTTCTGACCCTCTTCCTAGCCACCACCCCTCTCCCTCTGACACAGTTCACAAAATATTCAAAGGGAGCACCTAACAAACAAGAGGAATTTGCACAACTGTTACTTAAAACATACAAACCAAAATGTTTTTGTTACTTCATTATATAGTATAAACAATCAACTGAATAATTACTGATTTAAAATAAAGAAAGAAACACTAAAATTGGGGTAGCACATACCAAGACAAACATGACCATCTTGTAGGTCCTTGTAAATTCAACTGAACTGGGGATACAAGTAGGAAAACAGTAAAAGCAAGTTTCCTCAAGCATGCATATCTACCCAACTCTCTTGTATTTTTTTTTACATTTACATTCTTGAACAATGGGTAGAAAGAAATACTTCGTAAAAACACTCATATTAGACTTGACAACATAAAGGGTTGTGGTTTTGAAGGTGATTTTCCTTTACTTTGTGAGGAGTCTTTGTAATCTAATAGTGAACTAGGCCTCCTCCAGGATTGATCTCTGATACTAGGAACTTTACCAGAGCTTCAGATTTCAGCAGCCAATATCCAGAAAAATGTATATCTAAAAGAATTTGGGAGTGAGAGTTGTGAGGGAAGTATCCTGGCTAAGAAAGAAAAGCAGAGATAAAGGAGAACATGAACCGGTAAGGGAAATGGTCACAAGGTAGAAGAGATGAAGAAGGGCAGAGGAGGGGGACAGCTGATGGGTACTGAGATCACTGATGTCACTGCCTCTACTAAATGTGGTGCATAAAAGTCATATTTTAAGAAAAATTGCCTCAAAATAAGGGCAACAGTGAAGAAAAGACCAGGAGCTGGTGAGGTGTGGGTCATTAAAAGCAAAAGGTAATGACTTTGCTACTTTTTAGAAATAATTTTAATGTAATTCTGGGAGATAACATTACTCATTCATGAAGGTGTTTTACTAGGATGCTATGGCACAATGTCTTGTGTAAATAAATATAAATACTGTTCCTAATTCTGCAACGTATATTGGCTTTTAAAAACAAACAATTTTAAAAATGAACTTTTTATAAAAGTACTTAAAAAAAATCATTAGTAACTAGACTATACCCAACATATTATAAAAATAATGTATTTAACTCTCAACCAATACCTTAAGTTTTGCACACAACACACACCCTTCACAAAGTCATTATCTAGATGCAGATTAATACAATTAAAAATAAAAATAAAATCATCACTTTGGGAGGCCGAGGTGGGCGGATCACCTGAGGTCGGGAGTTCGAGACCAGCCTGACCAACATGGAGAAACCCTGTCTCTAACAAAAATACAAAAAAATTAGCTGGGTGTGGTGGTGTATGCCTGTAATCCCAGCTACTTGGGAGGCTGAGGCAGGAGAATCGCTTGAACCCGGGAAGCAGAGGTTGCGGTGAGCCGAGATCACGCCATTGCACTCCAGCCTGGCCAACGAGAGTGAAACTCTGTCTCGAAAAAATAAAATAATTCCTGCTAATATGAACTAGTTTGCTTCCCATTAAATCAGAGTTCCCATAAAACATTGAAATTAAATTCCATTTTTTACTTGCCAGTCCCATTTCCCTAACTTTGACATACTATAATAAAAACAGATGCTTATACCACAGGACTCTGGCAACAGCATATACCTTTGCCATCTCTCCTGAAAAAGAAAGTTTCTTCAGCTTATTGCAAAGGAAAAAAATGAGGTCTCTGATACTCTTTTCAAAATTTTCAAGTCCTATTTAAATATCAAGTGTTCCACCTACCAAAACTTTGAATGAATTTTCACTGAAAAGGCCTACTGCTAAGGCCCAACACCTTCTCGAATTTGACCAGTTGCAAGAGATTGGGTGAAAACATTTGTGTCATATTAGATTCAGTTTACTAATAAGAAAGTAAAGGGCTTTGGACAATGTAACATACAAACCTAAAGTATGCACATTCCACCAGGCTAGAACGTACATTCTTTGGTCAATTTTACTTCCAAGATGGGAAAATAAAGGGTAAGCTGCTTTATGGTTAAAAAATTTAGCAAAGAAAGAAACCGTGAGAAATCCCTCTCATCAGCATGTTATGGAATACAAGGGCACTGGAGTCACATGAAATAACGGCATGGGTAGTTTACATGAAGTTTCCAGATTTCACATTGAGAGAAACCATACATCCCAATGAAAGACAGTTCACAAAGCAAGGTTCTAGTTACGGTAACACAATGAATATGTCACAACTTTTTTTTTCTAACCAGACTAGAAAAAAATTTCATCAAAAAGTACCTTCAACCTTCTCTATTTTAATCTGAGGGGAAATTAAGAGAATCTCAAAAGTTACTACAGAGTTTGGGTAGGCTAGATACATTTATTAATAGTAAAAGCAACCATGGCAAAAGCAACCATACTCATTCTTGATAATGAAAGGATCTTCTATATACAAACCTAGCAAATTAAAAAAAAATACTAAAACAAAGTGTCTGAAGATAATGAAAGGCAGTTCAATTCATGTAATGTCAAGTAACTTTCAATTGTAATAGAATCATTTATATTCTTATAGTGCCTTACAGCATATTTTATCGTTAATGAGAAAATGAACCAAAACTATAGTGCTAACCCTGAAACCTTAAACCGAACCTTACAAAGTTAAAGACTAAGTGTTGGTCAGAAGGAAAAGGATGCAACCATGCATCTTCCACAGGGAAAATGAAAATAGCAAGATGGCAGAAATGCTGAACTCATGGGTACAAACACACTTTTCTTTATAAAAACAAAACAACACACACACATACACACAGAAATTATTACAATGCAAATCATCATGTGTCTCTATTTTCTACCAGCTGGTGAACCTGTTATTAAAATTTAAAAGAAAAAATCAATTAAACTTTTTCTATTTTAATCCATAGAAATATTCAGTAACATAAATACAACATTTGTTGCATATTAATGAATGTGTGGCTTCTTGTGCTTTCCATCCAAATTAGAGGTAAAAATCCCCAATGACTTTATTTTCAATGAGATATAGTTGTAAAGTTATATTAAACATCTACACAAAAATCAATCTTTCCTTCAACCGAATTCTATATGAAAGTACTAACAGTGAAGATTCATGATGTTGTGTGAAAATGGTGACTCATAACAATGTAGACTCAGCTACAGATTTTAATTCACAAATATATATATGCGCCTTGTGTATGACAACTGTATGAAAATAGTCTCAAAAATAAAGACAATACTTGAGACACAAAGCAACCCATTTTCCCTGATTTTGCATTCTATTACAGGGAAAATAAGTCTCTGATGCTTCATAAATACTTTAAAAAGTTCGGGATGGCCTTAACCATGCATAGTCTCCACCAATCCTTTGAAGCTTCCAGCATCTCAGGCTAACCATTTCAGCTGTGAAGAACTGTACCCTGTAATCAGTTATGCTCATTTATGTCCTGTCTTTTCTAGATCTGGGAGTTTTCTGACCAGGGCCTGGTGGTTCATTCTGATGCTAGCAAGGAGTCCCCCTTCAATGCCGTCTGAACCAGTGTAACTGATTTCTTCACCACTCAGGGTAGTCATATGCCCCCCTAGGGCTTTTAAGATGGCATTACCAGCACATATATCCCACTTTTTGATGTATGTCACATGGATGTATAAATCAGCTTTTTCTTGACTCTTATCAGGCACATCCAAAAGTGCTAAAACTTTATAACCTAAAAGATAAACAAAGAATTTAGGTTATTATTCAAAAAATTTTAAGAAAGTAGCATACTTTTTTGATTAAGTATCCTGTTAAAATAGCAGGATGGAGTGTGCAGGAGCTTGCTGCAGTCTCTGCAACTGCTTAAGTTTAAAATTATTTCAAATTAAAAAAATTTTAAAGTAACTGTATAAACATTAAACTCAGAACAAAAATACATTGCAAAGTAACTTATTGTTTATTTTTATTTATTTATTTATTTTTTGAGACAGAGTCTCGCTCTGTCACTCAGGCTGGAGTGCAACAGCGCGATCTTGGCTCACTGCAACCTCCACCTCTCGGGTTCAAGCGATTCTCCTGCCCCAGCCTCCTGAGTAGCTGGGATTACAGGTGCGTGCCACCATGCCCTGCTAAATTTTTTTGTATTTTTTAGTAGAGACAGGGTTTCTCCGTGTTGGTCATGCTGGTCTTGAACTCCTGGCCTCGTGATCTGCCTGCCTTGGCCTCCCAAAGTGCTGGGATTACAGGCGTGAGCCACTGCACCCGGCCTGCAAAGTAACTTATTAAGCTAGTCTCAAATGTAACCAAATATATACCTACAATTTAAAAATTTTAAATCTACATTGTGGTTATTTTCTATGGAATGACACATTCATTACGTGCCATTTTCTATGGAATGACATATTATACACACAAGTTTTACCTAAACATCTAAGTAGGCCCGATGTGAAAGAGAACTAACAGTAACACTACCACTCTAAAGCCTTTTTGTAATGAGGCAGAATTTAAAAACTAAAGTAATAAAACAAATGCAGAAGAAACTGGGTCTAGAACCTAGTCATCTCATCCCTGCTGGGTATTCTGGACATTACTTTTCCTAACCAACCTAACAGAGAGCCTCTAAGAAAATAATGAAGCCATATGAAAGAAGGCAGATATATAGAACAGAAAATTAAAATTATTAGGCATAAAAGTTAAAAAGTATTGACCAGGTGTGGTGGCTCACGCCTGTAATCCTAGCACTTTGGGAGGCCACAGCAAGCAGACTGCCTGAGCTCAGGAGCTCAAGACCAGCCTGGGCAACGTGGCAAAACCCCGTCTCTACTAAAAATAAAAAATTAGCCAGGCATGGTGGTGCATGCCTGTAGTCCCAGCTACTCGGGAGGCTGAGGCACGAAAATCACCTGAGCCCAGGAGGCGGAGGTTGCGATGAGCCTAGATCACACCACTGCACTCCAGCCTGGGAGACAGAATGAGACCCTATCTCAAAAAAAGAAAAAACAAAACAAAACAAAACAAAAAAGAAGTATTACTTCTCCCTTTATGTGTGCTGAGAAGGTTTTCCAACACATTTGTTTTCTGACCATAATTTGCTATTAACCTGAATTAAAACATTTCTGACATGTTAGACAGTACTCATAACAGGAGTTGACAAACAGCCCCTCAAGCTAAATCCGGGTCATGGCCTGTTCTTACAGGGTTAAGATGAGAATCTTTAAAAAATATGTTCAAAAGTTCATTAAAGAAAATCAAATAATAGTATGCAACAGAGACTGTATATATATGGCTCATGAGGCTTCAAATTTTATTATCGGTTTCTTTTCCAAAAAACTAGGTTGACTATAATACAATAGTAGAGAATATACGATAAGGTGGGTGCGCACTAGCCTCTCTTGCTCATCCCAGGTATGCAGGTTAAAGAGTTCAGGGGTGTTAAAAGTGACTCAGGGATTAGCCTTTCTAATAATACTTATGATGACTCCTGGCGTCTTTCTGCCATATGAAGCATCTTAAGTGCTTGATCTTTCTTCCTCTCCTTGATATTCCCACAGTTAAGTAAGACAATTATTTTGAAATCAGACTGCATAAAAAGCAATTAGTGGTAGATCTAATGGGAATATGCTTTTGTGTATTCAAGAAAGAGAAACCACTGTTGTGAGACTGCTTCTTTCTAATAAGAAGGGCAGAGTGACTAAAATCCCACCCTCGAGGTTACCAAACAGGAGACCAAGCCTGTCTTGAAAGTACACCACTCCTCCTCACTTTCCTCCCAAGCATGGACAAGCAAATTAGTCTCCTAACATAGCCTTGACCATGCCAGGAACATTCTCCAGGGACCACACAGGAAGAGGAACATACCAGCACCACCAGCTGGGATAATTGTAGTCTGGTTTCCAAAAGTCTGAAGAGCGACCTGTTTGACCATCCCTGAATGGGAACGAGACACAACGATCCTTGGGGTCTTCTCATTGTAGGAAGAGCGGGCTTTCACATTTGAACCACCATCTACCATTGCCCAAGCTGAAAAGCAAATATAATATCCATTAATGGCACTGAAGCTTTAAAACTAAAGGTTATATTCTTCAGAACCCAAAGTGCTATGTATGACTGACAAAATAGCTCTCTTCTAAAAAATTATTTGTATTTTCCCCCAAAACAGAAAGCTTTTTTTTTCAGAGTACAAAAGTAGTATATATGTATTTGTAAAATAGACATGTATTAAGACAAAACTAAAAAAGTTCATGTTATCTTGCATAACCAAAGACAACGACTATTAAATATTTGGCTTAAGGATTCCCATGCTCCACTGGGATGACACTGCAACTCCACTTCTCCCTGCATCTATCCAACTTCCTTCCCTCTCTTTCACAGTTGTGATCCCAACAGCACTCCCTAATAAACACCCTGAAGCTAATCTCCAGCTCCAAGTCTGATTCCTGGAGAACCCAACCTGCAACATAAGCACAAGTAACTTCCCTAACTCCAATTTTAAAATGCATTTTCTCCTATACTGCCTCCACTTCTATATACTCATGGTTTCAATTATTTGAATATTAGCTCAATCTCCTAAGTGACTTTATAAACAGAAAACAGTTAAAAGAGGTGAGTTAGGTTTACATATCAGCCTTATCAGAGAGTATTAAAGAAAAAGCCTTAGATTTCAAAATAGAATAGAATTTTTAAAAGGGAAGGGGATGTCAGAGATGGCTTCAGATGATTTTCCTGGTTTGGAAGTTTTCTTCACTGACTATAAAACTATACAAGAGAACAAACTTACTCAGAATTATCCCAATTAGATTGTTGTTTTAGCAGTCACTCACTACAGGGCAAGATATAGTCCACCATGGCTAGTAATGAAACCAGCTGCATCACCAGCTTATTTCTGGCTGCAGAGAAAAAAATCAAAAACATTAGCTGAGTTTGGGTTTCTGAGTTCCCCAAGAATGATGGCAGTCTCCTGGACTCTTCTCATACCTCCTTCTAAAAACTATACACAGCAACAAGAAGAACAAATAGAAATACCCATGCTCTGTACCTACAGAGTAAGTAGGAGACAGAAGAGAGCTACCAACACAAACGTATGAGAAAGTAGGGAGGTAAACACTGAAGAACAGCAGGATAAGCGCTGGAGCTGACCCTAGTGTGGGGATTATAGCAAGAGCTTCACAGAGGAGTTAAGAGGTCAGAGAACTCTCAGTGGCTGTAGGACTCAGATAACAGCAGCCAGGATTTCTCCCCAGAAGGAAGAGGTTCCATCTAAAATGGGAAGTATTGAAAAAGGCTTGAAACTTGGCAACAAAGCATCAAGCAGCAGCTTGGAGGAGATACGGGACCAGAATTGTAGTCTTGAGAACACCCTGGTGGCAGCAAGGGAGGGGATGATGATGTAAGACATCTTTTGGGATTTGGAAGGTAGCAACTAGAGCTGAAGAGAAGGAAGAGATTAAGATAGGGGCTTTATTGAAACAAGGTCAGATCAAACAAGAAAGAAGAGCTCTGAAAACCAAAAACCATACTGACAATGAAGATAAAGCCTTTCCCACACTAACAGAAATGAAAGCTCCTGAACTGGGAATCATCCAAACTCCCTTCCTGCCACCAACCTTCCATTAATCCCACAATAGCTGGCCCAAACAGGGATAAGAAGTATAAAACTGCAATGTCCACTGAAAAATATAAAAAGAAAACATAGAGAACATAGATTAAAACATTTCAGGATACTCAAATTTCCACAATGCAGAGAAAAACCATAAACCAATATTCTAACATGATTAAAAATAATAAGCAACAATATATTGAATAAATGCCATGAAACACAAGATCAACAACTCAGAAAAGATGGGCAAACAATAACAAGATGTAAAGTGGGAGCTCATATAACACAGAAAAGAAACTGAATAAAAAGAAAAGAACAAAATCACTGCAGGCTTAGCACTAAATCACAGGACACACAAAGGGCAACAGACTTCTCCAAAAGTATAGCAAGCAATGAGAAAAGCAAAAAGGAAAGTGAAACAAGTAAACAGATAAAAGGGATCACAGAGAAAGTGATAGATTAAAAAAAAAAAAAACAAAAAAGAGTCAACATACATATATAAGGAGTCCCTGAAAAAGAAAAATTAATGGGATAGAGCTAATCTTTAAAATTGCAATTCAAGAAAATGTCCCTAAAAAACAAAAGAGAACCTTAGTCTGGGCTCAGTGGCTTGTGCCTATAATCCTAGTACTCTGGGAGGCCAAGGTCGGAGGATCACTTGTTGAGCCCAAGAGTTAAAGGCTGCAGTGAGCTATGATCATGCCACTGCACTTCAGCCTGGGCAACAGAGTGAGATCTTGTCTCTAACAAAATAAAAAAATTAGGAGAGGACCTAAACATCTACACTGAGAGACATACTGAGTACATGGGAAATTTGCCCAGAATGCCAATTCTAAAAGACATCATAGTTACATCATTGAAGTTTAGTGGGTTGAATGAACAGTATCCTACCAAACTTCATGTCCACTTGGAACCTTCAGATTGTGAACTCATTTGGAAGCAGGATCTTTGCAAATGCAATTAGTTCAGCTGAGGTCATAGTGGAGTAAGGTGGGCTCTAAATCTAATGACAGGTGAGCTCTAAATCTAATGACTGGTGTCCTTATAAGCAGGGGAGACAGAAAGGAGACTGTCATGTGAAGATAGGCAGAGACTGGCTGGAGTGATGCATCTACTGACTAAGGAATGCCAACAATGTCTGGAGCCACCAGAAGCTGCAAGAGAAAACTTCCTCCAAGCCTGCAGAGAAAGTATGGCCCCACTGACTCCTTGATACCAGACTTCTGGCCTCCAAAACTTTGAAAGAATAATTTTCTGTTGTTTCAAGTTTGTGGTTAACTTGTTACGACAGCCCGAGGAAACTAATACAGAGTGAACCAAAGACTGTATAACTAGCCAAGTAGTCTTTTAAGTATCAAGACTATAGACAAAGTTGTTAGCATGTACTCAGGGAAGATCATACCATGAGTTAGCTCTTCTAAGGTAATCTATTACAGGACAAGCTTTATCCAACCAAGGGGTGACTGAGAAACTCTTAGCAAATGCATTGTCGGTTACCATTGAACAAATTTAACTGTGGATTTAAGGGGAAACCAAAGATGGGAATAAGGTAAAAGAATAAAGGTGTATAAATGGTTTTCTCATACTTGGCTGATAAAAGTTAAAGGACACCATTTAACTCTGACAAGCTGAACAGCAGAGTCGAAAAGTAAACATCAAAAAAAAACAACTGTCTAAAATGAAATGATGGTCAAGGATGAAATATGCTAATTTCACTGACGCTTATAGTAGTGAACCAAGAGACAATGAGACAATGTCTAAAGAAAAGGACTACATGAGTATGTAAAGAAAAAAGGATAAATAAAGGCATTAGTAAAAGCAACAAAAAGAACAAATTTAACTTAAAATAACAGTAGTTGTCTGAACCACACTGAACATATAAAATTCATTAAGATCATAAGAATATTTTACAGAGAGGAAGCCTGTTCCTTCCTGGAAAAACATGTTACCGCTGGAAGGGTTCTATACTCTAACTCCTTACTCTGAAAATTGGTAAATAAAGTAAAAGAATTAAACATTTATCCCGCTTTTCTAGAAGAAACATTTCAGGATAAACAAATTAATTCCAGTTAATAGAGAAAATTCTCTATAGAAGAATTCATGCTAATATATGTAGAAACAACAGAAACAGAAAATCTCATTTTATAACATCTTTAATAGAGCTTAAAACTATTATGCAAAAGGTTTAATAAAACTGGATCTCAAATGATGTCAAAATCTCTCCAGATTACTTGCTAGTAGCAAAAAAATAAAAATTTTGTAACTAAGAGATCAGGTCATGAACACTTTAATCATCTGAGCATCATGAATGGCGAGACAAGTATTGTGTAATATGATGCAGTAGGAAGTATGTGAAAAATACCTACAATGTATTCATGACAAAAATGCTTAACCTCAATCCAATCAAGGATTCAGATCTAATCTGCACTTTTTATAAGAGGATATAAAAATAAAGAAGTTAAATGACACCCTTTGGAAACAATCAGACAAGTCCAAAAGACAGACCATTCTAAAGGAGAAATGACTTAAGCTTCCCAACATCAATGTCATGGGGGGCATAAGGGGCCTAGGGGTTGTTCTAGATTAAGAAACCTTAACAACCTATCAACCAAAATAAATGCTTGTTGGTTGACTGGATCTTGGTTTGAAGCAATCAGCTGTAAAATCCATTTTAGCAGCAATCGGGGAAATGTAAATATTTGATGACATTAGGAAATAACTGTTAATTTTATTATATTAATATACTGTCCTTTTGTAGAAAATCTCCTTACTTTTTAGAGATGCATACTGAAGTATAAGGGTAAAATGTTTATTATGATCCTTATAATTTTCTTTAAGGTACACAGGCCAAAAAATAGGAAAGCAAATATGTAAAACTGTTATCAACTGCTAAATCAGGATGAAGGGGTATATAAGTATTCATTATAATTTTACGTTTGTTTGAAATTATTCATAAAAGTAAAAAAAAATGAAGAGAACAAAACAAAAAATCCTCTTAATCCTTTTCATAAATATTCCAAAAACCAGTTTTACTAAGAAGTGAATTTACAGTGCTTTATCTCTAGAGGTCAGTATTGTGTAAGAGAATAAAAATATTATAGCATATCTCAGTACATACTACCAGAATAATGTAAGAATTGCTGACTTAGTATTTTTAAAAATGTTCTTCATGTTACATAAACTCAATACATTTATTAGTAACACTTACATGAACATAATTATTTCAAGTGTCTAGTACAGTAGGTGCTTAAATAAATGTAAATGATGGATGATAATGAGGTATAGTGGTAAGGCAGAAGAGCAGCTACAAAATGTGTTTATTTTACCTGTAAGATAAGCTTAAAAAAAAAAAAAAAAAAGCCCAGTAGGAAATAAAAAGTGGTTGGTTGGTACGTTCCTACACCTACTTCAGAAATAACAATTTATTATTAATAGCTATAAAATTTCCACCGAGTGAATATACACTTGACCCTTGAACAACACAGGTTTGAACTGTGTGGCTCCCCTTACATCCAGATATTTTTCAATAAATATTTTGGTAAGCTTTTTGGAGATTTGTGACGATTTGAAAAAAATTCACGGACAAATTAAGTAGCCTAGAAATATTAAAAATTTAAGAAAAAGCTAGGTATGTTATGAATGCATAAAATATGTTGGAACTAGCTTATTTTGTCATTTACTACCATAAAATATACACAAAGTATAAGAAGTTAAAACTTACCAAAACTTAAGCACACAAGCACTTACAGACCATACATACGTAGTGCCATTCACAGTTAAGAGAAATGTAAACAAATGTAAAATCATAAACTGCACAAAATTATAGTATGTATTACTGAAATAATTTTGTACCACCCCCCCCCCCACAATGCTACTGTGTGGGCCCAAGTGTCATGAGCACCCACTTAAAACCCTATGTGACTTTGGGAGGCTGAGGAGGGCGGATCATGAGGTCAGAAGATCGAGACCATCCTGGCTAACATGGTGATACCCCGTCTCTACTAAAAATACAAAAAATTAGCCGGGCGTGGTGTCAGGCATCTGCAGTTCCAGCTACTCGGGAGGCTGAGGCAGGAGAATGGCGTGAACCTGGGAGGTGGAGCCTGCAGTGGGCTGAGATCACGCCACTGCACTCCAGCCGAGCGAGACTCCGTCTCAAAAAAAAGAAAAAAAAAAAGAAACCCTACGTGATGTAATCATCTCTGTGTGAGCAGTTTGTCTCTCCGGCAAACTGCTCATCATGGTAAAAAGTGATCTTTTGTGGGTTTTGCATATTTTTCATAGTGTTTAGTACAATTTCATAGTGTTTAATGCAAACTTTGAATAACACCCATGAGACTCATTTGAAGAGCCACTAGTGATGCCGGAAGTGCTCCCACCTAGAGAAAAATCATGACATTACAAGAAAAAGTTGAATTGCTTGATATACACCACAGATTGAGGTCTGTAACTGTGGCTGCCTGCTATCTCAAGATAAATGAATACAGCGTAAGAATAATTGTGGGAAAAAAAAAACAAGAAAACTCATGAAGCCATTGCTGAAGCTACACACCAACAGGTGCAAAAACCTTAACACTTTTTAATGAAATACCTTTTTATCTCATATTGAAAATGCAGCTATTATGTGGGTATAAAACTGCTACATGCCTAAAGACTGTAGTATGATTCAAGAAAAAATGAAGTCATATGACAACTTTAAAAAAAAGGAAGGTGAAGAATCTAAAGCTGGATTATTTAATGCCAGTAAAGGATGGTTTGATAATTTTAGAAAGAGGTCTGGTTTTTAAAAATGCCAAGATAACAGGAGTAGCAGCTTCTACCAACCAAGAGGCAGCAGACAAGTCCCCAGATGCCATTAAGAAAATCACTGAGTTCTGTCTGCTTGAACAGGTTTTCAATGCAGACAAGTGTCCTATTCTGGAAAAAAAAAAAAAATTTAAAAAAGGGGCCACAAAATACATTTATTAGTAAGGAAGAGAAATGAGCACTAGGATTTAAGACAGGAAGGGATGGGCTAACTCTACTGTTTTGTATAATGCAGTCAGGTTTATGACCAGGACAGCCCTTATCTACAAAACCGCTAACCCCCGAGTCTTGAAAGGAAAAGATAAAACACCAGCTGCTTGCTAGTCTTCTGACTACAACAAGAAGGCCTGGACAACAAGAATCCTTTTTCTGGATTGAGTCCACTGATGCTTTGACCCTGAAGTCTGAAAGTACTTTGCCAGTAAGGGACTGCCTTTTAAAGTTCTTTGAGTACTGGACAATGCCCCTGGCTACCGAGAACCCCATGAGTTCAACACTAAAAGCATCAAGTGATTTACTTGCCCCCAAACACTACGTCTCTAATCCAGCCTCTAGAGCAGGAGGTCATAAGGACCTTTAAGGCTCATTATACAAAGTACTCTATGGAAAGGACTGTCAATACCAATAGTAGAGAACCCTGACAGAGAAAATCATTCAAAGTCTGGAAGGATTACACCACTAAAGATGCCACTGTTATAGAAAACCCATGAATTCGTCAAGCCCAAAATAATAAGTTCCTGCTGGAAAAAACTGTCCAGATGTTGTGCATGTCTCCACAAGATTTACAACAGAGGCAATCAAGAAAATCATGAGAGTGCAGATATTATTTTTAAAAGGTGGGGCGTAGAGGGTTTCAAGATAGGGATCTTGGAGACATTCAAGAGTGAACAGACACCACACCAGAGGATTAACAGAAGACGACTTGATGGAGATGAGTGCTTCAAACCAGGGCTAGACGATGAGAAAGAAGATGTAGAAGAAGCAGTGCCAGAAAATAAATTGATTTTAGACAATCTGGAAGAAAGGTTCTCATTATTCAAGACTGCTTTTGACTTCTTTTATGACATGGACCATTTTACGATACAGTCACTGAAACTAAAGCAAATAAGGAAGGATTGGTACCATATAGTAAAATTTTTAGAGAAATGAAAAGTAAAAAAGTCAAACAGACATTACAACATATTTTCACAAAATTACATCAAGTATATCCTGCCTCTCCTTCCACCTCCTCCACCCGAGACAACAAAACTAATAATCCTTTCTCTTTCTCCTCCTCCTCTGCCTATTCAATGTGAAGACAAAGAGGATGAAGACCTTTAGGATAAGCAATTTCCCTCTTATTCAATCATATATTTGCTCTTATGATTTTCTCAGTAACATTTTCTTTCCTCTAGCTTACTTTATTGTAAGAAACAGTACATCATAAATATGCAAAATATGTGTTAATCAGCTATTTATGTTGTTAAGATTTTTGGTCAAAATGAGGCTATTCGCAGTTCAGTTTTTAAGGAGTCAAAAGTTACACACAGATTTTCAACAATCAGTGCCCCAACCCCTGCACTGTTCATGGGTCTACTGTACTACACTTACTTATACATTTATATATTACTTCAGTAAAATACTATTCAAGTATCTCTTGATTCTAAGAATTTCAAGGAATTAATTCTAATTAAGTCTGATAAAAATTTTTATAAGCTTTGCTCTTATTGCCAACAACAATAATATCTAGTTCCCACTATAGTGAAGTGTAGCTAAATTCTGGTAAACATACCGATACTTAACAACTGGTATTCCTCCAACATCAACATACCGTCTGGATCTGAAAATAACATTCCAGGAGGAGGGCACAAGCAAACATTCAGTGTGGGAATGGAAGGTCAACCCAACATAATTCTAAACGTATTGATTATTTTAGAGAGTTTGCGGACTAGCAAGCACCTTTGTGTTCCAGTACATTGGGCAAGTTAGCCGCATTACAGAAGAATGGGGTATTATATTACTAACTTAAAAAGACATTTTTAGAAACCACTTTTTGCTAAGTTAGGGACATTTGGCTTCTTTAAGGTGGGTAAGCCTACAGATGAGAGAGGAATATATATTCTTATTAAATAAAGGTTTCTAAAAAGGGGCATTTTATTATCCCTATTCTTCCCTCTAATACGTACAGATGTGGAAATCAATGCCCAGAGAATGTCAATCTATTTGCCTATCTAATACCAATTTCCTCATTTCCTTTATTGAGCTTCCAATTCTCTTTGGAATAGCAGGCTCTGTTTGCAGCTAAGGGTGCCATGTGACATTCGGCCAATAAAATGAAGCAGGGGTTTAATGGATAGGACTTCAAGATATTTTTTTCCTCATACAAAGAATATCTAGGGTAGACCTTTTGTCTCTCTTCTTTCTCCTTTCTTCCTGCCTAGAACTGAGAACCGTGGTAAATGAGAGGAGCCACCTTTGTGAACATGCAAACAAAAAGCTACCTTCTAAGAAAAAAAAGCAAAAAGAGAGGAGTCAGATCCTTATACGTATTATGGAGCCACTAAAGCACACCTACGCTTTGGCCTTGTTAGTTGAGAAAAAGAAACCCTTCTTGAACCACTGTAATCAGATTTACACTGTGTGTAGCTAAATGCCATCCTAACTGATATAGCGAGATAATAAGGGACAGTGTCAAAAGAAAAAGAGGGATTCAAAGACTTAGGCTCTGTCTTTAACTTTTATATGCCTGTTTTTTTAATTAAAAAAAGTCATAATTTCCATTTTATATTCCTTCCAGAGTTACTGAAGACTGAAAAAACTTATGTCAATGCACTTTATAAACTGTGAAAATACAAAATAATTGTAAGATACTATTAAGGAGTGGTTAGTTCTTAGAGTAACATTTTGAACTTATGGTTTCATGATAGGAGCTCCTAAGTCCATTTTTTCATCTATAAAAAAAGATAATGTCTTTCCTTGTCACATAGTTACTGAAAGGTTCAAATGAGATAACATTAAGTATACTGCAAATTGTTAAACACGATATAAATGTTAGAAATTATGGAGTTATTATTTTGAAAGTGGTGTGACACTGATTTGAATAAAATTTCTATGGTTGATTCTACCACTAATTTACATGAATGACCTTGAGGAAGGTATTAAATTTTTGAGTCTCATTTCCTCAATTGTAAGTGAGAGTACTGATTTTAGTAACTGTGTCCCTCTCTCTGTGTAGCAGTACTATGCTGTACTCCAACATCCACTTTCCCTGTTTTCCTTCAATGACAGAATCCCTACATTTTAGTTTGGATGGCCATTGAAAATAAGGACTACATTTTTTTGCCTCCTTTGCGACTAGGTTCTAGATAGCAATGGGATGTGAGGTGAAGAGATGCATGTTTGACTTCACAAGTCAAACCCTTAGTGGGAAATGTCCTCCACGTCTCCCCTTTTACCCTTTCCACTGGTGAAATACAGCTGAAGTGGTGAGCCATCCTCAGTTACACAGAGGAAGACAACAGCAAAGCAACAATAGAGATAGAACTGCATGCCTGGCACCAGGGAACTACCTTGGCAGTCATGGGCTGCTTATATACTGTCTGTTAGAGAAGAGAAAAATAAACTACTTTGTATTCAACCTCATATATTTTGGTGTACATTACAGCAGTCTAAATTAACGGCCTAGTGTGTATCCTAACTAATTCAGTAAGGATTAAGGAAAATATGTGAAGGTAATCCATAAGCCATAAAGCAATTATATAATTAATCTTACAGTATATTGTCATAGCAATGGCATAAATCTTTTGTAGCTTATCAAACCATCAACTTTAAAAATTATTTGAATTATGAAAAGAAGAAAAAAGGTCAGATAGCACAAAGTGGACTTGATTTTGAAACACAGAGCCAACACTCAAATAGATGTTTAGCCAATCTCAGAGCAGCCAGAATTTGGGATTCACAGTTATTCAGCAAAACAAATACATAATTTTAGAGTAATCAAAAATTAACTTTGTCTTTCCATTTCTCCCCACTTCACAGACAGCCTTTTTATGCAATTATCAGTCACGCCCTTAAGACACAATGGGGATGACTGCAGTAAACGATGGTAGTATGGGATGCCCATTGTATCAGTGTCCTAAAGCTGCCATAAAAAACTACAGGTTGAGAATCCCTAATCCAAAATTCCAAAATCTGAAATGCTCCAAAATCCAGGAAAGCACTGACATGATGTCACAAATGGAAAATTCCATACTGGACCTCATGATAGCTCACAGATAGAACTTTGCTTCAACCATAAAATTATTTAAAATGTTGTATAACATTACCTTCAAGCTATGTAAACAAGCTATATATGAAATATAAATAAAGTTCATGTTTATACTTGGGTCCTATCTCCAATATATCTCATTATATATATGCAAATACATTAAATCTGCAATGTGAAACACTTCTGGTCCCCAAACGTTTCAGATAATGGATACTCAATCTGTACCACAAACTTGGTGGCTTATAAAAATATATGTATTTTCTTATAATTCTAAAGGCCAGAAGTCTAAAATCAAGGGGTCAGCAGGGTTAGTTTCTTCTGGAGGCTTTGAGGGAAAATAACTTCCATGGCTCTCTCCTAGCTTCTGGTGACTGCAGTCCTTAGCCTATTAAAGACATCACTCCAATCTCTGCCTCCACCTTCACATCATCTTATCCCACATGTGTCTATGTCCTTTCTGTTTCTTATAAAAACACTCTAATTGGCTTAAGAACCTTCTCTAATCCAGTATAATCTCATCTCAATGCTTACCTTAACTTTCTGGGTTGTTATGGTTAAACTGTGTCCCCCAAAAAGATATGTTGACATCCTCACTCCCAGCACCTTGAAATCTGACTTTATTTAGAAATAGGGTCATGGCAGATGTACTACGTTGAGATGAGGTCACACTAGAGTAGGGTGGGCGCTGAATCCAATATGACTGGTGTGCTTGTAAGAGGAGAAGAGACACAGACACACAGAGAGAATGCCATATGATGATGGAGGCAGACACTGGAATAAACACTTATAAGCCAATGAACACCACAGAATGCTGGCAAATTGCCAGAAGCTAAAAGAAACAAAAAAGATACTCCCTTACAGTTTCAGCACCACGATTTTAGATTTCTAGGCTCCAGAACTGTCAGACACTACATTTTTGTTGTTTAAGACACATAATTTGTGTTTTTTTCTTACAGCAGCCCTAGGAAACTAATATAGGAGTGGATACAAATTTAGGTACATGACAGTAAATACTATAGACAAACAGTTCAATAACAATAATTCTTGAAAGTTCTAGCAAATTTCATACCTGTATATTCGGAAAATGGCTTATGTATAACTCCTAGCATGGGTTTACCATTTACAGCCACACACACCATAGTAGTGACGTACTTTCGAAGATCCTCTATGAGAAAAAAAACAAAACAACACACACAAATGTCAAAGTAATGTGCATAAATTCAAGATACAATATTACACTTTAGTTCATTAAAAAATTTATATACATGAAATATCTTTCCAAAACAACAATCCCTTCAAGCAAACAGAGTCTGAGGGCAAGAGCCCCTTTAAAGGAGTGGCTAACAGTTCTGGTTCACGATGAGATACCATCTCACACTAGTCAGAATGGCTATTATTAAAAAGTCAAAAAATAACAGATGCAAGTGAGGTTGTGGAAAAAAAGGAATGCTTATACACTGTTGGTGGGAGTGTAAATTAGTTAAGCCACTGTGGTAGACAGTGTGGCAATTCCTCAAAGGCCTGAAGAAAGAAATACTATTCGACCCAGCATTCCCATTACTGGTCCAAAAGAATATAAATCATTCTATTATAAAGACACATGCATGTGTATGTTCACTGCAGCACTATTCACAATAGCAAAGACATGGAATCATCTTAAATGCCCATCAATGATAGACCAGGTAAAAAAAAAAAAATGTGGTACATATACACCGTGCAATACTATGCAGCCATAAAAAAGAACATGATCAGGTCCTTTGCAGGGGCATGGATGGAGCTGGAGGCCATTATCCTTAGCAAACTAACACAGGAACAGAAAACCAAATACCACATGTTCTCTAAGTGGGGAGCTAAATGATGAGAACACATGGACACATAGAGGGGAACACCACACACTGGGGCCTTTCAGAGGATAGAGAGTGGGAGGAGGAAGAGAATCAGGAAAAATAACTAATGGATACTAGGCTTAATACTTGGGTGTTGAAACAAATCTGTACAACAAACCCTCATGACACAAGTTTACCCTATGTAACAAACCTGCACTTGTACTCCTGAACTTAAAAGTTTTAAAACAAATTGCATTTAGAGTCAAGACCCTTTTATATTATAAAAATCACACAAACAAAAGAGTTCTGGTTCTACAGGCATTACCTGGGTTATTCTCCTAGCCCACCATTTTGTTAACTGAATGTCCTTGAGTAAATTACTTAAATTCAGCTTCCTTGTCTGTATAATATAAACAATAACTAAGCACTCATCTTTAGGTATAAATTAACTTTTAATAAAAAAAATCAAATTAGATGCTTAAGAAAGTCCCTGCACGAGGGATGTGCTCACTAAATGTTATTACTATATGAACAGGCCAATCTCAGTTTAGGAGAACTTTTTATGAACAAATTTCTCGATATTCCATATTTCTATTATCTACTCCTGAAAAGTTCTGTGCTGTAATTTTAGTTACTATTAGATATATACATCTAGTGTCTTCTCCCTGTTCTCCAAAGTTATGTATTGATTGTTATGGTTCAAGTTCAGTGCAAAAGCACTGAAATACAAAGGTAAAAAGGTAGAAGGCTCCACATTTACAGAACTTACCATCTATCAGGATAAATAGATAAACTGTAACATATAAACCAAATGAAGAGTGAAAAGGCAGAAATTAGCTACCTGTGGGTAAGAAACAAGGCCTGAGAGGGGATCTACAAAAATAAAATCTGACTAGGACTAGGTAAAAAAGGGGACTGGAGGGACAGTAGTTCTGTTTTGTTACTTACTTGCCTTCTGGGTACCTAGAAATTTACTATTTTGAATTCCAAAGTCAGATGTACATGCATTAAAACTTAAATTCCTAACATCCCGAGTAAACATTAAATTCTGGCTAAAGAAGTTTCTTCAATTATAGGTGTCCAATATAAAACATTTTGCTACTACTGTTAAAAATGCTTCTTTACTGAACAATCAGTGAGCCACTATCACCTATAGGAAGTATGCCTTGGTTCTGGTTCTCTACTACTAAACGTCAATCAAATGTTTTGAGTTCAGTTTAAAAATTACCTGTATATTCCTGTGTAGCATCAAGTGGGTCAATCCAGACAGTAACACTTTCTGCTGGTACCTCTTTAGGAGTAGTTACTTCCTTTAGGATATCCTCAGGAATCTTATGATCCCACAAGATAACCTCCTGATCAGCTGCATCCACGTGTTCCTCAGTATTAATCTGCATTAAAAACAGGTGACAGTTAAAAAAAGTAAGACGAACAATCACTATTTGATAAACTACAAAAGTATTTCAGACAACAATCACCCAAATTATAAATAAGTAAATCCCTATTTTTATTTCTTTTGATGCTCCATATTGCAAAATGAAAATGAAAATGAAAAAAAAAAATCCATGACATCAGGTCTTTAAATGCTTCCCAATCTAATATTCAAGCCTGGTTTGTTGACTAATCAAGACAGATAATTCGGATATAGAGAAATATAGAGAAACTGAGCATTGAAGAAACAAGCTACTTAAACCTTAACAATGCTTTATGAAAGATAATAGCTCTAAAGTGTGAAAATAGACAATATTCTGGAACACAACACAAGCAACTAGAGTTAGAAGAAAGACGTATCATAGAATAGGGAGGTACAGTCAAATTTTCTACCTTTTTTTTTTTAACTAAGGAACAAAATTAAAAGATAAAATAAATTTAACTTACCATACAGATATGTAAGGATGTGGGGTAAGGAGAGAAATATAAGTAGAGGAAGGGTTGTTACGAGAATAGAGGAATATATTCTCTCCTTAAGGAATATATTCTCTCCTTACCCCACACCCTTACATACATACATATACACACACACACACACACACACACACACACACAAACCCCCCTTACACATATATATTCTCTCTGTATAATATATATTATATATTATTTCTACATATAACATATATATACATGTGTTTGTATAATACTTTATGTAAGTATTCTATTCATTTACAAACACATTACAGATTCCTTTAAATTGAGATTGCTCAATTTGGCACGACTGACAATTTGGACTGTATAATTCCTTGTTGTGGGGCTGTCCTGTGCATTGTAGGATGTTTAACAGCATCCCTGGCTGAATGCCACTAGAACGCACCAGATGCCAGCAACAACACCCTCAGGTGTGACAAACAAAAATGTCTCCGGACATTGTCAAGTGCGCCCCTGTCCCATCCTATGTAAAAAACACTGTTTTCAACAGTGTGCTTCTTAATGCATCCTAAAATTAGTCTAATTTGTAAAACAGTGTTTTAAAAATAATGTTTTGGCCAAGTGTGGTGGCTCACGCCTGTAATCCCAGCACTTCGGGAGGCCGAGGCGGCTGGATCACGAGGTCAAGAGATCAAGGCCATCCTGGCCGACATGGTAAAACCCCATCTCTACTAAAAATACAAAAATTAGCCAGGCATGGTGGTGCGTGCCTGTAGTTCCAACCACTCGGGAGGCTGAGGCAGGAGAATCACTTGAACCCTGGAGGTGGAGGTTGCAGTGAGCCAAGATCACGCCACTGCACTCCAGCCTGGCGACAGAGCAAGACTCCATCTCAAAAAAAACAAAAAATAAATAATAATAAAAAAATGTTTTAGAACTGCATTTACTTTTGTAAACTGGCATATACCAATTGACTAAATCTAAGAATTGAGTGTTCTTTAAGAATTAAGTTAATAACAGATCATCAATCTTATATGAATACTGCCTCACCATGAGACTTCTATCACATCATCATACACACACACAAGAAAAAATGTCCCCAAAATTTTGATTTTAGTTAGGGACTTACACTCTCAGCAGGACAGGCTGTTGGGTCCTGTGCTTTCTGACAAGCTCCCTTTCCAGAGTAGGTCATGTTTATGCTACATGTGATGCCATGCCTAGACCCCACGCTACAGTGCCAAAGCGATTACAGCACTGACAATACATGAGTATTGTCAATACAACATCTCTCACCTATAGTCTTCAGAAAGTTGCAGAGACACAGACATGATTTTAAAAAATATAACTATCACCAATCTCCAGAAGGTACCCTGAAACACCCCAAATTATCACAGGAGAGGTTAAAAATACTAATATTCTAGAAACATCAAACCGCTTAAATCATTAAATATCTCTTTTTTTTTTTTTTTTGAGACGGAGTCTCGCTCTGTCACCAGGTTGGAGTGCAGTGGTGTAATCTCGGCTCACTGCAACTTCCACTTTCCGGGTTCGAGTGATTCTCCTGCCTCAGCCTCCGAGTAGCTGGCACTACAGGCACCCACCACCACACCCAGCTAATTTTTGTATTTTTAGTAGAGACGAGATTTCACCGTGTTGGCCAGGATGGTCTCGATCTCCTGACTTCATGATCTGCCCGCCTCGGCCTCCCAAAGTACTGGGATTACAGGCATGAGCCACCGCGCCTGGTAAATCTTTAAATATTTCTCAGTACAGAGCAAAGTAAACATTCAATTTATTCACTTATGTCTTTATTAATTCAGCAAATGCTTATTGATTGCCTACTATATGACAGACACAGTTACAGGTCTTAAAGATACCACAGTGATCAATGTGAGACAAAAATTTCTGCCCTGTGGAACTTAGATTCTAGTATAGATAAACAACGAGACACATGAAAAAACATGTAGTATGCTGGATAGTGATAAGGAGGAAAAAATAAAGACCAAAAGGACAGAAAGAGTGTTGTTGGAGAGTAGAGAAAGGACTGTTAGAGAGTAGTGGAAGGGTTATTCTTTAAGAAAAAGGGGTAGATAGTATTAAGAAAGGGTGGCTAGGCAATTATTCATAATGGCTAAAATCAGAAAACTACTAATTCCATCAATTAGTAGTTTATCCATTACCCTGATGAATGGATAAATATATTTGGTATATCCATACAATGGAAAGTTACTCAGCCATATATACGAATAAAGTATTGATCATGCTAAATCATGGATGAACCCCCTTGCTTTGTGAAAGCATCAACATACAAGAGATCATATACTGTTTGATTCCATTAATGTAAAATGTCCGGAAAGGCAAATCTATAGAGAAAGACCGATTAGTGGTTGCCTGGGATAAGGGATAAAAACAAGAATAAACAGTTAATGGGGTCAGGGGTATTATTAGGGTGGTGAAAATGTTCTAAAACTGATTAATGATGATAGTTGTACAATTTGGCAGTTCTAAAAATTACTGAATTGTATACTTGAAATAGACAAATTGTAAGATATAAAAACTATGCTGCAATGAAGTTGTTTTGAAAAAAAAGTAATGTAGCTAGAGAAGCCCCTCACTGAAAAGGTGGTATTTGACTGAAGAGATCTAAAGAAAATAAGCCTGGCAGGCATCTAGAAGTGCATTCTAGCCCAATAAATAACAAATGAAAAGATCCTAAGGTGGGAATGTGCCTGGTGTGTTCAGAGGGCAGCAAGGAGGCCAGCAAGGCTACAGCAGAGTGAGCCAAGGAGAAAGGCTAAGGAGCTGAGGTCAGAGAGTAATGGAAGCCAGATGGTGAAGGACCTCGCAGGCTGCAACACAGAGCCAGTTGCCCTCCATCATAACAGCTATTAACAATGTGCAGAGGGTCCTAGTCATTGCAGTAAGCTAAAGGGAGGGGGAGAGGAGCAAGTGGGGAGGTACAAAGTTTAGAAAGAAAAACCAATCCATAATATGAAGTTGATTATTGAGCACTGAGAAAATCTAAAAGAGCTTGCAGATAAATGCAACTCCAATCAAAATCCCCAGTGTTTTTTGTTGTTGTTGGTTTTTTTTAACCTTCTCCTTGGAAACTGGACAAGGCATTTCTGAAAATTACATGGTAGAACAAAAAGTCAAGAAGCAACACAACATTTTGGGAAGAGGGGAAAAAAAATACCATCATGGTGTGGTGACTTACCTTACCAGATATCAAGACCAGAATAATTAAGACAGTGTGGCACTGGTGAGGCATTTTGGCTTCAGAAACCACTCTTAACAACAATGCCAGACTACCTCAGATGAATGAAGATAACAGTAACACCATGCAAAAAGGAATAAACTTCAAAAAAAAAAGAAACATGACTCCTAGAAAAGACGAAGTAGCTTATGGGCCTTAACCACTGTAGCTTACAAAACGGCAGTGCCAAGTCTGGCAACTACTGAGCTTCACTGATTTTTTGCACAATTCAAGTCAGCTTCTCCATGTACTTGCAGCTGAGTATGAGCGAACACATTATAGAACAGTATTTGAAAAGATCTTCACTGAGAATCGGGTTAGGGAGAAACAGCAGGAGAACAAGAACATTAGCACAAATACCTAATCTGCTTTTGAGTAACTGCTATTTATAACCGGCCGCAACCACTACATACCTACAAATCTGAAAAATCTACTACCCACCAATGTAAACAACCTTATCAATAGTTGCTATGGTCAACACCAGAAAGTCTTCCTCAATCCTTTCTCGCGTGCCACATCGAATCAGTCAGTAAGTCCTGGAAATTCTACCTCCCAATTCTAAATATGTCATCATGTCTACCAAGAAAATCTTAGTTTAGGCCACCATCTCTCACCTGGATTTCTACAATAGTCCTCAATTGTTCTCACCTCCTACAATATATTCATTTACCCATTCATTCAACATCTAATGGCTATATACGCTAAACTGCTTTGGACATTGGGATACAGTAATGAACAAAACAGACAAAATCACTGCTTTTACAGAGCTTCCCTTCTCAACCCAGCAACCTGCCATCTTCCTAAATCAGACCGTGGCACCCTAGCTTAAAACCTTCCAATGGTTTCTCATTATGCAGAGATAAAATCCAGACTCCTTATCATAATCTACAACATTAAGTTCCAGATGATCTGGGTAATGACAGCAGTAAGTGCTATCCCGTAATCTCTCTCTTGTTTGCACCCTTATTTACTGTACCCCAGACTTACTAGTCTTCTCATGGTCACTCAGCCTCAGGGCCTTTGTACTTACTGTATTCTTCTGCTTGTACACGCTTTCCCAGATCTCTGCATGACATCCTGGTTCTTATTAAGGTCTCGGCTCAAATGAGACTGCCTCAAAGTGGCCTTTCCTGACTACCATTGATAAAGAAGGACCACCAGACACTCTCCCAGCATGACCCTATTTTTTCTTCTTCAAAGCCCTTATCAGAAACCACGTTACTTGTTTACATTTACTATCTTGATCAGCTAGAACGTAAATTCTGTGGGTGCAAGGACACAAATTTTCTTCATTACTGTAGCTCCATCCCCATTGTCTAAACCAAAGTAGGTACTCAATAAATACATCTTAACTGACAATATTATTCTCAGCCACTGTAGTTTTTCATTTCTTCCCCATAATCCTCTTCCACTCAACCTACTCTTCCTTCCTCATCCTTACTACCTGTCAAAGACCTCAACAGGGAATTGAAGCATAAGAAATCAACCCAAGCTCCAAAAACCCATACCTACTAACAGCCCTGGCCAATCCCTGCCCCCTCCCGACACCCAGCCAATCACTCCCAAAGAAGCCCATTATGGTGGGAATGAACAATGCAGCTTTTAGAGAACCTATAATTTTAGAAGGGTAAGCATAAAAAGGTTCTAGAAATCAGAAAACACTAAACTGATCTTGGTCTATGCTGATACATAATAGCTCATCTTGCAGTCTCCACCTACACCTGGCAATTATCAAAACATTCTCAGATCCTTTTGTTAGCCTCTATGTATAGCAAGTAGGGATTTCTTTAGGTTAACTTGCCTTCTGTGTAGGCATTTCTAGTACTCACAATGTCCACTTTTCTTTTCCTTCCTGAACATCTGGAAGGCTATACTTCCCATGTGCCTTGTAGTTAGAGGCAAATGAGAGTGATTCTGGCCAGCAGAATATAGACAAAAATGTAGATGTACAAAATATGGACAAAAATGTGAATGCGCATCACTTTCTGGCTTAGGCAATAAAAAGAAAGCTCCTGCCCAATTCTCCAATCTCTTCTCTTTCCCTGCTATGTTGACATGGCAGAATCACATATCAACATCAACTAGGTCACAGTCACTACATGGAGGACAACTGCTTTGGAGAGTGTCAGGCTTCTGAGAATTGGAGGATGTCGTTACTACAGCATTTCCTACTCAGTCTTTCCTGACTAATGCATTTTCCCTTTTATAAAAGTAAATACTCCTAAGTAGTTTAAGAGCCAGAAGAAATTCACACGTGTGAATCAATTTAATTTGAGTCTCTTCCTTTAAACCTCAACCTTGCATCAGGAACTCTGAGAAAAAACAAACCAAAACAAAAAAAACATTGCTGTTACTGGATGGGAGGTAGGGGAAATAGGAAAAATAATTTGGGGGATAAAATAGTAATAGCTAGGTACAGATCTGAAGGGAAAGCACAGCTTAAATGAGGCAGCATTAGATGAGAATAGGTACAGAATAGTAGGAGTGTTCCGTAATTGTGAGGACAGAAAATGTTTAATCTATATGCTAAACAATACCTTAAAATTAGTACAACCAAGTCAGGGGTCAGGAATCAAATGCTTATGTAATACAAATGCTCCTCAACTTACAATGGGGTTACGTCCTGATAAACCCATTGTGAATTGAGAAGCATTTGTACTGCATAAGTTGAAAATATCTGAAGTCAAAAATACATTTAACACATCTAACCTACCAAACATCACAGCATAGCCTAGCCAACCTGAAATGTAGTCAGAACACTAACATTAGCCTACAGTTGGGCACAATCATCTAACACAAAGCCTAATTCATAATAAAGTGTTAAATATCTCATGTAATTTATTGACTGCTCTATTAAAACTGGAAAACAGAATGGTTGTATGGGTACTACAAGTATAGTTTCTTTACAATGAATGGTGCATATCATTCTTGCACCATTGTAAAGAAATCCTAAGTTGAACCATCTTAAGTTGGGAACCAGCTATACAAAGGTTCTTAAGACAAGTTTGTCTATTTAAAGATTTTATTTAATTATATGGACATATACACACACATATACATATACATATAATACATATACACACATAAGTGTATTTAGGCTAGTCTTTTAAATTCCAGAAAGGGGAAGGAAACTATTCTCCATCAGTATTGTCAAAGTTCAAGGCCCCCAAACACAATCAATGCCATTAGTATGCTAGTTCAGTTACTTTGGGGTTTGAAGGGACTTCTGGTTAATGCCTTAAGAAGGAATCGATCATTTACTTCATTTCTCCATAAATCATTATATCCTAACCTCACACAGTGCCTATCATACCATAGGTGTGATATGGCAACTTGACTGGATTATGGAATGCCCAGAGATTTGGCTAACATTATTTCTGGTTGTATTTGTGAGGGTGTTTCTGGATAAGATTAGCATTTGAATCAGTGAACTCAATAAAACAGACTGCCCTCTCTAATGTGGGTGGGCAGCATTCAATGTTTTGAGAGTGTGAATAGAACAAAAGGAGGGAGAAGAAAGACTGCCCCTTCTTCTGCCTTACTGCTGAGCTGAAACATCAGTCTTCTCCTGCCCTCCAACTGAGACTACCACCACCAGCTCTCCTGGTTCTCAGGCCTTTGGACTTGGACTGAATCACATCACTTGCTTTCCTGGGTTTCCAGCTTGCAGGTTTCCAGCTGACAGATCAAGGGACTTCTCAGCCTCCTTAATCACACGAGCCAATTCCTTATAATAAATCTCTATTGGTTCTCTTTCTCTGGAGAACCCTGACCAATACAGTAGGCATTCAATAACTATTTTCTTTTTTTTTTTTTTTGAGATGGAGTCTTGCTCTGTCACCCAGGCTGGAGTGCAGTGGTGTGATCTCGGCTCACTGCAAGCTCCACCTCCCAAGTTCAAGCCATTCTCCTGCCTCAACCTCCCGAGCAGGTGGGACTACAGACACCCGCCACCACGCCCAGCTAATTTTTTGTATTTTCAGTAAAGATGGGGTTTCACTGTGTTAGCCAGAATGGTCTCAATCTCCCGACCTCATGATCCACCCGCCTCGGCCTCCCAAAGTACTGGGATTACAGGCATGAGCCACCACGCCAGGCCTCAATAACTATTTTCTAAACATATAAATAAACGTACCTCTACCTGTCCTATTCTCTTCCCACCTTTACAGAAACCTTTTACTATCAACTATTGTCTTTCAAATATAGCTCTATAAACAATTAAACATGCTGTAGTGTCTCATATCTTAAAAACAAATATACCAAAAAGAAAGCACAGAACCTTCTCTTAGGAAACATAATACACCTAACACCCCAGCCAACTTCCTTAAAAGCCCAATTTCTCACAAAACTTGTCTTTACTCACAGTCTCCATTTCCTCACCTCCTAATCATAGGTTGCCTGAGTTCAAATGCCAACTCCTCAATTTATTGGGTATATGAATAATTTAGGCTAGTCACCTAAACTTTCTGAGCTACAATTACCTCATTGGTAAAAAGGGACAATGATCTAGCTCCCTGTAAGGTTCTTAAGAAGACTGAAAGAGAAAAGGTAAAACAAACTTAGTACAGTGCTTAACACAGAGTAAGCATTTAATAAAGGTTGGTTGCTACTATTCTTGTTAAATGATTGTTTTCAGTCTTCATTATCCTTGGTTCTAGGCCCTGATATTCCCCTTTCATGTTATATTCTCTCCCTAACCAATTCTGTCCACAACCAGTTTCAATTAACATCACAACACCGATGACTCGCAGATTTGTATTTTCAGTTCAGATGTTTCTTCAGACCTTCAGACTCATATATTCAACTGACTCTTTGACAGCTAACCTTGGACATATCAAAGGCATCTCTAACATAGCAAGTCTAAAATGGCATTCATAATCTGTCCTCCAACTTAACCACCACTCCCCTTCACCAGCAACAAAACCCCAATTGTGAAAGCTACAGAGGAGTTATTTTTGACATATCCCTAAAAATTCTTTCACTTCCTTCTACATCTATCTTCTCTACAACCATAACCCTAATTCAAAAGATATAAGCTCTCACCTGAAAAAGGGCCTCCTAACTGGTCTCCCTGTATTTACTTTGCTCCCCTCCAAACCATCCTCCAAGCAACTACTCTGAGTCCTTCCATTCATTTTTAACACTGTAGTTAAGAGTATACTTGTTACATCTGCTATACCGCCTTATATAGAGAATTAGACAGACCTGAGATGATTCTCTGACCATTATGTCAATCTCAGTGACTCTAAGATTATTCTCATGGTGAAACCCCGTCTCTACTAAAAATACAAAAAATTAGCTGGGCGTGGTGGCGGCACCTGTAGTCCCAGCTACTTGGGAGGCTGAGGCAGGAGAATGGCATGAACCTGGGAGGCAGAGCTTGCAGTGAGCTGAGATTGTGCCACTGCACTCCAGCCTGGGCGACAGAGCGAGACACCATCTTTAAAAAAAAAAAAAAAAAAAAATTCTAGCTGGACAATCTTTGGCAAATTATTTAGCCTCTCCAAGTCTTTATCTGAAAAACAGAGGCTGTAGTACTTAACCTCCTTTGTTGTTGTGAAGATAAAATTAATAATGTCATTAAGAAGTTTAATTCAATTTTTGTGGCTTGCAGAAGGCTATGCAAATGTTAGCTAGTAAAACAAGCTCAGCATAACTTCCCCACTGCTTGAGTCCTGGTCCTCATCTCTCCCATGGCCTGTTTTAACAGTCTCTAACTAGTTCCTATCTACCTCCAAATGCCCAAAGCCCAAAGTATGGCTTATTGCAGGCCTCAAGAAAAGTCAGCTAAATCTGGCCTTCTTTTAGTATTCTACTAGTAAACCATGGACTAGGTCCAAATTCCTTTGAGCTTGGAATATGACCTAGCCCCTACCTACCTTTCCAATCTCTTCCACAATAATTCTCCCAAGTGCATTTTACTCAAACTCATTAGATTACAAGAATTAGCTGTCCTACTATCTCTCTTGGGCCTGTTCCTTTGAACTAGATTCTTTTCCTCTGTTTTCAGTGCTTATGTCTACACCAATTACTAGTTATTCTGATTTTACAGAAGAGGAAACTATGGCTCAAAAAAGTTAAATGACTGGCCAGTACCACCTAGGCTGGTGACTGCACAACATGTCAATGCAAGTGCTCTGTGCACTATATTAGTGCTTCTCAAACTTTTCTGGGACATACTTCTGTTGAAAGAGAGAAGCTTAACTTCCATCTTATAGGTCAAGGAAGGCACAGACCCAAGTGGCTGCTACCAGCTTGGAGTACCATGCTTTACCTTCAAATAAGTCATTGTCAAAACTTTGAACAAATCAAGTTGAGGACAGGAGCCCCTCAAACAGACAGTCCCCTGTACATTAAATCAAAACTATAAATCTCAGTTTGTCTGTTCTGTGGCTGCAAACCCACTCCACAAAAGTATCTTCAGCCTTCATTTTCATTGTTACCTGCAAGGATAAAGAGACAGTGCCATACAAATGGCTGGAGTTACTATTACTTTGACACAATGAAGTCAAGCATTGCCAAAGTGTTTAGGAAGAGGAGACTAGCTGCCCAGAGGACTCTCTGGGATCTCTAACCTGAAGAAAACTGAAGACAAAAGGAAATCCAGGGAGCCTAGGTGAAATCTGAGTTTTGTTAGGATAGCACTCACTTCTCTGGAGTATGATTCCTCAACTTGGGCATCAATTGACAAATGGAGCAGATAATTCTTCGTCATAGGGGGCTGTCCTGTGCATTATAGGATGTTTACCCTCTACCTACTAGATGCCAGTAGCATCCCACCCCTGGTTGTGACAATCAAAAATGTCTTCCGACGTTGTCAAATGTCAGTTAGGGGACAAAACTGTCTCCAGTTGAGTGCTCTAGGATAACCCCTGGTATATCCTTTTACTGAGGAGTGAACATTACATACGAAAGCTCAGACTTCAGACTCTACATAGGAAAGTAGTGGGAGAAAACAGATCTTTCTACATTTACATAGGGCACTAGGATAAAAGAAAGAAGTATCTGTTGCTTCTCAATGGTCTTTTTCCACTAGGAAGTAAACTAAGTGGGATATAATTTAAGTTTCTTACCAAGAAATTTGGGGTGAGGCTTCAAAATTAACCAGGGATTTAAGACTGTACTTCTGGGCATTAGGAGAGGGGAAGGCAAAAAAGGAGAAAGACTCCTTTTAGGTTGATTCTCCACTTAGTTGGCTACAATATTTGGCCTCTAGCCTATAACACAGGGGTATAAGGAGATCGCTCAACATGACACCATCCCTACTTTGACACTGTATAAATGATCACAAACCTCTTCTATTCCTTCAGTCATGACCCAACATGAATACTACAGAAGCACATGCAAACATTCAAATAGTCACAAGAAAACAAGAAGTTGTTTTATATTAAGCCAGAGACTTCAACATCTGCAATTCCAAAAGCTTAGCTTTTATGTTAATAAAATGCAGCTCACTGCCCTTGGCAGCCATTCCCTTATTGTTTGCTAATAAATGAGAATGCACACACATACAGATGTGTTTTCAACATTTAAGATACTTTTGTTTTTACTTAAAAAAAGAAAAATCAACTCTGCTTGCTGTATTTCACTATTACTGCTTTTAAGCTTCTACAATTATAAGTTTTAAATAGCCTTCTAAAAATCTAGCTAAAATGTGGGATAGTTCATATAAGCTGGAGTGTCACGAGCCTCAGATTTCCCGTTTGTATAGTAGGCAGAAATAAAATTTACTTCTTAAAGTTGCTGTTAAGGATCAAATGAAGTCCTGTGTAGCCAGTATTTGGGCATGTAAAATATATTCAATAAATGGTTATTATTAGTACTGTTATAACCATTAAATAGCAACTTCTCTGAATCTCCTGTTTCCTCTATAAATTCTTGGGGAAGGAAACACGTATGTTTTGGAAAGGGGGTAAAATATTTCATAAACACACCTTACATCTAGATGCAAAAAAATTTAAGTATTATTTGTGATGATAAAAACAGAGTAGGGAAGAAGAAAAAGTGGAAATATTCTGTGTTTTAAGTAGAAATTTGAAAAAAAAAATTCTAACGTTAATTACATCTGGTATCCAGTAGCTCATGTTAGGAAATACAATGTTCCTTTCCACTGGAAAAAGAAAAAGACGAAAGAAAAGGGAGGAAGAGAGGAGAATAAAAAACAAAACCAAAGCAATATTATGATAGACTGGAAGAAGCCTTATGCAAAATACATAACTAAACAATGACAATATTCTCCTAACTCTTTCAAGATCAGCAGTAAAAGGTCAGTCACCTTCCAAAGAAGCCTGGGTTTGCACATCACTGTTTATCTAATAAAATTCCAGTGAAGACAATTTTTCTTCCCAGTAGCCAAAACTACAGTTAGGTGAGTTAAGATATACGTTAATAAGGTGCTGCTACGCTATGCTGAGCTCTTCCTCAACAAAATTTGCAGTTTCTGGAACTGCAAATTTTAAATATGCTTTATTCAACTCAATAGCAGCTCCAGTGAAATGATGAATTCAAAAAGTATTAATAACAAATCCAAAATGTCTGGATTTCCTTAAGAAAATGTCAACTCCCTTCCCAGAAACCTACCCAAAGAAAAGCCAAATGTTATTTAATTCTTATTCTCTGGAGTAAATATGGATCTTTAATCAAGGGCCAGGTAGGACCAACAGCTGGTATATTTCTAAGTACCTCCTTAAAGGGCCCGCAAACTATAAACTTTAGAGCGTCCTGACAAAAAGACAGCGAAATGAGCATACTCATCCCCCACCCCCCCACCCCGACTCCCGCGAGCGCACACACGCACACACAAATGCCCCGCACACTAACAGCTCTGCAACAAGACTCGGTCTTTCAGCTGGCTACTGGCAGGCCACCCAGAAAATGTGTACTCCAGTTTCGACCCTTCTAGGGATGAAATCAAGGAAGGATAGAGAGTCTTGGTGGATTTTAGCCAACCCCTTAATTCTACAGAGGAGCCTGAAGCTGCGGGTGCAATTAACTTTGTCAGCCTTTTCGTTTCAAGGCCTTCTGATCCCAGGTACACACGGCGCACACCCGACCCAGGACGAGCCAAAAGGGCACGGGCCCTGAGTCAGACTACGTGCAACCTCACCCAGCTCCTCTGCTGTCTGTCTGACCTTGTGCACGTTAACTTCTGCGTCTCAATTTCCACATCTACAAAATGGAACCAGAAGCTCCACATCCCATACTGTTAAGAGTCGACGGGCCGAGACGCGCTACCCGGCTCGAGTGGGCGCTCCGCCCGTGGGCTCCCACCTGGACGCTGGGGAAGGCGGTCTTGAGCAGGTAGAACATCTTGCGGTTGGACAGCACGTCGCCGCTGGTCATCTTGTCCTCGGCTCCCTCGCGCGTCTTCCCCTTGGACTTCTCGTGGAGGACGTTGCTCTCGCGGACGCGCCTCACCTCGTCGCCGCCGCGGACTGCGGCCAGCACTGACACAGCCAGCATCTCGCGCAAGTCCACGGTGCCCCCATCGGCCGCGGCCGCGGGCCCCGCCGCGCCGCCGCCAGGCTCGCCGCCCAGGCCGAAGAGGCTGAAGCGGCCGGCCAAGAAGCCCGAGTAGAGGTGGTAGAGCACGCCGAGCCCCAGCAGGCAAAACACTGCCACCCCCAGTGGGGAAAGGCGGATGCCCATGGGGGCCATGGCGTGGGAAGCCGGGCGCTCCGGGCTGCGGCTCTCACAGGCCTCCAGCGCCCGCCGCCGCCGCCGCCGCAGCCGCCGCGCTCCGGGCCAGGCGCCGCGCGGGCTACACTGGCGCCCGCTCCCCGGCCCCGGTGCGCCCCATCACTCCCTCCCAGGAAAGGCCGAGTTGCGCCGCGAAGACCACCAACGCCGCCCCGCGCGCCTGACTCGCCAGGCAGCGCGCTCTAGGTTCTTCCGCCGGCCGGCTGGTCCGACTTCCACGTTAGCCTACGGCCGCGAGGTGAAAGGGGAGCGTGGGTGTGTATCCGGGTTACGCGACGGGGCGGGGCGAGGGCGAGGGCGAGGGGCGGGGAGAGCTGGGCACCTCCCCTTGGGGCGGGGCGGGGCGGGACAGGAGGCGCTGGACTGAGCTGCCTTCCTTGGTCTGGGTGGGAAGGTATTCCTGGAAGTGGCGAGCAGCAATCCGCACAGGACAGTGTGCTGTGCTGAGTGCCTTGTGGGTGTTTAAATTAAATATCCCATTGTACGACTATGGCTGGCTGTAATAAACCCACAGTAACAGTCTAGTCTTCTCATCACTCTCAGATTATTGAGGAATGGAGGAAAACACAATAAACCATTTTAAAAGATTGATTTGCAAGCTTTTTTAGCCAGCGGGGGTGTAGACAGCCTGTACCTTTAAGTCGCTTCTCCGCGCTCTTCCCGGCAGGACGGGGAACTGGGCGGTGAGGGGAAGAATTGTACTTGGCTCTTCATTCTGTTGACATCTTTGTCGTGCCCTAAATGCTTATGTGTGTATAGAGTTTCTCTCCTCCACCTGCCAGAATAAACCATCCTCGAAGCAGCTGAAAAACATGCCTTGATCCGGGTTTTTCATAATGAAAGAAAGCAAACCAGGCTTCTCTCATTTCCAAGGGTACTCGAGCCTGGCTCTCCTACCAGAGCTTAAGAAGAGGAATTGCTTGACAGAGTCCACTTAAAATAGAGGTTATCCGGAGATGGTCAGTCTAGAACATGTAATCTTTGAGTCAGCGTAGGCTCTCGAAGTATTTTGACAGAAATAACTACCTTCTACTATAACACCGATCTTAGCTAGAATGATAGTGAATACTTTATAAGTATTCATGAGTTTATCTTTAATCTTAAAAGTGAATATTAAGATGTATAGTATTGTTCTTAAATGTTAAAATATCTATATAAATCAACTTAAAATGTAGCCTGTTTTACTGTTCATAGCAAAACAGCATTGGTTTTAAGTGGACTTTAGAATTAACCACCTGAAAAACTGCAAGTATACCAAACTTCTAAACATCCATTGCTAAGCAAGTCATGTAGAGCCTGACCTTTACCGCTTACTTAGAGTTCAGGGCATCCCTAGAATTTGCATGTGATTATACACATACAACAAAAGCACTGCCAGATTATACACATACAACAAAAGCACTGTGATTTCCCTGCCAGAATCACAGCACAAAATCAAGTACAAATACAAATCAGTGAAAGAACAATCCCTAGAGTATTGACAGCACCAGAACTTAAAGAACTAGCATTGCCTTTCTTGTCAGCTTTTGAGAGTAACTTTGCAATGAAGCAAAGCTGCTTTCAAATATCTAAAAGTGAATGTCACAGAGTAATTCTCAAAACCCATCCCAGGGATAAAGATAAACATCAGGGTTGAAATATAAAGGTTTAAGTTAAACAGAACCACCCCAACCTACACTATGACAGCAGCAAAAAGATGAGTTGGATAGTAATCATGTCAATATTAAAAGCATCATTGGGAAGTCTGAGATTTCTCAAAATAAACGGAATAATATTTTCCAAGGATATTGGAGAATAATATAGGGTCACATTCAGTGTGGCAGTATACACAGTATACCACTGAGGGAAATACTAAAAGCTCTGGAGCATTTCTACTGCAAAAAAGGGATTTAAGACTTGAGGGAGAAAATGCCAAGGTATGTGGAAAGAAGGAGTCACTTGAAAGATTGTAGCTCCAAGAGGCGTTCTAGCACTCAAGTGATAATTGATCATAGAGAATGGGTATTAACAGATAACATTTAATCGACAAAAGAAGTTATGACAATAAGAAAACATTTGATTAATTACATGTGGTACAGTGATGTCAGAAAACCTTTATAGGAATTTGATTGAAAGAAACTTGTTTTTTTAGTATCAAGTTGTCAGAAGCTTCAAACAATGCATACATACACATGAAAATTATATGGCTTTCATATTAAGATTGTGGACAGTCTGTTCCTAAAACATAATCTACATCTATTCTTAAAATTGTTTTCCCCAAGATTTTGAAATAAACAATTAAATGTGTTAACTTTTAGGCCGGGCGCGGTGGCTCATGCCTGTAATCCCAGCACTTTGGGAGGCCGAGGTGAGTGGATCACGAGGTCAGGAGATCGAGACCATCCTGGCTAACACGGTGAAACCCCGTCTGTACTAAAAATACAAAAAAATTAGCCGGGTGTGGCGGCGGGCGCGTGTAGTCCCAGCTACTCGGGAGGCTGAGGCGAGAAATGGCATGAAACCGGGAGGCGGAGCTTGCAGTGAACCGAGATCGCGCCACCGCACTCCAGCCTGGGCGACAGAGTGAGACTCCGACTCCGTCTCAAAAAAAAAAAAAAAAAAAAAAAGAAACAAAAAAGAAAAAAAAAGGAAATGTGTTAACTTTTTAAATTAAAGCAAAATAATTATGTAGGCTGATGCAAGTAAGACAACTTGAAACTGCAACTAGAAACTATACCCAATGAAAAACCCTGCCTTAAAAGATAGACAAGTGGATATATTTTTACTTGTTTTAGGTTCAATTGTTAAGCTGTCTAGTTTTTTTCTGTAATTCTCCACTTTAATGCAGTTTTCTCAGTTAACTGGCCCACACTAGTTCTGATTACATCAGACATAGGACCTCTTCTAAATGTCTGGATATTGCTACCTTTCCTACAAATACCAGTTTTCCTTATAGTCTCCATGTGTACAGAATAAATAATATCAGTTTATGAAACATTATTAGCATCTTAGATGTTAAGGACATTTTGGTTCCTTTCAATGACTCCTGACCTTCAAATTTACCCTGGAAAATGTTTTTTATAAAAATTAATCTTGGCCGGGTATGGTGGCTCACGCCCCAGCACTTTGGGAGGCCAAGGCAGGCAGATCACAAGATCAGGAGTTCAAGACCAGCCTAGCCAACATGGTGAAACCCCATATCTACTAAATATACAAAAATTAGCCAGGCACGGTGGCACACGCCTGTAATCCCAGATACTTGCGAGGCTGAGGCAGGAGAATCCTTTGAACCCAGGAGGTGGAGGTTGCAGCCTGGGCGACAGACCGAGACTCCATCTCAAAAAAAACAAAAAATTAATCTCTGCCAGTTAGTTTCCTTGTATTTTTTCCTTTAAATATGCATTGGAGGGGTACAATATAATTAATGAAAGGTTCAGCGTAGTTGAACCCTCATTAAAAGTGTTTTTACGGCAGGCGCGGTGGCTCACGCCTGTAATCCCAGCACTTTTGGAGGCCGAGGTGGGTGGATCACAAGGTCAGGAGATCGAGACCATCCTGGCTAACACGGTGAAACCCCGTCTCTACTAAAAAAAAAAAAAAAAAATACAAAAAATTAGCTGGGCGTGGTGGTGAGCGCCTTCCAGCCTGGGCGACAGAGCCAGACTTCATCTCAAAAAAAAAAAGTGTTTTTACTACCTTTCTGAGAAAGAAAACAATGAACTGATGGCATTTTACATGTTGAAAATATAAAACTTCCAAGAAGATTATTATTTGCATATTCTTTCCTTAAGTGATTATATCCTATAGAAACAATAATTCTGTTTTTTTAGTAGATCCAGTGATATGGTGTTTGCTTCTGCCATTAAAGTTCTCTCTTTGGCAGATAATTGAAGTTCAGAAACAGTGGCTTTCATATATCAAGACTGTGGATAGTCTTTTTCTAAAACAGGATCTACATCTATTCTTAAAATTGTTTCTCCCAGATTTAGAAATAAACAATTAAATGTGTAACTTTTAAAATTAATGTAAAATAATTATGTTAGCATTATAACATTGTACTATGGTCCCAATCCTAGCAATAGTAATATTGAATTCTTATTGGAGACAGTTCTGTAGGTATAATCATACTTTGGTATCCGCAGGGTTTGGTTCTAAGACCCCCACAGATACCAACATTTGAGATGCTCAAGTTCCTTATAAAAAACGATATAGTGTTTGCATATAGCCTACACACATCCTTCCATTTACTTTAAATCAACTCTAGATTACCTGTAATACCGAATACAATGTAAATGGTATGTAAATAGTTGTTATACTATATTGCTTATTTGTATTATTTTTACCATGGCATTGTTATTTTTACTGGTATTTTGTTTTTCAAATATTTTTGATCTTGTTGATTGAATGCATGGATGTGGAACCCACAGATAAAGAGGGACAACTATATATACAATAGAAAACTGGAAATAGTTGCAACCCTTTGAAATTATAATCACTCTGATCCATATGCACAACATAAAGCCAGGTAAGTAATTTGCATATCTTTGTATCTTCTGACTTAACTCAGATCCTATGAATATAGCAAGAACTCAGTAAGTATTTATGAAACTGGACTTTTAAAAGCTACTTTTTAATTAAATGTTGTATATTTTGTAAAGTGTTTCTCAAAAAAAATGAATTTAACAAACACATTAAGGACCCAACATTCATTTTGTTTATTCAAAACACTTGTTTCACCAGCATACAAATCAGCCTAAAAAATATATATATATATGCTTTGGCACCATTAAGATATCAAATATTTGTTAACTTTTTTTTTGTACTCTTCATTAAATCTTATTGCTTGCAAAGCACCAAATCAGTGAGTAATGTAAAATTTCTCACATTGTATTTTATTCTCTAGGTGATCTGGACATATACATTTTGCTCACTACCTATCTAAAACCTGAGGTAAAATTATCACCTTAAAATTTCATTTATTAAAAAAAATATAGTCCTGGCACAATGGCTCACACCTGTAATACCAACACTTTGAGAGGTCAAGTTGGGTAGATTGCCTGAGCTCAGGAGTTTGAGACCAGGCTGGGCAACATGGCAAAACCCTGTCTCTACAAAAAATAGAAAAGTTAGCTGGGAGTGGTGGTGCATGCCTATAGTCCCAGCTACGTGGGAGGCTGAGGCAGGAGGATCGCTTGACTCCAAGAGGTTGAGGCTGCAATGAGCCCAGATCCCACCACTGCACTCCAGTCTGAGTGATAGAGCAAGACCCTGTCTCTAAAAAATATATATATATATAATATCTAAAATTTTCTCATCTGCAGAAAATAGCATTTGAATGCTATTCATCAATCATAATTAGGATATGTAGTCTATGGAATTTTGTTCATAATTTATATTACGTAAAAATCTCAACATAATACATATTGCTATAACACAGATTTAGACACAAAACAAGACAAATTGTGTCACCTAGAATGTAAGAACTCAATATAGCCATCATGTCCTAGCAAGTGTTTCTCAAACTTTTTGAGAATTAAAATAAGTTTTACATTTAGATATAGCAAACAAAGGCTTCACTAAACAGTACTTACCCTGATATATGACATATTCTTGTATATTTTTATACCCTTCAAACTGATTTGATGGTTCCATTAATGAGTCACTGTTGAGAGACAAATCTCTGTGATTTCTTGTGTTTCTCAATGTCTTTCCTGCAGAGGGACTGACTCCCTTTTCAACAATGTTATCTTTTCAAGGATGTTTATACAGCCTTGGAAGACACAGATGGTGTTTCCCTCTAGAGCAAAGGACAAGTTGGTTTTATTTACATTATAATGTAAATGATGGCTCGCTCTGGGGCAAACGTAGGGCAGGTTTATTGCTAGTTATAAAAGATTTAGGATTCCTCAACTCAGAGTTCCTTTCCTGGAATGCATCCAATTGTGTGTGCACAAGTTGAGACCCTCTTAGTGTCACCCTGTGGAAGCTGGGGCTTGAGGAACAAGTGCAAATGCTGACACTCTAAATGGCACAATTGCTTTGTCTTGAGCCTGGAGTCTAGTGACTTCCGCCAGCATCCATGTGGCTAGCAGACTCACTTGTTAGCCGCAAGCAGAGTAAAGTCTCAGAACCTTCACACTCTTGACAGTCGCAATCCCCACGTTTTGGAAAAAACTTCTGTGGTTTATATACAGAACTATAATTTTGTCCACATTGAGATTTCACTACACCCTCAAGTTAAAAAAAAATTGAAAATTAAAGGATAATCATATGAAAAAGGACATTTTTTTAAAATTCAGACTTTTTCAGAGATGACTTAGGGATTTTTTATAACTTCCTGTAACTTTTAAGCAAAGTTGAACTACAAGATAAATTTTTCCTTGTCATGTTATTTCAAATACTTCATGTTAGCATGCCCAGAAATTGACCTAAAAAGGATTAATAATAAAGCCAGTCTTTCTAATAGCAAAAAAAACTCTTTTTGCTTTTATGAGTTTGAAGAAAATTCTAATCATAATTCAATAAATAAAACACAACCCAAATTAATTAAGTGGTAAAACCAACTTTCCCAATTTATTTCTTTATCTTAGTCCTAAACCAAATAGAAAATATATAGTTTTGCCACATCAACTGCTAAAACTGTATTATTCTGTAAGGTCTTCCTGAATAACCCATTCTTTGAGATGAACTAGCTGCTTACTCATCTGTCTTCATGTATAAGCCCCATTCAGATGGAGACATCCTCCTGCCTGCCCCTGAGGTTTTCACAGTTGTAAAAGATGAGACACACCCATATTTCTCTGGGTGATGGGAGTTTGTGAACAAATATCTGTAGTAAAGAGGAGCCCAGGAAGGCAAGCAACTGTAGAGTCATTCTGTCTCTCAGCGCTTCTAAAACTGTCATGTTCAGCAGATCCTGAAGCTCTTCAGGAATGACTCATAGTCATGTAGAATACAAAAGCAACTCTACTGACCCACTTTTACTTTTTCTTTTTTTTTTGAGATGGAATCTCCCTCTGTCACCCAGGCTGGAGTGCAGTGGCACCATCTCGGCTCACTACAACCTCCGCCTCCCAGGTTCAAGCAATTCTCATGTCTCAGGCACCCGAGTAGCTGGAATTACAGGCATGCGCCACCAGCCCAGCTAATTTTTGTATTTTTCGTAGAGATGGGGTTTCACCATGTTGGTCAGGCTGGCCTCGAACTCCTGACCTCAAGTGATCTGCCAGCCTCAGCCTCCCACAGTGCTGGGATTACAGGTGTGAGCCACTGTGCTCGACCTTTTTCTTCCACGTATCAATGTTCACACTGGCATGAAGAGCTCCCGTTGGGTCATTCATACTGGTCGTGTTTCACCCCAAGCTCCTTATCACTCTGTAGTTCTCACATACATTCACATAGCTGTCTTGCATCTGGCCAAATCATTTCAGCCAGAGTAGCAAGGTTATTTGTATTTGACTTCCACACACATGGGAAAAGCCATAGCAACTTGAAGAAGTGTAATGGCCTGATGGTACTTTCCTTTGCAGAGGGCTGTGGCAGATATGGCCATTGTTACTCTTCTAATAAAGTTCCTCAATAAATGACATGATTATACCTCATGACAAAGTTATAAACATCTGCTGAGTGCACATCAAATCAGAAAATTTTAGAGGTTAGAGCGCTAGAGCCATAATTTAGCTCAATCTCTTGATTGTATAGGTGAGTAAACTGAGTTTTCTAAAGGCTAGGCCAAATTGAGAAACGTGGTCTCCCAGTTCCCATTTAGCATGATTTCCACCAAATGCCCAGATATGGATGATGCAAATATCCTTGGGAACAGAGTAAGTGCGTTAGCCCCTCAAATGCAGAGCCCGAGTTTTCAGCCCCTGCTATCGTGCCTGCTCCATAGTGGGGTGCAGAGTGTTCTTTCTCATTCTTTCTTTTTTCATTTTTTAAAATTTCTTTGAACCACTTTTGATTTCCATATGATTCAGATTGCATTTTTATTTTTCTTCACTTCTTGAGTGCTTTTGATTGATACAACTTAATTTTAAATATTCTTCTATTTCTCCTTTATGAATCACTTATTACTATGAACAGCCCTGACAAATTCTCAAGTTTTATACGCCTTATATTTTTCAAGGCTGGTTTTAGATATCACAATCTTTAAGAAGCCTGCTTGACCACAAGACATTTCGTGTTTTGCTTTTGTTTTTGTGTGTGGTAAATACAAATTTTATTCTGTATAAAATATAATAAAAACATTCCTGCATTCTAAAGGTCTTAAAACTCCAATCAGTGTAACATTTTTGGTATTTAAATAAACAAAATACTCATTTCAAATTAAAATACAGCACATATTCTGTTTCTTTTAACGTTTTAGTTTTAGGGGCACATGTACAGGTTTGTTACATAGGAATATTGTGTATTGCTGAGATTTGGTGTATGAGTGATACTGTCACCTAGGTAGTAAGCATAGTACCTGATAGGTAGTTTTTCAACCCCAACCTCCCACCCCCTTTAATCGTCCCCTGTGTCTATTGTTCCCATCTTTGTGTCCATGTATATTCAATGGTTAGCTCAAAACTTACAAGTGAGAACATGCAGTGTTTGGTTTTTTGTTCCTGCATTAATCCATTTAGGGTAATGGCCTCCAGCTCCATTCATGTTGCTACAAAGGAGTGTTATCTCATTCTTTTATATGGCTCATTCCTTTTTATGGCTGTGTAGTATTCCACAGTGCATATGTACCACATTTTCTTGATCCATTCCACCATTGATGGGCATCTAGGTTGATTCGTGTTTTTGTAACTGTGAATAGTGCTACAATGAACAAATGAGTGTATGTGTATTTTTGGTGGTACAATTTATTTTGTTTTGGGTACATACCCAGTAATGGGGTTGCAGGGTCAAATGGTAGTTCTGTTTTAAGTTCTTTGAGCAATCTCAAAATCAAAGTGACTAATTTACTTTCCTGCCAACAGTGTGTAAGCATTCCATTTTCTCTGCAACCTTGCCAGCGTGTGTTATTTTTTGACTTTTTAATAATAGCCATTCTGACTGGTGTAAGATGGTATCTCATTTTGATTTGCTTTTCTCTAATGATTAGTGATGTTGAGCACTGTTTCATACCTTTGTTGGCCACATGTATGTCTTCTTTTGAAAAGTGTCTATTCATGTCCTTTGCTCATTTTTTAATGGGGCTGCTTGTTTTTTGCTTGTTGAATTGTTTAAATTCCTTATAGATTCTAGATATTAGACCTTTGTTGGCTGCATAGTTTGATAATATTTTCTTCCATTCTGTAGGTTGTCTGTATACTCTGTTGACAGTTTCTTCTGCTGTGCAGAAGCTCTTTAGTTTAATTAGATTCCTCTTGCCAATTTTCGTTTTTGTTGAAACTGCTTTCGGTGACTGCTCATTAATTCTTTGCCAAGGCCAATGTCCAGAATGGTATTTCCTAGGTATTCTTCCAGGATTTTTATAGTGTAAGGACTTCATTTAAGTCTTTAATCCATCTTGAGTTGAGTTTTTTGTTTGTTTGTTTGTTTTTCTGAGACAGAGTTTCACTCTTGTTGCCCAGGCTGGAGTGCAATGGCACAATCTCAGCTCACTGCAACCTCCTTTTTCCAGGTTCAAGCAATTCTCCTGCCTCAGCCTCCCAAGTAGCTGGGATTATAGGCACCTGCCACTGCGCCTGGCTAATTTTTGTATTTTTTAGTAGCAACGGGGTTTCACCCTGTTGGCCAGGCTGGTCTCGAACTCTTGATCTCAGGTGATCCACCCACCTCAGCCTCCCAAAGTGCTGGGATTACAGGTGTGACCCACGGCGCCCAGCTGAGTTGAGTTTTATATATAGTAAAAGGTAGGGGGGCTTCAGATTCAATCTGCTAGCCAGTTATCCCAACACCATTGTTGGGAACAGGCCCCCAAATCTGGCCATAAACTGGCCCCAAACTGACCATAAACAAAATCTCTGCAGCACTGTGACATGTTGGTGATGGCCATGATGCCCACGCTGAAGGCATCAGAATGAGTGCAAAGAACACCTGACCCACCCAGGGTGGAAAACCACTTAAAGGCGTTCCTCAGCCACAAATAATAGCATGAACAATCTGCCACAAATAATAGCATGAACAATCTATGCCTCAAGGACATGTTCCTGCTGCAGATAACTAGCCAGAGGCCATCCCTTTGTTTAGATCCATCCCTTTGTTTCCTGTAAGGAATACTTTTAGTTAATCTATAATCTATAGAAATAATGCTTATCACTGGCTTGTTGTCAATAAATATGTGGGTAAATCTCTGTTCCGGGCTCTCAGCTCTGAAGGCTGTGAGTCCCCTGATTTCCCACTCCACATGCTATATTTCTATGTGTGTGTGTCTTTAATTTCCCTGGCACCTCTGGGTTAGGGTGTCCCCGACCGAGCTGGCCTTGGCACTGTTTATTGAATAGGGATTCCTTTCCCCCATTGCTTGTCATTATCAGCTTTGTTGAAGATCAGATAGTTGCAGGTATGTAGCTTTGTTTCTGCATTCTCTATCTTCCTCCATTTGTCTATGTATCTGTTTTTGTACCAGTACCAAGCTGTTTTGGTTACTGTAGCCTTGCAGTATAGTTTGAAGTCAGGCAGCTTGATGTCTCCAGGTTTGTTCTTTTCGCTTAGGATGGCTTTGTCTATTCAGGCTCTTTTCTGGTTCCATGTGAATTTTTGAGTAGTTTTTTCTAGTTCTGTGATAAATTATGTTTATGGCTTAATAGGAAGTGCATTGAATCTATAGATTGCTTTGGACAGTATGGCCATTTTAACAATATTGATTCTCCTATCCATGAGCATGGAATGGTGGGATGTTTTTCTATTTGTTTTTGTCATCTCTGATTTCTTTCAGCAGTGTCTTTCAATTCTCATTGTAGAGTTCTTTCACCTCTTTGGTTAGCTGTATTCCTAGGTATTTTGTTCTTTTTGTGGCTATTGTAAGTGGTGTTCCTAATTTGGCTGTCAGCTTGCTCATTATTGGTGTATAGAAATGCCACTGATTTGTGTATGTTGATTTTGTATCCTAAATCTTTACTGAAGTTATTTATCAGTTCAAGGAGCTTTTTGGTGGAGTGCTTAGGGATTTCTAAGTATAGACTTATATTGTCTGTGAAGAAAGATGATTCGACTTCCTCTCTTTCTATTTAGATACCTTTTATTTCTTTCTCTTACCAGATCGCTCTGGCTAGGACTTCCAGTACTATGCTGAATAAGAGCAGTGAGAGTGGGCATCCTTGTCGTGTCCCAGTTCTCAGAGATAATACTTCCAGTTTTTGCTCATCAGTTATAATCTTAGTGGTGGGTTTGGATCTTATTATTTTGAGGTATATTCCTTTGATGCCTAATTTGTTGAAAAGTTTTAAGATGAAATAATGTTGAATTTTATCAAAAGCCTTTTCTTCTTCTAAGGAAATGGTCATGTGGTTTTTGTTTTAATTCTGTTTATGTGGTAATCACATTTATTGACTTGTGTATGTTGAACCAACCTTCCATTTTAGGAATAAACCCTGCTTGATCATGTTGAATGAGCTTTTTGATGTGCTGCTGGATTCAGTTTGCTAGTATTTTGTTAAGGAATTTTGTGTCTGTGTTCATCAGGGATATTGACTGGAAATTTTCTCTTTTCATTGTGTCTCTGCACAACTTTGGTATCAGAATGATGCTGGTTTCATAAAATGCATTAAAGAGGACTCCTTCCTCCTTGATTTTTGCAACAATTTTAATAAAACTGTTCTTTATTTCTCTCGAGGGTTTGACTGGCGTAAATTGGGTATAGTTTACTGACTTTCTGACTTTGTTTCTGGCTCAGCTTGACACTCCTAGGCTGTACTCTCTAACCCTGGGGGCTGGCACCAGTCCTGTGGTTTTATTCTCTGGCCCCTCAAAGTCAAGTACCAGCTGTGCTAGGGGTGCTGGGGTGCTCTCTGGCTGCTAGCAAAAGCACTCCATTGGGGGGCCACCAGCTAAAGCACTCCTTTGGGGACAGCAGAGGCTGCTGGTGGTGCACTCCCTGGGGTGGTAAGGACTGCTAGCGTACTGTGTCAGGAGGCTGTTGGCAAAAGTGCTCCAGTAGAGTGGTGGGGGCCATCAGTAAAAGCACGACAGCAGTGGTCTTCAGCAGAACACCAGCAGAGCAGTGGAGGCTGTGCTATGTGCTCACTCCATTGCAAGCAGCCAGGCAGGGACTCTAGGAGGGGCCAGTAGACAGGAGACATGTAGCTCCAATTTGCCCTAGTTCCAGGAGGAAGACAGCCCAGCTCTTTCTAGGTCTGGCAGTTAACAAAGGCCTGAGCCACCTAGAGGAGTATGGAGAGCCTTGGGGAGTGGGTGTCTATGGCTGTGTTCTTTTGCCGCTGTCTCTGCACCAAACCTCCTAGGTTTTGTTCAGACTCAAGCTCTGTCTCTGTTGACTCTCTGGGCAGGTCCCCCTGCCAAGTCAAATGTCCATGGGTATTGTGAGATTTCCTGCAGCTAGGATCCCAGAGGTCCATGGTAACAGTGAGCCACACTGCAGTTATTTCACTTACCCTTTCCTTAGAAGCTGTTTAGGGGGCCGGGTGCTGTGGCTCACACCTGTAATCCCAGCACTTTGGGAGGCTGACATGGGTGTATCACTTGAGGTCAGGAGTTCTAGACTGGCCTGACCAACATGGTGAAACCCTGTCTCTACTAAATACAAAATTAGCCAGGCGTGGTGGCACAAACCTGTAATCCCAGCTACTCGGGAGGCTGAGGCAGGATAATCGCTTGAACCCAGGGGGCGGAGGTTGCAGTGAGCCAAGATCACACCATTGCACTCCAGCCTGGGTGACGAGTGAAACTCCATCTCAAAAAAAAAAAAAAAAAAAAGAAAGAAAGAAAGAAAAGAAAAAGAAAAGAAAAGAAAAGAAGGTGTTTAGGGCCAGGAATGAGTCCTAGTGCTTTGGCAACCCTGTGCAGGGTTCCGAGCTTCCTTCTCCTGCAGCCCCACTGTCTCTGTCACCTTTCCATCCACTTTCAGTGCATTCTCTCAGAATATCTCAGCCTGCTTTTTGTGTGTGCTCCCATAGTAAATAGTGTTGCTGCTCTCATTGCATGCATCACTTATCATCTTTGCCTGATTACCTGGCTGTCTCCCCTACTTGGATGTATGCCTGTGGGTGAAAATCACAGCATATTCTGGTTTAGTATCTCAGAATTGTGCTTGACACATGCTCAACAAATGGTGTATAATGCATTTTTATTCATCTCACCATATTTATACTGCAATTGTCCATCCTCTAGATGCATTGCTCGAGCCTCATTCACTCATTATTACTTATCTTTTCCTACTTCCACAGGTTAATAACATAACAATCTTTCAGAAACAAAGCTTTATCAAAATCTAGCCAAAGGGTAATAGAAAAATAAGTAGGAGTTGGAGTTTACTACATTTAATTGCATCTGTGCATCTCTTTCTGTTTAAGCACAGAGTGTGTTTTCAACCTCTGAGGAGATGCCAATTAGCATGACATATCTTTGGAAACATGGAGCTAGTGTATCTTTGATATACATGGAGCAAATCAACAAAGATAATGAGTCCAGCTGGTGGCTATGGAAGTGGACAGAAGGTAGGCAGATTTTAATGATTTCCAATTCTTCCGGATGCCAATTAGGAAATGACCAACAACGTGCAATCACTGTAGATTAAGAACAAGATGCCATAGGGAACATTTACATTACCAAGCTGTTTTTTAGACTGTCAACATTCCTCTTCATATTTCAGATAGGAAACAAGTTTCCCAGGGACAAGGCTAGGAGAAGGGGATTGACTTCAAGGGCCTCTGAAGGGACATCTGGAGTGGCAGGAGTGTTCTACATCATGACTGTGGGGTAGCTATGTGACTCTATACACTTACCAAAAATTATCAGATTGAGCACTTAAAATCGGTGAATTTTTGCATATAAAGGAAACCTTGAGAAACCTGATTTTTTAGAAGAAAGAAAGAAAAAGTAAAAAAGAAAAAAGAAAAAAGAAAGAGGGAAGGAAAAAAGGGGATCAAGGCAAGAAGCAGAATGCTATGTTTCACATGTTTGTCTTCTTCAAAACTCATGTTGAAGTTTAATCCCCATAGTGATAGTTTTGAGTGGTGAAGCCTTTAAGGGGAGAATGAATTAATCCACTTATGAATTAATAAATTAATAGATTAATGGGCTATCATGAGAGTGGAGCTGGTGGCTTTGTAAGAAGAGGAAGAGAGACCTGAGCTAGCATATTAGCATGCTCATCCTGCTTACCTGCTCCCCCTCAAGACTCTGCAGAGTGTCCCCACCAGCAAGAAGGCTGTCACCAGATGCAGCCCCTCAACCTTGGATTTCCCAGCTGGCAGAACTGTAATAAATAAATTTTGTCCCTTATAAATTATTCTGTTTCAGTGTTCTGTTAGAAGCAACAGAAAACTAAGATAGAAAATTGGTACTGAGAAATGTGGTGTTGATGGTAATGAATACCTGAAAACATGGAAGCAGCTTTGGAACCAGATAATGGGGTGAGGCTGGAAGAATTTGGGAAAGCAGGCTAGAAAAACCCTATATTTCTGTAAATGGAACATTAAAGAGGGTTCTGGAAAGATCCTTAGAAGGCAAGAAGACTAGGGAAAGTTTGGAATTCCTTAGAGATTGGTTAAGTGGTCATACCAAAATGCAGATAGAAATATGGTCAGTAAAGGCCATTCTAATGAAAATCTCAGATGGAACTGGGATACAGATATCTACATATATCTATATATATATGTGTGTTTGTGTGTGTGTGTGTGTGTGCACCTGTGTGTGTGTGTACACAGAAGGGATAAGCTCATGGGTTATGGATCTAGAATATATCTTGATAGATAGATAGATAGTCCATTTTGAAGCTGTTTCTTCAAAATGTAAAAAAATCACTCAAGCCACTACCACTCGTCACTTTTTAATTACATGTGCATCATGACAGCCATGGCTCAAAGATTTGGGTTATAGCTTCATGAGGTTAGTTTTGCTATAGACTAGATCTTTACTTTTACTTCTTGTTACCAGGCTCTTAGGTTATTAATGAGTTTCTTTTTCTTAAAAAAAAGAAAGGTAAGAGGCTTATGCATAGAAATCTAGGAATCGTGGGAATTATATGGTCTAATTCCATTGATGCTTATTAAATATTTATAATTTCATATATAATAAAAATATATGATGAAAAAATACATTATCTTAAAACATAAGATACTAAATAGAAAAAGGAAGAAAAGCATTTAGCTAGTTATAAATAATGCTATCGTTTATTGAGCATTTAATTCATACCTAGACCTTGGATAAGAACGTAAGAGAAATTATCTCATTTAATAAAAGCTTTGTAGCTTTTAATAAAAGGGTAACTTCTAAGATTTCTGAATTATTGAAGTATTTAATCTTGCTTTTTTCAGCTTTGAACTCTTATACATAACAGCTTGATTGGGTTGAAAGTTATTTTCTCTTAAAATTCTTTCTAATTTTTTTTTTTTTTTGAGACAGAGTCTCACTTTGTCACTCAGGCTAGAGTACAGCAGCATGATCATAGCTCACTATAGCCTCAACCTCCTGGGCTCAAGTGATCCTCCCACCTCAGCCTCCCAAGTAACTGGGACCATAAGCACAAGCCATCATACCTGGCTAATTTTTAAATTTTTTGTGCAGATGGGGGTCTTGCCATGTTGCCCAGGCTGGTCTTGAACCCCTGGACTCAATCTTCCTACCTGAGCCTCCCCAAGTGCTGGCATTACAGGTGTGAGCTACCACATCCAGCCTAAATTCTTAATTATTTATGAGTTGTTACAAACTAGAGTCACTATACATTAGTCAGGTGGCTTCCATTAATTTGCATTAATTATTTATAATACATTTTATTGTATATATTTAAGGTATACAACATGATGCTGTGGATTACATGTAGATGGTAAAACCATTATTATAGTGGAGCAGATTATCATCTCACATAGTTACCCTTCGTTTATGTGGCAAGAATAGCTAAAATCTACTCATTTAGTATGAAACCTAAAACTGTGTATTTGATTACTTAAAGCCTTTAAGTCGTACATTAGATCTCTAGACTTGTTTATCCTCCATATCTGTTCCTTTGTATCCTCTGATCTGCATCTCCTCTAATCTGCATCAATCTGAGCTCTTCCCTAGGTAAGCCAGACCCCACTCAGTCCTGCTCTATTTGTGGAGCAACACTGTCTTTTATTCAATGTATGTGTTATTACTATGCTTATATAGACGCTGCATGGATATAGGACAGAGTCAAAATACAGAAAGCTAGATAGAAACAAATTTAGTACTCTTTTGTTGAAGATGTACTCATCCTTTGGGAAAGTTCCTACTAGACAATGTGATTGTTACAGCTTAGCTTACATTTGAAAGCATATTAACACATAATTTAACCTTCCATACAATGGAATATACAGATTACATTTTAACCAAACAATATGAGTCATAAGCCAAATTTGTCACTAAAATTCACTGCTAAATAGCTGGTTTAGCCTAGAGGAAAACAATAGGAAATGTGTAGGAAAAAGGTAATTCCAGAATATTCTGAGTATGGAGGCAAGCAGAAAATAAACATTCTGGTTTGGTACTATAATATGGTCATAAGTGAATAACATTGAATGTGGCTTTTGTTTTATAACAAGATTTTTAAAAATAAGTGAATAACAATTCAAATAAGATTTAAAGTGCCTGCATTTCCTTCCCAGTAAGCTCTTAATGGAGGAAGATGAATAAGACTCTAAAACAGAGGCTATTAAGAAAAGACACTCTGGCTCTAAGGGTTTGCCAAAAAAGAAAAAAAAGGAAAGACAGAAAAGTTGAGAGGAAGAGGGATAGAGCAATTTTTGCAAAACAGTTTTTTTCATTGCAATGTGTTTGGCATACGCCTGACATCCTTCCGATTTAACGTTGTTATTGAAGCGACACTTGCTGTAGCTTGGGCCTGCATTGTAATTAGGAAAGCACACTATACTCTGAGGCCGAGATGATCACTTGCTCTTTGTTAGCCAACAGTACAGTTTCCAGAAAATGTCTTAACCTTTCCAGTCAAACTGACACAATCCACATTGTGTTAATCCAATTGTGGATTGTGTCGATTCGATTGGATATGTGAACTGTTAAAGTTAACAGACATACTTTTATAAAACAAACAGAACTGTCAATTTAGAAAATATAGCATATGTAACTAGATTCCTAAAGTGGAGCATTTTAAAATGTTTGAATCAGAATACCACAATACCAAAGAAATTCTCTGCAACTTGAAAGAGTACCTGCTAGACACTTTTTATTTTTTTGAGACAGAGTCTCACTCTGTTGCACAGGCTGGAGTGCAGTGACGCGATCTTGGCTCACTGCAAGCTCTGCCTCCTGGGTTCACGCCATTCTCCTGCCTCAGCCTCCCGAGTAGCTGGAACTACAGGCGTCCACCACTACGCCTGGCTAATTTTTTTTGTATTTTTAGTAGAGACGGCGTTTCACAGTGTTAACCAGGATGGTCTCGATCTTCTGACCTCATGATCCGCCCACCTCGGCCTCCCAGAGTGCTGGGATTACAGGCGTGAGCCACTGCGCCTGGCCTAGAACTTTGTATTCCAGCATGGTCCACAGACCCAACAGCATCAGCATCATTTGGGAGCCAGTTAGAAATGCAGACCTTCTAATTTAGAGTTTGAACTTTAGGTGATTCTTATCCCTGCTAGAGTTTGAGGGGCACTAGCTTAGAATACTTAGTCTACTACCAGTGAGTGAAAGGTACAAAGGGAAAAAGAAGCCCTTTTCTGATAACATTTTTCTCCTTTTAAACCAGTAATCTCTTCAGAATAGGAACGTTTCTTATTTATCTTTGTGATACTTATAACTAGTAGTATCTGGTCTGTAACAGGCAATCAAATATTTGTTAAATAGCTGAATTTGCTAATAATCCATTTTTTAAACTCTGTTTAGCACAGGCAAGCTTAGAGAGATGCCGATAGAGAGGTTAATTCACCAGACTGGTATTTTTCAATGGCAGCTCTAGCAAATGAATATAGGTATAAAATTCTATGTGGAAGACATTTTTCCTCAGTAGTTTGAAGACCTTGCTCAAAACTGTGAAGTCAGCCCTATGTAAAGTATAATATTTTGTCCTTTATAAGTAAGCTATTTTTTCACTCTGGTTTCTTTAATATTTTTCTTCTTTGTTGTCCTGTAGTTTCATCATATTCTAAATGTGGATTTTTTTTCCTTCTTTTTTTTCTTTAATCTTGCTTTCTTTTTTATTTTATTTTTATTTTAGGTTTGGAGGTACATGTGCAGGTTTTTTATATAGGTAAACTCATGTGACAGGGGTTTGTTTTACAGATTATTTTATCTTCCAGGTACTAAGCCTAGTACTCAATAGTTATTTTTTCCGCTCCTCTCCCTCCTCCCACCCTCCACCCTTAAGGTGGGCCCAGTGTCTGTTCTGTCCTTTGTGCCCATGAGTTTCTCATTATGTAGCTCCCACTGATAAGAGAGAACATGTGGTATTTGGTTTTCTGTTCCTGCATTAGTTTGCTAAAGATAATGGCCTCCAGCTCCATCCATGTTCCCACAAAAGACATGATCTTGTTCTTTTTATGACTGCCTAGTATTCCATGGTGTATAAGTACCACCAAATGTGGATTATTTTCATCTTGTTTAAAACTGCGTGTTTCTTCTGCATGCTCTCACTCATAGGTGGGAATTGAACAATGAGAACACTTGGACACAGGATGGGGAACATCACACACTGGGGCCTGTCGTGGGGTTGGGGGAGCGGGGAGGGATAGCATTAGGAGATATACCTGATGTAAATGACGAGTTAATGGGTGCAGCACACCAACATGGCACATGTATACATGTGTAAGAAACCTGCATGTTGTGCACATGTACCCTAGAACTTTAAGTATAATAATAAAAACAAAAATAATAATAATAAAAAGATTTTAGAAAAAAAAACTGTGTGTTTCTTGAATCTAAGGATTGTCTTCCAGTAACTTTTGAAAAGTATTTATTTGACATTCTATCTTCAAATACATCTGTTTTCTCAATGATTTACAGCCTCTTCTTCTGGGGCTCTAGTTATACATATATATGATAGATCTTATCTCTACCTAGTCTCTACCTTTCTGTAATAGTTTCATTCTAATAAATCTTGGGTTATATTTTGGATAATTCCATCAATTTATAACCCAATCTGCTATTAATAAATCCATTTATTTTTTAATTTTACTAGCTATATGTTTTATTACTAGCATTCTATTCTTTTTCCCCTTTTTTATACTTTGGTAAGTTGACTTTAAAAACTATCTCATAAGAAAGAATAAAATATTTCTTAGGTCTCGAATATTTCTGTTATTTTAAATTATTTTCAACATAGGCTTTTAAAATCATCTTTTTAGTTTGTTTCTGTAGTTACACGCCCTTGAGGTGGTAAGTCTGCTGACTCTTGCTCATGGTGACTGTTTCCTCAAGTTTTTAATAATATTTTATCTTAAGTGTATCTTCAGTAGAGGTTTGTCTATTAGATTCTCATGTACTCTGGACTATAGGAGGAGTTTTACATTCACTTCTGCCAGATTCTTCAGGGGTGTTGTTACAGGATCTTCGAGGTGTCATTTTTCTGGCTAGAAACCTTTGTGACCCGTGGTGCCTTTGCCCAAGTTTTGCTCAAGCCCCCTGGGCTTTTTTCGCCCACTTGGCCTGTCAGGCCGTGCTTGGCTTATACTACTGGCCTGGGTCCCACACCTGCCAAGGGTGAGTCAGGCATGGAGTTGTGACGGGTGTGTGAGCAAGCATGGGGTCTGGCCACTGTGCAGTCAGACATGCCAGCTGCTGCAGCGGGGCAGGCAACTCCAGGTGCTAGCATGGGCTCAGGCTCTCTGCAAGGATGCAGCCAGACTAGGTGCACTGGAAGCAGCTTCCACGACTGGCATTGGAAACCCGGTGGCACCCAGAAGCTTGGAGATGCCAGGAACCATAGGGCCCCAAAGAGGGAATCACAGCCCTGGCTTCGGGAGCCCCCGGGTCTGGGGTCCCTGAAGGACCACAGCTCTTCTCTCCTCTTCACCTGCAACATGGTGAGCAAGGAACATGTTCCAGCCCTGTTTGTGTTACAGCTCTTTTAGTCCTGCCATTCGATGGTCCCAAGTTCTTGTTTTGCACCCAGGAAGAATGAGGTATGCAGCCAAGTGGAGGGTGACCAAGACGAAGAGGAGATTTATTGAGCAATGGAACAGCTCAGCCTCCCACAGGGGGCAGCTCCTTTCCGCAGACAGGATGTCCTGATGAGTGTTCAGCTCCTAGCAGAGAGGAGACTTGGAGTGGGAAGATCCTCTCTGCAGGGAGGTCATCCAGTCATCTCTGCAGCTCTCAGCAGAGAGGAGGCCCTGGAGTTGGTAGCTCCTCTCTGCCCCAGCTCATCCTGTCGTCTGACCAGCTCTGGCTGAGCTGGGGCTTCTCTGGGCCTCAGAGGGGAGGAAGTGCACACTGATTGGCCCATGGGTGGTCATGGGCAGGCCTGGAAAAGGCACCACATATCTCCACACTGGTCTGTGGCACTGGCAGCCCAGCCCCCAGCTTTCAGGCCCTCCCTGGCCTGAAGGTGGAGGCTCACTGGGGACCTGCCCCCTTCTACCCAGGAACCTGTCTATCTCCTGCTGCTGTTCATGGTGCCGAGGCTGTAGGTGCCAAGGGGCGCCTGCAGGCCAGTGTGAGCTGCCCTCAGACCCTCCGCGGCTTCCCTCCTATGCTCATTGGCGCCCAAAATCTGGAGGGGGACAAGGCGGCAGGGACTGGCATGTCAGCTCTGCCCTGAGCATGTGCACACCCCATGGGGCTGTCACAGTGCCCAAGATCAGCCCTGACTTTGCTCTGACATCAGAACAGGTGCTGACAGCAGGGAGAAGCCAGGCAGTGGGAACAGGCATTTCTGAGCCAGCGAGGGCAGGGGTCCTTCCCGAGCTCCCAAGAGTGCAGGCATGCCTGGGTTTGCAGCCACAATTTGGGCAGCTGCCGCTATGCCTGGGGGGATGGGGGTCCTGCCTGCTCTGTGGAGCAGGAGGCCTGGGTCTGCAGCTGAGGTTCGGGCAGCTGCAGCAGTCCTGCCAGCTCTACGGAGTGGGAGGCCTGGGTCAGCAGCTGTGTTTGGAGCGGCTGCGGCTGCACCTTGGGAGCTCCTGCTCCACCAACTTGGAAGGGGTGGGGCTCCCACTTGTTGCCAGCTCCACGGAGTGTGCAGCCCCAGCTGTGCCTCCTTGCTACAGCTGGCATGATGGCAGTGGCCGCTCCAGATGGCCCCTGCTGCCATCAGTATCACTAATAAAGGAACATTTTTTTCGTTGATTTTTCAGCTTGGAATTTCTCACATCATGCAGAGTATGGATACTCATTTCTGGAATTTTTAAAAGGTAACTTTTTTCTACCCTAACTCAGAAAGAAAACATTTCCCTGAGTTTAGTGAACTGTTTTTCTCAGCCACAAAAGTGCAGCCCTCGATGAGAGGGCGCTTGTGTGTATGTAAATATCAATGCCCACCCATTTTCTAGTCTAATAATGCTCCACCAGTCTCTGCATAATTAGCTTCTGTACTAACTGCTCATATTCTTTCTTCATAGTACTAACTTCTTTGTTTATTGCCTTAAGCATATTGATAATTATTTATTAGGATTGATCAGAATTCTGCTTTGTGTATTATATGTAGTTCAACTTGTTGTCTTTCTTTTATAGTATTTGTATCCATCTGGTATTTAGATATTTTAGCTCACAAAGTCATATTCTGATACATGATAATATGATGTATCAGCTACTATGTCTGGCAAAGTTTCTTGAGGAAGGACAGGAGACCAAACCCCAGTCTGGATCCCTTCCATTGAGATTAAGGAGAGAGGAGGGGATCAGTGCCAGGGCAAAGAGCCCCAAGAACCGCAGAACCACTCTTTGCAATTCTGATTTGCAATCACTCCACTGACAACACATAAGGAAGATGGATGGAGGGAATACAATCTCCTGGGTTTTGATTCACCCTCCCTGGGGATTTGAAAAGAGAGCTTAGAGGAGAGAATGCCTGATGTGGCTCACCTGTGATCTCAGGCTTTGCACTGCCCTGGTATTACTCTATGAACACCAGTAATCTGGGGCTTTTGTCTTTAATTTCTGTTGAGTGCAGAAAGTGACGCTTGCCCCTAGACAGCTCAGGAAGAGACCAGACTATAGCTTAAAGCCTTTCTCTAAGCTTTCCTCTCACTGCTGTCACCAAGGTACAGACTGTGAGACTGAGGCCATCCTTCAACCAAGATGTAGCTGCCCATCCACTCACAAGTCCAGACTGATTTCAGCCCTTTTTTTTTTTAATTTCTCAACTCCTCTTCTTTTTCCTTTCTATTGTTTCTTTAGGTTTGATTTTCAAATAGAGAACCAACAGTTCATACTGATTTTAATATCTTGATAGACATATATAATCTGGCATATTGATCTTCCTTTCTGGCTATTTCCTTTAACTCCTGCTATCTCAGATATGCATTAAAGGTCATTGTTATATTTTATTCAACACTGGGGGGCTTTACAATATAAGGGTTCGGGAATTGGCATGCTCAGAAATTATTGAAACCAGAAATCACTTTGATTTTTTTCAAATCTGTGAAACATATATCCTTATGCATTTGAATTGGCTACTTTTCTTTCACCCTTTGCCAAGTTTTCCATGAGATAGTTTTTAAAATCAACTTAATATTGCTTGGGTCATATGAGCTTCATGATAAACCCTATGATCATTAACATAAACAGGAATGTGGCAAAGAAAAAATTAAGAACCTCTGTCTCAACATGAAGCCATAAGGCAGGGTTTTGTTTTGTTTTGTTTCTAATGAGGTAGTGATATAATTATGGTTAAGAGTGTGGGCTTTAAAGTCAGAAATTCAAGTTGGATCATATGAAGGCTCACTCAGTTTTAAACTACATAAACTTCAGTTGGGTTCTTAATCCCTCTAAGCTTTAGTTTGTGCATCTGTAAAAGTGGCTAGTAATAATAGCTACCACATGCATTGATGTGAGAATTAAATTCTATAACGAGTGCTTAATACAGAGCTGATCATACAGCAGGTACCTAATTAAAAGCTACCATTATTTTTATTATGTTTATTGTGTTTTCTGACTTAGGAATATTGCAAAAGATGAATTAAGGTGTTAGACAACTCCTCTTTTTGTTTTTCCCTGTAAAGGCTCATCTACTCTCATGTCCTGCATTTATATTTATATTTGAAAAGTGACAAACCCCCTAGACGGGCAGATATTCAAGTATTATTTCAATGTAAACCCTCAGCTGCCTCTTTCAGTTTTACTGGTCTTCCCTATTATTTGCAGTTTCTGCAAAGTATGGTAATTTATATGAACCAGAAAGACTTTAGAGCCTTTTAAATCTATTGTATTTGTTTAGTCTGATAATGATTTGGAATTAAGATACCTATTTTCCAGGTTTAGCGATACTCTACCTATCTCATGGGTTTTATATTAGGATCACAAGAAGTAACAAATGTTAAAGTGCACTGAAATTAGACTATACGAGTATCATAACAGCTACATAAAATAAAGTTATAAAATAGATAAAACTATGCCTGCATAATTTTGCTATTAAATATATGTTTAAATACATTAAGGATTTAAAACAAAAATTTATATATTACTGATTGGGGATAAGTTTGAAGAATTTATCTTGTTTCGTGATTGCTTGAGTTTCTATTGATGCTTTTGTATTTTGCTTTTGTAGATTTTATTAACATCATTTGAAAAATCTTTGGATCATTTATTTAGATTTTTAAGATAGGGTTTAGGAGACATTTATTCTGGCCAAGATTGAATAACAGGGACTAATTCACACTCCTGCCTAAACAACAAAAAACCTGGACAAAATATATAAAAACAATACTTCTCAGACATTCAACAACAGGAAGCTCATGATCCTGACTCCCAAAAGAAGGGAAGTAAGCAAGGTGAGGCTTGCGGTCATCTCTGTTTTCTGCTGCAGGCATTTAGTGAATTTTGGCACAGGAAGGAGTGAAGCAGGAACAGGGCCATATGAGGGAAAGTCCAGTGAGATCCAGAAGATGCAAAATTTAGAGAGATGTTTGCTGCCAGGGCCGTGCAGGCACAGAATTAGCCCAGAGGAAGAAGAATGTGGAGTCCTCCTTGAGCTGGGGAAGGTTAGGTGACAGGAATTCATAAGAAAGAGTCCAAAGTAAAAGGGATGATGCAGAAAAACAGTTCCAGATACCTGCATTGAGTACTCTTGACTTTCTGACTGATTATTCAGTTCTGCAGGTATAGAGTGACCCCAAGTGAATGAGAAAGGAAACATTATACAGGGCAGAACATTACTGTAGATAACATTGGGCTGGTTGTGGATATTGAGTTCTAGCCAACCAGCTAAAGCAACCATGCTGAACAACCAGAACATTCAGTAGAGACCAAAGAGCTGTCATTACTTAAGAGGAGAACCAAAGTAGTTTTAGAGTAAAGGCTAATCCAAACTCATCCTAACAAACCTAAAAACAAGTTTCAAAAGGGTCAAGTTGTTCTGCAATTAAATTAACTGCCTACCGGAAGAAAATGTGACAATTTTTAAAAGAAGTTAACAAAACTAGACAAACAACATTATATTAACAATAATAAGCACCCAATTAAAATTAGTACAGAGGTGAAGAAGCAGAAAAATGTCACATACAGAGGAGAAAAATCAGTTAATAGAGTCAGACTAAGAATGACATAGGTGACAGAATTAGCAGTCTAAAGGAAACATTAAAATAATGAAGAAAGAAATAAAATTTTCACTAAATTTAAGAAGATTGAAATTAAACAGGCAATGTTTTCTGACTATACCAGATTCAAGTTAAAAATCAATAACCAAAAGATACATGGAATATATCCAAACACTAGAACGTTACACACACACACACACACACACACACACACCTTAATAACACATGGGTCAAATAATCACAAGAAACATTAAAAAAATTTCAAACTGAATGATAAGAAAGCACAATATATCAAAACATGTGAGACATAAGTAGAGCAGAGCATAAAGCAAAATGTAAAGCTTTAAATTACTGTTAGAAAAAAGACTAACATTAATAATCTAAGCTTCTGACTTCATAAACTAGAAAAAACAACAATTTGAATTTAATAATAAGTAAAAGAAGGAACTAATAAATGTAGAAGCTAAAATCAGTAAAATTTTTAAATTGAAATAATATAATTCTGTAAACTCCTTCAGAAAATATAAGTTGATACTTTCCAACTCATTTTATGAATCCATCATGACTCTGATAGCAAAATCAGACAAAGGCATTGCAAGAAAAGAAAACTATGAACAATACCACTGATGAACATGGACAAAATAGCCCTTAACAAAGTTGTCATGGAGAATCCAGTAATATGTATAGATGATTATATATTATAACTAAGTAGAATTTGTGAAAGAAGTGAGAGGTTGCTATAACATTGGAAAATCAAGCAATATAATTTATATATTAATGAAATATAAAGAAAATCATATGATTGTTTCAATATAGGAAGAAAATGCATTTGGTAAAATTAATTTCCTACTTACGTCACAAACTGTCAAAAACCCAAGCAATTTCAAATTGATGAAGACCATATATGAAAAATCTGCAGCTGAAATAATACTTCTTGGTAGGCTGAGGCAGGCAGATCACTTGAGGCCAGGAGTTTGAGACCAGACTGGCCAAAATAGCAAAACCCCATCTCTAAATTAAAATTTTTAAAAAAGCACTTCTTGGTAAAATATATTTTTTCCTCTAAAATTGGGAACAAAACAAGAATGTCTACTAAACACTTCTAATAAATATTGTCCTAGGGTTCTTGGCCAGTTAAATATGGCAAAGAGAATAAATAAAAGACTTATAGATGAAAAATAAAGAAAAAAAAAGCTATTGGCAGGTGATATAATTATATATTAGAAAATTCTAAAGAATCTACAAAACAACAACTATATCTAATTAATGAATTTAGCAACTTTACAGAAACATCAATATACAGAAAAATTAATTGTATGCCTATATACTGGAAATGATTGGGAAAAAAATTTAAGAAATAACATTCTCAGTAACTTCAAAAAATCAACATAAATTTACATAAATTTAACAAAATATGGTCAAGATCCGTATGCTAAAATCTACAAAATATTTATTTTTTCTTTTTTTTTTTTTGAGACAGTCTTGCTCTTGTCGCCTAGGCTGAAGTGCAGTGGCGCATCTCAGCTCACTGCAACCTCCACCTCCCTGGTTCAAGCAATTCTCCTGCCTCAGCCTCCTGAGTAGCTGAGACTACAGGCATGCGCCACCATGCCTGACTAATTTTTGTATTTTTAGTAGAGGCAGGGTTTCACCATGTTGGCCAAGCTGGTCTTGAACTCCTGACCTCAGGTCATCTGCCCACCTTGGCCTCCCAAAATGCTGGGATTACAGGCATGAGCCACTGCACCCAGCCAAAATATTCCTGAGAAAAATTATGAAAGATCTAAACAAATGGAGAGATATACCATGCTCATTAATTGGAAGTCTTGGCATTGTTCTAATGTCAATGTTTTCTAAATTGATCTATAGATTCAGTGCAATCTCAATCAAACTCTCAATGGAATATTTTCATAGAAATTGACAAGCTGATTTTAAAATTTATGTAGAAAATGCAAAGAACCTAATAAAGCTAAAAGAGTTTTGAAAAAAGAAGAAAGAACATAATAACAAAATTTAGGACTGTGATTTCCTGACTTCAAGACTTCTTATATGGCTACAATAATCAGGTCACTGTGATATGGTCATTATAGTAAATATATAGGCCAATGAATCAGAATAAAGAATTTTTAAGTTGATCTACACTACTTTGTCAATCAAATTTTTACAAAATTGCCAAAATAATTTAATGGGGCAAAATAGTCTTTCAACAAATGGTGCTAAAACAACTGAATTGTATGGAATGCCATACAAAGAAATAAATTTGACGTAAATCATAGTCTTACACACAAAAACTAAAACTAGAAAATTCCTGGAATAAATTTTCACTATCTTATGAAAGGCAATGATTTCTTATGACAGGCAATGATTTCTTATGACACAATAAACACAAACCATAAAACAAATACATTGATAAATTTTATCAAAACTAAAACCTGCTCTGCAAAGCAGAATGTTAAAAAAACAGAAAAGCAAGCCACACACCTAGAGAAACAATCATTAATATTTGAAATACATATATCTGATGAAGTTCTTATATTCTGAATATATAAAAAACTCCAGTAATTCAATTCAATTCAGATTACAAACCAATTTTTTTAAAAATATATAAAATATTTGAGTAGCAATTTTACAAAAGAAGAGAATGCCCAAAAGCTCATGAAAAGATGTTTAATAGCATTAGTCATTAGAGAAATGCAAATTCAAACTTCCATGAGACACTGTCTAGACTCGCTATAGGCTCTCTAGACTGGGCAATATTAAAAAGAAATAGAATCTCCCGTCTCCCTCTCGCTCTCCCGTCTCCCTCTCCCTCTCCCGTCTCCCTCTCCCTCTCCCGTCTCCCTCTCCCTCTCCCTCTCCCGTCTCCCTCTCCTTTCCACGGTCTCCCTCTCATGCCGGGCCAAAGCTGGACTGTACTGCTGCCATCTCGGCTCGCTGCAGCCTCCCTGCCTGATTCTCCTGCCTCAGCCTGCCGAGTGCCTGCGATTGCAGGCGCGCGCCGCCACGCCTGACTGGTTGTCGTGTTTTTCTGGTGGGGACGGGGTTTCGCTGTGTTGGCCGGACTGGTCTCCAGCTCCTAGCCGCGAGTGATCCGCCAGCCTCGGTCTCCCGAGGTGCCGGGATTGCAGACCGAGTCTCATTCACTCAGTGCTCAATGGTGCCCAGGCTGGAGTGCAGTGGCGTGATCTCGGCTCGCTACGGCCTCCACCTCCCAGCCGCCTGCCTTGGCCCCCCAAAGTGCGGAGATTGCAGCCTCTGCCCGGCCGCCACCCCGTCTGGGAAGTGAGGAGCGTCTCTGCCTGGCTGCCCATTGTCTGGGATGTGAGGAGCCCTTCTGCCTGGCTGCCCAGTCTGGAAAGTGAGGAGCGTCTCTAACCGGCCGCCATCCCACCTGGGAAGTGAGGAGCGCCTCGTCCCGGCCACCATCCCATCTAGGAAGTGAGGAGCGTCTCTGCCTGGCAGCCCATCGTCTGAGATGTGGGGAGAGCCTCTGCCCCGCCGCCCTGTCTGGGATGTGAGGAGCGCCTCTGCCCGGCCGCGACCCCGTCTGGGAGGTGAGGAGTGTCTCTGCCCGGCCGCCCCGTCTGAGAAGTGAGGAGACCCTCCGCCCAGCAACTGCCCCGTCTGAGAAGTGAGGAGCCCCTCCACCTGGCTGCCACCCCGTCTGGGAAATGAGGAGCGTCTCCGCCTGGCATCCACCCCGTCCGGGAGGGAGGTGGGGGGGTCAGCCCCCTGCCCGGCCAGCTGCCCCGTCTGGGAGGGAGGTGGGGGGCTCAGCCCCCCACCCGGCCAGCCGCCCCGTCCGGGAGGTGGGGGGCGCCTCTGCCCGGCCACCCCTGCTGGGAAGTGAGGAGCCCCTCTGCCCAGCCAGGAGCCCCTCTGCCCGGCCAGCCGCCCCGTCCGGGAGGTGAGGGGTGCCTCTGCCCGGCCGCCCCTACTGGGAAGTGAAGAGCCCCTCTGCCCGGCCAGCCGCCCCGTCCGGGAGGGAGGTGGGGGGGGTCAGCGCCCCCTCCCGGCCAGCCACCCCATCTGGGAGGGAGGTGGGGGGGTCAGCCCCCCGCCCGGCCAGCCGCCCCATCCGGGAGGGAGGTGGGGGGCTCAGCCAGCCGCCCCATCTGGAGGGAGGTGGGGGCCACCTGGCCAGCCACTCCGTCAGGGAGGGAGGTGGGGAGGTCAGCCCCCCGCCCGGCCAGCCACCCGGTCCGGGAGCTGAGAGGCTCCTCTGCCCGGCCGCCCCTACTGGGAAGTGAGGAGCCTCTCTGCCCGGCCACCACCCCATCTGGGAGGTGTACCCAACAGCTCATTGAGAACGGGCCATGATGACAATGGCGGTTTTGTGGAATAGAAAGGCAGGAAAGGGGGGGAAAAGATTGAGAAATCGGATGGTTGCCGTGTCTGTGTAGAAAGAAGTAGACATGGGAGACTTTTCATTTTGTTCTGTACAAGTACTAAGAAAAAGTCTTCTGCCTTGGGATCCTGTTGATCTATGACCTTACCCCCAACCCTGTGCTCTCTGAAATATGTGCTGTGTCCACTCAGGGTTAAATGGATTAAGGGCGGTGCAAGATGTGCTTTGTTAAACAGATGCTTGAATGCAGCAGGCTCCTTAAGAGTCATCACCACTCCCTAATCTCAAGTACCCAGGGACACAAACACTCTGCCTAGGAAAACCAGAGACCTTTGTTCACTTGTTTGTCTGCTGACCTTCCCTCCACTAGTGTCCTATGACCCTGCCAAATCCCCCTCTGTGAGAAACACCCAAGAATGATCAATAAAAATAAATAAATAAATAAAATTAAAAAAAAAAAAGAAATAGAAAATGATAATACTAAGTGTTGGAAAAGATGTGGAGCAACTAGGACTCATACACTGCTGGTAGAAGTGTAAAATGTTATAACCACCTTGGACAAGAGTTTGGCAGATTCTTACAAAGTTAAATATATACTTACCAGTAATTTCACTCCTAGATATTTGCCCAAAATAAGTAAAAACTTATGTTGACATCGAAAGACATGGACACAAAAATTTATAGCCATTTTATTCATACTAACTAGTAACTGAAAATAATACAAATATCCATTAACTGGTGAATGGATAAAAATTATGATATATTTACACAATGGACCACTACTCAGAAATAAAAAGAAATGGCATCACAATATGAATGAGTTTCAAAAACATTATACTGAGCAAAAAGCCAGAAACAATAGATTGTATAGTGTATCATTTCATTTATATGGCATTATAGAACAGGCAGTAGTAATCCATGATGGTAGAAATCAGATCAGTGATTGCTTAGATCTGAGAGTAGAGGGTTATTGTCTGCAAAGGGGCACAAAAGGAACTTTTGGAGTTGTAGAAATACCTAGGAATCCAACTTGCAAGGGACGTGAAAGACCTCTTCAAGGAGAACTACAAACCACTGCTCGATTAAATAAAAGAGAACACAAACAAATGGAAGAACATTCCATGCTCATGGGTAGGAAGAATCAATATCGTGAAAATTGCCATACTACCCAAGGTAATTTATAGATTCAATGCCATCCCCAGCAAGCTTCCAATGACTTTCTTCACAGAATTGGAAAAAACTACTTGAAAGTTCATATGGAACCAAAAAAGAGCCCACATTGCCAAGTCAATCCTAAGCCAAAAGAACAAAGCTGGAGGCATCACGCTACCTGACTTCAAACTACACTACAAGGCTACAGTAACCAAAACAGCATGGTACTGGTACCAAAACAGAGACATAGACCAATGGAACAGAACAGAGCCCTCAGAAATAATGCCGCATATCTACAACCATCTGATCTTTGACAAACTTGACAAAAACAAGAAATGGGGAAATGATTCCCTATTTAATAAATGGCACCATTTATTAATTCCCTACTTAATAAATGGTGCCATTTATTAATTCCCTATTTAATAAATGGTGCCATATGTAGAAAGCTGAAACTGGATCCCTTCCTTACACCTTATAAAAAAATTAATTCAAGATGGATTAAAGACTTAAATGTTAGAACTAAAACCATAAAAACTCTAGAAGAAAACCTAGGCAATACCAGTCAGGACATAGGCATTGACAAGGACTTCATGTCTAAAACACCAAAAGCAATGGCAACAAAAGCCAAAATTGACAAATAGGATCTAATTAAACTGAAGAGCTTCTGCACAGCAAAAGAAACTACCATCAGAGTGAACAGGCAACGTACAGAATGGGAGAAAATTTTTGCAATCTACTCATCTGACAAAGGGCTAATGTCCAGAATCTAAAATGAACTCAAAATTACAAGAAAAAAAAAAAACAACCCCATCAAAAAGTGGGCAAAGGATATGAACAGACACTTCTCAAAAGAAGACATTTATGCAGCCAAAAGACACATGAAAAAATGCTCATCATCACTGGCCATCAGAGAAATGCAAATCAAAACCACAATGAGACAGCATCTCACACCAGTTAGAATGGCGATCATTAAAAAGTCAGGAAACAACAGGTGCTGGAGAGGATGTGGAGAAATAGGAACACTTTTACACTGTTGGTGGGACTGTAAACTAGTTCAACCATTGTGGAAGTCGGTGTGGCAATTCCTCAGGGATCTAGAACTAGAAATACCTTTTGACCCAGCAATCCCATTACTGGGTATATACCCAAAGGATTATAAATCATGCTGCTATAAAGACACATGCACACATATGTTTATTGCGGCACTATTCACAATAGCAAAGACTTGGAACCAACCCAAATGTCCAACAATGATAGACTGGATTAAGAAAATGTGGCACATATACACCATGGAATACTATACAGCCATAAAAAATGATGAGTTCATATTCTTTGTAGGGACATGGATGAAGCTGGAAATCATCATTCTCAGCAAACTATCACAAGGACAAAAAACAAAACACTCCATGTTCTCACTCGTAGGTGGGAATTGAACAATGAGAACACATGGACACAGGAAGGGGAACATCACACACCAGGGCCTGTTGTAGGGTGTAGGGAGAGGGGAGGGATAGCATTAGGAGACATACATAATGTTAAATGACGAGTTAATGGGTGCAGCACACCAACATGGCACATGTTTACATATGTAACTAACCTGCACGTTGTGCACATGTACCCTAAACTTAAAGTATAAAAAAAAAAGTGCTACATGTTAAGGTTCTATGAGTATACATATTTTATTTAAAAAATCATTGAACTGTAAACCTAAAATAATCACATTTTATCATATGTAAACTATATCTCATATTTTATTTAAAACAGAAGTAGATACTGTTTTCAATGTTTTAAAATATTTAATCAAGACAAGCAAACAAATCTGATTAGAGCTCAGTAAGTGGAGAGAACATGATCACACTTTTTCTTTATATTGGATGCATTGATGTCCTCAGCATAAAGACTGTAAGTTTATTTAGTAATTCTTATCTATTATTTAAGGTCACACGGTTAATTTTTAAAGCTTCACATGACAACACTAAACAATAAACTAGTTTAAAAGTTGGCATCTGCATTGTGGATTTAATATAATAATGTGTGCTCATCATGACAAGCCAAACAATACAGAAATGTGTACATATATAAATAGTCCCTAACTCTCCTGTATGTGTGTCCAACCCTCCCTCTTCATTCCCAAACTTTTAGAAAAACAACAGAAGCAATTTTCTATGTGTTCTGCCATACCCTCTCCCTGTTATGTCAACACATACAAACATCCATTTATATTAAGAAAGGAAGAGAGACTTGAGCTAGCATGTGAGCACATGCAATGTAATTATTATTTAAAATAAAAAAGTTTAAGTTAATATTAACAAATTCAACTTACAATTTTTTAAAGTTGCATAGCTTTCCAGAGACTGGTTGTACCACAACGTATTCAACCATCTCCATGTTGATGAACATTCAGATTTTCTTTTCTATTTTTGCTAATACTAAGGATGCTCAGAGTGCCAAGTTTATAGTTTATGCTCAACAAATATTTATGAATCAAGGAATGAATGCTGGAATAAATGTCTTTATTCTGAAATCCATAAGGAAAAGAGCATATCAGAAAACACTCTTTATCTCCTCCACTTCATTCTATTTGTGGCTTTCACTTAACCTTGTCATAGGCATTTAACAGTGAAAACAGAGATTTTCAATGTTAAAAAATTCAGCACCAAATCATACATGACATACCAAAGTTTGAAATGGAAGAAAGTGGAGTTGTCCTGGCTGAAATGGAGTGAAAGGGTGAGGCTCCACTCCAGCAACCCAGGGACATCTTGTCAAGTTCTGCAGAAGAGGATTTGAAGTCCAGTGATCTACAACTCAGTTAATTTATCCTACTCTCCCATTACTATTTCTGAGGTCAATGCCTGAACTTGAGAGAATTCTAATGCTGTTTTAATGGCTATGAGGTTGTTTTTTCAGTGAAAATGCTCCCAGTAAAATCACAAAGATCTAAACCAGAGTTTTGGTTCTATTTCTTAAGCAATGTTGCTACTAATTGCTAAAATGAAAGGATGTGATGTATAAGCACCATAAGTACTATGTAAATATTACATTTGACTCAGAATTTAGAAAGAAAATCATAATACTGTACCTTACTATTCACTATACATAATTTTGGAAAATGTGATGAAGACAGTGTTCAGTTTGAGTTAGTGCAGGAGATGCTATAAGTATGTATTGTGTTTCATATAGAACAAAAGTTGATGGCCTGTTAGTACATAAAGACAAAAATTACTTGTCTATGCTTATATGATATAAACATAAAACGTATTTAAAATAGCTTTCTTTTTTTTTTTTTGACATGTTTTCATCTGATAAAATAGCTTTCCGATAGAAACTTCATTCAGTTTCAACTGGAGAACATCTAGATGTTTTCTTTACGCAGATCTGTATATTTCCTGATTCAGTTTCAGTGTGTATTTTCAGGGAAAACGACTTAATTTAAGTATTGAAGAAGTATTTGCTGTTCAGCCATGTAACAATGATGTCCTCCTTACCACCGTTAGGAGGCTCTCGGACCTATCTCTGCAAAAGCTAGGAAAATTGAGTAAAACAGACGTGATCCCTATTCTCCTAGAAGTTTATAATTAGACTCTATACATACATATTGTCAATTATCTAGATTTGCCAAATACAACAGTCTCCTGACAGCACCACAGCTCTGGCCATATTACATCACCCAGTGTAATTATTATTTAAAATAAAAAAGTTTATATAATGTATGGATTTTATACCCTCAAAGCCACCCTTTTCTCTTCCACAGTGTTAAAGGGATTACACTATTTTTATTCATTCAACAAAGATATAGTACTTGTTGCTATGTGTCAACACTGTTTTAGTGATGGGGATATGGCAAGAGAGCTTACATCCTAGTAAGCAAAGTACATATCATACACGCACAACAAATTAATATAATATTAGGTAGCGATTTATTATATTGTCAAGGTAGAGATAAGTGACATGAAAACTACAGCATTTAATATAATGTCATTTAATATTAATATAATTTAATATATTAAATTTAATACAATGTCATTTAAATAGGTCAGGTAGACATTAATATTTAATGGCATGAAAAAATACAATAGAATAGGGAAATAGAAATTGATGTGGGAGTGGCAGTGACAGATGCTTTTTTGTTTTTTTTAGACAGAGTCTCTCTCTTTCACCCAGGCTGGAGTGCAGTGGCATGATCTCGGCTCACTGCAGCCTCTGCCTCCCGGGTTCAAGCAATTCTTGTGCCTCAGCCTCCTGAGTAGCTGGGACTACAGGAGTGCGCCACCACGCCTGGCTAATTTTTGTATTTTTGGTAGAGACGGGGTTTCACCATGTTGTCCAGGATGGTCTCGATCTCCTGACATTGGGATCCGCCCATCTCGGCCTCCCAAAGTGCTGGGATTACAGGCGTGAGCCACTGTGCCCGGCGAGAGATGCTCTTTTAAATAGGATAATCCTTGAAGACTTCTGTACATAATATCTGAATAAAATTGTGAATTAAGTGGGGTTACGTTATGTGAGGGTCTGCTGGAAGTACATTTTTCTTGGCAAGATGAATAGCAACTGAGTAAATGTTGAGAATACAAGTATGTTTTATTTCAAGAACAGTCAAGAGACTTGGTGTCTGGAACCAAGTGCTTAAAAGGAAGCACATAGGAGATACGTTCAGAGTCAGGCAGGGGCCACATCATGCAGGTCTTACACAGGGCAGGCATGATTTGGGATTTTACTATGAATGAAACAGGAAGTCATGTGGATGCTATACTATAGGTAGGCAAGAGTGGAAGCAAAACCAGCTAGGAGGCCAGTGCATAACAAGCTAAAGGGGATGGTGGTAGGCAGCAATGGAAGTGAGAAAAAGTAAACAGGTTGGGCTACATTTTGAAAACAGAGATGACAGAACTTGCTAATAGATTAGCTGCAGAGAGTGAGGGAAAGGAAAGAATGAATACTAAGTTTCTGACCTGTACAACTGGATGAATAGAGATGACCTTTACTGAGATGGAAAAGACTGGGGAAGGAGCTGATTGTGAAGGTTACTATGGATAGACGTCCCCTCCAAAACTCATGTTGAAATTTAATCCCCAATGTGGCAATATTGAGAGTGGGGGGCCTTTAGGAGGTGATTCACATGAGCTAGCATGTGAGCACATGCAGTCCCCTCAGCATGAGATGGCCTGCACCCGCCTCAGGATACTGCAGAGAGTTCCCACCAACAACAAGTCCTTCACTAGATGTGGCCCCTCAACCTTAGACTTCTCAGTATCCATAATTGTAAAAAAAAACCAGTCCTTTCTTTATAAATTACCCAGTTTCAGTTCTGTTGTAAGCGACAGAAAATGAACTAAGACATGGGGACAATCAATAGCTGTACTTAGGATTGTAAGTTGCCTGTCAGAAGATATGTCAGGTGGGCAGGTAGATATACAAGTCTGAAAACTGGTGAGGAGTTCAGAGTATTTAAATCTATAAAATTTGAAGAGAAACACAGGCCTCTGGTAGAGAAAAAAGAGAACACAACCAGCCGGGGCCCCAGGATGCTTCTACATTGAGAGGATCGGGAGCTGCCAGTGCATAGGAGCCAAATTAGGCACGGTGCCCTGGAAACCATGGGAAGGAATTGTTCCAAGATGAAGAGATTGTTTGGCTGTATCAAAAACTACATTTTGGGTAAATGAAAAAAAAAAGACGTTGTTGCTAAATTTGTCAAGGTAAACAGTGATAATGAGAATGGTGAAGTGAAGAGGTGGGTTGGAAACCCTGACAGGAATGTGCTGAAGATAAAATAAGAGGTGAAGAAGGAGCAGCTAGCAGAACCAGCTGTTCCAAGATGTTTGACTAGAACAATGGACTGCAAAAAGTGTGATTCCTGGAGAGGTATTAAGAGTTAGGGATGGTTTTCTTTTGTTTTGCTTTATTAAGAAGCGAGGACTGCAGAACTCTCAGCATGTAATGACTCCATCCAAACGTTTGCACCAGGAGACAACCCAACTCTAGCATGGCTCCTAGCAGCATAAGGCCCTGTCTCCTGGATGCTCCCTCCCCCTCCCCATGAAAATGTCTGCTTTTCTTAAAGTATTTTCTTAAAAGGGGTTACAACTGAGAATCCTTCCTCTTCTCTGTAAGATGTATATATGTCTCCCATAACTCAGGAGTGTCTTTCTCAAAGACAAGAATGCGCCTCAGGAAGAATGGAGCCTCTGTCTCCCAGTGTTTGTGGGAGGACGGAATCCTAACTTGGATAATTGCCAGGTGGAGTGCACAGCCGGCCCAATCGCACTTCCACTTGATCAACCTCTTGTAATTTTTTACTTCCCTGACTCTACTGAGCGTCTTCTCGCCCCCTCCCTACTCCCTTCACAACACCCAGTCACCTCTGCACAAACTGGAATTGAGCTCAGCCATTTCCCCTTTGTCAGCAATTACTGAAGAAGATCTGTTTTCACTGTTTTGACTAATGTCTGACCTTGTTTATCTTTGACAGTAGGGAGAGATTGCAGCATATGGGCAGGTGGACGGGATTACTCCAACAGAGGGAAGAATGATGTTACAGGAGAGAGACTAAGGTAATTTGGAGACTTGAGACCTTGAGTAGGCAAGGGTCCCTGTATATGGCCTGAGATTGGCAGTCCATCAGCTGCATGAGGAACGCAGTCTAGGGCTTCGGGTCCCAGTAGGATAGTAGGGTTAATGGCAGAGAAACCTGGAAATTTTCTCAGGAATGCTTCTAGATTTTTAACTGAGGTAAGGGGCTAGGCCATAAACTGAGAGTGACGAAGAGAAGGAAGCTTTTAGAAGTTTGAGGAAAAGAGAACATTGTGAAATAGTTGTCTGAGAAAGTGGGAAAGCAAATTGGCAAAGGAAATGCTTTGTTCTCTATCACTACAACCACTGTCAAAGTCCCAGGATAATAAGACTCACAAGTGAGATGATTGTTTCTCGCTTTATACATAAAGTGCTGTGGCTGCCTGGCGAACAGCCTTTCTCTGGCCCAGCCTTTCTTTGTTTTTAGACCTAAGCCTGCCTCCCACTACTGGTGCTGAAATTCCAGACACTTGCTTTCCTACTAGTCTTTCTTTCAACTAAGTCTTCGCTTATTATCTGTTTTGGCCAAGGAGACCGGAAAAGAAATCCATTCTCAGGGGTGGGACTCTTTTTGGAATTATTTTCTTCACTGATCAGAGGGAGATGCTCTAGGAGAAGTGCCTGCTCCTGTCTCGTGGCCTTTGAATTCTGTGATGTGGGGTGTGGGGTGCGGCTGTGACAGCCACCTCACAAGGGTGAGTAGAAGCAGAGACTGTGCAGACTCGGTGGATCCAGAGATCTGCACTGTGAACCTGCTGACACCTCTGCCCTGGAATTGTGTTACTTTAGTTTTATTGACCTTTAACCACTTTTAACTCAGTGTTCTTTTACTTGAAACCAAAGCATCCCAGCAGATACAAAATGTGGCTACAGGTAGATAAATTAGGAAATTAGGCCACAACCAGTGATATTCAGAACATATAATAGACCAACATCACAATTATATTGTTCTTTTAAATGTTGAGTCAGAGTAAGGCAAATGGTTTAAATACTTTGAATTCTTCTACATTATATAAATAGAAAATCTAATTTACTATACTGAATTGTTAGTATTCCACCTTTAAATTTCATAGTATATCACACAAGGTCTAATATTAACATACCCTAAATTCACTCAATTTATATATGCATGCATTCTATAGCTGAAAGTAATAGTTTGAATAGAGGAGAGATATATGTGTGAGATACTTTTACTTATAATTGTTTTAAGGAAGACATTATTATTGAAATTATAATTGCCAGAGATCACTAAGCTTAAGATCTAAAGTTGGAGGAACATAGCCTATGATGTTGAGCTGCTATTAAAGAACAATGGTATTTTTCCACAATCCTTTCCTGTTTCTCTGCTGTGAGTAAATCATCGTTATCGAAATATAAGGATCTCTGTGGATTTCACAGAAGATCAGTATTTCTCTAAGCCTACATGCCTTTAATTTTAGATTAAATACTTGTGGGGATTGTGGGAGTGGGGATAAAGAAACTTATAACAACAACAACAAAAAAACCCTGGACTAGTGTGGTTTCCTAGCGCACTTGGCTACTACCACCTAGCTCTACTGAGTTTCTGATGTTGGATAGAGCATTATAATTATGAACATATTGCAATCTTCAGAATGCCCTTTACAGTCTCATAAAAGAAGACTTGTTAACTATATTTAAGGATAAACACCTTTTGAAAAAGGAGCACTTCCTTTCTTTAAGGTGTTATAAAACCCCTATCAATCTCAAAAGAAATTACCTACAGAGGTAGAGAAGAAAACAATCCCCTTTATGGTAAACTGCTTTTCTTCAATGAGTTAGAATGCCTCAGCTATTGAAAGCTTTATAGCTTTATTTGTTGGAAACATGGCAGAAAGAACTCATATAAATTCTATTCGTATAAACTACTGTCTCTATTGCTACAAGTGTTTTAGCTGATGTTTCATGTATTTAATCTTTATGTAGTGTCCCATTAATGCCAAAAAGAATTGCATAGACAGAATGAGATCACCTCCGTGAGTTTTCTAAGGAACAGATTTAGCATAGAAATACTTGCCAAGAATAATCCACAACAAGCTCTGGGAAATCAGTTTTGGAATTAAAAGTCACAGCCAGTTCAGCCTTTTATTTTTTTGCATTTGTAGTCCCCTAGATTAAATTATGGAGAATGTGAATCCTTGAAAGAAGAATTCATGTCAGAATTGTGTTTTCATAATACTCTCTGGGATGTACATTTGTTTACTTGGGCTAGTTTGCAACAATGTAAAGTTTTAAAGGTTAAATTGAGAAAATTCAAAACTAGGACAACCTGTGATTATGTATTTTATTCCCTGACACTTCAATATTTTATAAGAATAAAATTTAGAGGAGGCAGAATCACAGTAAACAATTAAATTTTTTCTTACTGCATCTCAATAAGACCACTGGCAACCCAACCACCTAAACATCTAGGTGAAGAAAATGTCTAACTTTTTACGGATCTATCAACATGTTTCAAATTATATAGCATTTATATTTTTAAAAGAATTTCATTTCTTAGAATTTATAATCCTCCAGAACTAGGTCCAAATATTTTGCTACATTAGCATTGTTATTAATAACTGAAAATAGGAAGTAGGGAGAATTATCTAAATTGTTAATAAAAGAAAATTTGGCCAAAGAAGAAAGTAGTAAAACTGTACATTGGAATACTATGTATACGTTAAAACTTACTGAACAGGCCGGGCACGGTGGCTCACGCCTGTAATCCCAGAGCTTTGGGAGGCCAAGGCAGGTGGATCACTTGAGGTCAGGAGCTCAAGACCAGCCCGGCCAACATGGTGAAACCTCGTCTCTACTAAAAATACAAAAACTAGCCGGGAGTGGTGGCAGGTGCCTGTAATCCCAGCTACTTAGGAGGCTGAGGCAGGAGAATCACTTGAACCTGGGAGGCGGAGGTTGCAGTGAGTGGAAACCAAGCCACTGGACTGCAGCCTGGGTGACAGGATGAGACTCTGTTCAAGAAAAAAAAAAGAAAAAAACTATTGAACAAAACCTTAAATGACATGGAAATATATTTGCAATACATTATTAAGTATACAAGCATGTGACAATACACTATATAAAATACTATGTGCACTTGTGTATTGTTGGAGTAATGGCTGTCTCTCCCACCCGGGAAAAAACTTCGTTTTGTTCATTATGTCCAGTACAATGCCTGGCACATCGTAGTCAATGAGTAAATATTTGTTTATGTATAGTGTGTATTTCCCTCCCCTGGTAATGAGATTACTGAGATTTGTGATTAATGAGATACATAAGATTATTTTCTTCTTATTTTTTATGTTTTTCTAAAATTTTTCACAATGAGTATGCGTTTCTTTTATAAATACCAAGCTACAATGCAGGTTTGCCATCTGTATATTTCACATAATTCCTTTTTCTGCCATCATTTAGAACAATATATGTCACTAATTCAAATGAGTTTAACTTCCAACCTGAAATATAAAAGAGATCAACAAAGGAAAGACGAAGTAGAAGAACAATGCATAGCAAATCTGCTGCTGAGGCAGCCCCTGGAAGTTTCTGCCTTTATATTTGTGTTGGCAGAGGTGAATTTTTAAAAAATGTAAATTGAGCTTTCATTTCCTCAGAAACCTCTTGAACAAGATCTTCTTGTTTATATTTGTCCACTACTGCCTTCTCTCTGCTTTGTTTTGATCTTTAAAGTCAACTTTATTGATGAATTGCACTCATTTTAAATGTACAGTGTAATTAGTTTAACAACTGTATAATGTACACCTGTGTAACTATAGCCAGAATCGAGATTTAAGACACATCACCCCAAAAATCCTCCTATGACCCTTTCCATTCAACCCCTTTCTCTACTATGGCCACCATTTTCTGATCAGCTTTCAGTACTTATAGATTCATTTTGCCTGTCCTAATATGTAAAAAGACTCATACATACAGTATGTACTTTTTTTAAGTACAACATTTTTTGCTTAATTTTTTGAAATTTATCTATACTTTTGCATATATTGACAGTTCATTGCATTTTATTGCTGCATAGTCTTCCATTGTGAAGATACCCAATAGTTTCTGTGATAAATTCCCATTTGATGGATTTTGTAGTTGTTTTCAGTTTGTAGCTATTATAAATAACATCTATATGAATATTTAAAAACAGATTTTGTGTGGGTATGTGTTTATTTCTTTTTGCATAAATATAAATATCTAAGAGACCACTCGTTCAGCTCTATGATATATTTAATTGTATAAGAAACGACCAAAACATTTTCCAGTGTGCTTGTAACATAGACATTCCCTCCAATAACATGAGAGTTCTCGTTGCCTTATATTCTTGTCAACACTTGATATTGCCTTTTCAATTCTAGCAATCCTAATGGGTGTATTCTGGTATTTCAGTGTGGTTTTAATTTGCATCCATTAAGATATTCATATATTTTCCCTTTATTCTGCTAATGCGGTGAATTACACTGGTTAATTTTCAAATGTTAAACCAACTTTATATATGTGAGATACGCTCTATTTCTTAATGATTTTTTAACCTTTTAATATGTTACTGGATTCATTTTGTTAAAGATTTCATATGTTTAGGCTGTAGTGTCTTTGTCTAGTTTTGCTATCATGATAAATCTATCCTTATTAAATGAGTAGGGATGGGTTCTTCTTTTACTTAAAGCAGTTTGTGTAGGATTAGTAACATTTACAGGTGAAGCCATCTGGGCCTGTGTTGTTCTTTGTAGTGGCTATAAGTTTATTCAGATGTTTTATTTCTTCTATTCTGAATTTGGGCAATATATGTCTTTAGATAATTTCATTTCATCCAAGTGATTGAATGTATAAAAGAGCATAAAATTGCTCATAATACCTCTATTAACCTTGTAATATTTGCAAGGTCTGTAGTGATATCTCCTTTTAGATTTCCGATATTACTAATTTATGTCTCTTCTTTTTGCACTACTAGTCTATAATTTATCAATTTTATTGATCTTTTAAAAGAGCCAACTTCTTGTTTCATTAGTGTTCTTTATTTTGTATTCTTCTTTCTTGCTTTCTTTTTTTTGGATTTATATTGCTCTTCATTTGCTAACTTTCTTGGGTCATTGATTTTAGATCTTTTGTGTTTTCTAATGTAATCATTTAAAACTTTTAATTTTCTGACTCAATGCTATCACATAAATTTCTCTGTGTATTTTTTCTTTTTATTTAGTTCAAAATATTTTCCAATTTCCCTTCTCTTTACTTTTTAACCCATGTGTTAATGAGAGTAGTATCATTTAATTCCCAAATACTTGGAGATTTTCCAGATTTTTAAAAATTTATTTCTAGTTTAATTTTATTGTGGTCTGAGTACATGTTATGCATGATTCCAAACTTTGGAAATCCATAGATTTTTTTTAGTTACTTTTATGGTCTAGCAAGTGGTCTATCTTGGTTAACAGTCTAAGTGCACTGAAAAATATGATGTTATCTGCCTTATTGGGTGGAGCGTTCTATAAATGTCAACTAAGTCTAGCTGATTAATATTGTTCAAATATTTTATGTATTTCCTCATTTTTTGTCTATTTATTCTAACAATGACAGAGAGAGGGGTGTCAAAATCTTCATCTACTCATAAATTTGTCTGTTTTTTTTTTTTCAGTTCTTTCAGTTTTTATTCCATGTATATTAATGGTCTTTAATTAGGTGCATATATATTAAGGATTGTTATGTCTTCTTAAGGAATTAACTTTTTACCATTATAAAATGTCCCTCTTTATTATAGATAATATTTCTTGTCCTAAGTTCTGCTTTGTATAATAGGAGTATAACCCCTCCAGTTTTCTTGTGATAAACATTTACATGGTATATATTCTTCTGAAGTAAGGCTCCTCACACTTGAGGAGTGGGTCTGCCCACTCCTGCGGGGGTCTGCCCACAGACCCTGACCCAAACGATGGATGAATAAAACGTACACTGACACACAGATACTCTGTTTTGCCAGTCCAGCTCAGTGTCCGACAGCCTGCACACCAAGAGAGTCTTGTGACTGCAGCTGGCCCTGAGCAGCTCACACTCCAGGCATTAATTTCATATACAATTAACAACAGAAGCTCTGAGTCAACACACTTGTGGATAATTAACATGGTTAAGAGAGTAGGTCTACGAATGATTAAAGCTCAGGTACAGTGGTCTAAAGTAAATACTATTGGGGGCAATATCCCTAGTCGACCTCCTCCTGAGAGGGCTATCTGGCTCAAAGGTTGGTTAATGGAGGTAGGGTAAGCAGACTTAACTGGGGAAGCCTCTGTTGTCCCTAGTATTTACCCTATGACCTAATGCTCTAAGGTAAGAACCGGCTGCCTTCAGCCTGTTCAATTATTACAAGCTATGTAACCTTTCTGCCTTCCAAAAGGTTTGTGACTATTCCCTATAACTTTCCCTAATATTTCCCTTTAATATTTCTGCCACCATTCTGATTGAATCCCAACATTCTTCTATCATTGTTTTAAATTGAACTGTTTTTTTAAAGTGCATTTCTTGCAGATAGCATATACAGTTGACCCTTGAGCAATGTGGGTTTGAACTACATAGGTGCACTAATACATGGAGTTTTTTCAATAAATATATTGGAAAATTTTTTGAAGATTTGTGACAATTTGAAAAAACCGGTGAAACACATAGCCTAGAAATATTAAAAAAAAATTAAGAAAAAGTTAGGTACCTCATGAGTGACTAAAATAAATGTAGCTATTAGCCTATTTTATCATTTACTACCACAAAGTATACACATATCTATAATAAAAATTAAAGTTTATCAAAACTTACACAAACACAGACCATACATGGTGTCATTTGCAGTCAAAAGAAATGTAAACAATTTAAAGATTCTGTATTAAATCATAACTGTATGAAATTAACTGTAGTTCATACTGTAATAATTTCCTAGCCACCTGCTATTGCTGTTGTGGCGAGCTCAAGTGTTACAGATCTCTGCTTAAAATGCCATGTGATGTAGTCAACTCCACCTGAGCAACTTATCTCTCTAGTAAAGAGCATATCACCATGAAAATGGTCTTTCACAGTTCTTGTGCATTTTTAAAATCATGTTTTGTACAATATCTTAAACCTTTAGTAACATCATGGGACCCATACAAAGTGCCACCAGTGATGCTGGCAGTGCTCCTAAGAAAAGTCATGACATGACAAGAAGAAGTTGAATTGCTTGGTAGGTACTGTAGATTGAGGTCTGCAGCTGTGGTTGCCGCCAGTGGTTGCCACGAGTTCAGACAGGATATTCATCTTGTAAACAGACCATAGAGCTCACAGTATCAATACAGTATACTACTCTTCCTTGTGACTTTCTTAATAACATTTTCTTTCCTTTCCTCTAGCTGACTTTATTTTAAGAAAACGGTATATAACACATATACAAAATATGTGTTAATTGACCATATTATCTATAAGGCTTTGGTCAACAGTAAGACAGTAGTAGTTAAGTCTTTGGGGAGTGAAAAGTTATATTTGGATTTTTTACTGTGTAAGGGTTGGTGGCCCTGACCCCACATTGTTCATCTGTAGTTAGGTTCTGCTTTTTTTTATTCCATCTATAAATCTCTGTCTGCTAATTAGAGTGTTTAGACCACTTTTATTCAATGGAATTATCAATTATCAATTATTCAATGACTGGTTCCAAGACCATCTTGCCATTTGTTTCCTATTGATCCCATCTGTTTGGTTCCTTCCTGCCTGACTTCTTGGATTTAGTACTTTTTAATTTTTAGTATTTGATCTCTACTATTGGCTTATTAGCTATGACTTGTTACATTTTCCATTGTTTATTCTAGGGTTTACAATATACCTCTTCAAATTATTATCATCTACCTTCAAATGATATTATATCAGTTTCTGTATACTGTAAGCAACTTAGAAAAATAGTTCCTTTCCCTCTTCTCACTCTTTGTGCTATTGTTGCTATACATGTTGCTTCAACACATGTTAGAAACCCTTCAATACACTGTTGTTAATTTTTTCTTAAAGTCAGTAAGTTTTTTTAATTTAAAGGAAAATATTCTTTTGTGTCTACCCATTTTTCAGCTATTTTAAACACTCTTCATTCCTTTGTGTAGATTCAAGTTTTCATTTGGTATAGCCTTTCTTGAGTCCAAAAAGTTCAGGACATCTCTTACAGGCAGGTCTTCTGGTAAAAAAAAAAAAAAAAAAAAAAAAAAAAGAAGTCTCTCACCTTTTGTTTATCCAAACAGTGTTTTTATTTCACTATCATTTTATAGGATATTTTCACTGAATATAGAATTCTAAGCTGCAATTATTTTACTTTCAGTTATTTAAAGCTGGTTTCATAGTTTCCTGGCTACAATGTTTCTGATACGAAGTTCTGAGTTTATTCTTATATTTGTTCCTCTGTATATAATGTCTGATATTATCTGTCTGCTTTTAAGGTTTCTTTATTTTTCCTTTTCAGCAATTTGATGATTATGATGCACCATGGGTTCATTTTCTTCGTGTTTTTCATGCTCGATCTTCTTGGATATGTGGATTTCTGGTTCCCAACAAACTTGAAAAATGTTATGACTATTTTGTCTTCTTTTTTTTTCTGTTACTCCCCCTTCTTTCGAGGTTCTAATTGCACACATATTAGAACATTTGCTGTTATCCTAAAGTTGAATAAGGCTCTATTCTTTTTTTATTTTTCCTGGTCTTTTCTTTTTTCTATTTTTGGGCAGTTTCTATTGTCTATAATCAAGTTAATTGATTTTCTTCTGCAGTGTCTTTTTCTGTGAACTTTATGTTGAACATTGACTTTTTCATATCTAAGCATTCCATTTATTTGTTTATCTTCCATTTCTCCTCATTGTATTGATTTATTTAAATTCTTAAGCATATTCTTAATAACTATTTAAAGTTCTTGTCTGATCATTCCATTATTTCTGTCATTTTCAGGTCTCGATTCATTTCTCTTCTGGTCATATTTTCCTTCTTCTTCACATGCCTAATACTACATGTACTAGGGTTACATTACATGTACTAGTGTTACATTATTGAGTGTTTGAATTCAGGTATTTGTTATTTTAACAGTATTGACTTTGTTTGAAGTGGCAGATAACTTTTGGATCAACTTAATCCTTTGGAAGCTTGTTTTGAAGATTTGCAGCGGTAGTCTGGTAGAGTCTTTAATCTAGAACTATTTGAGCTCCACTACAAAACCTAACCCTTTCAGAGCTCTGTTGAATGCCTTGGATATTTAACTATGTCTCTTCATTCTGGATGGCTGTAGTTTTAAGGTCTATCAGCCCTTAGTGAGCTCTGTTTTTGTCTAACTTTGTGGACTTTGTCTATGTATGCACAGCCTAGAATTCAACAACAGAATCAAGAGATGCCAGGAAGATTTCTTTGTTTCTGTGTACTCCCTCTGTTCTGCAAATTTTAATGCCCTCAGAAGCCTGGGACTCTAATCTCTGTCTTCTCAATACACTTAAAACTCCATGCCCTCCCCAAATTCTCCCTTCCTGCACTACTTTCTAGAAAGCGTCCCAAGGCAGAAAGCCAAGTAATAAATGACTCACTTCATTTCATTTCCTCAGGGATCATAGTCTTGGGCTGCGTGTTGTCCAATGTCTGAACACTGTTGTTTCATGTATTTTGTCAAATTTTCAAATTGTTTATGAAGAGGGGGCAAGCCCAATACCATTTATTCTGCCATAGTTGAAGTTTAGTCTCTACTTTGCTACAATTTTGACTTTTGTTTTTCCAAGACAGACCTGCGAGGAGGCAGCCCTGACATAATTTGCCAGTGGACTGTTGATGAAAAAAGTCAAACTCTGTAAAATATTTGAAGAGATTTATTCTAAGCCAAATATGAGTGACCATAACCCTAAACAAAGCCTTCAGGAGGTCCTGAGCACATGTGCCCAACCAAGGTGGTAGGGGTGCAGCTTGGTTTTCTCCATTTTAGGGAGGCATGAGACATCAGTCAAATACATTTAAGAAACATACTGGGGCCAGGCGCAGTGGCTTATGTCTGTAATCCCAGCACTTTGGGAGGTCAAGGCAGGTGGATCACTTGAGGCCAGGAGTTTGAGACCAGCCTGGCCAAATTGGTGAAACCCCCATCTCTACTAAAAATACAAAAATTAGCCAGGTGTGGTGGTGCATGACTGTAATCCCAGCTACTCGGGAGGCTGAGGCAGAATTGCTTGAACCTGGGAGGCAGAGGTTGCAGTGAGCCAAGATCATGCCACTGCACTCCAGCCTGGGTGACTGAGTGAGACCCTATCTCAAAAATAAAAAAAGAAAGAAAGAAAGAAATACATTGGTTTGGTCTAGAAAGGCAGGACAACTCAAAGTGGGGGTGGGGTGGGGTGGGTTTCCAGGCTATAGGTAAATTTAACATTTTCTGGTTGACAATTGGTTGAGTTTGTCTAAAGACCTGGGATCCATAGAAAGGAAATGTTCAGGTTAAGACGAAAGATTATGGAGACCAAGGTTCTTTTGAAGTCTTATACTGACTGCCCTTAGAGACAATAGATGACAAATTGTTTCTATTCAGACCTTTAAAAGATGCTAGACTCTTAGTTAATCTCTTGAGGACTGGGTGGTCCTAGAAGAAAAAGATCTAGCTATGTTAATAGAGATTCTTTACAGCTGCAAATTTTCCCCCACAAAGGACAGCTTTGCAGGGCCATTTCAAAATATGGGCAAAGAAATGTGTTTTGGGGTGAAATATTTTGACTTTCTTCTTTGTCACATAATGTTATACCAGAGTCAGATTGGAAAGTAAGTCATGACATATAGGGTTAAATAAAACCTCCTTGACAAGAATTTACAGTTTGTATGGCATGACTCCCCAGACCCTTAGATAGGAATCTGGGCAAGATAGAAAAGAAACAAACAAACAAACAAAAACAAAAAGCAGAGCTTAGTCCTGAGGATGATCACATTGATTCACTTTACTAAGGGAATGAGAAAGAGTAGCAAGAGAAGCCCAGCAAAGGCCTTGGAGAAGCCACAAGAGGCAACACAATGAGCACAAACTGGGGTGAGAACAATTCTAAAAGTTGTGATCAGAAGGGAACCGAGATAAAGCATATAGCCTGTTGGACATAAAATACTTCAGGAATAAATGCTCAGTGCCACAAAGTAAAGCCAGCACTCAGGCAAAAGTTTAATTCTCTCAGCAAGGCAATTTACTTCTGCAGAAGGGTGCCACTTGCATCAATCAAGATCACAAGAGCACAGGGAACAAAGGAGACTAGGGGGCTTTTATATTCTTAACGCAATCCCTACCTCTGTGTCCCTCCCGCATGGGCTGGGGTCAGACCGCACAATCTGAGCTGACCTGATTGGCTACTTGTACATATTTTTCTAAATATAGAAGGGGAGGGGGACGTGAGGTACAGAGGTGGAGCAGGTGAGACGTGCAGTTTCAGGGGCACAATGGGTGCAGGTAACCAAGGGAACAGATGTGCGTTATTGATTAGAGCTGACGGGAAAGGGGTAGGCTCTTTTACGGTAACTGGGGCAAGGAGGAACAGGAAAGTTGAGTTTGAGAACAAAAGACAAGGAAGTTAGCAGGACAAATTTTTGGAGAGAAACTTGGAGAAATTCATTGTATCTTACATAGCCAAAAGTGATCAGTTTATCAAAAAAAACTACAGCTTAGTAAAGTTCTTATTTGCTCATTGATACACAAATAATTAATATCAGAGAAGTATTCTAAGTCTTTGTCCAAAATTCTGTCTATAATAGAAACTGACAAGATCTTCAACAGCCCATAATCCTTAACAAGAAATCAAACTTATTCCATCCTAGGAAATGTTCTGGGGAAACTCTTGTCCACAAAGACTGTCTTAGTTCTGTAGCAATCCATGCTTTTAAACGGCAGGAAGACCCACCCAAGCCTCATTCCCAGTAATAGCTTGGTAGTCTACTAGACTTCCTCTTGAGTCTATGCTTGGAAGATATCACCTCTACTTTTTTTTTTTTTTTTTAAATAAAGAAGTCTGGCCGGGTGCACTGGCTCACGCCTGTAATCCCAGCACTTTGGGAGGCCGAGGCGGGTGGATCACGAGGTCAAGAGATCGAGACCATCCTGGCCAACATGGTGAAGCCGTGTCTCTACTAAATATACAAAAAATTAGCCGGGCAAGGTAGCGGGCGCCTGTAGTCCCAGCTACTCAGGAGGCTGAGGCAGGAGAATGGCTTGAACCCGGGAGGTGGAGATTGCAGTGAGCCCAGATCGCGCCACTGCACTCCAGCCTGGGCATCAGGCATCAGAGTGAGACTCTGTCTCAAAAAAAAAAAAAAAAAAAGAAGTCTGATCAGGCTAACAGATAACCAAAAGAGTGACCTGTGTCCTTCTGACCCTCATATAGACCATACCCTTCAGAAGGTCCTTAAATTCAACCCATTTGTCTACGACAATGGCAAGTAATTGAGAATCAGGAGTGGGCTAGCTTTTGGGGTCTCACCTTTAAATCTCTGAATTGACAGACTGAGTTTTGCAGAACCCTGCAAAGAGTAGGTCCAGTAGTTTTGATAGGCCTAATATGAAGTCTTCTTAAGAAGAATTCAGGTTTTTACTGGTCAGTGAATGTTTGGGTAAGTTGACAGCAAGGTGATATAATTCTAAAATTCAAAGGCAAAAATTAGGAGTTGGTGATCCTAAGTGCACTTTGTACCTTCAGTGTTGGGACTCAGAATTATTCATTTACTTGTCTACCTCCCCATCTCTTTATCAAAAGTGGGAGGCTGCTAGAGATCAGGGTTGGGATGTGCAAGGGTCCTGGTGTCAGCTGATGGGCTGCAGCTGGAAAAATCAAGTGGCACTGGGGCGGTTTGATTTGGTTCTGAAAAGAGGGAAAAATAACTTCTAAAAATAGATAAAGGAAAAAGTGAAGAAAGGCAGGATTTGTTTTCTTTTATGGTAGTGAATAAATTCTTGACTCTTCCTTCTTACCCTCAATCTCAGCATGCAATCAATTTATGATTCCTTTCACCCAAAATCTGTTATCTACTCTCAGTTCAACTTACAATCTTCTAATGCATGCCTGCTTATCTCTTGCCTGGACATTCGTGATAGTCTTATCTCTTGACCCTTATTCTTTTCCTTCTGCGGTTCATCCTCAATACTGCTGCTGTAAGTTAACTTGTCAAATCAATGCTCAGAAACCCTAAGTGGATTCCCATTACAAGTAAGATAATATCCAAACTTAACTTCATTCTAAGTCCTTAAAAATCTTCTCTCTCATCAATGCCTCCAGCTCAACAATGTGCCCCATGCTCCAGACTTAAATACCATTATCCCAATGTGCCATTCATGTTCCTTTTCTCTGGTTTTTGTTCCTAATATTGCCACTATCCATAAAGCCCTTTCATCTTTAGTTTCACAAGGTTCTATTTATTTTCAAGGTTCTTTTGGCCCATACTTCCTCAGTGAAGCCTGCTCACAACTTCCCAAGCAAGAACACCGTTTTTCTGAAATTATATAACTTTTTAACAACCACTAGAACACTTGCTACTGATTTAGTGTTCAGTGGGTCTGCCTACCTTCTACGTATCTTTATTTCTCTACCATGTAGCACACAGGAAGTGATCAATAATGTCTATTTAAATAAATCAAATTGCATAAGACTTCATGATTAAGGCACATAGTAATCTAAAATAGGTATGATTGATGCCTAGAATCCGTACAGATATATCACATTACAGGATACTTATGGAAGTACTTTGGCGATGTAGCTAATCAGCAGATTATGCAGGTAATGTGAGGGTGAGGGTGAATGGAGTTGATTCTTTTCATTAACTAGAATTATTGTAAAATGTAGTACTGGAAATGACTTGAAAAATCATCTAATCTCAGTATGATTTCAACTCTTATGCTTATACTAATTGTTTGGTGGAGGCTGCCTGGGATACTACATTAGGAATTCTGTGGCCATGCACAAAGGATGAAAATGCTCTGACATGTAAGTAATGTTTAACATGTGTATTTGTGAAAAGAGAGTGGAGGGGGTAAGTACTAGTGTGTAAATCTAATAGTTGCCAGCTCCTGTTGACTAGTCTATATGTTTCTTCAGGTCCACAATTTAAACAACTTAGAAATATCCATTTCTATCACATTTTTAAGACCTCCATATAAAAACAAAACAAATCCTGCTATATGATTTGCTGTAGTATATAATTTTTAATATACAAGGATTTGTGTCCTCTCTAATCCATAACTCTATGCTGTGGGTTAACAAAGCCTCCTCTAACTCTGCCTTTAGGGAACATGGAAGCCTGTGTTATCATTCATGTAGGAGCTAACTATGGTTTGGATATTTGTTCCCTACAAACTTCATATTAAAATTTGATCCCCAGTGTTGGAGATGGGACCTAGTGGGAGGTGTTTATATCATGGGGGTGGATCCCTCATGAATGGCTTGGTGCCATTATCTCAGGAATAAGTGAGTTTTTGCTCTATTAATTCCCACAAGAACTGGTTGGTAAAGCCTGGCACCTCCCTCCCCTTTCTCTTGCTTCTTCTCTTGCCATGTGATCTCTGCATGCTAGCTCCTCTTCACTCTCTGCCATTAGTGTTCCACTGAGAATAGCCTGAGCCCTCACCAGAAGCAGATGCTAGTGCCATGCTTTCTGTATAGCCTGCAGAACTGTGAGCTAAATAAGCCTCTTTTCTTTATAACTACTCAGCCTTAGGTCTTCCTTTATAGCAACACAAATGGACTAAGACAGAGCTCCTACAAACCTGAAGGTCACTGTTATTTTTCCCCACTATTTCTGTTTTTATCCATCCATTACCCCATTACCCGTCTGTATTAGTCAGGGTTCTCCAGAGAGACAGAACCAGTAGAATATATGAAAAAAGATTTATTAGGGAAAAATTGGCTCACACAATCAGAGAGGCAGAGAAGTTCTATGATAGGCTGGTTTGTAAGCTGGAGAAACAGAAAAGCCATTAGCATGGCTCAGTTCAAGTCTGAAGCCTCAGAACCACGGAATCTGATAGTGCAGCCTCCAGTCTGAGACCAGACCCCCAAGAGCCTCCAGGGGGCTGTGTGTGCAAGTCTCAGAATCCAAAAGCTGAAAAATCTGGAGTCTTATGTCCAAAGGCAGGAAAAGAAGCACACCTCTCCAGAAAGCAGAGAGAGAGAGCAGAGAGAGAGAGCAATCCTCCTTCTTCTGCCCATTTGTCCTAACCTCCAACAAATAGGATGGTGCCTGCCTGCACTGAGGACTGGCCTTCTCCTAGTCCATTGACTCACACATCAATCTCTTCTGGAAACACTGTCACAGACACACCCAAAAACAATGTTTTACCAGCCAACTAGGCATCCCTCTGTTCAGTCAAGCTGACCCCTAAAATTAACCATCACACCATCCATCTATCCATCCATCCAGTCTGTATTTTACTAAATGAGATGATAAAAATAACACAGTTGACCCTTGAATAACTCAGGGGTTGGTGTACTGACCCCTGCACAGTAAAAAAAATCCATGTATAACTTTTGAGTCCCTCAAAACTTAACCACAAATAGCTTATTATTGACCAGAAGCCTTAGGAATAAGAAACAGTCCATTAACACAAATTTTGTACATGTATTATACACTGTAGGCTTACAATAAAATAAGCTGGAGAAAAGAAAATGTTGTTAAGAAAATCATAAGGAAGAGAAAATATATTTACTATTCATTAAGTGGAAATGGATCATCATAAATATCTTCATCCTCATTGTCTTCACACTGAGTAGGCTGAGGAGGAGGAAAAGGAAGGGTTGGTCTTGCTGTCTCAGAGTAGCAGAGGTGGAACACACGGAAGAGGTAGAAGGCAAGGCAGAAGAGAAAGGCACACTTGGTATAAATTCTATTGAAAAAAAATCACATATAAGTAGACCCATGCAGTTCAAGGATCACCTGTATTGGAAAGGCACTGTGCAAAGGCTAAGAGGTGCTAGTGAGGACCTGCTAAGCATTGATTGGAAGGGGAATATTACTATCTTGGATCTACCAGTTGGCTCAGTGCTGCCTTACAACTCACAATCATCTCTGTGTCACTGACCTTCAGTTCCTGGTGCAAGCCAGGTTATATAACATTCTAGTCCACAGCTAACCGGTCTTAGTTTCTTGATTAACACCGTTTGCACCAGCACCACACTGAGATTTTGAAATTCACTTTCTGCTGCTCCAATTTGTATCACTGCCACTTCTGCTTTGTTATTAGAAGGCCTTATCAATATACTGTTAATATGAAGCCATTTTATAGAAACAATAGACTTTCTACTGCTCTATTTAGCATGCAGAGGTGCTCCAACCTCCCATCCTTAAATAAAATAAAACCCTTCTAGCCACTTTAATCTCCTTCCATCCCCTCACAGCAAAGCTCCAAAGAGAGGACTCCAAGTTCACTGTGTCTGCATCCTCACCTCCCGAATCAGGACCATCCACCACTCTCCAAGGTCCCCAAGTACCTTCTTTTTGCTGAACCCAAAGAATGTTCTTCAGACTTTATCTTTGTAACTGAAATGTTAACTTGAGTTACTTTCACCCTGGAGATTTAGATCAGATCTAAACTACATGCCGCCACCTAGGACATGTGGGAGCATAAGGCACTCTCCAATCTTCCCATGGTTACCCCAAACTTGGGTCCACAGCTCCACTCTATCAGTTCTGCAGTGGATTATTTTACAGCCCATGCATGTTGTCCTACCCCACAACAATCCATACTTGCCATTTAATCCTTTTCCATTATTTATACAAACTACACTCAGAAAGGTCTGTGTGTGGGCAGCAGAATTTACTATAGTTTGGTAGATACAGAGGAGATGAATTATGCTGTGGCAAACTCAACAACTTCAAATATGACATTAGTCATCCCACTTTTCAGCAGCTCTTCAGCCTCCCCCTCACTCCTTCATCCCACTTGGTGTTTAGCATCAAGACATATCACTGGCTCCTCTTTCTTCCTTCTCCTCTGATCCCTCCCTTTTACCTCATTCCTAAGTTTGTCCTTGTCCCCTCTCCACACTTAGGATCCCAAATTCTTCTCATTCTATTAGGCAAAGTCATTCAGTTCTCTCCAAGTTCTACTCCCAAACATTAATCTAGGCCCACTTAATTAAGCCTCACAAGTCTAGCCTGGCAGAACCACAAAGATTTCTGTTTGGCAAATTCAAGTCCTCCTTCTAAGGCAATTGGGGTTTTACACATATTTTTTCCTCCATTACATCTTATAACTTCTCCATGGCATTTGACATTTTGATAATTCTTTCTCTGAAATGTTTTCCTCCTCTGACACCTTTCTCTCTTGATTTCAATCTCAGTTCTCTATTTTTCTATTTGGAAGGCTTTTATTGCTTTGCATATTTTTTAAAAGTTGATTCTAACCTTGCCCCATGTATTTTACTCTAGAGTAGCTCCAGCTCTGTTCAATAGAAATATAATGCAAGGAGCATATATAATTTTAAAAGTTCTAGTAGCCATATTGTGAAAAGTGAACATTGAAAGGTAAAATTAACTTTATAACATATACTGTCTAACCCAATATAGCTAAAGTATTTTTTATCATGTAATCAAAATGAAAATTATTAATAACTGTATTTTATGTTTTTTAAACAAAATCTTCAAAATACAGTGTGTATTTTATACTTACAATATGTCTCAATTTAGTATCTGCTAAATTTTCATCAAAATATTTTATTGGTGCTTGGATTCATAAACTTTGGACTTGAAAAAATAGATATACATACCCAAATTGTTTGAAATGTAAGCTTTCCAATAATTGAACGCACACCAAAAATCACTATCTTTTCATATTTACATCCACATTGACAAAACCAGTTCATCATTTTTCAAAGAATGGATTTGACATTGAAGCAAAAGCATAGCTGTCCAAGCTTAGTAAATTTGCTAATTCTTATGTCAACTCGGTGTTATTAACATGAAATTCAAAGGTATATTGCAGACATTGAAAAGCAGCTCTATATATACTATTATAAACAAAGCGTTCCTTAAATTATTCTTGTGGTTCTTATAGCCAATATACACAATTCTGTCAATTACAATTAAAAGCTTGTACATATTGATTCATATTGTAAAAACATGTAAAATTGTTTTTTTGGTTTGTATTGTAGAAAGTTTCAATTTCAACATAAATGATCATACCTGTCTTAGCTAAGTCATAAATAAGCTTTTCTTTTCCTTGGCACTTAAAATTTTGCTCATTTGTACTATCTCCTTTTTCATCTCTGATTTTATTTATTTTAGATCATCTCTCTTTTTTACTTAGTCTGGCTAAAGCTTTCTCCATTTTGTTTAAGTTTTCAAAAACCAACATTTTATTTCATCGATCTTTTGTATTGTTTTCATTTCAATTTTATTTCTTCTCTTGTGTTTATTATTCCTTTTCTTCTACTAATTTTGGGTTTGGTTTGCTCTTGCTTTTCTAGTTCTTTAAGATGCATCATTAGATTATTTCTTTGAAGTTTTTCTTCTTTTTTGATGTAAGCGCTTATAAACTTCCCTCTTAGTACTGACTATTGACACTGCAGCAAGCATTCCTTTCATGGTTACTGGGTACTGGTTATTGGTTAGTGCATCTAAGGAGATAAATTTTTAATTTAATTTTATTTTATTTTAATTAGTTTACATTTAAATTTTAAAACCAAGGCTATGTAAAATATTTTTCTGTTAAATATAACTTTATTGTTTCAGTAAACTAAGTTTTACAAGCACTGCAACATGTAAGACACCATCTTTATTCTGTTCGTAGCAACAGGAGGCAGCCAAATGCCTAAGCAGATAGGGGTGGGTCTCTGGTGAAACCCTACCTTCAAGCCAAAAACAGCCTGAAGGCTGAAAGACTGGACTGCTGGTCCTGGATGAAACCCGCAACCCAGAGTGAGAACTTTTGCTCCTGTTTGCCCACCCTTTCCTGATTAAATTTTTCTGAATAATGTCTTTTAACCAATCGAATGTTGCCTTTTCAAATACTACCTATGGCCTGCCCCTTCCCCATTCTGAGCCCATGAAAGCCCAGGACTCAGTCACATTGGGGGGCACTTTCCTGCCTTTAGGTAGGGGGACCACTCCCATGTCCTCTCTTTGCTGAAAGCTGTTTCATCACTCAATAAAAACCCCTGCCTTGGGCTTAATACCTGGGCAATGGGTTGATAGGTGCAACAAACCACCATGGCACATGTTTACCTATGTAACACACCTACATATCCTGCACATGTATTCTGGAACTTAAAATTAAATTAAACTAAATTTAAAAACCTGCCTTGCTCACTCTTAGACTGTCAACACATTCTCATGCTTCTTGGGTGCAGGACAAGAACTTGGGGACTGGTGTGCAAGACAGACTTGGCCCTGGCAGCCAAGTGGGTGGGCCATCTCCTGCTGTGGGTAGTGTGCCCAGGCAGGGTGTCACTGGCCAGAGGTCCCCAGCTTGCAAAGTGACCAAAAAGAAAATCCTGTGTCACTATATAGTGTGTGTTGAGCATCTTCATCATTTCTTGTTATTGTCAAAGGGTTGATTCAGTTTGAATGCTCATTTTTTATGCACTGGTGTAACATTGTAACATATTTACTAGAATATTTTATATGTGGAGCACAAGTTACAGTGGTACCTATCTAAATCAAAATTAGTAATTAATTTGAAATACTTATTATTTTAATTATCTCACAATTAAAACATTTTTCTAGATTGTTTATCTTTTAGGCTCTTTGGGATTGACAAAGACCCTCTCCTTTGACCAAAATCTCAGGCTCCTCTGAGTCCTGAACTTGGCCTGCTTTTACTTCAAAATCAAATTCATTTTTTGAAAAATGATGAACCAGTTTTGTCAATATGGATGCAAATGTGAAGGATAATGATTTTTGGTGCTCATTCAGTTATTGGAAAGCTTATGTTTCAAATAATTTGAGTATGTATATCTACTTTTTCAAATCCAAATTTATGAAACCAAGTACCAATAAAATATTTTGATGAAAATTTAGCATCTGAATTGAGGCATATTGTAAGTATAAAATACACACTGGGTTTTGAAGATTTTGTTAAAAAAACATAAAATATAGTCATTAATAATTTTTATTTTGATTACATGATAAATAAAAATACTTTATATTGAGTTAAATAGTATACGTTATTAACATTAATTTTACCTTTCAGTTTTCACTTTTTACAATGTGGCTACTAGAACATTTAGAATTATACATGCTGCTGCTTGCATTATATTTCTATTGGACAGAACTAGAGCTACTCTAGAGTAAAATGCAGGGGGCAAGGTTAGAATCAACTTTTAAAAAATATGCAGAGTTCTAAAAGCCTACTGAACAGAAAAATAGAGAACTAGGATTAAAATTCTGTGTCCTTATAGAATCTAGTTTGAGCAGGAATCCTGCTAAATCAGATTAGTGAAAAAATCTCCCACCCTTGGTATCTGACCACTTTGATATCTTATCATCATGGCCTGCCTTCAGCAGTAATCCTATCCAGTCACTTTAATCAGGAACTCCTTATCCTTGATGTTTCCTCTAGTAATTTTCCATCCACTGACCCCACCCTTGGTTATAAATTCCCACTTATCCTTGTTGGAGTTGGAACTGTCCAATCTCTCCACTGCAAGACCCCATGGTGGTGACCCTATCACCGTAGCTCTCTTGAATAAAGTCTGCCTTACCATCTTTAACAAGTGTTCGGATAATGTTCTCATTTAGCAGGCAGCAAGAGCTGTGTCTTTTCTGCTCTGTACTTCTAGTGCCTAGCATAGCACATAGCAAAGAACAGGTGCTCAATTAGCACTTGTTGACTGAACAGTCAGGGCTCACCATGCACCTCTTCCCTCCCATTCTTTCCTCTAGCTGACATGCCAGTATTGCAGCACGGCATTAGATGTCTAGATACGTTCCTTATTTAACATATGGCATATCCAGCAAAAAGAAAAATGAAAATGCTTAAAAGGAATTCTGCATGCATATTTTCTCAGTGTGGGTCTCAAAACTTGGAGAGTTCAGATATTCAGAATGCTATCTATACAAAGATCAGAAAAGAGTTGTCTTCAATTGGAGGCTTTATATATTTCCTTGAGAAGATCTGTGCTTAACCCACAGTATTAAAACAATATATACTGTACTTGTCATGACTAGAGGCAGTTCGAGAGGTCAAACAGACCTGGGGTTCAAACCCTGCCTCCTCTACCTGGTAGCATAATCTCAGGCAAACTACTTAGTCTCGCTAAGTCTAACTGTGCTCAAAAGTAAATTGGCAATAAATCTAACTATCCCTGAGGTAACGGTGGAGATCAAGAAGCATGCAAACCACACAGCCCAGCACTCACATGGTAAGACCGCAGTATACCTTAGCAATTTTTATTATGAATAATAGTAATAAGCAAAATGTGTTAGCTACCATGTTTTATTATAAGCATTAGAAATAGATTCCGATTAACTTAAGCAAACAAGAGGGGAAGGAAGGTTAGTTATAAAAGCTATAAAGCAGCAGAGAACAGAAAGGAAGACTGAATCAGGAAAAATAGGAAGCAAGGATGCTCTGGGAAACGACATTTCATAAATTAAAAAATCTACTCAAAGTGCCATGATCAGAATGATTCACCTCTGATGATTTTTCTGCCCTGTGCTGTTAGGTTAGATGTTCAAATTCCAGATTCATGGAAGAGAGTCTTATCTGCCTAGTATGGGTACTTTTATGCCAACCCTTTGGCATGGTGGCAAAGGTGGCTTGCAGGTCTGCACCACCTTGATTGACAGTTTCTTCAAGAATATATTCACATGGTATGGGTTATCCCCTCAGTAAAATTGGAGTGCTGCTTTCAAATCAAGGAGTAAGGAATGCTTTACAGGTAAAAACAGCAGATGTCCTCTACACATCGTTTTATCACAAGCTATAGATTACACAGACTCTGCAGTGTTTGTATAGGGTATAGAAAAGCTTTTGTTATTATCTAGTTCACTCCAGTGAGACAGAAGTAAAACAGGTAGAGAGCTGTCTGCTGAGGATGTGGCCCCGAGATAAGGATTCCTGGAATGTTTGAGCTGGGAAGGGTGGATTGCCCAAAGCAATCTATATTATTTGAGACTGTAGGAAAATTTGAATAGCGGTGGAAGGATGCCAAATTCTAGATGGAGAGACAGGGCCATTGAACTCTAAAGCACAACGTGAAACAGGAGAATGAGCAAAAGTGAGAGACTGAAAAATAGAGAGTAAAATGAATTGGGTTTGAAAGACTTAGAGCATCTAGTGCAGTTAAAGCTCTGAATACCATTAAGGTGGTTTCTTTCTTATTTTTATGCCTTCCAGAGCATTTCCAGTGGCTAAAGATGAGTGCTTCAACGGATCATCCGAAGAGGTTCTGCAGGGCTAGAGAGACTCCAAACACAAGAATTGGGCAAACACTGAACTGGATGTGGTTGCTGAATTGTTTCTGTCCTTATCTTGTTGAGATGTTTTACATCTTTCATCAGAAATTTCTCCACTGTCCTTGAGCTAGTGTTTTCCAAATGCCAGTCGATAGAGCAGTGCTGATCTGTGACAACATTTTCACTGATCTGTAGTCATATCAAAGAATAAAAAAATAGGCTGGACAAAGTGGCTCATGCCTGTAATTCCAGCACTTTGGGAGGCCAAGACATGCAGATCACTTGAGGTCGGGAGTTCAAGACCAGCCTGACCAACATGGAGAAACCCCATCTCTACTAAAAATACAAAATTAGCCGGCCGTGGTGGCACGTGCCTGTAATCTCAGCTACTCAGGAGGCTGAGACAGGAGAATTGTTTGAACCCTGGAGGTGGAGGTTGCGGGGAGCCGAGATTGCGCCATTGCACTCCAGCCTGGGCAACAGGAGAGAAACTCCGTCTCAAAAAAAAAATAAAAATAAAAAATAAAAAATAAACAGAAAAATAAAAATTCATATTTCTCAAGTGAGGTTTTCATAAAATTAAACTCCTCAATTTGAAGGGTTTTCTTTTATTCTAAAATTATGTCCTTCTTCATTCTGGTTTCTCTTCAGATTGTATAAACCTTTTGGTTTTTACTCAAATTATGTTCTCATACATTTTGATGTTAAAATATCCTTATTTTTAGTGGGAAGATGGCAAAAATGGATGGTAGTTTTAAAAATATCTTTACTTGGCGCAATAAATACCTGGCAACCATATATTGATTTCCTCTCTACTTTTTAAAAATATATGTTAGTCTATAAAATATAAAATCTGAAAACCATGGCTCTAAATGCCTCTAAGTCTCTCACGGCTCACTTCCCATGCGAGTGCACATGGGGAAAGTTGTTACAGTCCCCATCAGCAGGAGGAACACAGGAGACCCAAGTTCAAATCTTGCTTCTCCACTTACTGGTCCTTTGACCTGGAATAAGACATTTGGTTTTATCTGTAACATAGCAATGAGTATTGTACCTACCTTATAATGGTTTTTATGGGGTGCTCAGTAGATGTTTGCTCTAATGACTACTATTACTAATTTCAGGTAATTTTTTTTGTCTCTCAAATTATAATTAGAGTTTAGACTTTAAAGACCAGATCTTTTCATTTAAATTTTTATATCTCAAAATACTGTCTGAATGATGGACAAATCTCTCCTTAAGGTAACCATTTAAATTCATTCTCTGAAAAAAAATGTATTGCATCATGAAATGAAAATCACCTTTAAAAATATAAATTGCAAAGTGAATGGTGATTTTCCTCTGACTTTCCATTGATACCATAAGGAGCTGGATTGTCAGAATCCTTTAGAATTGTAAAAAAAATGGCAAAGGGGACAGGGGCCTGTTCCTCATTTGTTTTGAGTAGACACTTATCACCAACACACCATAGGTCTAATCCTGTCTAAATCTAGAAATAAGAGCTTAGATTCAATAACTTCTAAAAATTCCCCAGATCAGAGCAATTGGATTTAAGCTTCATAAGCAGTGAATATTGTATAACTTTTAATTGCCTAATTGTAGGCTTAAGCATGTTAAGCTATTTTCATTTCAAAGTTTCAAGCCCAAGTCTATTTAAATAAGCTGAAATCAATGGCACTTCATAAACTGCCTCTTTTACAAGAATTCCAGAGTCATTCTCTGTCCCTTTTTTCTTTGTGACAGCTTCAACTTTTATGCTTTCAGAACAGATCACTGGCAGAATGTTCCTACAGTAGAAATAAAACGACTTTGTAGTTTTTCTTCATTATCAAGATCTGAAATATTTTAACAAATGTTAGTCGGTTGGTGAGGCCTGGCAAGCTCTGGAAGGAGCTCTGGAGAGGAACCAAACTATGTCTCTCACATGTTCCCACGCTTTCTTATGTAATAAAAAGAGTCCATGCTGCCTGAATGTCTTTCATCATTATGATTTTCTAAGGCTGTCTGAAGTGTATGGATAATCCCATTGTTACCTAATCCATCACAGTACTTAATATTCCCAGGAGCACCCTTCCAGCTTTCCATGGAAAATTTCAGTTTCAGAAACCTGGGTTTGGAAAGCTCAACATTCTTGATTTCAAGCAATGAATTGAGAAGACTGGTGAGCAGGGTAAGCTTGAAGGGCGGGGCTGGTATTCAGATCTGGGTATTTTCCCATACATTTCCCTCAGATGGGTTTTGCGATTAGACTTGACAATCTCTGGAGGCTGTATCTCCATAGGCCTAGAGCAACAGGCTCACTTTCAAACAGTAAAAGGAAATCTGATAGAATGCAATGGGTGATAAGGTCATGTTTTCCTGTGCAGTGTTTATTTGTTCTGGTCTGACACTAGGTTTTGTGGCTCAAATTAAATTTTAACAAACGCCGTCTGAGAACTTCCCCTGGGAAGGGGCTGAGTCAAGTCGGGAGGATAGAGCACTGTGGTGGATGAACTTGGGGCAAGGCTGGACTGAACATTTGGATGAAAGCTAAGGGCTCAGGATGACCACTCCACGTGAGCAGGGGGACAAGGCCACACTGCAACATCAGCCAGGTGTGCAGTGAAGAGTGGGGTTCAGGGCGGGTGCAGTGGCTCACACTTATAATCCCAGCACTTTAGGAGGCCAAGGGGGGTAGATCACTTGAGGCCAGAAGTTCAAGACCAGCCTGGCCAACATGGCGAAACCCCATCTCCACTAAAAATCCAAAAATTAGCCAGGTATGGTGGTACACACCGGTAATCCCAGCTATTCGAGAGGCTGAGGCATGAGAATCACTTGAACCCAGGAGGTGGAGGTTGCAGTGAGCTGAGATCATGCCACTGCACTCCAGCCTGGGTGACAGAGCCAGACACCACGTGCTGAAGATACAGCAGAGAACAAAATAGACAGTGTCCCTGTCCATTAAGAACTTGTTTTGATTGAGAGTTCTGGATAATAAATAAGTAACAAATAAAGCAGTGTATAATTTCAAGAAGTAATAAATGCTAAAAAGAAAGCTGAATAAGAACCACAAGATGGAGATAATGAAAAGAAAGCCACTTTAAGTATGCTTATCATATTTGAGGGACAGCATCTATGAGAAGAAGAAATTTGAGTTGGGGGGAGCTGATTAAAACCAGGAAATCTTCTATGTAGAGATCCCATGGAGCAGTTCTCAGGGGGAGCAGCATGTGCGAAGGCCCAGTGGTGGAATAGTTTGGCATGACTGAGAAACAGCAAGAACGTCAGTGTGCCAAGAACAGGTTGAGCAAGAGGAAGAGCTGGCAGGCAATGAGTTTGAAGAGAGGCAGCAGGCAGATTTTAGGGCCTTCCAGGCCCTGGTTAAAAGCTTGAATTTTATTTAAAATGAAATGAGACTCCCACCCTTGGTATCTGACCACTTTGATATCTTATCATCATGGCCTGCCTTCAGCAGTAATCCTATCCAGTCACTTTAATCAGGAACTCCTTATCCTTGATGTTTCCTCTAGTAATTTTCCATCCACTGACCCCACCCTTGGTTATAAATTCCCACTTATCCTTGTTGGAGTTGGAACTGTCCAATCTCTCCACTGCAAGACCCCATGGTGGTGACCCTATCACCATAGCTCTCTTGAATAAAGTCTGCCTTACCATCTTTAACAAGTGTTCGGATAATGTTCTCATTTAGCAGGCAGCAAGAGCTGTGTCTTTTCTGCTCTGTACTTCTAGTGCCTAGCATAGCACATAGCAAAGAACAGGTGCTCAATTAGCACTTGTTGACTGAACAGTCAGGGCTCACCATGCACCTCTTCCCTCCCATTCTTTCCTCTAGCTGACGTGCCAGTATTGCAGCACGGCATTAGATGTCTAGATACGTTCCTTATTTAACATATGGCATATCCAGCAAAAAGAAAAATGAAAATGCTTAAAAGGAATTCTGCATGCATATTTTCTCAGTGTGGGTCTCAAAACTTGGAGAGTTCAGATATTCAGAATGCTATCTATACAAAGATCAGAAAAGAGTTGTATTCAATTGGAGGCTTTATATATTTCCTTGAGAATTAAAAAAATGAGATTTTTAATAGGAGAATTATTTGATTAAATTCCATTCTAAGAAAACCACTCTGGCTATACGTTGTGGCACAAATTGGAGGTAGACAAAGAGTCATGGCAGGGAGAACAATTAATAGACCAGACTGGACATTATGGACCAGGATCATGAAAATAGAAATAAATATCTCAAAAATATGTATAAAATTAGAGATAGAAATAATAGATCTTGCTAACAAATTAGTTGTAGAGTTAAAAAAAGTAAGGACAGAATCAAGAAAGGGTCTTTGAATTTCAGAACAAAAAGGCAAGGATTCTGGGCAGGTTGTTCTCCTTATTTATTCTCCCTTAAAATTATAAACCACCGTTTCTTGGTTACTGTAGGTTTTTGCCCTCAGCCTTGTAACTGTTCATTTTTGTCACTTGCAGCATAGCCACACTCTGCAAATGATCAAAATCAGCATCGCTCACTCTGTGGGGCTCTTGGAAACAAGTCTGCTTAGCTCTCCCCAAACTCCACATGGTTCCCCCAAATGGCAGCACTGGGGCCCAGCATGAAGCAGCTAATGCTGTGTATGGGATGCAATTTCAAAACACCCCAGATCCATTCTAACTAATCAAGTGGACCAGAGGGGAGCGCTCCTCAGAGGTCCAAACCACACAATCTCCATAGCCCATTTTATATTCTCAAATATATTTCTTTGAATAATTTTTTGAAGTGAAATTGTTTTGAATTCTCATGATCTTTCTGTTGAAATTTATGAAAAAAGATGATTCATGTGCTCTTCTGGATATAAAATATAGCTAGAAAAGTAAAGCAAAAATAAAATCAATTCCATGTTAGGGAAGGAAATTCAGAATTTATATATTAGATGAGGAAAGCTGGACCATAATTAATTAGCAAATATTCTTAAATTTGGGTGAGCAAATGTGTTCTGTTTTTATTGTGGAACGCTGAGCTGTGGAGATGTTCTGGACCTGATGCCAATTAGCCTCCCATTTTTACTTAATTAAGTGTCATGTAGAGCTCCTGCTGGCATAAAATGGTTTTCAGTTCTGCTGTTTTTCTTTTGCTTTCTTGTCAAAATCCATTTACCAAATGGTACCAAAAACTATTTTTTAATACATAAAATGTAGAGGTATGGATAGGTATGCAGAACAGGATCTGTGGAAGCGGATAAACTCACCTGAATCCCAGCTCTGTCACTTTCTAGCGCCTGCTCTTTGCTATTATTTCACCTTTCGAATCCTTAGTTTCCTCCCGTGTAAAACAGGTAAAATACCCACCTCATAATGCTGTTGTTAGGACTAAATGAGATAGAGTAAGGACTTAATGAATGAATGGTTGTTCTTTTGTAATAATTATAGACTTATAGGAAATCGCACAAAGAATATGGAGAAGTCCCTGTGCCCTTCGTCCAGTTTCCCTCAATGATTACTCCTTGCATAGTTATAGTATGATATCAAAACCACAGAATTGATTTTGATATAATGTGGATGTATATTTTGAGGTCATTTTATCACATGTGTGTATTCCTATAGTCACCACTACAATCAAGATAAAGAACTATTCCATCACTACGAAGGTCTCTCCCTTATGCTACCCATAAAGTGACACCCACTTCTTTCCCTTACTCCCACCAACTCTAACCTCTAGCAACCACCAATCACTATAGTGATGAGTTTTCCATCACTGTAATTTTGTATTTCTATATGAATGAGAATGTTTATGTAAATGGAATAACAGTGTATTACCTTGAGACTGGCTTTTCTTTTTCATTCAGCATGACGAACTTGAGATCTATCTAAGTGGTTGCATGTGTCAATAGTTCATTTATTTTTATTCCTGAGTAGCACTCAATGGTATGCATATACCACAGTTCATTTAGCAATTCAGTTATTGCAGGACATGTTGGTTGTTTTTGGGCTTTGGCTATTACAAATAAAACTACTTGGGAACACCTTACACAGGTTTTTGTCTGGATATAAATTTTCAGTTATCTGAGATAAATGCCCAGAAGTGTGTTTGCTCAGTTTTGTGAACTTTTTATCGAATTCTCATGTTATGAGTCACAAGATTGCAATTGTTGCAATATAAGAGATTGCCAATAAACCCCATCAAAGGCAAGGAGAGGAAGTTGAATAAAATCCTTGGGTAGTACATTAGTCCATTTTCTGTTACTTAGAATACCTAGAACTGGGGAATGTATACAGAAAAGAAATATATTTCTTACAGTTATGGAGGCGGAGAAGTCCCAGATTGAGGGATCACATCTGAGGAGAGCCCTCTTGCTGGTAGGGACTCTCTGCAGAGTCTTGAGGCAGCACACGGTGTCACATCGCAAGGGGGCTAAGCATGCTTACATGCTAGCTCAGGTCTCTCTTCCTCTTCTTATAAGCAGCAAGTTCTCCTCCCATGGTAATTTATTAATTCATTAATCTCTTAATGGTTTAATCCATTCATGAGGGCAAAACCCTCATGACCCTCTCACCTCTTAATTTTAGGCCTACCTCTTAATATGCCATGGTGGAGATTGAGTTTCAACATGAGTTTTGTAGGGGACATTCAAACTATAGCAGGCAGGATTGCAAAACTATTGTATGTTAGTCAGGATAATTAATATTAGCTACTCTAACAACCCCACAATCCTAGTAGCTCAAAACAGTAATTATTTATTTCTTCCCCAATCAATGTCCACTGTGGGTTGCGCAGCTCTGCTGAGTGACGCCCTCTCTCTACTCTGTGGCTCCACCCATTGCAGAGTTCTAGCAGCTCTGCCATCTTTGCTTTTAGCTGGGTGGATGTGAGAGAAAGGAGAGCCCATGATAGATCAGTCTGGATGTTTTTGGACTCAGGCCTGCGAACGCCATACATTGCTTATTAGCTAAAACCAGTTACATCACCTCCACTACCTACAAGCAAGGTTAGGAAATGCATTCTCCCAAGAAGAGGTAATGAGGCATCTATCTGTCTAGGCTCTGTCACAGAGAAGCATTGTATCACTAGTAAGCAGCAGCTATGAACCAGCGGAGAGACAGACATTTTGTTATTACTATTAAAGCATTGCAAGTTGAACTTAAATCTTGTTTGAGGTAAACTCAGTAGCAATCCTTGAATCACTTTCTATGAGGATGACTGACAGAACTAAAGACAAGGTAATACCTGTAACACAGATAACAGTGCCCACTATTTGGTAGTCACAATCATGAAGGCAGTTGATGTGTACTGCATATATTAAATGCTCCTGACTGGAAGCAGGTGATCTTTGGGAAATCCAGGAGTGAAGAGGGGTTGAAGAAAGAAGAGATGGAAATGTGCCCAGACCAGACTCACTGGCCTCTCTTGCCAGCTCTCAAGGATTCTGCTCATTCTGCAAGATATAGCCAGGCTAAATCCAGGTTAAGCCAGGATCATCCAAGGGTCACGTCCAGCCCTCTGACTGTTGTTGTATGCATGTGAGCTAAAGACAAGGTTTATATGTTTAAATGGTTTTTTTAAAAAAATAAAAAAGAAATATTATTTTGTGACACTGAAAATTACATGAAATGCAAATTTCATTGTCTATAAGTTTTGTCAGATCTCAATCAAATTCGTTTGTTTCCATATTATTTACAATTGCTTTCATTCTACCCAACAGAGTTGAATAGTTACAAGACAGACTGTATGTGGCCTACAAAGCTGAAAACATTTACTATCTGGCCCCGGTTTGCCAGTGCCAAGTATAAGCCATCTGGGCCTCATAGCTTTTCAAGGTTTTGAAAATGTTATTAGGTTCATGGAAAGCCATGCCTCTTTTATGCCATCTTTATTTAATGACTTTTTCACATTGGAAAAATAGCACTGTTATTTTTTAAAATCCACTTTTAACAAAACTTCATCATCTACTTGTCAGAGGAGCAGTCATCCCAAGCGTTAATAATCCTACTGCTGAGCCCGCAGGGATAATGGTATTATCCTTGGAATCTACCAGCATCGACCTTAGAGTTTTCAGTCCTGAAAAAAAACTGCAACATATCCAACATTGCACCATCCTAAAATGTTACATAACTGTAGCATAGTTATATTATGTGACTGAAAACCTTCACTATGAAAAAGACATTCCCTGGACATAAAGTGTACAGGTTTTTAACTGTATTTAGAAATCGTTAGCTTTTAAAACTTGCTTGTTCCCCTTTGAACAGCAAGTTCAAAAGCGTCAGAAAAAAAAATACAAAGTTTTCTTTAAAGAAAAATGTTCCCATTCTGGCAGTGTTGTGAAATACTTCATCTTTTAAAATAACCTCCAGAAACTCAGCTGTAACACCACAATTGACAGAAATGAATAAGTAGCCCTTGGGTTATTTTGATATCCTAAGAGAATACATGAATCTCTCTTCCTCTGATACCTTAGGAAAATTATCACATTTCATACCTCCTTAACAACTCATGAGCTTTCTTTTTCCATATCTGATTTTTTTTTTTGACAGGGTTTCACTGCCATCACCCATCACCCAGGCTGGAGTGCAGTGGTGTGCTGTAGGCTCACTACAACCTTCACCTCCCAGGCTCAAGAGATCCTCCTGCCTCAGCCTCCTGAGTAGCTAGGACTACAGGTGTGCACCAACAGCCCTGGCTAATTTTTGTATTTTTAGTAAGAGACGGGGTTTCACCATGTTGGCCAGGTTGGTCTTGAACTCATGACCTCAAGTGATCTGTCCACATCAGCCTCCCAAAGTGCTGGGATTACAGGCATGAGCCACCGTGCCCCACCTGGTTCTGTTTTAAATGTGTAGTTGACAAGAGCACTGCCTTAGAAATCAGACTGCTCCAAATTCACACTCTCCTCTGGTACTTAAGCTCGTGACTTTGGGTAAACCACATGCTGCCCTGTGTCTCAGTTTCCTCATCTGTAAAAGGAGGTCACACAGTGCTGACTTCAGAGAGTTATTGTAGAGTCAAATGGGGTATATCATAGAAAGCCCTTAACACAGTGCCTGGCACACAGAAAACTGTCAATAATATTGTCTATGATTAGTGATTTTTATAGTCTCACTATTTTTTCAACTGCATGGTTGTAAAACCCAGAAATAGTTACAGAGACAAGTAGCGACCATTATCAACAAAATATAAACCATCTGTCAGTGAATTAAACAAATTCAAACAGAAAAAGTGTCTTTCATTTAGCAAGGTACAGAGTGAAATATATCAGTTACATGGTCAGAAATATTACAGGTATTAACTTAAGCCAACATAATCGTTTTGCATAATGCTGTCTTAAACTCTTAGTAAATCTTAAGATTTATAAAACCACATGATTAACTCATCCTGCCCCTATTTAAGTCCTTCTTATGATGAGGAAAACACTGTCCCTTGAAGCAACCCATTACGATTTGAAACACTTTCTTAAACTGAGCTGAAAATTGTTTCTCTGGTGCTTACAGTCTTTGGGCCAAGTCCCACACTCTGGAGACAAATCTAATAGTGCTTACCTTTGACAGGCCTTCAAATGTGTGATAATGTCCCACACTTCTCCTTAGTTAACTACTCCAGTTCCTTTAACTCTTCATCACACCATAGGGTTTGTGGAGCCTTCATCATCTTGGCGACGAATCCCATTGTGCTTTAAGAATAACACAATCCCCTTAAAAAAAAAAATCTCTAGACGCTGCCCTGTGGCAACTGAACAACTACCTAAATTAACCCAACTGTGTAGCTGGAGAAAAGGATTCTAAGTATGTTCTCAGAGCAAAATTCAAAGCAACTTATTTAATGTTTTCACTGGTTCTGTTCTGCAGGTTAGAATAACATAACGATAATACTGAGAGGCACCATGAGAAACTAGAACTTTAGGACTCAGTGCTTAGAGAATTTAAAATTGGAGGTCTTGTTTATTTAGTCCCCCATACCTCTAAATAGATTCTGAATATCTGAATGATATTGAACCCAGCAATTAGATGAATGTGCTTTTCTTTCCAACACTATGTCACGAACTGTGAAGGGTCTGAGATTTTATCCTATTTGCAAACTAACAAGTGAGCCTGCCACAGTTTTGTGGATGCTGTCAGAAGACACTAGACTCCTGGGTCAGAGCCAAGGGAGTCTATTACCCAAGGCATAACAAGTAGCCTAAAATTCATGCTCCTGTTGTTTCCATTTGCCTGTGCGTTCCATGGGTGTGAGGTCGAACAGTGTATGTGGATGGTAAGATTGCAGTGGTTTTGCATTACAGCTGAGAAACCTCAGGCTTAAAACATCCGTTCAATCTTTTATAACAGATTGCAAGCAAGCTGACCCAGTTTTTGCCCCAGAGGGAGACTTTATCTTTATTACACTGGACAGTAAACAAGGCTGCCCTCTGCTTCAGAGGAAGGTACTAATCTCTATTTTCCATGGCTGTTCAAGGCCTCTGCTTGCAAGATGTGTGCAGGGCAAGGGACACATGGAGAGGGGTCTCTCAGCACACCATAGGGTTTTATTAGAAGGAGTACTTACTTCTCTAGAACATTAAACCAATCAGTAAGTATTTCCTGAATGTCTGCTATGTGCGCAACAGTTTTCTAGGTACTGTGAAGAATAAAAAGTCCATGGTCTCTTGATTCCAGGTACTTAGAATTTATCAGGTACTACCTGACCCAGAACAATAGGAAACAATGCAAGATAAGCGAAAGCTAAATTAGGACTTATGCATTCATTCATACAAATAAATATTTCATGCCTTGTATAAACACTAGCACTTACTTAGTGCCAACAGTATGCCAGGCCCTAATCTAAGCCCTTTACATATATCAAAACAAGCATGTGAAATACCTCCTAGTATACTCCTTTTGACATGTGTGGAAATAAAGGCACAAGCATGTCGAGTGGTTTGTCCATAGTCACATAGCTAGGAACTTTTCATTGTGCCCAGACGCTGACTCTGGAGCCACAGTCTTACCCTGAACACTGAACTGCCTACCTTGTCACAGACACTTATCCAAGCTGGAGCTCTAAAGTCAGGGCAGGGACAAACCCTGTCTTCACAGAGCTAACAGCCTCAAATGGCACACTTACTAGCAGATATTAGTTTGATGAAAGGGAGAATAAAAGGGCATTTTTGACAGGAAGCCCAGTTCAGAAGTGATTGCAGAAATCAGTCCAGAAGTGTTGATGGCCTGAGCCAAGCAGGGGCAGGGGAAATGGGGAAGAGGGTACAGAAGAGGGAGAACAGAGACATAAAGCGTGAGAGATGTGAGTAACTGGAGGTCAGAGGTGAAGAAGAGAGAAGTGTCCAGATGGATCCTGGCATCTGGACTGGGTTCTGCATGCCTGTGTCATCTGCACACACAGATGGCCCAAATTAATGAAAGTAGGAGGAAGGGCAGGATTGGGGAAAGGACACTGATTCCATTTGGGATATGTCCAGTTTGAGGTAACTATGCAATGTCCAAGTCAAACGTCAATTCAATCCAGAACATAGATACTAGTTGCCACCATGGATGTGGCTGATTTGGCCCAAGGTGCGTGTGGAGCATGCCAAGAGTACAGAACCAACCAGACAGCAGAAATATACTCCAGGGACAGGGAGAGAGGAAGAGAGGAGTTCAAAGAAAGGAGCGATCAAGCAAGCCTGCAGTAACCAGGGAAGCCCCTGGAGCAGGGTTTTGAGTGAGCATTTGCAGGGGCAGCCTTGGTGCCATCGTCCTGGAGAGCGGAGTGCACAAGGCAGTGCAAAGAGCTCGTGCGGGCCAGAACATGCATCATGATGGCATCATTTATAATTCTGGGCCCTGGTAACTGGATGGGTCTTTGTTTTCTAAGTGCTCAGAAGGTGGAGATGTGCAGGTTTGAAGGCAGAAGCCACGAGATTTTCAAGGATGAAGGTATTTAAAATACAGTGTGTCCCATAATAGGAACTTGGGAGGAGAGAGATATCAATGTAGGATTTAAAGAGTTGGCTCCCAGCATACATAGTTAAACTCTCTCATCCATCCTCCTTATAAAATGTAGATTTGGCTCTAATGCTGAGCTCTTTCAGGGTAGTCTTGGGTGAGAGCAGTGGCTGCAGATGGGGAGAGCAGACATTTGCTTATATTGTGAGGGTCTTGTCTGGGAGCCTTAGAGCACATGTCAGATTACGTCATCCCCCTAGTCACCAGCCTGATGTCCTTGTGACTGTCAACAAGTTCATCACTCCGGGAAGGTAGATTTACACTGGCAGGAGCTGTGATCATCCTTATGCTACCACCTTGCAGTCAGAAGGAAGTTACAGTGACTGAGCCACTGCCCAGCTTTGGGGGAGTACATGGTACAGGAGTGGGCATTTCAGACGGAGGGAGCATGGTCAGCCTCACAGGAGCTTCTAAACTGGTAAATGTGAGAAACTCCCTTGGCAAGGGGCAGGCTGCAGATGACTGTTTAAACAAGCCTCAAGAGAGGCTGAAACACTTAAGAATTGAGAGTCATTTCAGGGAGGGAAAAAGCACATCCTGACAGACAAGGCTGACCTGTTTCAGGGTCTCACCCTTGGACGGCTCAGAGATGCTCTCCTGCCAGCAAGCACTGAGAAATCTGATCAGGGCTGCAGAGTGCTCCAGACACTGGCGATATAGCCAGGGAGTCAGTGCTATGCACTAGAGAGGAAGAACTTGAAGTAAGTTGGAAGAATATGACATTAAAATATAACAAAGGTTTTAGAGAGGCAATAGAGATTCACGGAAAAATTTCAGGGTCTGATGTGGGGAATTACACACATCTTGGAGCTGTGTGTCTTTCTCTTTGGGAGAAGGCTGAGAGTGGTCACTGAACAGTTATCCACGAAGTCACAGTTCTCCAGGAGGGTCCCCACCAGCTTTTCCACATGCTGTGCCTTCTATCAGGAAGATTCTCTAGCCCACTGCTTCCTCCTTCTCCTGTTTGTGAAAAATACCTACTTATCTTTCACACTAAGCTCAAGAGCCCCTCTCCTCCTCCCCAGGAAGGATGCTCCCTCCTTCTTTTGTGTACCCCAGTACCCCACATGTGTCTCTGGTTGAAGCTGGTATACTTTATGGCACCTTTTCATTTCCAGGTAGAATTCCTCTGGTAAATTCCAGCCCTTAAAGGACACGGACCATGTCTTACTATCTGATTCCTCAGCCCCTGCCCCAGTGCTTGGTATAAAAGAGGTACTTGGCAAATGGTGGGTGGCCACTGTCCTCCACCCCCTGTTCCCACCGCCTCCAGGAGAACAGAGAGCAGTGTGGGAGCCAGGACCAGGGCTGTGAGAGCTGGGGACCTAGAGCAGTTCTGGATTTCTGGGATGGATTGGGAGGAAACTGGAGAACTCTAGAGGAGGCAGGAAGCCAGAGTGACCGTGTGGGAAGCCAGCACCCACCCAGCCAGCCCTGTGACTGTGGAAAGGACCCCTGAGAGAGAGAGTGGCCAGAGTAAACTACTGCTTCAGAGCCCAGAGGGGGAAACGGCTGGGAAGAAGGAGGTGGAACCAACTTCTTGGTGCAAAAGGCTGCTAAAGGCCTACCTTTTTTTTTCACTTTCCTGGATCAAAGAGAAGCTCTTGAGATAGGAAAGGTGACTGACTGAGTCAGGAACACTAGTCACTATGACTGCTTCCCTCATCCTGCCTGAAATCCCACCAATCAGAACACCAGGAGATTTAGATGGTTGTGCAATGCAGTGCCTTGATGTTCTGGTGGTGAATGGGGTGGATGCACAGGTTCCATTCCTAGGGGTCAGGGCCAGGAATTAGGGGAGGCATTGTGTGGGAGGGCTCTTATTCCAGGGATATCACAGTCCAAGTCCAACACCAGCAGACGGAGCTTGGGTGTGCTGGCCCCAATTTGTGCACCTCCCCGGTTTTCTCAAACTGGTTTTCTGCTCTGTGTTGGAGATGGTCCCCTAGATGCTAGGAGATGGCCTGGCACCAGCCCCATTCTCGTCATTCTTGTAAGTTCCATATGCAACCCCCAATTACCATGAGGGTGGCTGGGCCCCATCACCAGGGGGAGGTCCGTGTCCCCTCCTGCCACCTGCTGTGGCCACAGTCCTGGGCTGGCATCACATGCTTCCATCCCTAACACTGTGGCTTTAGGATCCAGCTGGGGCCCAGGGGCCATGGGGGAAGCAAATGTGGCCAGAAGCAAGTGGAAGCCTATAGATAGCTTTCGCCCTTTTCCTCCTGCCTTTCTCTCCAACATGTAATATTCGGAAATGCAGCAGCCTCAGCCTCTCTGAAGATATCCTGGGAGACCTGGTAGCCAGCTTGGGAACACACTTTCTTATATTTACTCTCTCCCTTTCTAGGCGTCACCCTATATTTGCTCTGACACACGCTTTCCTGGAATTTTGTTCCCCAGCAGTGTTAGCTGTAAGCTTGCATCTCAGGCCTTTGTCTAGGGCCCGTAGGTTCAGAGACCCTGGGAGCCAGGACAAGGAGGGTCTAATAATCAAAGAAAGTACCATGGAAGAAAGGGCAAGATAGATTCTAATATTCCAAAAATAAATGGCTTGGGCTTGCCTGGACCCTTATTCTCCAGAGGCCACATGAGACAAGTTACCTGCCTTCAGGGTGCTCCCAGTGGTATCTGGGAACAGGACCCTGCATGCGCCGTGGTTCCAGAACCTGGTGCTAGAGAAACCTCATGCTGAGAAGAGGGAGAGAGAGCTGAGTGCTCTGCTCCAGGGGCATGAGGACATGAGGAATGGGGCTCCTCCGGAAGACAGGCACAGAACTTGGCTCTTCTACCAGAATCATCTGAAGAATCTCTTCTCTTTCTGTGCCACCGGAGCTGAATGGAAGGCCAACATGGGGAATGCAGCCGGCTCTGTGGGGGCCAGGGAGGGAGAGTCCCTACTGGTGAGGAATCCAGCAGATCTGGAGGCTCACCCAGCCCTGCTACCTGAGGACCTCGGGCACATTAGTGAACATTTTAAGCTTTAGTTTACACATCTATCCAATGGAAAAGATGTTCAGAGAAATTATGAAAGACTGAAATGGGCAGAAGAGATTCCTGGGAGTATTTTCAATGGAGGGCCAGGCGTTAGCTGTCCCAAGAACCCTCCTGGCCTTTTAGATTCTGTACATCATCTTTAGTGATCCCTGAGGAGGTTATTTTACAACTTGCTAGAGATAAAAGCTAATTTATAGAAAAATGATAGAGATGCAACTATGTCATATTATTCTTTTTTAGGGCAATACAAATCATACCTGTCTGATTGAAAATATAAGTCTCTACAAGTTAAATTCAAATTTGAACTAGTTTTACATTTTATCAGTTCCCTTATTAATGAATGAGGTTAAGTAAAATATTTGCTGCATGTTCATTTTATATGAGTCATGATCTTACCGTTTTGAAAAGTATCCTTTATAATGATATCAATTGAAAAGAGATGTCTCAGAATTAACTGAGATCACTTATATGAGGTGTCTAACATTGAAACACTAAAATACAGGTCAGGTAAAGTTTATTTTGAAGTAAAAGATAATAGCAGAAACGAAAGAAAAGGAGAAAATTACAGCTGAGCTGTGTGTGAGATTTAACTGCATAATCTCATTTAATATTGACACAACTTTGTGTGCTAGTTTTTAAAACCTCGTATCACAGATTAAGGCCCAGGCTTCTAGGTGCTTGGGAACTTGATCCAGACCAAGATGGTAGGGCATAGAGCTAAAATGGAAATCCAGATCTGTCTGACTCCAAAAGCCCATGCAAACCCCCACCAAACTCTGGCACAGGCCAAGGATCAGCAGCATAGTGTTGTGGGGAGGACATCTCCATGCATCACAGTGGGTGCTACAGGTGGGGAGAGAGAGGACAGCTGAGAACCCTGGGCACCCAGAAGGGGCACCAGAAGGAACAAGGGGAAGAAGAAAGCTGGCAAAACTGAGGACTTCCAGCCTTTGGCTGGCACAGGCTGTGCTCCCTACTGCGTTCTTCCTACTCTTCTGCCCCATAGAAAGCTGAGTTCAAGGAAATTCAAGTTCACACTAACTTTATACCTTTATCGAAGCAGGGATATTAACATTTTCAAAGACCTAAAAGTCACTCTTCTAGGCCATGGGCAATGTCAGTGACAAGATAGTACTGAGGACCCCTGACTCCTGGGATCATGTACCTACCCCCTAACCACATTCCTCTGAAGGCACTAGAGAGCCATGATTCATCAGAGTGGTGAACTCTCTGAGAGTCATTTATAATACCATTCATCAAACCACTGGCCAATATGTCAAGACTCTTAAAACGCTGAATATTTCCCTGTTTGTTTTTCAGTGTAAAAATAGATAAGAATGCACAGTTGGTGGTTAGGGAAAAGTTAAGACTGAGGATATATTAGCACATTTTAATTGTTTCACTATTATTTTTATTGGCAAAGAAAGTGAGGGCCACAAAAAAGCACAACCGGGAAACACCTGTGGGAGCTCTGTTGTGTGCCAGTCTGCTTAAATGGATCTGCTATGGGCTTTCTGGTTATGCTCTACATCTAGCTACGCACATCCTTGATATCTCAACAAAACCAATGTCTGCCTCAGACTCTGTGGGCCTTTTCAGTGATTTTTCAGTTTATTCTAATGTATCCTCTTTCCAGGGTAGTATATGGTCCCAAGTGTTCATTCAAATTATCATTGCAATATTTTAAATTACTATTCCTCTTCCTTACCTTATACTCTGACTAGTGATTTGGAAATACATAGGATTTTTTTGAAGAAGAAAAAATACTCTGGGTATGTTCTTGGTAAGTGAGAACAAAATGTCAAGCTTTCAAAATGAAAGTATATTTCCTAAATTACAAAACAAGGGACATTTCCAAAGGTCCATTTTTCTTCTCCTGACCTACTGGAGGTCATTTCAGTTAAAGCCCTTTGAGGATGAAGTGGCTACATTTTTATCCCAACTGCATGCCCAGGAGTCAGGGAAGGGAGCCTCTTCTTCCTTAACAGGCTTTTGGGCAACTAATCTAATCTCTCATATAAAACAGACTCAAGCCTTATTGGAAGCTACACCAAATATCCTTCGAATGATTGTGAAGATAACAGTAGATTATGCTTCCTGATGAAGTACAGTAATAATTGCTTAACTTCCTAGAATTCCTGCCCTCACATTTTTCCTGAAGGATATACAGCATACAAAATACAAAAATCATGAATAATAATAAATTCCTAATAGTCAAATAGAAATTTCTCCTAACTTGATTCCTTAAATTGACTTGGACTTTATATACTAGCATAAGAAAAATGCAACCCACTTGATATTAGTAATACAATTTTTGACAAAATTTTACTGTCATTTAGTCACTTGACATTTGTCCAGTCAGTTAAAGTAACCACATTATTTTAAAATACAATGTTGGAGAAAAAATTAATAAGGACAGCATGGTCATTAAAACAGGTCATTTTCTGGTGTTTAGTCTCGACTAAATCTACTAAACTTACTGAGTGAACCACTTAAAATGACCAAAAGAGACAAGCAATATTCATTTTGCCAACTATTGGCTGGTTGATTGTAAAATAGAAACTCATTAAAAGATGTATATAGTGATCTATATACATCTGCTCCTTTTAGTCTCTACATAGAGAGAAATTGCTTATCACTTGGCCCAAACCAGGAATAAGAATGATTTTCCATATGGTGGCCAAATGATCCATAGTAAAATAATAACAATAATATCAACTATTACATAGATCATGCCTTATATTAAATATTAGTTGTTTCTGGATACATACTAATAGCAATAATATTATCTACTAACCTTATAATCAATATAGTTTAATAAATTGTAATAAGACAGTTCCATAATCATAAACTAGGAATGAATACATGAACAGTGCTGCTAAAATCCTGCATTTTTATTTATAGTAAATCCTCTATAAATAAGGACTGGGTCAATCTCAACACTAGACTGTGAATTCCCTCCTCAGAATTGAAGTACCAAAACATTTTGGGAATAGTAGAGGATCTTTTTTATTTTATTTATTTATTTATTTTTTTATTGATCATTCTTGGGTGTTTCTCGCAGAGGGGGATTTGGCAGGGTCATAGGACAATAGTGGAGGGAAGGTCAGCAGATAAACAAGTGAACAAAGGTCTCTGGTTTTCCTAGGCAGAGGACCCTGCGGCCTTCCGCAGTGTTTGTGTCCCTGGGTACTTGAGATTAGGGAGTGGTGATGACTCTTAACGAGCATGCTGCCTTCAAGCATCTGTTTAACAAAGCACATCTTGCACCGCCCTTAATCCATTTAACCCTGAGTGGACACAGCACATGTTTCAGAGAGCACAGGGTTGGGGGTAAGGTCATAGATCAACAGGATCCCAAGGCAGAAGAATTTTTCTTAGTACAGAACAAAATGAAAAGTCTCCCATGTCTACCTCTTTCTACACAGGCACAGCAACCATCCGATTTCTCAATCTTTTCCCCACCTTTCCCCCTTTTCTATTCCACAAAAACGCCATTGTCATCATGGCCCGTTCTCAATGAGCTGTTGGGTACACCTCCCAGACGGGGTGGTGGCCGGGCAGAGGGGCTCCTCACTTACCAGTAGGGGTGGCCGGGCAGAGGCTTCCCTCACCTCCCGGACGGGGAGGCTGGCCAGGCGGGGGGCTGACCCCCCTACCTCCCTCCCGGACAGGGTGGCTGCCGGGCGGAGACGCTCCTCACTTCCCAGATGGGGCGGCTGCCGGGCGGAGGGGCTCCTCACTTCTCAGACGGGGCGGCTGCCGGGCGGAGGGTCTCCTCACTTCTCAGATGGGGCGGCCAGGCAGAGACACTCCTCACCTTCCAGACGGCGTCGCGGCCGGGCAGAGGCGCTCCTCACATCCCAGACGGGGCGGCGGGGCAGAGGTGCTCCCCACATCTCAGAGGATGGGCGGCCGGGCAGAGACACTCCTCACTTCCTAGATGGGATGGCGGCCGGGAAGAGGCGCTCGTCACTTCCTAGATGGGATGGCGGCCGGGTAGAGACGCTCCTCATTTTCCAGACTAGGCAGCCAGGCAGAGGGGCTCCTCACATCCCAGACGATGGGCGGCCAGGCAGAGACGCTCCTCACTTCCCAGACGGGGTGGCGGCCGGGCAGAGGCTGCAATCTCGGCACATTGGGAGGCCAAGGCAGGCGGCTGGGAGGTGGAGGTTGTAGCGAGCCGAGATCATGCCACTGCACCCCAGCCTGGGCACCATTGAGCACTGAGTGAACGAGACTCCGTCTGCAATCCCGGCACCTCGGGAGGCCGAGGCTGGTGGATCACTTGAGGTCAGGAGTTCAAGACTAGCCTGGCCAACATGGCAAAACCCTGTATCTACTAAAACACACACACAAAATATTAGCCGGATATGGTGGCAGGTGTCTGTAATCCCAGCTACTTGGGAGGCTGAGGCAGGAGAATCGCTTGAACCTGGGAGGTGGAGGTTGCAGTGAGCTGAGATCGCACCACTGCACTCCAGCCTGGGCAACAGAATGAGACTCTGTCTCAAAAACAAATCATTAATAAATAAAATAAAATAAAATATTTAAAAACTGTTATGGCGTGTACAACAAACATGCAGGTGGACACTAGCTGTAAAGAGCTGGTAATGGACCAGGCACGGTGGCTCATGCCTATAATCCAAGCACTTTGGGAGGCTGAGGCGGGTGGATCTTGAGGTCAGGAGTTCAAGACCAGCCTGGCCAAGATAGTGAAACCCCATCTCTACTAAAAATACAAAAATTAGCCAGGCACAGTGGCAGGTGCCTGTAATCCCAGCTATTCAGGAGGCTGAGGCAGGAGACTTGCTTGAAGCCAGGGGGCAGAGGTTGCAGTGAGCTGAGATAGTGCCACTGCACTCAAGCCTGGGCAACAGAGCAAGACTCTGTCTCAAAAAAAAAAAAAAAAAAAAGCTGGTAATGACCTTCAGGTGTGACAGCCCTGGCTGAAACTGCCTGAATATGAACTAGGCCATCTTGGGGTTAAAGGCACACTGAGCATATGCCTCAGTGAGCCCAGGAGAGGCCTCTTGCATAGGCCTAATTTTTTAAAGCTTTTTTTACTTTTAATGCTCCCTTAACTTAGCTTGGTTAAAGGGTACTCTGTCAATGAAGGTATTCAATTAAAGTGTGGTAACCGACTAGGAGGATGCAGAAGAAGGAATTCTGGCATTTTATTATGGAGCTGCACTATTGCAGAATCCTATTGTCAGATTCTTACAGCCATGGTGTATCCAACTGTGCTGGGGCCCCTACATCCTCTCCACAGCTGAGTAAGTGCTTGTGGAACTGCATATATGTTTATAAATTTCCCCAACCCAGTTCCCTTATGATATGGTGGTCTTTGCTTCTACTAACATCCCCGCTGATGCCCAACATAAGGCAAACCCAGCTTGTCTTGGTCATGGACTTTTGGAAAGCACACAAGGGGCTGATTACCACCTTCTCCCACTCAACACGCACCATCACCCTACCTGAGATGGGGGAGGTGAGACAGATTCCCACTGGGGATGGAGAAGAGTCACTAGTTGGGGTTGGATTCTCCAAAACTGTGAGATTTATGTGGCTTATTCCCATAGATCATAGAAGCCCTAATGTGGTGGGGACATTGTAAAAGGAAATATAATTATATGCTTTGACTGTCTCAGAGTCTGTGAGTTCTCTTGACCTTAAGGATAATCAAGAAGACACAAAATCATCCCTAGGCAATCTTTCAAGTGGCTGGGCAGTCTGACCACTTGGGCCTGAAGCTTTCCATTACCCAGCATAATAGCCAAGGGTTTTTTGGAGATAAACAACTATGAGTAGAATTTGACAATACATAGAAAGAGAATTAAGCTCCTCTGAATGTTATATCTATTAGGATGAATTAAAGACAGTCATTTTAATGATGAAGTATTCACATCAATGCAATTGAATGAAATCCCATATTAGGCAAGGGAAGGGAGTGATTAATTCAGGATCTTTAGTTGCAGAAAGAATTTTCTAGACTTACCAATAAAATATTTCTAACTCATTTTTGAATTAGGGGGTCTGGGAAACCAGGTTTACATTTGTGATCAGAGGAGACTTCTCCAGGAATCTACATATAAAATTGGATGGTTAATACAGAGAGGCTAGCTTCCTTAAGAGTGCTTGAGGTATTTAACATGGTTGTCTCCTGGGAGTCAGAGTAGACCTCCTGAAACATGATTTTCTGCAAAAATGCTGGCTGAGTTAACTAGAGCAGGGCCTTCAAATTAAATGTCCACATTCTGACTGCTTTGGCAGTGTGTGGATGTGAGGTCTTGTAAGAGATTGAATAGTTATTTATTTATTTATTTTTATTTTTTGTTTTTCTTTATTTCTTCTAAAAAAAATGGGATACATCTGCAGAACGTGCAGGTTTGTTACATAGATATACATGTGCCATGGTGATTAGCTGCACCTATTGACCCAACCTCTAAGTTCCCTCCCTCACCCCCCACTCCCCAACAGGCCCTGGTGTATATTGTTCCCCTCTCTGTGTCCATGTGTTCTCATTGTTCAACTCCCACTTATGAGTGAGAACATACTGTGTTTGGTTTTCTGTTCCTGTGTTAGTTTGCTGAGGATGATGGCTTCCAGCTTCATCCATGTCCCTGCAAAGGACATGATGACATGACCTCATTGCTTTTTATGGTTGGATAGTATTCCATGGCATATATGTACCACATTTTCTTTATCCAGTTTATCATTGATGGGCATTTATGTTGGTTCCATGTCTTTGCTATTGTAAACAGTGCTGCAATAAACATACGTGTGCATGTGTCTTTATAGTAGAATGATTTATATTCCTTTGGGTATATACCTAGTAATGGGATTGCTGGGTCAAATGGTATTTCTGATTCTAGATCCTCGAGGAATTGCCATACTGTCTTCCACAATGATGGAACTAATTTACATTCACATCAGCAGTGTAAAAGCATTCCTATTTCTCCACAGCCTCACCAGCATCTATTGTTTCTTAACTTTTTAATAATCACCATTCTGACTGGCATGAGATGGTATCTCACTGTGGTTTTGATTTGCATTTCTCTGATAATCAGTGATGTTGAGTATTTTTTCATGTGTTTGTTGGCTGCATAAATGTCTTCTTTTGAGAAGTGTCTGTTCATATTCCTTGTCCGCTTTTTGATGGGGTTGTTTGTTTTTTTCTTGTAAATTTGTTTAAGTTCCTTGTAATTCTGGATATTAGACCTTTGTCTGATGGGTAGATTGCAAAAGTTTTCTCCCATTCCATAGGTTGCCTGTTCACTCTGATGATAATTTCTTTTGCTGTGCAGAAGCTCTTTAGTTTAATTAGATCCCATTTGTCAATTTTGGCTTTTGTTGCAATTGCTTTTGGCATTTTCGTCATGAAGTCTTTGCCCATGAAGGTATGGTGCTTTAGGACCAATAAATTCCTTAAAGGAGATGTAGCTAAGAATCTCCAAAATGTAATCCACATCTGTGCTTAAGGGGAGAGAGCAGAGTTGCATCCTGTTGGTTCATGGGAAGCCCACATGCTTTCATGATGGAAAGGCTTGCAAGTCCATGCTGTTTCTGCCATCCCCAGCTTACATTTTTTTCAACTTCAGGGGCTTTCTTAGAGTTGAACAGGTAGAACGATATACCCCTCTGGCTGCCTCATTCCACTCCACCTTAAGGCTCTTATATTAGAGCTCTGAAAGCAGGAAATAATGATAAAGCTGCCACCTGGAAAGCTACTTTTCTCTCATGTGCAATGTAAAGCAAGCAGCTCTCGTTGCTTTCTTGTGTTTATGGCAAATGCCTTTCAAGAAGATGTAGGAACCTGCAAAATGCATGCTGGAAAATTACTCGGGAGCACTCAATTCCACCCTCAGCATATCCTGAGCAGTGGCCACATTTATTTGTAGAAATCATGCTCAAGTACAATGAAGACAAAAAGTCCTCGAAATATCACAGCCTTTATACTCGGGAGATAAACATTCACAAGCCGGCCCCAACTGCACCATACCAAGATAAGTATGGACCTGCAGGATAGCCTAGGCTGTGCTGCAGTGACAGACCAACAGAAATATCAGTGTTTCAATACATAAAGTTTTGCTTATTCAAAGTCTACTAGGAGCCCATTAGCTCTGTACAGCAGCTTCTTTTCAAGCAATGACACAGGGATCCAGACTGACTTCACTGAGGCTGTCTCTTCTCAATGGTGGCCAAACCAATCAACATGGGAGGGTAAGTGGGAGCTGCAGGTTGCCTAGAAGCTTTATGGCACCTTAATGGCCAAGTTGAGGCATAGCTCACTCCTGCCACATCCCATGGGCCAGGACCAGTCACATGGTGCCAGCTAACTGTAAAGGAGACTAGGAAGTGGAGGGCAGCACCTTTTGTGTGATGAGCATTAAATGTCTCTGCTACAACCTTTTGCTCAGTCAGGGAAAATGAGAAGAGAGACTCTCCTTTAGGAACATCAGATTTAGTAATATTAGACATGGAGGCACAATACTCATTCTGTGCAATACCAGATTATTCAGGAATACAAGACAGAAAAAAAGATGGAGCTGTTCCCATATCTATAGCTATAATTATGGCCTTTTGACACAAGCTTTCTAAGCTCAGTTACATTAATTTAGCTCTCTCATTATAAATGATGAATTTTATTGGTTTTCCTAATGTCCTTTATTCTTTGTAGAGGAGTTTAACAGTCATCAAAGCTGATTATAATGTACTTGTTAATGTTTTCAATTTAATTCAAGCATGAAGTGGGGTTTATGACATTTCTACAATAAATCTCATTGTTAATTCATTGTTTCTTCCATCCAACATCCTTGTTTTCCTTGTTAGATTTAATTAAAAATCCATTTGAAGCACATCTATAGCCTTACTAATATAATATTCAAAAGCTCTACACTACACCAGAAATGCATGAATCATCTCTCTATACTGCATCATTCTCTCATTGTAACTATGCTTTTTATTATTTAGCACTTAAAAATTCAGGAAGAAGGTTCATGAAGTTCATTAATCAGTTCATATTTAATCATATCTTCATAATTTTAGAAGGGTGTATATTTTTTCATAAATTAGATAATGAGCTTCCAGTAAAAATTACCTGGAATACTTTTGGGTCAAATTGAGAATATAAGGCAATGGCCCTTACACAAGACCAAACTGATTTGATAATAAATTAATAATATGTCAAGTAAATTATAAGGTTAACTGTTACTTTACTCCTTTTCTTCACAAATCTCTTCCTATCTCTACTTGAAGAGCTGTTAGCTCACTCAAATTTAAGACAGAGGATTTAAACTCTTCAATAATAAGAACATATCTAACTACTCATCTGGGTACAGTTGTAATGTACAATCTTACTGCTCCAAGATATATATATAATGGCACTTGAGTTACAAAGTCATATTTTGGTATCTATGAGAAGAGTAAGAGACTGAACATAGTTAATCTTACAAATCACAGTTTCCTGGAGTTTCAAGGGTCATTGAAGGTCATTTAATTGACTCTCCTATTCACTATGTCATTCCTTCTAAAGTATTACTGTCAGGTAACCATCTGGCTTCTCCTGGAACGCTTTTAATGAAAAGGGGTTCACAATATTTCCAGGTCATTGCAATGTTAAAGTTCATTGTTGGATGTAACCTACTTTATTTGGAACAAAAACTTATCTTTATATAACTTCTTCCCAATGATCTTAACTCTACCATGTCTAGAAACACAATTTCTCTCCCTACTGACAGCTATGATGTCTGCCTTTAATATTTTTTTAGTGGAAAGCCTAAATCCCTCAATCATTAACAGTGAGATGGTTTAGAGACTCCTTACCGCATTGATCATCCTCTGCATTAGTGGTTGTCAGCTGGATGGGGATAGCCGCTACTTGGAACAGGGGGATTGGGTTTGTCTGGGAGGACAGTAGGGTTTTGTTCCCCTTACCTCTTGATTATAAGATGCTTCCTAAGGAGGAAAGCCTTTTCTCCATTCTTGGAATGACTGGAGTGAGTCCCCATAACTGATGATTTGTGTGAGAAGCCTACTAAATGTCAGCTAAAATTTGTTAACATGCTCTCTTAATATGATGTCCTAATTTTAATACAGAACTCCAGCTGTAGCTTGATAATTACAAAATATAATAAAACTAGTATCTCCCATATTCTGAAGATCCCACCTATAGTGATATAGCTATCACCTGAGCTTTCTCAGGCCCTAAAACCTATAAATATACATGGTTTATTATTAATCATAAAAAAACAAATTTTATTGACTTTCATCTATGCTGTCTCACTCAGCTACTTAGTGCCTCCTGCTACCCCACCCACAGACACATAGCAGGTATATCTTAGAATTTCACCAAGAAGTTAAAAAAAAAAGACAAGACAACTACAGTCAATCAGATGTAGTGGATTTTATCATTTAATTCCCACAGCAGGTCTGTTATGTGAGTTACTTTACAAAGCAAAAAATAACATCAGAGAGGCTAAGTAATTTGCTAAGGTTCCATGTCTCTCAAAAGGCAGATTACTGTATAATTGCATAAATAATCATGAGCTGTTGTGCAATATGATAACAGATGATACAATCATTTAGCATAACAGCTTTAAATTATCTTGTCTCAAATTTCTAGCAACCTAGAACCTAGATGACCATTCCAAATTATTGTTGGTTTCATTGGCTGTATTTTCACAGGACTGCAGACTCCCACAGCTCGCTCTGTGTGGTGATCAAGGTCAAGGCTGTAGTCAGGGTCTACATACTGTTTTTCAAGGTGAAGCACACTTACTAGGCATACTAAAGCTATGTATTCAAGACAAGTGGAAGTGAAAGGTCATGAACATGGTGACTGCTTTGAGTACTTGAGCATCTAAGGCCCTTCACCTCCCTCAGAACTGTTTCAAATGTATCCTCAAACCACATTACCCAAATCTCACACCAATCTGAGTTCTGTCTCTCTGTCTCTAACTGGCCAGGTCAGAGACCTATGCTTTAGGCTCCTACACTTTATAGACCAGAAAGGTCATTCTGCAGCAAGTGGAATGTGACTGCCAGACGCTTCATGTCTGAGCTTTTATAATGCATGAGCAGGTCCAACTAATACTAATTGCAGGGAAAATGTTTCAGTGTTTAAATCAGAATATGCTCCTTATGATTACTTTTGAAATCTATCATATCCAAGCAGCTTATGACTGAGAACTCTAGAAAGTCAGGAAAAAAAAATCCTAGTTTTGGGAATTTAAAGCCATATGAAGAATATGGTACAGTTAATGACTCCCCCACAGCTATGATGTCAAGCTGGTTGGGAACCACCCCAGGAATATCCTGAGTTCTTTTCCTTGGGCTTTGATCTAAAAGTATCTCTTTGATGGAAGCTACTCCTTCATGTAAAAAGAGACAGCTCCATAAAGGAGGCAAGCAAAATCTTCTGGACTGATTTCTCTTTTGGGATCAGATTTCTGGATATGGATAAACAACATTTAAAAAAAAATTTCCAGTCATCTTTACCATTCTTAATGCTTTATGTAATTTTTTAAAATCTTATCAGGATAAATTTTGTAACAGCTCTGAATTGAGTTGTACTCTCCCCTCATTAAAAACAATAATAAAATAAATAACAACAGAACAAAACACCATTATCAAAGCAGGAAGTTAGCTCAGGGAATAGAGCAAATGAAACACAAAACACACCCTCTTAGAAACTGACATAGTAGAAAAAGCACGGCATTAAATATCAAATCTATAGCTGATCAATCTTGTGAAGATCATATGAAAATTGGCATACAACAGAAAATGCTATTGAAATATTGTTATTAAATTTAAGCCTCTCACTTAGAAACAGGCATATATATGGACTCACGCATTTATTCAATCAACAAATATCTGTAGAGTACCTGGCACATACCACTGAGATAAATGTTAGGTATTTATTCTGACTTAAGTTACTGGAACAGTTTTTCTAATCTTGTCTATGATTTTTACAGAGAATAAAATAATTTTCTGTTGCATGATTTAAAACTCTCAGCAACAGGTTGCAGTAATAAATCATCTAAAGCATATCTGTTCACTTTTGGACTTCATGCCACCACTGCAATCCAATTATATGTTACTTATCATAAAAACTCAGGGGGTTTCTTCACATTAAGGTATTTGCATTCATGGAAAAATTGAGGTACAAGGCCTATTTTTGATTGTTTTAACATGTATGGCTACCTGTGTCCCTGATTTCTGATCAAGTTGAGGAGACAGAATGAACTGAGAGAAGAACGTTAAGCATTTGAGAGATCAATCTTTTGCGTGAGTAGGCCCAACAGAGCAATCTAACATGTTCTTTTGAAAAGTGTGAGAGTGGTAGGAGGGAGAGGAGAAGAAAAAAATAACTATTGGTACTAGGCTTAGTACCTGGGTGATGAAATAATCTGTACAACAAAACTCCCGTGACATGAGTTTACCTATATAATAAACCTGCACGTGTACCCCCGAACCTAAAATAAAATTCTTTTTAAAAAAAAGGAAGAAGAAATTCTTGGTTTTGGAAGGACTGTGGGGGAAGGGTAAAGAATAAAGGCACAGTTGAGTGGATGTGCCTCTGCCGGAGAATGGGGAGTGGTGACACTGTTTCTCCCATTGGGTGCCCGGGTTAATTCCCGGCTACAATCCCTGGTAGTGGAGATGATGAGGTGGGCATTTCTCTCCACATCCATCTTGCAGAAGGCGAGAGACAGCCACCCTCAGTGCTACAGTGAGAAAGAGGGCTTGTTGTTAGTTACTTAAGGCTGGGGAAGAAATGGGTATTCTTTTGGCAAAGCAAGAACAAAAATAGTGGTGGTGCATCTTTTTAAGTGGGGGAACATTCAAGGATTTCCCAGCAAAATAAAAAAAAAAACAAAAGATTCCCACTATCTCCACACCTGTCTATAATTGTAGTGAAGGTATTTACCAATGCGATTGGCCAATATGAAGTAGTTATAGGCATAAGAATTAGAAAGGAAGAGATATAACTAACTGTATTTGCAGAAGGTATAATTATTAAATACCTTGAAAACCTCAAAGCATCCCTGAAAAAACACTACAGAAATAACATAATTCAGTGAACATAGAGAAATTATTTGTCCCTATACATACGCAGCATAACCTAACGAAGATAAAATGGAGGCAAAGACTCCATTTACAGTAGTAAAAATAGTAACAGTAATAATAACAGAAAACCTAGGCATAATTTAGCAGTACATATCTAACACCTATGTGAAGACAATTATAAAACACTCCTGAAAGACACAAAAACAAACCTGAGCAAACGGAATTACACTTACCTTGTTTGGGATAGGAAAGCTCAATACTCACTATGTCAATTCTCCTTAAATTAATTTATAAATGAAATGTGTTCACTACAAAAATATTCTCATAATTTTTTCCAGAGTGGATAAGTTGATTACAAGAAGCAAGAAGAGCCACAAAAAAAAAAAGAAAAAAGAAAAAGAAAAAGAAAAAAAGAAGAAAAACATCCTGAAAATCAGAAAAATGGAAAGGGGCAAGAAATATACCATGGAAATTACTTCACAGCATAAGGTAAAGGTATTATCTAATATTAAAACATAGTGCCCTCTAAGTATAGTTCTGTATTATTAGAGAGTGAACAGATAGACTAATAGTAAACTTAAAAATATATTCAATGGAATCTTGTCTCAATGGAGACAAGATGGACTTTTCAGTAAGTGCTGGAGTAAGTGGATGATTATATTTGTAAACCAATAAAATTGAATCCATTGTACTATATAAACATACCAGAGATTTAAATGTTAAAAATAAACCATGTAAGTTTTAAATTCTGTTTACATGATGTATCACATTTATTGACTTGCCTATGTTAAACCATACCTGCATTCCTGGTATGAAACCCACTTGATCATGATGTATTATCTTTTTGATACGCTGTTGGATTCAGTTAGCTAATATTTTGTTGAGGATTTTTCCATCTATGTTCATCAGGGATACTGGTCTGCAGTTTTCTTTTTCTGTTATCTCCTTTCCTGGTTTTGGTATTAGGTTGATATTGGCTTCACAGTATGATTTAGGGAGGATTCCTGCTTTCTCTATCTTTTGAAATAGATTCAGTAAGATTGCTATTACTTCTTCTTTGGATATCTGATAGAATTTGGCTGTGAATCCATCTGATCCTGGACTTTTTTTTTGTTTGCAATTTTTTAAATTACTGATTCAGTCCAAGTCTTAAATCTAAGACCCCAAACCATAAAAATTCTAGGAGATAACATCAGAAAAATTCTTCTAGATGTTGGCTTCGGCAAAGAATTTATGACTAAGAACCCAAAAGCAAATCCAACAAAGCCAAAAATAAATAAATGGGACCTAATTAAAGTAAAAGCTTCTGCACAACAAAAGAAATAATCAGCAGAGTAAACTGACAACCCAGAGAGTGGGAGAAAATATTCCCAAACTATGCATCCAACAAAGGACTAGTACCGAGAATCTAAAAGGAATTCAAACAAATCAGCAAAAAACAAACAAACAAACACAACAAATAAGCCCAACAAAAAGTGGGCAAAGAAGCCAGGCACTGTGGCTCATGCCTGTAATCCCAGGACTTTGGGAGGCTGAGGCAGGCGGATCACTTGAGGTCAGGAGTTCGAGTGAATCCAGACTGGCTAACATGGTGAAACCCCATCTCTACTAAAAATACAAAAAAAATTAGCTGGGCGTGGTGGCACCTGCCTGTAATCCCAGCTCCTTGGAGGCTGAAGCTCAATAATCGCTTGAACCTGGGAGGCGGAGGTTGCAGTAAGCCGAGATGTTGTCACTGAACTCCAGCCTGGGTGACAGAGTGAGACTCCATCTCAAAAAAAAAAAAAAAAAAAGTGGGCAAAGGACATGAATAGACAATTCTCAAAAGAAGGTATACGAACAGCTCACAAACATATGAAAAAATGCTCAACATCACTAATTATCAGGAAAATGCAAATTCAAGCCACAAGGAGATACTACCTCACTCCTGCAAGAATGGCCATAATTTAAAAATCAAGATCATGGCAGACTGGAGGCAGGACTAGATTGCAGCTCCAGACAGATCAGCAGGTGGGGACTCATATTGCAAATTTTAGCTCTAGATCGACTGCAAGAACAAACCAGCAATCTTGGGAGGACCCACAGACCCTCTGCAGGAAGTGGACTGCTCCTGCAGGACCTGGGAGGCACCCCCAAAACAGTGAGTGCCCCAACTGCGGAAGTGGGAAAGGGAGACCATCCCCTCCCAAACACACATCCCCACTGGAGAAGCCGAAGGCCTGTTTGCCGGAGAAGTTTCCGACTTTACCTGGAGCTGAGTCAATCTGGAGAGCCGAGGGAAATACACGGGTAGAGAAAGCAGCAGAAAGGCCCTGGGAGCTCGCTGGGTCCCCTAGCAGGCCATTCCTGCCTGGCACCTCAGGGATCCAACAGGAGAGGAGCAGGGGTAAAACTACACAAGGAGAAGGAAATCTCTAGCTGAACTTTGTAATAATTTGAACGGGTTAAGAAGCCTCCTGGCCAGAACTCAGCGCAAATCCGTTGTGCAGACTCCACAGCAGGGGAAGAACCAAGCCCTTTTCTTTAGCAGCTGGGAGGCGGGTAGCCTGGGGCAGGTTTCCAAGCCCGTGTAGCTCTCCGCCTGGAAAGGACTGGCGGCTGTTGTTGGGGCACCGTAGGAATGAGACACCCCCTTCTGTTTGCATGGGAGCTGGGTGAAGCCTGTGACTGCCGACTTTCCCCCACTTCCCTGACAACCCGCATGGCTCAGCAGAGGCAGCCATAATCCTCCTAGGTACACAACTCGATGACCTGGGAATCTCACCCCATTCTCCACAGCAGCCGCAGCAAGACAGTCTGAGCTCAGACATACCTAGGCCCAGCCCCAACTGATGGTCCTTCCCTGCTCACCCAGTAGTGGAAGACAAAGGGCATATAATCTTGGGAGTTCTAGGGCCCCGCCCACTGCCAGTTCCTCCCCATACTACCACAGCTGATGCTCTCTGGAAAGTACCACCTCCTGGCAGGAGGCCAACCAGCACAAAAATAGAGCAGTAAACCACCAAAGCTAAGAACCCTCATGGAGTCCATTGCACCACCCCGCTACCTCCACTGCAACAAGCACTGGTATCCACGGCTGAGAGACCCATAGGCGGTTCACATCACAGGACTCTATGCAGACAACCCACAGTACCAGACCGGAGCCAGGTAGACTCACTGGGTGGCTAGACCCAGAAGAGAGACAACAATCCCCATCAGAATACCACCATCATTCTTCACAGAATTAGAAAAAACAATTCTAAAATTCATGTGGAACCAAAAAAGAGCCTGCATAGCCAAAGCAAGACTAAGCAAAAAGAACAAATCTGGAGGCATCACACTGCCTGATTTCAAACTATACTATAAGGCCATAGTCACCAAGACAGTATGGTACTGGTACAAAAATAGGCACACAGACGAGTGGAACAGAATAGAGAACCCAGAAATAAACCCAAATACTTACAGCCAACTGATCTTTGACAAAGCAAACTACAAGCATAAAGTGGGGATAGGACACCCTTCTCAACAAATGGCCCTGGGATAATTGGCTAGCCACATGTAGGAGAATGAAACTGGATCCTCATCTCTCACCTTATACAAAAGTCAACTCAAGATGGATTAAGAACTTAAACCTAAGACCTGAAACTCCAAAAATTCTAGAAGATAACATTGGAAAAACCCTTCTAGACATTGCCTTAGGCAAGGGTTTCATAACCAAGAACCCAAAAACAAATGCAATAAAAACAAAGATAAACAGCTGGGACCTAATTAAACTAAAGAGCTTTTGCACGGCAAAAAGAACAGTCAGCAGAGTAAGCAGATAACCCACAGAGTGGGAGAAAATCTTCTCAATCTATACATATTGACAAAGGTCTAATATCCAGAATCTACAATGAACTCAAACAAACTGGTAAGAAAAATACAAACAATTCCATCAAAAACTGGGCTAAGGACATAAACAGACAATTCTCAAAAGAAGATATACAAATGGCCAACAAACATATGAAAAAATGCTCAACAACACTAACAATCAGGGAAACGCCTATCAAAACCACAATGCGATACCACGTTACTCCTGCAAGAATGGACATAATAAAAAAATCAAAAAACAGTAGATGTTGGTGTTGGTGTGGATGCAGTGATCAGGGAACACTTCTATACTGCTGGTTGGAATGAAAACTAGTACTATTTTCCACTGTGGGAAATAGTGTGGAGATTCCTTAAAGAACTAAAAGTAGAACAATCATTTGATCCAGCAATTCCACTACTGGGTATCTAACCAGAGGAAAATAAGTCATCATCATGTGAAAAAGATACTTGTACATGCATATTTATAGCAGCACAATTCACAATTGCAAAATCGTGGAACCAACCCAAATGCCCATCAATCAATGAGTGGATAAAGTAATTGTGAGATATATATATATACACACACACACACACACACATACACACACACAGTGGAATACTACTCAGCCATAAGAAGGAATGAATTAACAGCATTTACAGTGACTTGGATGAGATTGGAGACTATTATTCTAAGTGAAGCAACTCAGGAATGGAAAACCAAACATTGTATGTTCTCACTGATATGTGAGAGCTAAGCTACGAGGACGCAAAGGCATGATAATGATACAATGGACTTTGGGGACTTGGGGGGAAGAGTGGGAGGGGGGCAATTGATAAAAAACTACAAATACAGTGCAGTGTATACTGCATGGGTGATGGGTGCGCCAAAATCTCACAAATCACCATTAAAGAACTTACTCATGTAACCAGATACCACCTGTACCCCAATAACTTATGGAAAAATAAAATTAAAAAAATAAAGGTTTATTAATTTTAAAGAAAGATTTCATTGTTGGCTTTTAGTTAACATCTTTATTGATGATCTGAGGAAAGGGTAATCAGTTTGTCAAATTTCTATGTTATTCAATTAGTAACTATTCTAAAAAAAAGTTGGAGGATAATAAAGTGATACTAGTAGATTAGAGAAGTCAAATATTCTACCAGGAAAAGTAAAGAATAGACACATTTACTATCTAAAGAATCATTCTCTTTTTTTTTATGAACAAAAATTCTACAAAAGAATCCCAAATCATTTTAAATTAACTTGATTTAAAGCAAAAGATGGAGGAAGTCCTAGCTAGAGCAATAAGACAAGAGAAAGAAAGAAAGAAAGAAAGAAAGAAAGAAAGAAAGAAAGAAAGAAAGAAAGAAAGAAAGCATCCACACTGGAAAGGAAGAAGTTAAATTATCCTTGTTTTCAAATGATATGATCTGATATTTGGAAAAAGCTAAAGACTCCACCAAAAAACTATTAGACCCAATAAACAAATTCAGTAAAGTTGCAGGATAAAAAAATCAACATACAAAAATCAGTAACATTTCTCTATGCCAACTGCAAACAATCTGAAAAAGAATCAAGAAAGTAATCCCATATAAAATAGCTACAAATAAAATTAAATACCTATGAATAAGCTTAACCAAAGAAGTAAAATATCTCTACAAACAAAACTATAAAACACAGAGAAAGAAATTGAAGAGGACACCAAAAGATGGAAAAAAATTAAATGTTCATGGATTGGAAGAATTAATATTGTTAAAATGTCCATACTGCCCAAAGCAATTGTGAACCCAGAAAATCTGAGACAGAGCTCAGGTAATTTAGAAAGTTTATTTTTGCCAAGGTTGAGGACATGCCCATGACACAGCCACAGGAAGTCCTGACAACATGTGCCCAAAATGGTTGGGCATGGCTTGGTTTTATACATTTTAGGGAGACCTGAGACATCAGTCAATACATATAAGAAGTACATTGGTTCGGTCTGGAAAGGTGGAACAACTTAAAGCAAAGGCAGGAAGACTTGATGTGGGGAGGGAGCTTCCAGGTCACAGACAGGTGAGAGACAAATGGTTAACATTCTTTTGAGTTTCTGATTAGCCTTTCCAAAGGAGGCAATCAGATATGCATCTATCTCAGTGAGCAGAGGGATAACTTTGAATACAATGAGAGGCAGGTTTGCCTTAAGAAGTTTCCAGCTTGAGTTTTCCTTAATAATTTTGGGGGCCCAAGATATCTTCCTTTCACACAATCTACAGATTCAATGCAATCTCTACCAAAATACCAATGACATTCTTTACAGAAATAGAAAAAACAATACTAAAATTTATATAGGACCACAAAAGACCCAGAAGAGCCAAAGCTATCCTGAACAAAAGGAACAAAGCTGGAGGAGTCATATTACCTGACTTCAAATTATACTACAGAACTATAGTAACCAAAACAGCATGGTACTGGCATAAAAACAGACACATAGACCAATGGAACACAATAGAGATCCCAGAAATAAATCTATACATTTACACTGAGCTCATCTACAAAGGTGCCAAGAACACACACCGGGGAAAGGACAGTCTATTCAAGAAACGATTCTGGGAAAGCTGGATATCCATATGCAGAAGGATGAAACTAGGCCCCTATCTCTTAACATATATAAAACAATCAAATCAAAATGGATCAAAGACTTAAATCTAAGACCTCAAATTATGAAGCTACTACAAGAAAACATTGGAGAAATATGTCCAGGGCATTGGACTGGGCAAAGATTTGTTGAGTAATATCCCACAAGCACAGGCAACCAAAGAAAAAAATGGACAAATGGGATCATTTCAAGTTAGAAAGCTTCCACACAGCAAAGAAAACAATCAACAAAGTGAAGAGAAAACCCACAAAATGGAGAAAACATTTTCAAACTATCCATCTGACAAGGGATTAATAATCAGAATATATAAGAAGCTCAAACAATTCAACAGGAAAAAATCCAATAATCTGATTAAGCAATGGGCAAAAGATCTGAATAGACATGTCTCAGACAAAGACATACAAATGGCAAACAGGCATGAAAATCTGCTCAACATCACTGATCATCAGGAAAATGCAAGTCAAAACTACAGTGAGATACCATCTCACCCCAGTTAAAATTGCTTTTATCCTAAAAACAGGCATTAACAAATGTTGGTGAGGATGTGGAAAAAAGGGAACCCTTGTACACTGTTGATAGGAATGTAAATTAATTCAACCACTGTGGAGAACGGTTTGGATCTTTCTCAAAAAAATAAAAATAGAACAAATAAATGATCTAGTAATCCCACTATTAGGTATATACCTAAAAGAAAGGAAATCAGTATATCAAAGAGATATCTGCACTCCATGTTTATTATTGCAGCACTATTCACAATGGCCAAGATTTGGAAGCAACTTAAGTGTCTATCAACAGATGAATGGATAAAGAAAATGTGATACATATGCACAATGGAGTCTTATTCAGCCGTACAAAACAATGAGATCCTTTCATTTGCAATAACAGGAATGGAACTGAAATTCAATAAGTTAAGAGAAATAAACCAGTCACAGAAAGACAAACTTCACATGTTCTCACTTATTTGTTGAGCTAAAAATAATTAAAACAACTGAACCCATGGAGATAGAGAATAGAATGATGGTTACAAGAGGCTGGGAAGTGTAGTCAAGGAGGGTGAGGGTGGATGGCTAATGGGTACAAAAATGTAGTTAGAATAAGATCTAGTATCTGATAGCATAATAAGGTGACTACAGTTTCTTGTGCATTTAAAAATAACTGAAAGAGTATACACTGGATTGTTTGTAACACAAAGAAAGGATAAATGCTTGAGGTGATGGATACCCCATTTACCCCGATATGATTATTATGCATTGAATGCCTGTATAAAAATATCTCATGTACCCCATACATATATATATAACTACTATGAACCCACAAAAATTAAAAATTAAAAACAATATAAGAATATTTGATGGGCAAAACATTAATTAATTCACTGCTCAATAAATAGGCAAAAATATGAAAAGTCACAAAAAGTGACATACAATTAGTAAAATAACATGATAAAATGTTCAATGTATTTATTTGACAATGTTCATTCGAAAAATGTTCAAGCAAAATAAATCATCGAAATTTTAAAAAATAAATTAGATGTCATTTTGTCTATTCAATGTTGTCTATTGGAGCTGGATATTACTAAAAGCAATGTTATGGTAAATAGCGAAATAGACCAAATATTAAAATGCTCACACCCTTGACCAGATCATTAAATGTCTAGAAATATCTCTTTATTTTCCTTCAACTTTTAAGTTCCAGGGTACATGTGCAGGGTGTGCAGGTTCATTACATAGGTAAACATGTGCCATGGTGGTTTGCTGCACAGATCAACATGTCACCTGGGTATTAAGTCCATCATACATGAATTAGCTATTTTTCCAGATGCTCTCCCTCCCCCCACCCCTCCAACAGGCCCCAGGGTATGTTGCTCCCCCCGCTGACCCTGTGTTCATGTGTTCTTATTGTTCAGTTCTCACTTATAAGTGGTAACATGTGGTGTTTGATTTTCTGTTCCTGCATTAGTTTGCTGAGGATGATGGCTTCCAGCTCCATCTGTGTCCCTGCAAAGAAAGTGATCTTGTTCCTTTTTGTGGCTGCATAGTATCCCATGTGTATATGTACCACATTTTCTTTATCCAGTCTATCATTGGTGGGCATTTGGGTTGATTCCATGTTTTTGCTATTGTGAAGCAATAGTGATAGGCATTTGGGTTGATTCCATGTCTTTGCCATTGTCAATAGTGCTGCAACGAATATACGTGTGCATGTATCTTTATAACAAAATGATTCATATTCCTTTGGGTATATACCCAGTAATGGGATTGCTGGGTCAAATGGTATTTCTGGTTCTAGATCTTTGAGGAATTGCCACACTGTCTTCCACAATGATTGAACTAATTTACATTCCCACCAACAGTGTAAAAGCATTCCTATTTCTCCACAGCCTCGCCAGCATCTGTTGCTTCTTGACTCTTTAATATTTGCCATTCTTGTGTGAGATGGTATCTCATTGTGGTTTTGATCTGCATAGAAATATGTCTTAAGAAAATGTTCTGAAATACAAATGCTTTATGTAAGAATAAATAAATACATACATAAAATAAAACACAAGATGGAATGATAAGGACAGTTTTATTTGTGATTATGATGCCATATTTCTCTCAAAATAGCTCCTTTAGTTGCCACATATGTGGTCAAAGAGCCAACACAAAGTTTCAACCAATTGTGAGCAAATGAAGATGCAGTTATGCATCATGATTCTGTTTCTTTTGTCCATAAACAAGAGTGGATTTGTCCATGGTGTTTTCTCTAATTCTAAACAAAAAATTTTAACAGAGCACTAAACTTTATTTGGCTAGTAACAAAGACTTACTCTCCCTTAATTAATACCACCCCATCTATACTTTTCTTTTTTATTCCCAGTCTCCTTTATTTTGAAGCCTGATCATTTGGTAGCTCCACAAAATGGACCCGAAGAAGTGAGCCTCATGCAGATGGATGATTGCAGTGACTTATCCAAGGTGTCTTAGGAGGTAGATGGTAGCTGTCAGTCAATATTCCTAATGCTACTCCAGTGCTCTGCTCACTAAACCACACTGTACGTAGCTACACTATTTGTAGTTTTAACATATTTGAACTACTTGATCCTTGATATTAAAAACATGTTCTTTTTCAGATTCTGTGTCCAGCTATGCCCAGAATATTTGTAAACTCAGAATCTTGAGGCAACATTTTATAAAATATTTTACAGTGTATTATCATTTTATATTTAATTGCCTCTGGGCATGATACCTAGAAAAATGAAGCATGTTATAGGGAAAGTAATGTATGAGTAAATACTAAATATTTGGAGGAACTAGTAAAGAAAGGTGAGAAAAGAAAATGGTATCAGTTTTCTTTATATGTGTGGGTGTGTGTGTCTTACAAATCAGCAGAACAAAGCAACTTGGGATATATGTTCTTGGAATATATTTTTTTTCTCTCAGAAAATATTCTACTAATAGATGTACATGCTTTTGTGAAATCCATCTAGCTAAATGGGACAGGATTCCAGATTCTGTAATGCCCATGCAGGGTCTCAGGACTAGAGAATGATAATATATACAATTGTTGTCAATTGCGGTTGAACTTTAGAATTTTCAGAATAAATTCAAAGGAATTTTTAAAAATTTCAGTGTTTGAACTTTTGCAGTGAAACATAGACATTAGTATTTCCAGAAAGCTTCCTAGAGGATTCTGTTGCACAGTAAAGGTTAAGAACCACTGCGATAGGCAATATCTCTGTTTGGTAAAGGATATATCCTATACTACAATACAACCAATGATTGCTGCTAGCAGAGGGCCTGCTATGTCTTACAAAAAAGCCTAAAGATGCATAAAAGATTTAAAAGCCTCCTACTGTAGAGGAGGGCTGCCAGGCCTGTGCTACATTCCAATCAGGAAGGGTGCAGGAGCCACTCAATGGAGCCTAATCCTAAACAGCTGGCTAGTACAGTAATTTCACTGAGAAGCTGTAGTTCTTCATTTTGAAAGCCATTTGATCTGGCAACTCAGACAAGTTTTAGGGAAAGGCCCTTGAAATAACATTGATGGCTAATGAAGTGCTTTCTCAAGTTCAAAAGCAAAGCAAAGCTAACAGGCTCTAATTTTTTTTCTGAACAAATCTATACATGTATTTCTCCTTTCCTAATTAATTTTCATGTGCAGCTCATCTCCCAACAAAATGCTAAAGCTGAAGAGTCCTGAATAATATGTTTCCATATACATTCCTTTGATACTTGTCTCATGTGTACCCACAGGATTCTAATTTATGGAGGTGACTGACTGATGACACGTGGGAAGGTCAATGGCATTGAAAGAAGAATGTATCACTTACAGTTCCCAAGAGAAAGGGACATACTACACCATGCATGGTCATGGATAAAAATGCCAGATTTGGGCCGGGCAGGGTGGCTTACGACTGTAATCCCAGCACTTTGGGAGGCCGAGGCGGGTGGATCACGAGGTCAGGAGATCGCGACCATCCTGGCTAATATGGTGAAACCCCATCTCTACTAAAAATACAAAAATTAACCGGGCGTGGTGTCGGCCGCCTGTAGTCGCAGCTACTCGGGAGGCTGAGGCAGGAGAATGGCGTGAACCCGGGAGGCGGAGCTTGTAGTGAGCCGCGATCGCGCCACTACACTCCAGCCTGGGCGACAGAGTGAGACTCCGTCTCAAAAACAAACAAACAAACAAAGCCAGATTTGTGTTTGTTTTTGTTTGGATGCAGAAGCAGGAGTGATGGTGAAGTCTAGCCAGAGCCTTTATTGGGTTCCTGTAGTTTAGGCAAGGCAGGGCGGCAGTGTACCTAGCTCAGGGCTGGCTAGTGTGGATAGTTCCAGTGGGCTCTGGGCTATAGGGGTGGTCTCCAATTGCCTGATAGCTGGCCCTGGGAGGACTCGGAGCAGGTTTGGTGTATAAGAGTTAGATAAGGAGATGGTTGGGGATATGGACCCAACATTGGGTGGTTTGTACACAAACGATGTGCTCCAGGCCAAGCCCTTTACTTTCTCTCAGAATCGGAAGCCCTGAGAAGGGCAGTCTCTCCGCAGCCAACAAAACTTTTAAGATGTCAAAACATCACAAAGTACAGAAAATAAGAGACAATTAATACAATGCTTCCATCTGGACAAATAAGTTGTGTGAGTTGGAGGGTGCTGGGGCATCAGACGGTCATGTAGGGGTCAAAGTTTCCTTCAGCCTCCCAGTGCTGCTTGTCAGTGACCAGGGTCAGCAGGTGGCCACTGGTGACCAAGGACATGGCAGAGACAGTTCTCTTTCAGTCTCCAGGTGAGTGAGCAGATGAAGTGATGATAAAGTCTCAAAGTCTGATTGTTATGTTTTGAAAAACAGGGGCCAGGTGCAGTGGCTCACGCCTGTAATCCCAGCACTTTGGGAAGCTGAGGCAGGCAGATCACCTGAGGTTAGGAGTTCAAGACCAGCCTGGCCAACAAGATAAAACCCCATCTCTACTAAAAATACAAAAATTAGCCAGGAGTGGAGGCGAGCACCTGTAATCCCAGCTAATAGGGAGGCTGAGGCAGGAGAATCGCTTGAACCTGGGAGGTGAAGGTTGCAGTGAGCTGAGATCATGCCACTGTACTCCAGCCTGGGCGACAGAGTGAGACTATGTCTCCAAAAAAAGAAAAAGAAAGAAAAACAGGAGAGCGTTCTTTATTCTCTGGTCCTATTTATGAGGTTTCCCCTATACATTCTTAAAACTTCGTTGATACACTGATGTGAAATTAATAACCTTAGCAAAGAATAATAAAACACGTTTTTCTTTTTTTTTTCGTATAGCAGAAAAAGAATGCCAGACACAGCTGAAATCTTTCAGGTTTTATACACTATTTGTAGCTTTAATATATTTGGTTGAAGTATTTGATCTTTTACATTAAAAACATGTTCTTTTTCAGATTCTTTATCCAGCTATGCCCAGAATATTTGTAGACTCAGAATTTTGAGGCAATATTTTTATTAGATATTTTACAGTGTATTATCATTTTATATTTAATTGTCTCTGGGCATGGTATCTAGAAAAATGAAGCATGTTATAGGGAAAGTAAGTTATGACTAAATATTAAGTATTTGGAGGAACCAGTAAAGAAGGGTGAGGAAAGAAAATGGTGTCAGTTTCTTTGTGTGTGTGTGTGTGTGTGTGTGTGCATGCACGTGTGTGTGTCTTAGGAATCATCAGAAGGAAGCAACTATAACATTTCTTTGAGTTAAAATATATGTTGACACAAAATAAAGACTTATTTGCAAAGGAGACTCATACCCCATAAAAGTCCAAAGTTTAACATGAGTTAGAGTAAGTGGAGTAATGCATATCCCTCATGTTGTTTCATTTATGTGACTCAAAACTTTCTCTTTAGCCACTGGTATACTCAGCCCAAATGAGATTACTTCAGAATGGCTGACAAGTCCGCTGGTAGGAGAAGGGTAAATAAGAACTGTTAACAGTTAGGCAGAGTCAATTAATTCATTTTCCCCACTAGCTATTGGGTGGGATGTTTGCATGGCACTTATATGCAGAAGGTGTAAAGACTTCTCAGTTTTTGAAAATTATTACATCCAGCTAAAATTTTCTATAGCCTCGCTTTGATGAAGATACTATTGGAAACCTGCTAAATAATTTTCTTATTTATATTTAAATAGTACTTGTTGGTAAAAAAAAATCGCAGTGGCTCACGCCTGTAATCTCAGCACTTTGGGAGGCTGAGGTAGTTGGATCACGAGGTCAGGAGTTCGAGACCAGCCTGACCAACATGGTGAAACCCTGTCTCACTAAAAATGCAAAAATTAGCCGGGCATGGTGGTACGTGCCCGTAATCCCAGCTATTCAGGAGGCAGAAGTTGCAGTAAGCTAAGATTGTACCACTGCACTCCAGCCTGGGTGACAGTATAAGACTCTGTCTCAAAAAAAAAAAAAAAAATAACAAAGAGGAAATTTGTTTTTTTCTTTCTGATTTCCAAATGTTTATAGTTTTAAAAGGTGACAATTCGCCTTATCTATCTTCCACTGGAGGATTAAAGGAAGAGTTTTATTGATTTGTTTTAAGGACATCTAGTTTAGTTTTTTTTCATTAAATATTAATAATTTGCCATATTTGATTTCATGAATCATTCACTTCTGTCAATATTCTATATACGCAAATTAACTTTGTTGAGTTTAATCCCACCTGCATTATCTATATTCCCTGAGACTAATTTTTCTAGGGTCTGTGTATGATTTATTATTATTGCTGAATTTATTTTATATTTTTGTGAGGTACAAGGTTGAACTGTGAATGGGGGTAGATAAAATCTTTTTTTTTTTTTTTTGGCAGAATTTTTTTTAGTCTTCAGGCTCCATGAATAAGCAACTTCCAAACCACATAGTGGTATTGCTTAGTTTAACTTTGCTATTGTCCATAGTAATCTTCAGGAGACATGTAGAAGGCTGTGCCATGCTTACTGTGGTGGGAAGTTAAGCATAGGTGGCTAATGTTCTCTGCTATTTGGTAATGGGAATGAAAGGAGCTTCAGTGTAATATGCTACCAGGCATTTTTTCATGGATGACTCAAATTCTAAATGACTGATCTTTAATGCCACACTTTAGATAATACCAAACTGTTGTAGAAAGATGACAACCATTCTAAATCGAGGTTATGGTTAGATTATCCATGTGTATTTGGGGGCCTCTTCAGAGTAGAAGATTGTTTTCAGTACTATTGAGTGCAGATGAGGAGGCGGGGCTCATGAACTGTGTCTAGTAAGCATTCACTGAGGGCTATTCCATGGCAGAAACTTTGCTGAGCATTGGTAATTACCCATGGGGTAGCACAATCCTTGCTTTCAATAAATGTGTAGTCTGTATGTACACATATATATATATACACACACACACATATATGTATATAAAATAAGTACCATGCAGTATAGTATGTACTATAAAATGCAGGGTACAGTGCAAATATTAAATAGAATGGCTGAAGCAGTTTTTGAGCCTACAAATCTGAAAAATCAGCAAAAATATATATCAATTCCCTAAAACTTAGAATGCAACATACAAGTAGGCACAAACATCATCAAATAAAAGCTAATGATCATTGTACCAGGCACAGGACTGAGTCATTTCCATGCATTATCTAATTCCATGAAAACCAGAGGAGGTAAACAGTATAATTATTTATTATTTATATGTGAGGAAACTGAGGCTTATTGAGATGAAATATCTTGCTCCAGATCGGTGCTACTCAAAGTGGTCCCAAAAATGATGCTGGTTAGTGAACTGTCACTAACTGATCCATAATGGTCACTGATCCATAATGAGTTAGTGTTAGAAACATTTGTGATTGTTGAATTGAATAATAAAAAAAATGCTTGCATTTTGTGTGTCTTTTTAAAAAAGCTTGTGGGAAAATATATATAAAATGTATCATTTTAACAATTTCTTAGAGTACAATTCAGTGACATTAAGAATGCTTACAATGTTATACAACTATTACCACCTTCTATTTACAGAATATTTTCATTGTCTCAAATAGAAATTCTCCACCCACTGACTCCCCATTTTCCCTTTTCTTCAGCCACTGGCAACTTCTGATCTACTTTCTTTCTCATGAATTTGCCTATTCTAGGTATTTAATATAAATGGAGTCATATAATATTTGTCATTTTGCATCTGGCTTATTTCATTTAATGTAATTTTTCAGGGTTCATCCATATTGTTGCATGTCAGAACTTCATTCTTTTTATTGCCGAATAATACTCCATATAGAGTGCACTTTGGTTATTCATGTATCTGTTGATGGACATGTGATATTTCTACCTTTTGGCTATTGTGAATAATCCCATTAGGAACACTGGCATACAAGTAACTGCTTGAGTCCTTGTTTACAATTTTGTTGGGTATGTATCAAGGAGTGGATTATTGGCTTATACAGTAATTCTATATTTAACAGTTTTAGAAACCAGCAAATTGTCTTCCACAGTGGCCACACAATTTTGCATTACTACCAGCAGTATACAAAGGTTCCAAGTTCTCCACATCCTCACCAACACTAGTTCTTTCTATGGTTTTTATTATAACCATACATGTTGGTATGAAGTGATACCTCATTGTGGTTTTGATTTTCATTTCCCTAATGACTAACGATTTTGAGCATCCTTCAATGTGCTCCTTAGCCATTTTTTTTTTTTTTTTTGAGAAGGAGTCTCGCTGTCGCCCAGGCTGGAGTGCAGTGGCGACATATCGGCTCACTGAAGGCTCCGCCCCCCCGGGTTCATGCCATTCTCCTGCCTCAGCCTCCCGAGTAGCTGGGACTACAGGAGCCCGCCACCTCGCCTGGCTAATTTTTTGTATTTTTTTAGTAGAGACGGGATTTCAGCTTATTAGCCAGGATGGTCTCGATCTCCTGACCTCGTGATCTGCCCGCCTCGGCCTCCCAAAGTGCTGGGATTACAGGCGTGAGCCACCGCGCCCGGCCGCTCCTTAGCCATTTGTATCAAGTTATTTGCCATTTTTTACTTTTTTTGTATTTTGTGGTTGACTTACAGTTCATATGTATTTTGGATATTAACCCCTTATCAGATATGTGACATGCAATTATTTTCTCCCATTGTGTGGATTGTACTTCACTATCTTTATAGTGTCTTTCCATAGATAAAATTTTTTAATTTTGATGAAATTTAATTTATCTTTTTTGTTGTTGTTGCCTGTTTTTAATATCATATTTTAAAAACATTGCTAAATCCATGATCATGACGATTTGCCCCAGTTTTCTTCTGAGTTAATAATTTGTGCTCTCAAATATAGGTCTCTGATCCATATTGAATTAGTATCTGTGTATGGTATAAGGTAAGAGTCCAACTTTATTTTCTTGCGTGTAAAGATTCAGTTGTCTCAGCACCATTTGTTGAAAAGACTGTTCTGTAGGATCTTGGCATCATTGTCACAAATCAATTGGCCATGGATTTGAGGGTTTATTTCTGGGCCCTCAATTCTATTCCATTGGTTTATGGGTCCATCCCTATGCCAGTACCACATTGCTTTTTTAAGTTATAGCTTTATATTAAGTTTTGAAATCAGAAAATTTGAGACCTCCTATTTTGTTCTATTACAAAATTGTTTTAGCTGTTCAGGGTCCCTTGAAATTCTATATAAATTTTAGAATGGGTTTCTTTATTTCTACCAAAAATGCTGTTGGAATTTAGATAGGGATTGCATTAAATCTGTCAATTATTTGAGTAATATTGTCATCTTCACATTATTAAGCTGTAGGAGTTTATATATATTCTGGATATTAACCCCTTTTCAGATATATGAACAAAATCATGATATATGATTCTGATTCATGAATCAGGTTTCAGTCTTCCAATTATTTAAGCCTTCTTTAATATCTTTCAACAATGGTTTATAGTTTTCAGTATACAAGTCTTATGCCTCCTTTGTTAAATGTATTCCTAAGTATTTTATTTTTATTAGGTTATTGTGAGTGCAATCATTTTTTATCTCCATTCAATTTATTGTATATAGGAATCCGACTAAATTAGTTGTGTAATAATTTAATATCTTGAAATTTTATGTGTTCATGTATTGGTTTTGACAGCTTTGTGTGTATGTATGTACATATGTGTGTATTCTTTACAGTTTTTTACATATAAGATTGACTTCCAATTTGGATATTTTTACTTCTCTTTCCTGCATATTTGCTCTGACTGCAAATATTATTTGAGAAAAATCCCAATTGGTCATAGTGTATAATCCTTTCAATAATCTGTGAATTCAGTTTATTATTTTGAGGACTTTTGCATCTATATTCATAGGAATAATGGTCTGTAGTTTTCTTTTCTTGTTAAGGCTTTGTCTGTATTAGGATAGTGCTATTTTCACAGAAGGAGTTAGGATGTGTTTCCTCCTCTTCTATTTTTGGAAACGTTTGAGGATTGGTGTTAACTCTTCTTTAATTGTTTGGTACAATTCACCAATAAAACCTTCTGGTCTTGAGTTTTTCTTTGTTAAGAGGTTTTTGGTCATTGATTAAATCTCTTTATTTACTTTAGGTCTATTCATATACCCTATTCTTCCTGAGTAGGTTATGGTGGTTTATGGTTCGTTTCTACCTTAATTTATTTCTCATTTCCATTGTGATTTCTTCTCTGATCTAATGTTAAGAGTGTGTTTTTTAAATTTCCACATATTTGTGAGTTTTTCAAAAGTTTTCTTTCTGTTATTGATGGTAGTTTCATTGCACAGCAGTCAGAAAAAAACTTTGTATGATTTCAATCTTTTTAAATTTATTTAGTTGTTTTGTGGACTAACATACGATCTATCTTAAAGAATGTTCCATGTGCATTTGAGAAAAACGTATACTCTGCTACTGTTGAGTGAAGTGCTCTCCCGAGTTTTAGATACAATTGGTCTATGTGTTGTTTAAGTCCTGTACCCTTATTAATCTTCTGTCTGGTTATCCTATTCACTATTGAAAATGGAGTAATGAAGTCTCCAGATATTATTGTAAAACTATCCCTTCAATTTTGTCAATTTTCAATTCTTATGTTTAGGGGGTGTTGTCATTAGATGCGTATGTAATTGTTATATTTTCTTGAGGTAGGGCACTTTTTATCAATATATAATGTCTTTATTTGACTCTTGTAAACTTTTTGATTTGAATTCTATTTTGTATGATAGTAATTTAGCCACCCAACTCTCTTTTGGATGCAATTTGCATGAAATATATTTGTCCATTGTTTTCATTCAAAATTTTCATGTTTTTGTATTTGAAATGACTCTTTTGCAAACAATATGTAGATGGATCTTTTTTTTGATCATTCTGCCAATTTCTGCCTCATAAGTAGCAAAACTTGTAGAACCTAGTTTTAATAATAAATCAATTTATAACCAACTTAGTTTCAATAGTATAGAAACATTCTTCTTCTATCCATTTTTTTCTTTCTTTCTTTCTTTCTTTCTTTCTTTCTTTCTTTCTTTCTTTCTTTCTCTCTCTCTCTCTCTCTCTCTCTCTTTCTTTCTTTCTTTCTTTCTTTTTTCTTCTTCTTTTTTTTGACAGAGTCTTGCTCTGTTGGCCAGGCTGGAATGCAGTGGCACGATCTCAGCTCATTGCAACCTCTGCCTCCTGGGTTCAAGTGATTCTCCTGCCTCAGTCTCCCGAGTAGCTGGGATTACAGGCACCCACCATCACCCCAGGCTAAGTTTTGTATTTTTAGTAGAGATGTCGTTTCACCATGTTGGCCAGCTGGTCTTGAACTCCTGATTTCGTGATCCGTCCACCTTGGCCTCCCAAAGTGCTGGGATTACAGGCATGAGCCACTGTGCCCAGCCCCATCTCCTTTCCTCCCCTCTATATTGTTATTGTCACAGATTATGTCGTTATATATTGGCTACTCATTAACATGGATTTATAATTATTGTTTTATGCATTTGCACTTTAAATCATATAGGAAAAAAGTGCAAACCAAAAGTGCAATAATAGTGGCTCTTATATGTGGTTACTTTTACCGGTGTTCTTTATTTCCTCTAATGGCTTTGAGTTCCTGCTGGTGTTCTTTCATTTCAGCCTGAAGAACTCCTGTTAGCATTTCTTGTAGGGAAAATCTGCTGGCCTGTTTAGCCAGCCTGACAGAGAAGAATGGGCTGTTCCACAAACCATTTCCTTTTCCTCCCGGCCACTCAGCTAGATTCCCCTTGCCAGCCTCTTTTGCATGTGTTAGATAAAATAGTAGAATGTTAGTGGTATATGCATGGCCAATCAGACCTCCCACATGATTCTTGATCTCTGCTGCATGGAGGCTGAGGATGATCTTGGCAGCCACACGTGGAAGATAGAAGAATCTCTGCCAGTCTGAGTCACTGGATAGCTTCATGGGAACTGGACATTTTCTAACTGCCCCTCCCCATATAATCCTTATTGGATGTTATTTTGTTAACATTTGTTGACACTTAAATTTTTATTGTTATATTTTTGAGTTCTGGGAGTTTTCATTATAGCAGGTAGCATTACCTTTACTATTCATACAGCCATTTCACTCATTTATTCAATGGCTCATGTTTTTCCTGATTTCCAATTTCAGAGCTTCGAACATATAGCCTTATGTGACTTCTCTGAACTTCCTAACCCTTATCCAGGCTTTTGTCAAATTCAACTGATTTCCCAGCATGAAATTGTTCTTTTTCAATGGCTATCATTTAAGTCTACCAATAAATATTAAGTCACTCAGTAAATATGTAAGCATTTGCATGTTACTCCAGGTTTTGTGCAGAGGTTATACGGATTAAGTATGAAAGACATGCTTTCAAGCTAGAAGCTGCTGAGCCCACAACAGTGTTTTAACTAAACTTTCTCTTCTGGGTCATCCAGGCCATTATATGCACCTTTCCAAATAAATCTTTCTTATATTCTTTATTTTGTATGTTCCTATCACTCATCAGATACAACCCAAGTCTCCTGGCTTAAGGCCAAGCCCCTCCCCATATTTATTAATCATACATTTTCTCCCAGACTCCATCACAATACTTTGAAATTCTTCATGACACTCTCCTTCTAGTTTTGACAGGAAAGAGCAGGAGTCACTATACTTATATTAGACAAAGTAGATTTCAAGACAAAAACTATAAGAAGAGATAAAGAAGGTCACTGTATAATAATAAAGGGGTCAATTCAGCAAGAAGATATAACAATTTTAAATATACCTGCACCCAATACAGGAGCACCAGATATATAAAAAAGATATTATTAGAGATAACAGCAGAGATAGGTCCCAATACCATAATAGCTGGAGACTTCGACACCCTACTTTCAGCATTGGACAGATCTTCCAAACAGAAAATCAACAAAGAAACTTCAGATTTAATCTGCACTATAGATCAAATGGATCTAACAGATATTTATAGAACATTTCATTCAAGAGCTGCAAAATATGCATTCTTTTCCTCAATGCATGGATCATTCTCAAGGATAGACCATATATTAGGTCACATAAAAAGTTTTAAAACATTAAAAAAATATAAATAATATCAAGCATCTTCTCTGACCACAGTGGAATAAAACTGGAAATTAATAACGAGGAATTTTGGAACCTGTACACATACATGGAAATTAAACAATATGCTCTAATGACCAGTGGGTCAGTGAAAAAATTAAGAAGGAAATTGAAAAATTTATTGAAACAAATGATAATGGAAACACAACATACCAAAACTTACGGGATACAGCAAAAGCAGTATTAAGTAGAAAGTTTATAGCTGTAAGTGCCAACATCACAAAACTGGAAAAACTTCAATTAAATAATCTAACAATGCATCTTTTAAAAAAATTTTCAATAGGTTTTGGGGGAACAGGTGGTGCTTGGTTACACCTAATGAGTTCTTTAGTGGTGATTTCTGAGATTTTGGTGCACCCATCACCCATCACACTATACACTATATGCAGTGTGTAGTCTTTTATCCCTCACCCACTCCCGCTCTTTCCCCCAGGTCCCCAAAGTTCTTTGTATCATTCTTATGCCTTTGCATCCTCATAGCTTAGCTCCCACATATCAGTGAGAACATACAATGTTTGGTTTTCCGTTTCTGAGTTACTTCACTTAGAATAATGGTCTCCAGTCCCATCCAGGTCACTGAAAATACCATTATTTCATTCATTTTTATGACTGAGTAGTATTCCATTTTATATATACACACATATATGTATATATACATATACATATATATATATCACAATTTATTTATTCACTCTCTGATTGATGGGCCTTTTGGCTGTTTCCATATTTTTGCAGTTGTGAATTGTGCTACTATAAACATGCGTGCACAAGTATCTTTTTCATATAATGACTTCTTCTACCTCACCCAGTAGTGGATTGCTGGATCAAATGGTAGTTCTACTTTTAGTTGTTTAAGGAATCTCTACACTGTTTTCCATAGTGGCTGTACTAGTTTACATTCCCACCAGCGGTGTAAACGTTTTTCCTGATCACCACATCCATGTCAATATCTATTATTTTTTGATTTTTTGATTATGGCCATTCTTGCAGCAGTAAGGTGGTATCAAATTGTGGTTTTGTTTTGCATTTCCCTGATCATTAGTGATGTTGAGCATTTTTTCATATGTTTATTGGCCATTTGTATATTTTCTTTTGAGAATTCATGTCCTTAGCCCACTTTTTGATGAGATTCTTTGTTTTCTTGCTGATTCTAACAATGCATCTTAAGGAACTAGGAAAGTGAGAGCAAATTAAACCCAGAATTAGAGAGAATAAAATAAATAATAAAGATCAGAGCAGAAATAAATGAAATTAAAATGAAGAAAACAATACAAAAGATCAATGAAACAAAAAGTTGGTTTTTTGAAAAGTTAAACAAAATTGAAAAATGTTTAGTCAGACTAAGAAAAAAGAGAGAGCAGATCCAAATAAATAAAATCAAAAATGAAAAAGCAGACATTATAACTGATACGGCCAACATTTAAAGGATCTTTAGTGGCTACTATGAGAAACTATATGCCAATAACTTTGGAAATCTAGAAGAAATGGCCAAATTCCTAGACACATACAACCTTCCAAGACTGAACCAGGAAGAAATCCAAACTCAACACAGACCAATCACAAGTAATGAGATTGAAGCCAGAATAAAAAGTCTTCCAGTAAAGAAAAGTCTAGGACCCGATGCCTTCACTGCTGAATTCTACCAAACATTTAAGAACTAATACCGATCCTACTTAAACTACTTCAAATACCAGGGGGAGGGAGCACTTCCAAACTTATTCTACAAGGCCAGTATTACCCTGATACCAAAACCAGACAAAGACACATCAAAACAAAAACAAAAACAAACAAGAAAAACTACAGGCCAATATCTCCAATGAATACTGATGCAAAAATCCTCAACTAGCAAAAATACTAAGAAACTGAATTCAACAATACATTAAAAAGATCATTCATCATGACCAAGTGGGATTTATTCCTGGGATGCAAGGATGGTTCAACCTATGCAAATCAATCAATGTGATACAATCAACAGAATGAAGGATAAAAACCATATGACCATTTCAGTTGACACCGAAAAGGCATTTGATAAAATTCAACATCCCTTTATGATAAAAATCCTCAAAAAACTGGGCATAATAGGAACATACCTCAACATAATAAAAGTCATATACAACAGACCCACAGTTAATAACTTACTGAATGGGAAAAACTGAACACCTTTCCTTTGAGACATGGAACATGTCATAGATGTCCACTGTCACCACTGTTATTCAACATAGTATTGCAAGTCCTAACTAGAGCAATCAGACAAAAGAAAGATATAAAGGACATCCAAATAGAAAAGGAAGAAGTCAAATTATCCTTGTTTGCTGATGATATGATCTTTTATTTGGAAAAAAAAACCTAGACTCCACAAGAAATTAGAACTGATAAGCAAATTCAGCAAAGTTGCAGGATACAAAATCAACATACAAAAATCAATAGCATTTTTGTATGACAACAGTGAATAATGTGGAAAAAGAAATTAAAAAGTAATCCTATTTACAATAGGCACATGTAAAATTAAATACCTGGGAATTAATTCAGTCAAAGAAATGAAAGATCTCTATAATGAAAACTATAATAACTGATAAAGGAAATTGAAGAGGACACCAAAAAATGGAAAAATTCATGAATTGGAAGAATCAATATTGTTTAAACATCCATAATACCCAAAACAATCTACAGATCAAATGCAATCCCTATCAAAATGCCAATGAAATTCTTCACAGAAATTTTTTAAAATCCTAAAATTTAAATGTAACCACAAAGGACCCAGAATAGCCGAAGCTGTCCTAAGCAAAAAGAACAAAACTGGAGGAATCACATCACCTGATTTCAAATTATACTATACAGCAATATTAACCAAAACAGCATCGTGCTGCCATAAAAACAGACACATAGGCCAATGTAACAAAATAGAGAACCTGGAAACAAATCCACATAGCTACAGTGAACTCATTTTTTAAAAAGGTGCCAAGAACATACTATGGAGAAAAAATAGCCTCTTCAATAAATGGTGCTGGGAAAGTTGGATATCCATATACAAAAGAATGAAACTAGAACCCCATCTCTCGCCATAATCAAATCAAAAGAGATTAAAAGCTTAAATCTAAGGCCTCAAACTATGAAACTACTACAAGGTAACATTAGGGAAAATCCCCAGGACATTGGTCTGGGCAAAGATTTGTTGAGCAATACCCCACAAGCACCAAAGCAACCAAAGCAAACATGGACAAATGGGATCACATCAAGTTAAAAAGCTTCTGCACAGTGAAGGATAAAATCAACAAAAGGGAGAGACAACCCACAGAATGGGAGAAAATGTTTGCAAACCAAGCTGTTGACAAGGGAATAATAAGCAGAATATATAAGAAGCTCAAACAACTCTACAGAAGAAACCTAATAAACCAAACAAAAAAATGTGCAAAATATTTGAAGAGACATTTCTCAAAGGAAGACATACAAATGGCAAAGAGGCAAATGAAAAGCTGCTGAACATCATTGATCATCAGAGAAATGCAAATTAAAACTAAAATGAGGTATCATCTCACTCCAGTTAAAATGGATTATATCCAAAAGACAGGCAATAACACATGCTGGCAAGGATGTGGAGCAAAGGGAACCCTCATACACAGTTGGTGGGAATACAAATTAGCATAACCACTATAGAGAACAGTTTGGAGGTTCCTAAAAAAACTGAAAATAGAGCTACCATATGACCCAGTGATCCCACTGCTGGGAATACCCCCAAAAGAAAGGAAATAAATATATTTAAGAAATATGTGCACTCCTATGTTTGTTGCAGCACTGTTTACCATAGCTAAGATTCGGTAGACACCTAAGTGCCCATCAACAGATGAATGGATAAAGAAAATGTGGTACTTATACACAATGGAGTGCTATTCAGCCATAAAAAAGAATGAGATCCAGACCGGCATGGTGGCTCATGCCTATAATCCCAGCACTTTGGGAGGCCAAGGTGGGTGGATCACGAGGTCAAGAGATTGAGACCATCCTGGCCAACATGATGAAACCCTGTCTCTACTAAAAATACAGAGATTAGCTGGGCGTGGTGGCACACCCTGTAGTCCCAGCTACTTGGGAGGCTGAGGCAGGAGAATGGCTTGAACCTGGGAGGCGGAGGTTGCAGTGAGCCAAGATTGCACCGCTGCACTCCAGCTTGGCAACAGAGCGAGACTTCATCTCAAAAAAAAAAAACAGAAAAAGAATGAGATCCAGTCATTTGTAACAACATGGATGGAACTGGAGATCATTATGTTAAGTGAAATTAGCCAGGCACAAGAACATTGCATGTTCTCACTTATTTGTGGGATCTATAAATCAAATAAACTGAACTCATGAACATAGAGAGTAGCAAGAAATTACCAGAGGCTGGGAAGGGTAGTAGAGGACTAAGGGAGAGGTGGGGATGGTTAATGGATACATAAAAAATAGAAAGAATGAGTAAGACTTACTATATGATAGCACAATGGGTGACTATAGTCAACAATAACTCAATTGTATATTTTTAAATAATTTCAAGAAGGTAATTAAATTGTTTGTAACTCAAAGGACAAAGGCTTGAGGAAATGGATACCCCATTCTTCACATTATATCCCTGTATCAGAACATCTTATGTACCCCATAAATATATACGTCTACTATGTGCCCACAAAACATTTTAAAAATAATTTAAAAATTTTTTAAAGAAAATAATTGTGAATAAATTTCACAATTACAATAATGATACTACCATTTAAAAATGTACAATACAGTTCTTTCACTGATCTCTTGGCTCATCATTTAAATAATTTTAATGATACAGTACTTCTTGAAACTCTAAAGGTACAAATGGGACATGCCCTATGCTCCCTACAAGTATGCAAGGTCAACTGTAAATGACAAAGAGGTAGCAAGAGTGTCAGCATCAGTGCACATAAATTCATATATCAAAGTATATTTTTCTTTCTTGTCTCTTAATTGATGCACTTAATGAACTCTTATGGACACTGCCCATTGCATAAAGTCAAAGATGGCTGGTTAGGTGATAATAAGTGTAAGCTATTATGTGAAGTTCAAAGGAAGTTGTATTGCACTGAAAGTGTTCCTCTGTGAAATCTATATTTTTATTTTATGTTTAGGAAAATTAAAAAGAAAAAAATGCACCACAGGAATCATTGTCATGACATGCTTTTCATATTCTTTTAAAAAACAATCCATCTGTTTTGGCTTCCAGAAAATCTGCCAAGAAATAAAGATGTTGTAATTAACTGTAATGAATATGTTAACAGGAAATATCCACTAAGCTAACACATCATCTTGTCATGCCCTAATGTAATGTACTCCTGGCATTAATGAGAAAGCATTCAAGGAAGGCAGATAAGCTTGAATGCACTTTTAACTGGTCATGCAGCAGTTTTTAACTGCTTGAATTTTGAGACCTTCTTTAAACTTAGACCAAAAGTGTTCTAAGGACTGTTGTTTGGCAGCTGCATTCCTGTAGCATACTATTGATAAAATAGACCAAAAAACATAGGATATTCTGTCCAGGGGATCTCAGTATTTGAATACTGGCTCGATTACCTACTAGTTATATGATAGGGTAAGTTATTTAAACTTTCTGAGGTTTAATGACCTCATTTGAACCATAGGGAAAGTAAAAGTTGTCTTAGAGGGTTTTGTGAAGATTACAAGCAATTAGTGTATGTGAAATGAAGACTCATTAGATCTATTCAGTAAATATTACTTTCCTTTTTCTATATAAGACTATTTATGCATATTTAACCATAGCACCAAATCAACACTCGGCGCAACTTAATATTTTTTTGACAGTATGGAGTTGAAAGGGACTATAGGGCTCTTCTTCCTGGGCAGCTCAGTGGTTCTGCTGTGCTCCCATATAAACAAATGACAATCTAAAAATTACACTAGGGACAATTATCTCTAACTATGTTGGGTTTACTCAGAAGTAAAAATAAGGATTATAATCTGAAATGCACGAAATGGCAAGCCACCAGTCCATTCAGTGAGAGGGTTGTATGGGGACCTTTCACCAGCTAAAAAGAGATTTACTAAGCTGCTTAGAATCAGAGTCCATTGGTTCCAGAGGTTCAAAGCCAGACTGGTTGTCAGTTCATTGGCGGAGATGCCCTTACTGGGCAAGTGTTCTAAGAAAATCTTATCTGAATACTGCAGTTCTAATGTCTAGTGATAAAGCTTATCCAAACAAAATATGCATGAAGGACATGAAAGAGTTTTTAGAAAGTCCTTGGTTCACATTTCAGACACATAAACATGAGTCTTCCCTCTTTTGGGCCTTCCCAGACCTATATTTTCTGGATCTGATGAAAGGGATTCCATCCTGGTATATGCAACTTTCACGCAGACGTTAGAAACCAATACAGTGCAGGTGTTATGAGCCTTTGTTACCACTGAGGGCAGCATGTGGATCCCACAGGTAGGGCACTGTAGTGGTTTGCTATTGTGAATAACTAATTGTCATAAATTCAGTGCTTATAAAAACACTCATTTAATTTCCTGTTTCTATGGGTCAGGAATGGGCCTGGCTTGATTGGGTCATCTGCTCAGGGTCTCCCAAAGCTGCAGTGAAGGTGTCAGCTGCACTGTCGTCCTTGCCTAGAGTGTGGGGTCTTCCTCCAAGCTCATTTTCATGTTGGTGGACTTAAGTTCTTTGTGGTGATACAATTGAGGCTTTCAGCCTAGACAAAGCCCCTCTCCATAGGTGGTTTATACCATGGCTGTTTGCTTTCTTCTCTGAGGCCCCCAGGAGAGTGTGTCTTGGATGCTTCACCTTCTCTCAAAGGCTCCTTTCATTATGCCAGTGTTATCCAGGATTATACTGCTTTTGAACTCAAAGCTAATTGATTATTGGTTAAATCATAATACTGATACTCCAATATAGTCCATTCCACACTCAAGGCGAGGGGATTCTCAGTACATGTGCAAGACAGGCACACATCTTGGAATTCTGCCCACTACAGTCATGTGGCCAGGGCCAGTGAGACATCTTCAGAAAAAAGGCAATCTTCAAAGTGATCTTAGGCTGTGATTCTCAAAGAAGATCTGTGCTTTTTGCTGATAAACTACATTTAATCTGAAACGGCCACAGCATTCTCAGTGTTAGTTGACTGGTGGCTATAGACGCTGGAATTACCAGACTGACTGATTTGATATGCAACCATCAGGAGCAAAATTTTCATTTTGAGTAAAGTTTAAAGAGCTGAGCTAGAGGAGAAAAATCTGTACACCAGATATACTCTTAGACATTCGCTATATATGATTTGATTTTAAATCCACCACCATCTGAGACTGGTTTTATTTAAGAGGAGGAAATCAAATCTCAGAGGGAGTGACTTATCAAAGGCCATGCAGCAAGTTAGTCAATGTGAGAGATGGGGTTTGAACATGTGTCCTCTTTCCTCAGCCCAGGATTTTCCAAGATAACATCTACTTTTCCTGTTAACAGCAGGGTTAGCTGCACATAGAATAATTTTTTTTTTGCATGCATGCTTCTTACTATAGACATTGATCGTTCTTCAAAGTACTCTTCAGCTCTTCATGCACATGTAAAGTGCACAAAAGAAAAATAAGATAGTTAAGCAGGAAACATTCCCTCTGAAAACCGGCACAATACTATAGTATTGCACAACATAGTATTGCACAACATGGTATTGCAAGTTCTGGCCAGGGAAATCAGGCTACAGAAAGAAATAAAAGGTATTCAAATAGGAAGAGAGGAAGTCAAATTGTTTCTGTTTGCAGGCAACACGGTCTTATATCTAGAAAACCCCCTCATCTCAGTCCGAAAGCTCCTTAAACTGATAAGCAACTTCAGCAAAGTCTCAGGACACAAAATCCATGTGCAAAAATCACAATCCTTCCTATACACCAACAATAGACAAGCAGAGAGCCAAATCATGAATGAACTCCCATTCACAATTGCTACAAAGAGAATAAAATGCCTAGGAATACAGCTAACAAAGAGGACATGAAGGACCTCTGCAAATGGAACTACAAACACTGCTCGAGGAAATAAGAGAAGACTCAGACAAATGGAAAAACGTTCCATGCTCATGGATAGGAAGACTCAATATAGTAAAAATGGCCATATTGCCTAAAGTAATTTATACGTTCAATGCTATTCCCGTAAAACTACCATTGACATTCTTCACAGAATTAGAAAAAACTACTTTAAAATTCATATAGAACAAAAAAGAGCCTGTATAGCCAAGACAATCCTAAGCAAAAAGAACAAAGCTGAAGGCATACTGTTATCCCACTTCAAACTGTACTACAAGGCTACAGTAACCAAAACAGCATGGTGCTGGTACAAAAACAGACACATAGACAAATGGAACAGAATAGAGCTCTCAGAAATAAGACCGCACATCTACAACCAACTGATCTTCCACAAACCTGGTGCAAACAAGCAATGGGAAAAGGATTCCCTAGTTAATGAATGGCTAGCCATATGCAGAAAATTGAAACTGGACCTCTTCCTTACACCTTATACAAAAATTAACTCGAGATGGATTAAAGACTTAAATGTAAAACCCAAAAGCATGAAAAACCCTAGAAGAAAATCTAGGCAATACCATTCAGGACATAAGCATGGGAAAAGATTTCTTGACTAAAACATCAAAAGCAATTGCAAGAAAAGCAAAAATTGACAAATGGGATCTAATTAAACTAAAGAGCTTCTGCACAGCAAAAGAAACTGTCATCAGAGTGAACAGAAAACCTATGGAACGGGAAAAAATTTTTGCAATCGATCTGCCTCACAGAGGTCTAATATCCAGAATCTACAAGGAATTTAAACAAATTTACAAGAAAAAACAACCCCATCAAAAAGTGGGCAAAGGATATAAACAGACACTTCTCAAAAGAAGACATTCATGCAACTAACAAACATATGAAAAAAGCTCAACATCACTGACTCTTAGAGAAATGTAAATCAAAACCACAATGAGATACCATCTCACGCCAGTCAGAATGGCCATTATTAAAAAGTCAAGAAACCACAGAAGCTGGTGAGGCTATGGAGAAATAGGAACACTTTTACACTGTTGGTGGGAATGTAAATTCATTCAACCATTCTGGAAGACAGTGTGGTGATTCCTCAAGGATCTAGAACCAAAAATACCATTTGACCCAGCAATCCCTTTACTAGGTATATACCCAAGAGAATATAAATCATTCCATTATAAAGATACATGCACACATATGTTTACTGCAGCACTATTCACAATAGCAAAGACATGGAATCAACCCAAATGGCCATCAAGGATAGGGTAGATAAAGAAAACATGCTATATATACACCATGGAATACTGTGCAGCTATAAAAAGGAATGAGATCATGTCCTTTGCAGGAACATGGATGAAGCTGGAAGTCATTACCCTCAGCAAACTAACACAGGAACAGAAAACCAAACATAGCATGTTCTCACTCCTAAGCGGGAGGTGAACATTGAGAACCCATGGTCACAGGGAGGGGAACAACACACACTGGGGCCTGTCAGGGAGATCATCAGGATAAATAGCTAATGCATGAGGGGCTTAATACCTAGGTGATGGGTTGATAGATGCAGCAAACCACCATGGCACATATTTACCTAGTTAACAAACCTGCACATTCTACACATGTATCCTGGAATATAAAATTAAATGTATAAAAAAAAAAGATAACATAGTCACACTGAACTTCAGTATCTTGAGAGAACACCAGCATGATCGTTTTTGATTTTTTAAAAAAAATCAGGAAAAAGATTATTCTAGAAGTAGTCACTCTTGGTTAGGAGGATAAAATTATACTGCCTTCTTCAGAACTAAGATTTATAGATTTGAGTTAGCTACAAATGTCATCGATGAAATATTTATTTGGGCTTTTTAACTTCAAAACTGAGTCTGTCACAGTTAATCCTGTAATTAGAATTTACACAGGATCACTATTTTTTATTTGATTAAAATTGCCTTTTTTGTATGTCCTCAAGTTCTGCTTTACTTCCACATTATTATGCCACAGAAAATGGCTTTGCTGGGGTTTTTCCAGAGTTTTAGGAGTCTAAACTTACAAACCACGTAATGATAAAAATAATTGTTTAGTAATTAAGACATGGAATGTAATATGAAACTTAGTAAAGAAACGACTGAGTATAAAAAGCCAATAGTTTTTTGGGGGTAAAATTATTCACACAAAGTAAGAGACCGTGGATATATGCACCTCCAAATGATGTAGGAAAAACTTTCACCCAGTGAAAAAGCGAAGTGAAAAGAATGCATTAAGGTTTTTTTCTGAGCTCTAGATGTGTGAATGGAGGGGGTAGGGATATGGGGGCCCCCCTCTTTGGAATCAGAAACTATTGGCTTGCTTCTCCAGGAATTTGAGGATTGTTATTTATACTGCCTGTGGATTCAGAAACAAGCAAGCCAAGAAACTATCATACAGATTTCACTTGGGCTGGTGATATGCCCAGATTTACAAGCAAAACTGCTTTTGGAGGTTGTTAATAGGCAGAATTATGTCCTCAATCGAAATGCATATGTTGAAGTCATATACTCCCCAGTACCTCAGAATGAGACCTTATTTGGAGATCAGGTCTTTATAGAGGTAGCTCAATTAAAATGAGGTCGTTAGGATGGGCTCTAATTCAACATGACTGGTGTCCTTGTAAGAGGATATTTGGACACAGACAACACATAGAGAAAAGATTGTATGAAGGCACAGGGAGAAGACCGCCATCTACAAGCCAAGGAGAGAGGCCTCAGAAGAAAACAACTCTGCCAACACCTTAATTTCAGACTCTGGCCCTCAGATTATAAGACATAGACGTCTGTGTTTAAGCCACCTGCTCTGTGGTACCTTGTAATGGCAGCCCCAGCAGACTAATACGGGGGTTGATTCCACAACACAAACCACAGTGGGTTCTCACAGAAAAATATAGCCTTACTAATTTTCATATCTCAATTTACAAAATATACAACAAATGAGGGAATGATCTACCATGAATGAGAGCATTATTAGAACTTTGAGAAATTAAAAAATTAGAATAGCAATCGGAAGTAGAACATAATATAAGCATGTTTAAAATGGTTAAGATGTAAATGAAGGCACTGGTATATTAAGAAAAGATTAACATACTATGAAAAACAAATAGGCATAAATTTAGCAATGAAAGAATTTGTAGAAACTAAAAACGTAGTCTTTGAAATTAAGAAAACAAATGGATCAATTAAATGGCAAATTAGAGATGGCAAAAAATTAAAGCTTAAAGATAAGTACGTGAAAATTATACAGCTTTTAGTATCAAGGGGTAATAAATGAAAACTGTAAAAGTGATGTTAAGAGACATGGGTGATAGAATGAGAAGAACCCGTATACATCAGAAATGCTGGAAGGGGAAAATAGAAGGAATGGAGGAGAAACTATAGTCAAAAAGTAATGACTGAAATGTTCTATATGGTTCAGATTCATAAAGTGAAATATGAAATGTCTCCTGAGCAGAATACATAAAAAAATACAATGACACCCAGCACAGTGTAATGTGGTTGCAAAATATCAATGACATAGATAACATCTTGGAAGCAACTAAAGATAAATGATGATACAATGACTAGATTTACATTAATCTTCTCAACAGCAATAATAGAGGTCAGAAGACAACAGAATAATATTGTTACATTTCTGAGGGAAAACTGCAGTGAAATGAAAATTTTAATGACATTAACTAAAATAATTTATTCAGAATTTTTAGCTTTCTTGTTGACTTTATGAAAATTAGACATTCCATGAAATCTGTATCTCTTTTGATACATCTCAATTTTTTTAAAAGCTGGTTTTGTAATAAACTCCATATAGCTTACCTTCTGTCACTAAGGATGGTAATCACCTCTATTTAGTACTCATTTGAGGAGGTGTTGATGTGGTTGAAGAGCAAAGTGGTAACTTCTATCTTCTAGTCTTCAAGGAGCTTTCTTCCTTTGGACAATTTATTCAGCCTCTCAGATATTGTAAAAGAAAGAACTGCAGGGTCATATACAGACAAACACAAACTTTCGCATCAGACAGACCTCAATGTCAAGCCAGCTTGCCCACTGACTTGCTGACATGTCTTTTGTGTTTAATAAATACTTGTTAGTGGGAGTTACTTAGTCTCTCCAAGGCTCAGTTACCTAATCTGGAATATGGGAGTGGCAATACCTGGCTCAACTGGTTGTGAAAGGATCATTGAGATGTTCTATGTGATTTGGTTCCTGTTGCGCTCATCACAAAGAAAGCAGAAAATCAAGCAGCTGGTGCTCTTCAAATCTCTAACATCCCTTCTAGTTCTAACATTCTCAGAATTCATGATTTGATTTCATAAGAGTAAACCAATTTTTAGGAAATGTGGAAGGTAAGTGCTTTTTGTTTTTGTTTTGTTTTTATTGTTTTTTCAGTTCCATGGATCTTTATTTGACCAAGACATTGCAGTAAACTCATAAACATAAAATGGAGGGTTCTATTTTTTCTTGGAAGCTTTTACTTAATTACAGTAGATGCAAAGGCTGACCCCTTGTGGCAAAGAGTGGTGGCTACAGGCTATAACTCTTTGCTAGGACTACTTCAGCGTGCTTTATTTATTTATTTATTTTTTGAGACGGAATTTCCCTCTTGTTGCCCAGGCTGGAGTGCAATGGCGCGATCTCGGGTCACCACAACCTCCGCCTCCCAGGTTCAAGCAATTCTTCTGCCTCAGCCTCCCGAGTAGCTGGGATTACAGGCATGCACCACCACGCCCGGCTAATTTTGTATTTTTAGTACAGACGTTGTTTCTCCATGTTGAGGTTGGTCTCGAACTCCTGACCTCAGGTGATCCGCCCGCCTCAGCCTCCCAAAGTGCGGGATTACAGGCATGAGCCACCGCGCCCGGCCTGGACTACTTCAGCTTTAAACATTTGCTGCAGACCCAGCAGTCTCCTGGGTGGAGGCAATGCTGACAGTGAGGGGGTTGATGGAAGCTGTGCACAGAATGTGTTTGTATATGTTGACCACATTAGACTATGTCATTCCAGAGAGCCGCTGCTGTTCCTCGGTAGTGGCAGCTTCACCCCAAATGTATTTTTAAAGTAGTGTATGAGTAATATAAGAACACTGCTGTTACATGGTAAACTTTCAATCAGTGTGTCTTCTCTCCCACCTTTTCTTTCTGAAGCTATGAGATAAAAGGTTTGATAGATGAACTTTAATGCCCTGTTATTCTAGTTGTAACAGCCTTGTGAAAATACAGTCTGTATACCTCGTAATTTATTTATTTATAGTTAAAACGAAATCCAAACATTTGCCCCCCCCGCCCCCATCCAAATTCAAAATTCTCTGATAACAAAGTAACACTGCAAATATTCTCTTATGTTGCAAAATCTTATAGGAGGTATAAAAATGAAGGGAAGAAAGTATGTAATTCCTGGTTCAGATGGTGCAACAGAAGTTTCCCTGTCATTTTCTCAGTGTGCTTCCCATTTGGTGTGGAAGTCATGCGGGAAAGTGGGGATTGTAGGTCAGTTCTCTAGACACAAGCACTGAGGGAATTTGGAGTGCAAGATGTTTGTTAGGGATCAATACATACGAAGAGAGGAAATGAGATGATGCAGGATTGGGCAGAAGGAGAAGCCCACTGACAGATATAGGACCAAGAAAGCCTCACCTACTCCAGCAAGGAGCTCTAAATAGAGGATAACCCAACTCATGTCCCAAGTTAGGCCCAAATGGCTGGACCTTTATGCTCCTGCCTGGCCAAGGGGCTTTCTACAGCTGAGGCTAACTGTGAAGGAGCCACAGCAACTCTTTCTTTGGAAAGAAGTCTGGGGGCAGGTCTCTATGTCTACCACAGTGTCTCGAAGACAAGGGAACAAAGAAACTCAATCCATTTCCACCTTTCATAAACAATCTTCTTGCTGATCCCAAAATGTAGCTTCGTCACAGCTCCAGCTATTTCTGCTGAAAGTATTGCTCTCTACTGTCTTTGTCTCCTACAAATCCACCCAGAGCAGTGCTGTTCTTTCTTACACAATTTCCTCTCCTGCTCAGGCCTTCAGCTTGGCCTTCTCCCAGAATCAATGCTAGTCTGTATTACCAAATTGGACGTATAACTATTCTGCCTTGCATTTTTAACATATGCATGTTCTGTTTTCTTAACTAAATTATAAGCCAGGGGCTGCAAGAAAAGTTTTATCTTGTACTCAGTGATGTTCATTTGTTAATGGCTACCTGGAGGAGATTTGTGTTGAGAAGGATTCTGAGTCTGAATCCAAGCGCAGTGAAAAGTACAACCATCATTGATGACCTTCACACTCACACCAGGGAGAGAGGTGACATCCTCTTTTATGTTTGACTTCCAACTCTGTTCTCAAGTCTCCACTTGGTGAGATACATATATACATACATCAAATATAATTAAAAATCAAATATATACAAATATATATATGATCTTTACTGTTTAAATGTAGAAATAAATTACTGTAAGTGTCTCAAGGGATCTTCAGTTGTGGAGCATAAGCCCCTTACAGAGAAGCTCCTATGATATATACCCAGAAGTGAACCGGCTGGATCATCAGGTTTTTTACTTCATTAAATATTACCCTATTCCTTTCTAGCTTTACATGAGGAGTTCTAGATCTCTCTACAATCTCTAAGAACTGCTGTTTAATCACTTGTAACTCTTACATTTGTTGACAAAAAAGCTGAACTCTATATGATATTTAAAGAGGTTTACCCTGAGCCACATATGAGTGACCATGTCCCAAAGCACAGTTTCAAGAGGTCTTGAGAACATGTGCCAAAGTTTGTTGAGATACAGCTTGTTCCTGTATGTTTCAGGGAGACAGAAGACATCCGTCAATACATATGAGGTATACGTTGGTTTGGTCTGGAGTGCCAGACAACATGAAGTGGGGGAGGGGGTGCTTGCAGGTCATAAGTGGACTCAAAGATTTTTCTGATTGGCAATTGATTGAAAGAGTTAGGTTATTATTTAAATACCTGGAATACAAGGGAGTATCTGGGTTGAGAAAAAGGGTTGTGGAGACTAAGGTTCTAATTATGTAGATAAAGTCTCATAGTTGGCTGTCTTTAGAGACAATAGATGGCAAATATTTCCTATTTAGACCTTTAAACGGTGCTAGACTCTTAATCTCTTCAAGATTAGGAGGGCCTGAAAGGTGGAAGATCTAATTATGTTAATAGAGATTCTTTACAGATGTAAATTTTCCCCCACAAAAGATGGTTTTGCAAGGCCATTTTAAAATTTGGCAAAGAAACATATTTTGGGGTAAAATATTTTTGATTTCCTTCATTATTTTTCATGTGATGTTTTGCTAGAGTCAGTCTGGAATTTGATATCTTTTTGCAGATCTCTGTTTTCATGTATATGCTGGACAATTGGGTCTGTACTCCAAAAGAAGAGTATAATGAGGCATGTCTGACACCCTCATTCCATCATGACTTTAACTAGTTTTCAGGTTTCTTTGGGTCCCCTTGGCCAAGAGGGGGGCCCGTTCAGTCAGTCAGGAGGCTTAGAAGTTTATTTTTGGTTTACACATTGAACAAGCATGATTCTTAGAATGAAATCAGTAGCACATTCAGCTTTGCCTCCCATTGTACTTTGAAATACTCTGTGCGGCTCTTTCCCTGTCTCTACAAGGGAAGTCCAGTAGATATCCTAACTTTTCTGTACCCCTTAGGAAATAAATATCGCATTTCAAGTCATAAAAGATAGTTTTAATTAGAGAATTAAATGCCCAGCCCATGAAAGAATCAAATTTTAATCTTGATTTAAAATTGAGTCTTCTCCCTCTCCCTCAGCTTGATCCTGTTGCAATCTGGAAGAATGCACTTAATCAATGTCTTTCCTCATTTTCCACACTGTGCTTCTATCATTTCTCTTTCATCTAGCTGCAAGGGACTCTGGCCCCTTTAGGAATAGAGCAAGGTAGGGTGAGAAGTGGTAGGGGAAACAGGAGAGTTGGGGTTGACTAGTTCTGTTGTGGCCATCTAGCAGCTGAGCTCTCTGGACTTGGGTGTTTTTTTAAATACTTTGAAAAATTGAGTTATAACTCTTATATCATAAAATCACCACTTGAATGTGTAAACTTTAGTGCTTTTTAAATTATATTAATAAGGTTAAGCAACCATCACCACTATCTAATTCCATAACATTTTCATCACCCCCAAAAGAAGCCCTGCCCTGTATCCATTAACAGTCATTCCCACTCACTTAGTCCTTGAAACCAGTAACCTACTTTCTGTCTTTGGATTTGCCTGTTCTGAATATTTCATATAAAGGGAATCAATAACAGGTGACTTTTTGTGATTGGCTTCTTTCATTTAGCACAGTATTTTCACAGTATGTTGTAGTAGTATGTATCAATACTTTATTCCTTTATATGACTGGATAGTATTCCATTGTGTGGTTATACCACGTTTTGTTTATACATTTATCAGTTATTAGACATTTGAGTTGCTTCCAGTTCTTGATTATCATGAATAATATCATTAAAATAATGCTGCTATGAAAATTCATGCACACGTTTTTTTTAATGTAGATATGTTTTAAATTCTCTTGAATATATACCAAGAGTAGAATTGTTCAGCAGTATATGAACTCTATATTTAACATTTTGAGAAACTTCCAAGCTATTTTCTACAGTGCCTGCATCATTTTAGATTCCCACCAGTAGTGTATGAGGGTTCCAATGTCTCCACATCCTCACCAACACATGCTATTTTCTGTTTCTTTGATTATAGCCATCCTAGTGGCTGTAAAGTATCAGATATATGATTACAAGTATTTTCTTCCATTCTGGAGATTGTCTCTTCAATTTCTTATTCACTTATTTATTTATTGGAGACAAGATCCCCCACTCTGTCACCCAGGTTGGAGTGCAGTGGCACAATCATACCTCACTGCAGCCTTGAACTCCTGGGCTCAACTGATACTCCTGCCTCAACCTTTCCAGTAAGTGGGACTACAGGCATGAGCCATGATGCCCAGCTAACTTATTTTTATTTTATTTTGGTAGAGACAGGGTCTTGCTTTGTTGCCCAGGCTGTTTTCAACTCCTGGCCTCAAGACATCCTCCTGCCTTGGTCTCCCAAAGTCCTAAGATTACAGGCATCACTGTGCCCAGCCCTTCTTCATTTTCTTGATAGTACCCTTAGACAAACAAATGTTTTCAACTTTAATGAAATTTTATTAATATGTTTTTCTTCAGTCACTTGTGCTTTTAATGTCACGTATAAGAAACTACTGCCTAATGCAAGATCATGAAGACTTACTCCTGTATTTCCTTCCAAGAATTTCATAGTTTTATCACTGACCTTTAGGTTTTTGATCCATTTTTTAGTCTATTTTTTTTAATTTTTGTGGGTACATAGTAGGTGTACATATTATGGGATACATGAAATACCCTGATTTGATCCCTTTTAAATTAATTTCATCATATGATGTGAGATAGTGGTAAAAATTCTTCTTTACCTGTGGATATCCAGTTGTCCTAGAATCATTTGTTGAAAGTACTATCATTTTCCCATTGAATGGTCTTTACATCATTGTTGAAAATTGGTTGACTAGAGATGTATGAGTTTATTTCTAAACTCTCAATTCCATTCCATTTGTCTACATGTCTATCTTTATGCCATTACCACACTTGATTGACTAGTGTAGCTTTGTAGTAAGTTTTGAAATTAAGAAGTGTGAATCTTTCAACTTTATTTTTCTTCTTCAAGATTATCTTTGCTATTCTGAGTCCCTTTTATTCATATCAATTTTATGATCAACCCTTCCGTTTTTGTAAAAAAGGGTAATTGAAATATTGTTAGGTTTTCCATTGAATCTGTATCTCAATTTTGAAAAATCTTGCCTTCTTAACAGTATTCCTTTTTTAATTCATAAACAAGGAATATATTTCTGTTTATGATTCTTTTATTTTTCTCAACAATGTTTTATAGTTTTCAGTGTATAAGCATTTCACTTCTTTAGTTACATTCATCCCTCAATATTTCATTATTTTTGATACTATTACAAATAAAAGTATTTCGTTAATTTTATTTTCAGATTATCATTGCTAATGTATAGTAATACAGTTGATTTTTGTATATTGACATGCATTTTGCATCCTTGGTGAATTTGTTTATTAACTCTTTTGTGTGTGTGTGTGTTCTTTGGGGTATTCCACATATAATCATATCATCTGTAAATAGAGGTAGTAGTTTTACTTCTTCCTTTCCAAACTTTATGACTTTTTTTCATTTTCTTGCCTAATTGTGTGGATAGAACCTCTACCACAGTGTTGAATAGAACGGGAAAAAGTGAACATTCTTTTCTTGTTCTTGGTCTTAAGGAAGACGGAAGCTTTCTTTTCACTATTAAATTTTTAAGTTTCCTTTCACTATTGCTATTGGTTTGTCTTAAATGCCCTTTATCATATTAAGGATGTTCCTCTTTATTCCTGGTTTTATGATGTTTTTTATCATGAAAAGGCACTGGATTTTGTCAAATGATTTTTCTCTATCTGTTGAAATGATCATGGTTTTTTCCTTTATTTTATTAATATAATTGATTGATTTTCATAGGTTGAAACACGCTTGCATTTCTGGGATAAATCCCACTTGGTTGCAGTGCAAAATCCTTTTTATATGCTGCTGGCCTCTCCTAGTATTTAGGTAAGGATTTTGACATCTATATTAATAAAAAAAATTGGTCCATAGTTTTTTCCTTGTGATGTCTTTAGTTTTGGTATCAAGCAAATATTGGCCTTATAAGTTGAGTTAAGAAGTGTTCCCTTCACTACTATAGTTTGGAAGAATCTGTGACAAATTGATGTTAATTCTTTATTAGGTTTATTTTGGTACAATTCACAGGTAAAGCCACTTCATCCTAGGCTTTTCTTTGTGGGAAGTTTTCTGATTACTAACTCAATCTCTTTATTGAGTCTTAAAAAGATTAGTTTCCCCATCTTGTAAGTGGTAGTAGCAGGACACAAACTCAAGTAATTCTCACACCAAAACCTTTCTTTTGAGCCTCTGTTGACTAAAATCCATACTTGCATTTATATATGTTATACTGCTACTATGAAGACAATACGTTCATGTTAAAACATTTTTTAATGGTAGAAAAGTACAAAGAAGAAAACAAAAATAATTCATTATGCTGTTCAATATGTTAGTATATTTTCTTTCAGTACATTTTCTAACTATTCTCTCTATGCATATATCTAATTTATATTAGATGTGATTGCTATCGTATTTCTTACACATTTTATTTTCTTCTTTACTCATTCAATTCTGTCCTCTCAATAGGTTCCTATGTTTCTAGCAGTTTTTCAAAAACATTATGTTAAATGACGGCCTAAAATTCTATGGTATGATTCCTTTAATTACAAAATAGTTTTCCTTTTTCCTGCTAAATATTCAGGTTATTTCAATTTTGTTCTTTACCGTTATAAATAATGCTCTCTGGATCATCTTGGATTTTGTTGCATCTCTAATTTTTTCCAATATTATTCCTCAAAGTGGAATACTGGATCAAAGACTGAGAGGAACATTTTTAAGGTTCTTCATCTGCTTGGTAAGCCAAAAAGTTTACGAAGTTTATACTTCTGCTTGTATAAAATAAATTTTTGTTTATTCCTCTCTGATGCTATTGTTGATTTTAAAATATTTCCTAATTTGTTAGGTTAAAAAATTGTCTTCTAGATATAATATTCAAAGTGGGCTGCTCTTCTAAGAGAACTGCAGAGGAGCAAACACTGGTGGCACTGGCATCTTTCCTCTTCATCTGCTTTAGTCATTATAAATGAGAGACTTCTCGCCATTAAACTCTTCATTCCATGCTAGAAATAATGGTGAAAACCAGCACATGAGCTCAGCTGTATGGTGGAGCCATGCACCTGTTCAGGATGTCTTTGAGCTTTGCTTTAATTCTCAGCTTAATAATAAAATGTAAAACCACTAGGGGCAGTCAGTTTAGCATGTTGGATATTCTCAGCAAGTGGTAACTAATGGAATTTAACATAGAAAATTGTATCATTATCCAAAAGATAATAATATCCATATTCCAATTTATCCTAAAAAACAACTATAACATATAAAATAAAATAACTAAAACGGTTAACCTAAAAGAGATTAGGCTTTTCTTGTATCTAATTACAATGAATATATATAATTTTACATAACAGAAAGTAGCAAAACAATTTTAATCAATATTTTCAAATCTTCTACCCTGCCTTCTTCACCCTACAAAACTTCAACAACAAAACTAAATAAACAAGGAATTAAATAAAATATATATTAGAACTATGTAAAGTAGCAAACTGGGCTCATTTTATTTTATTTCCTTTCTACCCTGGTACACTGCAAACAAAGTCACATGCACTGAAATTGCAAAATACTTCAAACAGAAGATGGAAAGGACAGAACCAGTGGCCTGGATAATCCACAAACTTGAGGAGCAGCCCTGGGATCATTGAAAGCTGACTGGAATGAAACAAACAAAAAAACAAAAAACAAAGAATGACTCTCTATACACAAATAAGCAATCAGTCTTCCGAACAATTTTAAAACTGTATGGTGGTATGTGGATCACTCCCTTGTAAGAAGACATTTCAAAGATTGAAGCGTGCTTGGAGAGCAACAGAAACGATTGCAAACACAGGCTTCTGGGACAAGAATGCTTTAGATGTCCTCTGCATCATTCTACAGAGAGTGAAACTTCCCATATGATGGCTGAGGGTCACCTGTTAGTGAGAGATGCAGGCTAAGTGTAGAAAATCCAAGTCCCATTGAGAAGTTATTTGATGGAATCACTAGAAAATCCTGCCATCAGTAGGTGTTGATGTTAAACTGGGAGAAATCTTTTTAACTATTTTACAAAAACTTTAGAAGAATAAAATACAATCTTGACTTGGAGACAATAAGCCCTGTCACTTACTGATAAGGTAATCCAAGGCAGTTCACATAGCAATCCTGGGCTTGGTTTCCAAGATGGACTTTATAGGGAAGCAAATCAGGCAAATAATCAGAAATAATTTTATTGTGGAGGACTACAAAAATGATTAACATTTTACCTATAGTATTTTGATTGTGTGTATATATAGCCTGTGCTTGGTGAATGGGAAAGAGTAAAACAACAGTAAAAGCACAGACTGCTATACTGAGTAGAAAGTCTGAATGACACAAATCACTTTTCATAAACTCAATGCTTACATGCAATGGGGTAGACATTTTTCTTGGGAAACTATTGTGTTCCCACTAAAATCCAAGAAAATCTACTTAATATCTTCACAGCATCAAAGCATAGAAGGTTTTCATTAAGAGGAAGAGGAAAAGAGAGAAAGAAAAATAGTGGAGGGAGGGCAGTTATTTTGCAGAGAATACTTTGAAAAGGAAAGACACCTCTGTGAAGCAGCAAATTAACTAGAACAAGAGAAATGAGTCAGTGAGATCAGGGATAAATCTGGTCCAGTTTTCAAAATAACTTTTGAAATGTTTTTCCAATTAGTGTAAATATAAAAATGGAAGCATCCTTTCAAATAAGGATAGGCATAGCCCTCGGAGTAGCAGAGAGTATAGCAGAATATCAGTAATGACACAGGCTGATGAGGGCTCAGATAGAATCAGAGCATAGACAACAGTCACAGTTAGCACAGGGTTCTCCCCACCTCTTTAATAAGAAGACATTGCAAGTCAACACTGAAACCTTGCTGAACGCTATGTGTAAGTTGTTATATTATTGCATGTAAATATCTCTGTGAAAAAAAATGAATAACTACATATACATGGAGAAGTTAATGGTTAGTAAATTTTATGTAATTTCCATCTTATACTTTTCAGAATAAATCTCAAAAGATTTCTTGCTGTCTGAGTTTGTCTCCTGTAACAGCTAACACTTCTAGCTAATTAGCGACCTCTATTTGACACACATATATCACACATACCTCATTTATTCATTCATTCAACAAGCATTTATTAAGCACTCCCTATTCCCTAGGCACTGTGCTTGGCTCAGGAAGATTAGTAACTAAAGAAGAACATTGTCTTTAAGAAATTCAGCATCTTATGGAGGAAGAATGCCATTAAAATAGGTATAGCTGTAAGTAATCATTATCCCTATCTCTATTACTATCTTGTCCAACTGATTCCAGAAGGATTTCACCTAACTTACTCACTGGTTTGGATCCCATGAAGAATATATCAATCTTCATAGATTCATCCATTGTTTATTGAATATGAAATGCTGGGCTGGCTTGATAGATCTAGTTACTCAATATTTAACCCCAAGTTGCGTGTCTTTTATTTAACTAAGCATAAAATGAACACGATTGAGTCAGTTCTGTCTTCAAATATCAGTTGGCCAGCTGGAATGTAAGAAGTCTATTTGTAGGACAAAAATAATGACAACAGAATTAGCCCCTGGCTATCCAAAATGGTTAATTTGATTTAGTGAGGGAAATTATGAATAAATATTAAAATCCAGAAGAAACTGCTGGTTATTGTACAATTAGCAATTACATACTAGCCATAGCTTTTAATTATATTGCTTGGACTATAATAGGGCAATACATTCAAAACAGCTTGGATTTGGCTTCCAAAACATGGCATGATGCATGCAACTTGTAAATGCCCACAATGATATTTTCTTCCATTTCACTATGGGAACTGAATTATCCTTCAGCAAATCAATCCATCTCTCACATTTGCACATAGTGGGCTAAAGTAGAGGAAACAGAAAAAAGCATTAGCCAGCTATCCTGTATCAGCCTATGTGCCCAGGACCCATGAGTGTCCCATGAGTGCTCCCCGTCACTGTCCATTAGCCATTCACATGAAAGACCATCACCTTCACTACTGCATCTGCTCTGAACAGAAGAAAAGAAGGACCATCACATATACTCTGCACCAGACTTCTGATTCTGCCAGATGGCAGTGGTCTTTAACCATATGTTGTACGTGATTAGAGAATGGATATTTCTATCTGCGTGACAAACTGTGGATTCTGGACAACCCTCAAGGGCCACCCCCAGATAGTAGAGCAGCAGCTGTCTGCCTGGATGTTTTCCCAACAGCCATGAAGATTACAGGTTTTGGCTCTGTCAACCCCAGGCTCAAATTGCAGCACCTTCACTGTGGGATCTTGGGCAAGCCACTCTCTCTGGGCCTTAATCGTGTCCTCTGGAAGCTTCAGGTTTGTAAATCTGTGATATTGAAATGGACATAGAGGTGGATGGCATCATACTGGAGGGTGTGGACTCTGGGACCAGCCTGGGATCAAAGCCTGCTCCTCCACTTAACAATTGTTAGACTGCAGGCAATTACTTATTCACGCTGTGCTTCATGCTCCTCATGCTTTACACAGGAATATGTATAGTGCCTCCAGAGAGTTCCTGTGGCAATTAAATGAGTTAACAAATAATTGCCCCTGGCAGATAAGTGACTATGCAAAGTGTTTGCAGTTGTTATTATCTCTCAGTGATAATTGAGATGAATTAATTTTAAAAATTAAAACAGTCTCCAGCACACAGAAATCATTCAACGGTGGTGGCAGTTGTTATTGTATTGTTATAACTTGTAATAGTGTTTTCCATAACTACTTCATTCCAGTCTAGCAGAGATGTATTTGTCCCTTGACTACCAGGTAAATTATAGCTGCATACCTGTTGCTACTGTGAATGCAGGGTAGGAACAACTACTTGGATCAAGCACAATGGTACCCAGGACTGGACTTTTTTCCCTTCCATTAGTCCAGATTTTAACATTCCTAAACAGCAATAACATTCCTAAGTATTTTTGTGACTTCCATGTGCAACTGAGGTCTTGGGCAATGTGAAATGTCCAGATTGAGATGGTGAAGCCCCAGTGTGCCAGGATCAACTCCTCCCTGGGGTGCAAAGATTAAGCTTTCTTAGAATTACGCTTGAAGTCAAGGTGCTAATTTTTTTTTGTCTTTGACAAATTATTATGGAAATGCTGATCTCTGAGTTCTTTGCTCAGAGGAAGCATAAATGAGTGCCAAACAAGAACTTAAGTTATACTTCTGGCATTCTGAAGATGTCAGGTAAAGGGCCAAGGAAAGGAGTATGCCACTTTTCCTATAAGCTGAAGAGGATATGAAATATATGATTCTCTTATATGATTTTATTGATTTAAAAGGTACACTAAGCCACAGAACTAATGGCATTTCTAAAAGTAAGCTTTTGGTTTATTCCCTTTGTCACTGTAGAATACTAGCCATGGGTATATTTATATTTTATTTTATTTTACTTTATTTTATTTTAGACAAAGCTGAAAGAGCACACTGTAACACACATCACACCACTTGGGCAGCCACCCACTCCTAGATGCTACCATGGGACCGGAGCCCCACAGCACGTGCCCCGGCTCCTGCACCTGCCCATCTGCTTGCTCCCCCTCCCATAGGGGGTTTGAGCACACGGTGGCTGAACACAGTAGCCACACCTCTGCCACATGTCCTGCATGGAATATCAGGGAATTCCCCCATCTCAATAATAGTGTGGATTATAACTTATAGAATAAAACAGGTATCCATGACCCCATGTGGATATAAATAAGTGATTGAATAAATACATATATGGGTGAAAAGAGAAGGCTTTCCCTTACAGAATAATTCTAATTAATATATGAAGAAGATATGGAGGAAATACAAAATTACTATTAGGCAAATACCACAAGAATAATTGCTGTAGGCAAGATTCACCAATGGATACTAAAATTAATGTTGGGGAGAAACAGCATATGTAGTCTCAAATTATTTCTCACAAAATATTGGTGAATTATAAAAGAAAAATAGTAATTTTACAGTGGAGAAACTGCACACACTGTCTTAATCAAGTGTTCAAGGTTAGAAATATCAGTAATAAGGCACATTGACAGCATGTATGACCTGATATACTGCACTAAGAAAGGCACAACATCACTTCTGTGCCATTCTCACATAAAATGCATAATCTCAGTCTAATCAATCTCAGTCTAATCATGAGAAATCTAAAGTAAGGACCATTCTATGAAATAACTGATCAGCAATTATCAAAAGTATTAAGGTCATAGCAAACAAGGAAAGAATGAGGATTGGAGGAGGTATTGCCAATTGGAGGGGACTAAAAAGATATAACTGAATACACTGTGGGAACAGAAAAGAAGATTAGCAAAAAACTGGTGAAGTTTGAACAAAGTCTGGCTTGAAGTTTAGTTAATAGCATTATATTAATGTTAATTTTCTGATTTCATTAACTGTGCTGTGATTATGCAAGATGCTAGTATTAGGGAAGTTGGGTGAAGTGTATATGAGAACTCTTTCATCCAAGTGCTAACCAGACCAAACCCTGCGTAGGTTCCGAGATCAGACAAGATCAGGTGTGTTCAGAGTGGTATGGTAGACTATGAGAACTCTTTGTACTATGTCTGTGACTTTTCTATAAATCTAGAATTATTTAAAAGTAAAAAGTTTTTAAAAATTCCTGGCACCTCACTTTGATTATTTCAAAACTTGTTTTAAGCTTTGCTAAGGTTAGTCTATTCCAGTTTTGTCCTTAGTTTTAAGGTTTTGGTCCTTAATTAGTCCTGGGATTAATTAGCACAGGTGTTTTCCCTTTTTTTGTTTGTTTTTAGATTTGAAGGATTTAAAAAATCTTTTTAAATTTAAATCGTTGTTTGGGTACAGGTGGTTTTTGGTCACACAGGTAAGTTCTTTAGTGGTGATTTCTGAGATTTTATTGCAGCCATCACCCGAGCAGTGTACATTGTACCCAATATGTGGTCTTTTATCCCTCACTCTTCTTCCAACCTTCCTCCCTGAGTCCCTAAAGTCCATTATGTCATTCTTATGCCTTTGCGTCCTCATAGCTTAGCTCCCACTTATAAGTGAGAACATATGATATTTGACTTTGCATTCCTGAGTTACTTCACTTAGAATAATGGCTTCCAGCTCCATCAAAGTTGCTGCAAAAGACATTATATCATTTTTTTTTAATGGTGAGTAGTATTCCACGGTGTATATATACCACATTTTTTTTATTGACTCTTTGGTCAATGGGTACTTAGGTTGATTCTATATCTTTGCACTAGTGTTTTCTATTATGTATTTGAACTACAGCTATAAAATAGTGAACTTGTCCTTATTATGTGAACTTTTTGGGGCTTCAATGAAAAGTCTGAATTCCTCTAACTAAGTATTTCTAACTTGGTGAGGCTTTTCCTTTTAACAGTAGGGTGAGCCACATATAGAAGAATTACTTTTCATGCAGCAAGCCTCCCCAGCATCAGGCTCACAGCTGGGCTCCTGGCATTCTCTTCTCACACATGCAGTTTTGTCTTTGATCAGTCATCTCTAAAAATCACCTGTTTGTCAATCTCTGTCCTTTTCCTCTACTTTGTCTTTTTCTTCCTATTGGTTATCACTACCTTATTACATTTCTTGTACAACAACATCACATTATGTTATACTGTGTTACTATAATCTCTTTCCTAGAAAATAAGCAACAGGAGCACAAGAACTTAGTTTTTTCCCCATTGCTGTATTTCCAGCACCTGGAACAGTCCCTGGCACTCAGTAAGAATTCAATAATATCTGTTCAGTGAATAAATGGATTATTACAATATTTTTTCAGGATTATCATTTTTATCCTCATTGAACAGACAGCAAAACTGGAGACTGGAAATACAGACAAAGTCATAAAACAGGTGGTGGATCTGGATTAAAATTCAGTGTTCTGAGTCTGAGCCCATTGCTGTTTCCAGAAAAGCAGAAAGTGAAGTCAAGGGTCTGGTGCTCTGGCTTGGGGAGAAGGACTAAGGGGATGACACTGTGGGCAGGTGACTTTTGCTGGGTGTCTCTTTACCATGTATCTGAGTCACTTCTTTTAGAGGTTGACCTGGCTGCTTTTTGTTTCTGATTATGTCCTATGCTAGCAGCATATGTATGGTGACCCTCAGCTGCAAAATGGAGCTAGGTTAACCCCTTGGTCTGGGGTCATCCACCCTGCCAGCTCCCCCTTTCTGAATTTGTTTGCTGAGCTTCTAGATTGTGAGTGAAATAGTTAAGGAAATGCCCCAAGAAGCTAGAAAGCTAAATAAGATCAGCATATACGTGCTTGTTTTTATTATATAGAATTCTTCAAATAACAATGACTTACTTAGGGCAGATTATTCTCTAAATACCTACCTTCTCTGCTACTGACTACTAGGTAGACCAAAACTGGGAAGATATTTGCGAAGCAGTTCTACGTGATGTCACTGAAAAGACCAACACAATTAAAATGTAATTCATTTCACATATTAACCAAAGAAGTGGGGACAGAAGAAAAGAAATGTCACTTTGAAAGCATTCGAAACAAAACATTTAGGAAATATACTCTCTGAAGATACTTTTCTAAAATCTGTTTATAGATATAACGAAAAAGTTCACATATTTTTGTAAATATGTTATAGCCACAGAATGTAAACCATGGATTTGTACAGTTTAGATTCTGCAGTTCATGGGGACATGTGCAATACAATTTTATTTCAATTTGTTACTATGTATAGCCCCAAAGTACTGAGAAAAGTCTGGCAAGATGAAATGGGTCTGTTCTGGATTGTGTAACTTAACTTGCTGATATCTTGCCTTAACCAGAAAAGCGATGTGTAGGAGAATAATACCAGGGAATAGTTTTTTCTTTTTCTCTCCCTATGTTTATAAATAAGTACATTTATTACTTGAGGGATGATGCTCTAAGATATTAATCTCAAAGCCCTTAGACTCTGATGCTCAGTGTGTTGGAAATTGCATTCCCAATTTCTCACTGCTTTTGCCAATTTTGCAACTCAAAAGTTGCATTAGTTTACATTGTAAGCAATATGTGTGTGTGTGTGTGTGTGTGTGTGTGTGTGTATGGTGTTTTGAGACTGAGTATTTGAAATCTGTGGTGTTAGCTCCAAGCCAGACATTCCCATTTAGTCATATAGCAAAGTCCTTTCCCTTAAATCACAGAAGTGAATAGGAAAAAAAAAAAAAGCAAAATGGAAAAATGAACCAGTTGGCATGATTTACTCACTTTTCCCTCAGGTGACAGAGCAGGGTGCCCTCCCATGCTTCATCTGGGTCAGGGGGTGCGCACACACCAGAAGGGCCAGGTGGGACTGTGAAGGGTGATCCCTCCTCTACAGCAGCAGTGGCTACTGGTGTCTGGCTGAGTGCTGTCATTCTAGAATTTGGGCTTGATATTGTCATTAATAGGTTTATAAAAGCCAGAAATCTCAATTTCCATTGAAACCTCATGATTTTCCAATATCAGCAACTAATTACAATTTTTAAAAACACAAACTGACTCCAAAACACGATATCCCAGCCATGAAATAAAATCCAACAGGAGTACAACGTTTGACATGCTGGCCCAGGTGCTGAACAGTCCATCCCAAGAAGGAGCTGTGAGAAGCAGCCAACTTCCTCACCCTGGAAGGGTCGGCTTCTAATCTGTTTGTGAAAGGAAGATGGTCTCATATCTGCTTCAAGGTGTTTCCAGCTATTTCTTTTCTCACTTTATCCTCACTTGTCCACTAGGAACCACTGTCCGGAGCTGTTGGCTATCAGCCACCTTGAGAGGATGCTGCAGCCCCAGGGCAACTATGAGGCCACCACAACCTCACTTTCCCTTCCTTGACTCTCCTCATTGTTACCACCCAGGTACGTGACACCCAATTGTACTGGAGAGAGGTGATGGACTAAAGGGATTAGAATTTAGAAAGATTTTGTTCTTTTTATAAACTATATATTTATGTTCACACATATATATATATGTATATATATATATATTTTTTTTTTTGAGACGGAGTCACACTCTGTTGCCCAGGCTGGAGTGCAATGGCATGATCTCGGCTCACTGCAACCTCTGCCTCCCAGGTTCAAGAGATTCTCCTGCCTCAGCCTCCTGAGTAGCTGGGATTACAGGCACGTGCCATCATGCCTGGCTAATTTTTGTATTTTTAGTAGAGGTGAGGTTTCACCATGTTGGTCAGGCTGGTCTCGAATGCTTAACCTCGTGATCCACCCACCTTGGCCTCTCAAAGTGCTGGGATTACAGACATGAGCCACCGCGCCCGGCTTATTTATGTACATATTTTTATAAACTATACACTTGTATGAATGCCTTCATAGTTCAAAGAGCAAATGCAAGACAGTGAAATGCACCATGGAATGGCTTGCTATTTCATCTGCTGTATCCTCAGCGGGTGCTCTCGTCCAGAACTTGATGGTGGGACTCCCACTCAGGGAAGCCTCTCCTTTCTTCCACAGATCCCATCTTCCCTGCTCCTTCCCCTCCCTCAGCAAGCAAAGTGAGGTGAGAATCCTGCTGTGGATTTCCCCATGTCTGGGTCATTCTGACAAGATCCTATTCAGAGACCCCTGTGGGGAGAGGAGGAAATGAGAGACTAGATTAGAGTGCTGCTTGGTGGGGAGTGGGAAGGGAAGGCCTTCAGCAGAATGCTTCCAAGTGGGCTTCAGCAACACAGTTTTAAGTCAGTGCAAAGCTCCCAGGAGGCTTTTACAATCCAGTTCAGGATCCTTTGAAGAAGATGCATCTCTTCATTCTTCAGGGTCACCTAGGAGGTACGTATCAATTAAACAACACACTCACATCTAAAGACAAGCTGTGCTTCTCAGTGGGCAGTGTGGACTAATCCACATGAAGGAAGCAAAACCTTTCTCTAATTGGGATGAAATCTGCCAGGATGGCCTCCTCCACAATGAGGGAGGGATCCCTGACTCAGAGCGGGGCTCATTCACCTTGGTTCTTCTGCCAGCTCTCCGTTGCCTACAGGTCTATTAGACAATAAAAAATGGGATTCATTAAAAGTGTCCTATCCATTAACCTTTAATGTCTATCACTTTGTGGGAAAAATCCCAGAAGAGTTTTTCAAATTATTTCGTTTCATTTTCTAGCTAGGTCGAATTCTTGGTAAAGGGTTTTCTGTAATCTTTGTACACAGAGAGGTCATTTCTAAGTAGCCCTAAGGGTTGAAGACGGTCTGGGTTGGTGGTTTTTCCTGCTTTTTTCCCATCAGTTTTAGGGTCTGAATTTTTCAGCATTAATAAAGCAATAACTTGTGGGAAGCTGTTAGTATAATTTTTATTTGGAATTGAGATTAAAATGTACTATATCATATATAGGTATATTTTGCAGCAATAATGGAAATGTAGAACACCATTTCTTTTCACAAATGAATTAATCTGTCTTTGCAGTCCATGGGAATCATTACAGAATAAGTCTTTCATTTTCCAGTTTTGGATTTTATATATTTAGAAGAGTATTTTCAGTAAGGAAAATTTTTTTTTTACAAATATCCTTTTTTTTTTTTTTTTGAGACAGAGTCTCGCTCTGTCCCCAGGCTGGAATGCAGTGGCCAGACTTCGACTCACTGCAAACTCCGCCTCCCGGGTTCACGCCATTCTCCTGCCTCAGCTTCCCGAGTAGCTGGGACTACAGGCGCCCGCCACCACGCCCGGCTAATTTGTTTTGTATTTTTACTAGAGACGGGGTTTCACCGTGTTAGCCAGGATGGTCTCGATCTCCTGACCTCGTGATCTGCCCGCCTCAGCCTCCCAAAGTACTGGGATTACAGGCGTGAGCCACTGCGCCCGGCCTGTTTTTTTTTACAAATCTCAAAGAGCTCGCTTTCTGGGATAACTGAGAAAAAGATGGCATTTCCATTGACAAAGCAAGCATTGTGACATTGTGAATGAAATAGTTATGACTCAGTTTCTCAATAATTTTGTACAGATGTATTATATATACTATGGCTAGCACAATGGAAAAATATATTTACGTAGGGTCAGAAAGACGAATCTATGTTCCAGTTATGTCCTTCCTGGCTGGAGGAACTTGAATAATTCAATTGGTATTGTAGGTTGGGTTTCCCAGGACACAGACTCTAAGACAGATGTTAGTGTTCAGGCGTTTATTAGGGAGCACGTTGGGATGAGCAGCTGTGGAAGGGAGGGGAAGGAAACAGGATTGGGCAGAGGAGCAATTCAGCTGAGATGTACCTGATAGCCTCAACTACCCCACTGCAGCTCTGGAGCTACAACGTTCCCGCAGATTTATCCTATGTTGGACCTTTATACCTCTTAGTCAGTTACTGGGTGCAGGATACAAACTGGGAGGGTGTGACCTCAGGAAGGCAGCTTTTTGCACCTGAGGCTATTTCTTTTTTCTTTTTTCTTTCTTTTTTTTTTGGAGACAGGGTCTTGCTCTGTCACCCAGGCTGGAATGCAGTGGCACAATCTCGGCTCAATGCAACCTCTGGCTCCTGGGTTCAAGTGATTCTCATGCCTTTGCCTCCTGAGCAGCTGGGATTACAGGTGCCCACACCAGGCTAATTTTTGTATTTTTAGTAGAGACGGGGTTTCAGCATATTGGTCAGGCTGGTCTCAAACTCCTGACCTCAAGTGATCTGCCCACCTCGGCCTCCCAAAGTCCTGGGATTACAGGCATGAGCCACCATGCCTGGCCTGCATCTGAGGCTATTTCTGAAGGGACCCACAGCTGAACATCGCTTGCTGACAAATTCCCTCTGAAGCTGGGGTGAGTCCTTTCTTGACGGTGGACCCAGGTAGGGGAATATCTATCCATCCCACTTGACTTCCGTGAGCTTCAGTTTTCTTATAAATACTGTTTGAAGACTGAATTCGATGCCTGTAATATACATAGCCTAGTGCTTAGAACTTCATTACCTTACAAAAAACACTATGATTATTGTTACTCAAAAGGTAGCAGTTGGGACAGGTACTTTCACAGTATCTGCTCAGACAGAAATGCTTTCAGCATCAAAAATTATTCAGAAGTGCTTCTTAAATAACTTATAGCTGTAACAACTTCTTGAATACCTAGTATTTTGTTTGTTTGCTTAGATAGAAAATTCCAAGGTAGAGTTGCTGTGGTGAATTAGGGAAGGCAGAGTTGGTATAAAGATACAAAGATACTGGCCGGGCACGGTGGCTCACGCCTGTAATCTCAGCACTTTGGGAGGCAGAGGCGGGTGGATCACGAGATCAGGAGATCGAGACCATCCTGGCTAACACAGTGAAACCCCGTCTCTACTAAAAATACAAAAAATTAGCTGGGCGTGGTGGCGGGCGCCTGTAGTCCCAGCTACTCGGGAGGCTGAGGCAGGAGAATGGCTTGAACCCGGGAGGCGGAGCTTGCGGTGAGCTGAGATTGTGCCACTGCATTCCAGCCTGGGCGACAGAGCGAGACTCCGTCTCAAAAAAAAAAAAAAAAAAAAAAAGATACAAAGATACTGGAGTGTCTCACAGAACTCTGCATTCCTATGCAGATGGATGTTAGGAACAATTGGCATAGGAAGACATAATGGTTTTATTCTACATGTTTGTCTCTGCTTTCTAAATAGCAGCAGCATCACTGAAACACATTTATGTATATTTTTTACCTTTCTTGTCCTGCAGATCACCTTCCTTCACTTCTTTGGTCTCCCATGGCAGAAGAGATGATAGTGACAGTGTCCAAGCTTTACATATTAGATCCAGCATCCAAGCAGTTCTGAAATCCCTGGAGGGCTCCAACTGGTTCAACTTAGGTCAGGTGTCCAGCCCTGAATCAATCAAAGGTGGCCAGGGTTACATTTTCTTGTGGCTCTTTCTGCTTCACACATTATATGATTAGGAGCAGAGGAGTTTTTTGTTTTGTTTTTTTTTTTTTTTTTTTTTTTGAGACAGCGTCTTGCTCTGTTGCCAGGCTGGAGTGCAGTGGTGTGATCTCGGCTCACTGCAACCTCTGTCTCCCAGGTTCAAGTGACTCCCCTGCCTCAGCCTCCTGAGTAGCTCGGACTACAGGCGTGCACCACCACATCGGCTAGCTTTTTGTATTTTAGTAGAGACGGAGTTTCACCATGTTGGCAGGATGGTCTCGAACTCCTGACCTCGTGATTCACCCACCTCAGCCTCTCAAAGTGCTGGGATTACAGGCGTGAGCCACTGCGCCTGGCCTAAGAGCAGTGGAGTTTCAAGAAAAAGCCATGAAGGTACTGAGCAGATAAAACAATAGGCAGCCACATGCTTGGAAAGCCAGGGAAAATGCTTTTCTTAGATGTTACTTTAGGAGAACAAAGACAATGTGGATCACTAAGAAAAGTAGATTATGGATCAGAGGGTAACAGGATTTATATCTGCTGGCAAAAGTGCTTCATAAGCTCTAAAATAGCATTTCAGTCTCAATAGATACAACATTTCTGCCAGCTCAACAAGGCTCACCTGAGTTGTTATAGTTACATTGGGTTTTTGGAGTTAAGTGGAGTTTCTAAAAACTCTTTTCTGAAACTGCATAGTTATTCTCTGTTCTCTGTTACATTTTCTGATCTAATGCCAATATGACAGTCCTAATGTCCTTGAAATTGTCAAGGATAAAAGAGATGAATGAAATCATTTTGAAAATGTGTTTCCTCACATTCAATATCCAATTCACTTATCTGGGTGAATTTTCTCTCTCTGGTAAGCAACATGCTCCAGCTTGGGAGTCACACACACTTGAGTTTAAATTCTGACCAATCTGCTTACTAGCTCTCTCGTCTTGAGCAAGTAACTCTTACTCTTCAATGAGTAACTGTCCCTACATCCTTAAAATCTTCAGCATCTTCTTCTTCTTCAATGAAACTTCTCACCATCTTCTTGCCTGAAAGCCAGATTGTTTCTAAGAACATTTCCCCTGAGGTCTTCTGAAGATTGGCTTGTGTTCTTTTTCTCATATCCCACTTGTCTTAGATGTTACCCCCCTCCCCAAGTTCTCATCCCCAACTGTTATTGTCAGATACTAGGTATCCCTTTTCCCTTGAAATGAAAAAATAACAAAATAAAATGGAATTTAAAAAATAAAATGAACCTTGCTTTTGTGAAACTTACACATTCATTTGTATAAGCTTCTTCTCCCCTTTAACAATCAAAATTCTGTGGACATGCCTTTATTCATTGATCCCTTTGTCAACAATCTAGGTATCCCCAGAGTGCAGCCTTCTTTTCCCACCCAAACTCTTGCCATCATTTCAGATGACTTCAACAACCATGAAGATGCCTTAACATTTTTGTCTCTCCATTCCTAGACCACCTCATTTTCAATTTTCCTCTTTACAATTGTACTATATCCACCCATCTCCCATAGTCAAGTCTTGGGCTGTGTCATCACTAGAAATGGCACCATCTCTGAAATCCTGAATTAAAACCATTAAAAAACCATTATTAAACCATTAAAAAAACATTATTAAACCATTAAAAAACCATCTCTGAAATCCTGAATTAAAACTATTAAAAAATGATGATTTTAAAACCATTAAAATCACAGCTTCCTATCATTTCAGCTCACATGTTGAGTACTGTTGCAGCAACAATTTTTCACCCTCATTATGAATTCTGATCCATTAACCCCACAATGTTCTATTTACTAGCCCCCTGCCCCTTGTTATCATTCTTTGACTGATTTACTTTCTATAATTCCCTATCGCGATCACCCTTTTGCAAATATCATCACCTCTATTGACTTCCTCTGCTTTTTTTCCCCACCTACCCATAAAACTCTAACCTTGAATGCACTCAACCACACACATTCCTATTACCTGTATCCAGTCAGCAGAGGGTTGCTGGAGAAAATCTTCCAATCATCTTGATAGTACTAAAAATTAGTGTTCACTAGCTCCATTTGGGATCTCACTCTTGCAACCCTAGGTATTCATATATGTAAATCCTTCCTACCTTCTCCAAATCTCCAATACTTCCCCCCGCTACTCTTCAGAGGTGGCAATATCCTTTACTTCATTGAGAAAACAGAAGCTTTCAAATGGCATTCTCCTCATTTTCCAGTGCCATGTCAACAAATCTACCTCCATGTTCCCATTCTCTCCTTCTACCCTCCTGATAATGCAGAAAATATCCCTTTTTCCATAGGCCAGTCCTTCGACACCAGCTCTGGGTTCCATTCCATCAACTCTCAGGGGCTCCATTCATCTGTAATCCTTTCTAGTTTGTACCTTAGTTTCTTGTTCTCAACTTGAGTCTTCCTATAAAAATTCAACATGCTCTGATATAAAATTCTCCCTGGACCCCATGTTTCTCCCCACTTACTGCTGTATCTATTTCCTTTATAGCCAAACTTTTAAAGTAAGTTGTTGACACTTGATTTTTCCATTTCCTCTGATTTCATTCATTCTTCAATCCATATTTTCACATTACCAAAAGCAAAGGGTGATTTTGAGTCCTCGTATTATTTGATCTCTTAGCATCCAACCCCAACGTCAGTTTTGCTACCTCTTAGGTTTCCTTGCCAAACCTATCTTGATCTTCCGTGATATCTTCATTCCCTAATCACAAATATTTAACATCTTTTTTTTTTCCTCAAAGTTTCAACATCCAGCAATTCAGCAAAGCTTGACTTTTTTTCCTTCTCAAAATCTAACTCCATCTGTTCTTTCCATTCCCTGCAATGATCTCTACTCAGTCACTGAGTACCTCTCTGTTCTTAGTTTCCTGACAGCTACATTAAACCCAGTGGGTACTGCTCAGTCTTCATTTTTCTTGCCTTACCAGCAGCATTGCTACTCCTAATGCCAGCTTCACCTCATGCTGGCCATTCACTGAAATATCCTCCTAACTGACCTGCCTGACTTAGATATGTACGTTCCACACCACTTTAATTTCCACTGTCAGTCCAACTTCCTAATACACAATTTGTACACAGTACAACTCTATAGCTCTTTCTCCAACCCCTCTTCCTCTCTTTGCCACATACTCAAAAAATAATTAGTTGCTTATTTTGTCTACAAAAAAAATCTCTGTGCCAACAATCAAATTCTATATAATAAAGTTCTTATTCACTCATAGAACTTCTTCTCCTGTAGCTTTTCACATATTTATTCTAACCGCATTTCACTATCCACAGTTACCTAAGAACTTCATGCACATCCTATTTTTGCACATCATATTGTCTCTCTGATATGACTTTTTTTCTCTTTTTTGCAGAATAAGACCTGTACTATTACTCTCCTGTGGTATGATGATGAGAAAAACCCAGAAATGTACAGTTTTGTTATCAAACTGTAGGCATGTTTATGTTATGGTAGAAACTGTGTGTTAAGGGTGGATAGTTAATTAACAGAAAAATCAGGCTGAAGGGAAAAATTAAAAGTAAACACACACATACATCTTAAACATTTTATTTTAATTTTATACATAGAAAATATATTTATTTACAATCTTGGGATGCATAGCCACAGCCATTACTTAGATTAGGCAGATTTTAGTTCCCCATCATCTTTTTGTAGTGGCTTAGGTTTCTCTTTTATGCAACTAAATTCTATGATTTCCAGTCTCCATTTTTTTAAGATAAATAACTAGCTAATTTTTTTCAAATAACCTGTATTTAGAAGAGAATGTTTTTTGTTTTTCATATTTTTTTCTCCAAACTTAGAGAATGATCTTGTCCACACCAAATAAACATGTTTTTAAATGTCTTGCATTCATTCAGTCTTTCCAATGCATTCAGTTTCATTAGAAACATCTCTCTTTTCATCCTCATAATTCATGGATTATGTGCTAATTTTTAAGTTTACATAACTATTATCAAAAGCATAACTGGTATAAGCAGATATCAGAACAAACACCACTGTCTCTGGATGTGCACAGAAATCTGCTGGTGAGATCCTAAATGTATGTTGGTCAATGTTCTCTAGTATATGTAAACCCTGTGCTCATTATGATCTTTTTCCTTTCAAAGGGCAGCAGATACCTTTATGTTTAAATAGTACAAAATGGGCATTGAAATAAGGAGAAAAATACTATTTGTAAGTTTAAATCATTACAGCAAATGAGTCATTTATTTTTAGTGGTAAAATTTAAATTACTTTTAATTAAAATATCTTCACTAAGGGTCAATTATCTAATTAGTATTTTTCAAAAACTGTTAACTAAATTTACTATTAATGTAATTGTGTTATTACTTCTTTTAGTTGAATATATAGATGGACATTTGCCGGTCAGCTAAGTTAGAGCACTCTTTAAAGCTAGTGACATCTCAGATTTTCTTAGTACATGCAGTATATATATAACAACGTTGCTTCCGGTATAAAGTTTATTTAAACAGATGCTGTTTATTAATACTATTAGTCACATTTTTACAGTATGACATAGTAGGAGGCAAAAAAATGAGATCCTTTAGCATGTAATATTGCTTACACTTTCACTTTTTGAAAGCTATAAGAGGAATTTAAAAAAAATTCTTTTGCAGGTTATGAGCACATTTATACAATTGTTCATTTCACTGGTGATCATTTTTCACTTCAAATATTAAAGAAGATGGAGCCATCTCTCTGGCAATGAAATTGTTATAAATGTAATCGACACTGGTCTAAGAGATCAAACTCAACTATTCTCAAGAGAGAGAAAGACTTTATGGTTCTTAACTAATATCTGCCTTCTTAAGGATTATGAATTGCTAGTAATACACTTCCAGATAGATGGTATTCTTTCTCAGTATATGCTGTTTAGAGTAGATACTACGGTAGAATGCAGATATGAGTCATAAGAGTCCTGGTTACTATTTCTAACTCTGAAATCACTGCCATTAAAATAGAAGTAGTTGTAGAAAATTTAGTAAAATATTATTTAACTACATATTTATAGATACTAAATTTATGTTGTTTCTTAATAATCAGTGGTTAGACTCAAGTTTATTTATAACACCTAAATTTAATTTTTAAAAAAAGATTTTATTATCAAATATCTGTACATATTTTGGGGGTACATGTGATATTTTGATAGCTATATAGGAGGTATAATGAAGAAATCAGGGTAACGGGAATATCCATCACCTCAAACATTTATCTTTTATGTGTGTGTGGAATATTAATATTATAATTCTTCTTTTTTAGCTATTTTGAAATACAAAATAAATTATTGTTAACTATAATTTCCCTACTGCACTATTGAAGACTAAAACTTATTCCTTCTGTATTTTTGTGCCCCTTAACCAACTTCTCTTCATCCCCCTCTTCCCTTCCCAACCTTAGGTAACCACGTTTTACTCTCTGTCTCCATGAGATTTACTTTCTGAGTTCCTACATATGAATGAGAACATGTGATACCTAAATTTAAATATTATGCTGAAAAGAAAATATTTGCATAGACTCCTCCAACTCATTCCTGTGCTCATGCAGGTGTTCTCCCTTGAGGAATATTTATCTTTCTGCATCAGTCATCACTCTTGCCTCGGCCCTCATCTTCCCTGAGAGCTAAGTCCAGTGGATGAACTGAAGAGAAAGAAGGGAGTGCAGTATAATTGGCAAAAAGGTGATTAAGAGGCAGCAATGGAACCAAGATGAAAATGGTTCTGTGAACTGAGGAAGTGGAGGCTCCTCTCCTCCAACCATGAGCTGAGATAAGTGAGGGCATCTTCTCTGGATAGACTGGCAAGGGTGCTGGGTCAGTTTCTGCAAAGTTGGAGAAGGCAGAGACCATGATGGTGTGTTACAGGGTCAGCCAGGGCCCTGCAAGCTCACAGTGGGGCATGGGCTGTTAACAGCAATATAAAAAGGAGGGTGTTTGCTGACGTCTCTTATTTATATCTCTTATTTTTCTTCTAATGTCTATCCATGTTACATACATTAAGAATTATCATTTAGGAACATAGTGACTATGTTTTTTACAAATACAAGATTGAAAAGGCTGCATATTTCCCTTTCTACACTTGTCATTCTTATTCAGCTTATTTGTATCTGTAGAGTATGCGTAATTTGTCCATGTGCAAAGATGCTGTGCGTGTGTAATAGACTATTGACTTTATCATATATTTGAGTAAAACTGAAGAAATAATAAGCAACATTTTCAAAATTGTCAGAGTAATAATTTTAAATGTGCTACAAAGTAATACTGTATTCCAAATAAGTTATGCATTCATTTGCTTAACTTTCACCCATGAAATCTTTATATAATTACTGCTTGTACTTTTGAAATCCTTTCCTACTATGTAGTTTGTAAAAGCTCAAAATAGATACTGACAGCTAAAAGTAAAATAATCTAACCACGGTATATTTCAGCATTTAAGAAGGAAAAGTTCAAAACTAGTTGTTATCCTATTTATTTCTGTAAATGCAAAACTCTGTTAATGCTTTTAGGTGAAGTAGGCCCAAATAATAGGCTATGTTCTGTCATGTCTGACTAAAATAAAAATTCAGCCTAAGGAAACTCCTTTTGTAGACATTATTTGTTCTACAAAAAGTACAAAAGTTAGCCGGGCGTGGTGGTGCGCAGGGATTGTATCTCCATGCTGCTTACTCTAGGTTGCAGTATGTTCCCAACATATTTTAATGGTTTTAAAATGGTATTTCAATTTTTCCATCAGTTTGTATGCTCAGCCACCTGTATGTTTCCTCTGCAAGTTTCCAAAGTGAAGGAAAGGAAATTTTTTTTTTCTAATATTGTATTAATAGAGAAATCTAGATTTTTGGATTAATATTCTTTAATAAACACCGAGTTGAACAGAACGGGTTGCTCTCTAATTGATTATAATTCCCACTGGAACACTTCTCCAGGTTGAATGAAGGTCCAGGTTTTTTTTCTAATTCTTCTTTCCAACCTCTATTCAGTTTCAGTTGAGAATCTAAGATTACAGTGACCAATCAATTTTAGGCAGGAAGGGACTGCACTGATTAGCTCAACTGCCTCCTTTTCAGAGAAACGAAAGCTCACGGGCCGATTTAGCAAAGAGGGTGTATTCTTATCCGTGCTGTCTTATTTTTCAAGATTCCAGACTAGTCATAAAGCAAATGGTATAACTGCTAGCTGATGGGAATTTCTGGAATGGATTTAAGTGTGAGGAAGACAAAGGCCTAGTGGTAAGGTCAGCTCTGGAGGTAGATTACTTGGATTCCGATCAACTTAGTTTGTGTTCTTAGGCAAATTACATAACTTTTCTGTGCCTCAATTTCTTTGAAAGAGGGTGTGTAATAGTATCTATCTCACACTGTAATTGTGAGGATTAAGTGAGCTATTCTACCAAAAGTATTATAACATGCAGTTAAACTCTCAGTGAACAGTATTTTTACCCAAATTACAAATTGCGAAACCCTTAAGTCTTGAGCTTTCAAGGAGAGTTAGGAACCCTCCTATGGCATTGTCTTCTAAAAATCTGCTGCACAAAGTTGATGTTTGCATCAACTTTGGAGCTCAAATGGATTACTTTAATGAAGTTTGGGGCAAATGGATTATATATACATAGGAAGCCCTCCCCCAACACACAGAAAGTATGTGGACACGCAGAATTCAAAAGTCTGAGGGTGGCTGTGCTCAAGGGGTAAAGGGATGCTTAGGAAACTGCCGTTTCTGGCCGGGCCCGGTGGCTCACACCTGTAATCCCAGCACTTTGGGAGGCCGAAGCGGGTGGATCACGAGGTCAGCAGTTCAAGACTCAGCCTGGCCAAGATGGTGAAACCCCGTCTCTACTAAAAATACAAAAATTAGCCGGGCGTGGTGGTGGGCGCTTGTAATCCCAGCTACTCGGAAGGCTGTGGCAGATAATTGCTTGAACCCGTGAGGCGGAGGTTGCAGTGAGCCGAGATCTTCCCACTGCACTCCAGCCTGGGGAACAGAGCGAGACTCCGTCTCAAAACAAACAAACAAAAACTGCCTTTTTCTCCTAGGAGGAAGGCGGGACCTTCAATGAGGGTGGCTGGCTACCAAAGAACTAAACTTTAACACAGAAAAGGTGAGTCGGTCTCCCTGAGACCACAGGCGTCCAACCCAGGCCCACCTCCCACCGCCTGGAAGGCCCAGGTGTGACTGGAGGGCGACTGAAAGGGTCAGACCATGTGACTGTTCTCAACTTTGGGCTTTTACACAGCAGTTTCAAAGACAAAGGGGCTTTTCAGCTAGGTTTGGTTTGCCGCCCTCCTCTTCCCAGGCCCAAGCTTGTTCCCCAATGTCCCCAGCGATGCTTGGGACGTCCCTTAGTTCTCCCCTTTCTTGGGGGGACCACCCCGCGCCTCTAGGTTGTCTTCCGTCCCTCCTAGACAGAGGTGGATTGCCGCGACATTTCAGGGAGGAGAAATGGAGGGGCGAGGAGGGCAAAGACGCCCTACTAATCTCCCATCTTCAGAACGCGTCCCACCACGCCCGCGAGGCCCCCTCTGGCTACAGCCCTCACCGCGCTTCCTCCTCGTGCCGCATCCTCGGCAGGGGGGAGGGGCGCGGTGCGGCCGGCGCTCTCTGATTGGCTGCCGCGTCGGCGATCCACGCCACAATTGTTCCCTAAGACCGTCTGCCGCCAGCGAGCGCCAGGTGCGGAGCGGGCGTTAGAAGTTGCTGGCAGTCAGAGGCAGGGGAGCTGTCACTCGCGGCGAGCCGGGCGGCGGCCAGGGCGCAAAGTTGAGAGCAGTCTCTAGTCTGAGCCTTTCAGTCGCCTTCCAGTATCATCAGTACCACGGGCTCCACCTTGCTGCGGCCCCTCAGCAACCCAGTGCACCTGCCACTCGACCAGGTAGGTAGGCCGAGGCACCCGGGCGTCGGTCATCGCGCCTTCGCCGCCCTTTGCGGCCGCGGTACTGCCAGAGCAGGGGGGCCTGGGAGAGGTGTGGGGATTGGGGCCGGTCTCTCGGTGCCCTCCTCCCGCCGCCGGGAATTCTGCGTGTCCACGTACCTTCTGTGTGTTGGGGGAGGGGTTCCTATGTGTATATAATCCATTTGCCCCAAACTTCATAAAAGTAATCCATTTGAGCTCCAAAGTTGATGCAGACATCAACTTTGTGCAGCAGATTTTTAGAAGACAATGCCATAGGAGGGTTCCTAACTCTCCTTGAAAGCTCAAGACTTAAGGGTTTGGCAGTTTGTAATTTGGGTAAAAATACTGTTCACTGAGAGTTGAACAGGGAGGCGAAGACAACTTTGTTTTTTCCCGGGAGAGCCCTCGCTCGGAAGTGCCTCCTCCCTCCTTCTGCGGCTTGCGCCCCAAGACCTTCATCCGCCGCCGGGGCCGGGGTGGGCCGGGCGTTGGTGCCGGCGACAGCCCCCGGGGAAGGTCTTCATACAGACTTGAGGGTGTGCGTGCTGGTCCCTGCCCTCCGCCGCAGCGGGGCTGGGACTCAGCAGTCGGGTCCCGGAGCTGCCTTTGGTGCGCACGGGCGCGCACGGGCTGGGGTGTAGACGGGGCGCGGAAGGCTGTGCTTCGCGGAGGCCTGCGTGGTGGTGCCTGCCCGGAGCGTGGCTCTGAGCGACCACTGGAGAGGCTGATGCATGGGTCTAGGTGAGAACGGTGCATTAGCGATGGCGTTGATGGGTGCGAGGGGGCACAGAGAGGCCTAAGTGCTGCTGCACTTTGGGGACAGTTTGCATTGGAGTGTGGTTTAAGGGACACAGAGGCAACAGTTTCGAGGAGGGCAGAGAGGTTATGAAGAAAAGTCAGAGGGATTTATTCCCAGGATTCTAGCTGAGAAAGTTGCATCCTTGTAGATAGAAGCAGCCACTTTTACCTCCTGGCCCAACCCTCAAAAAAGCACTTGGCAGTGTCTATGGAAGGGTGGCATTTAAATGAGGCCAACGAGTCTGATGGTGAAAGGGCCTAACGGTTACTGAGAAATCAACAGTATTGTGATGGGAAAAGCAGCGCCATTTTTATTCAGCAAAGAAAGTTTGGAAGTATTTTATTGTGAGAACTGAGGATAAGATTTAAGGAAGTTGTTGATGGGGTGTGTGGGGGTAGAGTTAGGTGATTGCTGTAGCCTCAGGCTAAAGCTAGTTGACTTTGGAAATTTTGCTTACAATTATTTCAAGCATACTTGCACTTTACACGGGATACTGGTTCAAGGTCCTTAGCTAGAATGTGCTCCTGTTGTTTAATCTTCAGGGATTTCATTTATAATATAGGATTCCCCCTTGTCCAGACGACTTTTCCTAGCAGCAAGCTGGAAACCTGACATTAGGGTACAGGTTGCCGTGTGCTTTACTGTTTAAAATAAAATAAAGTATGTGGAAGGAGTGTAAAATAATTCTGCCTTCTGTTGAAATCTCATATTGCTGTCATAACTTCCAGTTAAATAGTAAAGTACCTATCCCCACCTACCTTCAACAGCAGTTATAATGTGTATCATGCAAATAAAGTATTGGTAATGAAATTAATCGTGTATTTGAAGAAAACACTATTCTCTGTTTATTAATAAATTGATCAGAATTTAGAGTTTTTCATCTTCTCAGCACTGTGGAGGATCCTCTTTGTTTTCCACACTGACATGCAGTGTATGACCTTTTAGCATATCACACTCCTGATTAAATAGGCTGCTGACAATGTATCAGCAAATGCAAACATTTTGCTGATGAGGGGCAAGGGAGATAGGCGTATATATTTACATTTCTTTTAGGGAGACAAGCATATATTCACATTCTGTCTTTCTCTTCCCCCTCTTACTTTCCCTTCTCCCAACCCCACGTCTGCCATAGGCTTACCCTCCGTCCCATGCCGAAATATTTTCTTGACTGTGCTAATAACACCTTTTAATTTATATAATGTGTATAAGTTTTTAAAAGTGATTTGATAGTAATGAACTCATTTAAACATATCAGCAACCAGAGAAAGTTCTTTTTCAGTACTGAAATAAGCAGGAGAATCAAGAGAAGGAGACAGGACTTAAAAATTTTTGACATCCTTCTTTATTTAGTCAAAGGTCTTGAGTTGGTACCTTGGGACTACTATAAATTTGTACAGCCACGTATAGCCCTAATTTGTGTAGTACAGTCATGTACTGCATAGTGCCAGTGAGGTCATTAGACCCCATATATGATGCTGGTCCCATAGATTATAAGGGAACTGAAAAATTCCCGTTGCCTAGTGAAGCTGCAGTATTCATAGTGTCTTAGGGCAACACATTACTCATGTTTTTGTGGTGATGCTGGTGTAAACAAACCTACTGTGCAACCAGTCCTGTAAAAGTCTAACATATACAATTATGTACAGTACATAATACTTGATAATGTTAAATACATTACTGGTTTGTGTAGTTTCTATACATTTTATCATTGTTTTAGAGCGTGCTCCTGTTGACTAAAGAAAAGTTAACTATGGAACAGCCTGAGGCAGGCTAAGTGCAATTACACTACAATATTCAGGAAATATTCCAGAAGATGGCACTGTCATAATAGCAGATGACAGCTACATGCATGTTATAGCCCCTGAAAACCTTTCAGTGGGACAAGATTAGAGGTGGAAGATAGTGATATAAATGATCTGGACCCTGTGTAGGCCTAGGCTAATGGGTGTGTTTGTGTCTTAGGTTTTTTTTTTTTGAGATGAGAGTCTCTCTCTGTCGCCCAGGCTGGAGTGCAGTGGCACAGATCTCGGCTCACTGCAACCTTCACCTTCTTGGTTCAAGCAACTCCCCTGCCTCAGCCTCCCGACTAGCTGGGATTACAGGCACACGCCACCACATCCAGCTAATTTTTTGTGTGTTTTTAATAAAGGCGGGGTTTCACCATGTTGGCCAGACTGGTCTCAAACTCCTGACATCAGGCAATCTGCGTGCCTCGGCCTCCCAAAGTGCTGGGATTACAGGTGTGAGCCACCATGCCCGGCCTGTTTGTGTCTTAGTTTTTAACAAAAAGTTTTAAAATTAAAAGTAAATAGAAAACAGCTTATAGAATTAGGATATAAAGAAAGAATACTTTTGTACAGCTGTACAATATGTGTTTTAAGCTAAGTGCAATTACAGAAGAGTTAAAATGTTTATAAAGTAAAAAAACTACAGTAAGCCAAGGTTAATTTATTACTGAAGAAAGAAGAACTTTTTAAAAATAAATTTAGTGTAGCCTAAATGTAGAGTGTTTATAAAGTCTACAGTAGTGTACACTAATGTCTTAGACCTTAGCACTCACTCACCACTCACTCACCCAGAACAACTTTTAGTCCTGCAGTCTTCATTCATGGTGAGTGCCCTGTATAGCTATGCTATTTTTTATCTTTTATGCTGTATCTTTACTGTACCTTTTCCAAGTTTAGATACACACATACTATTGTGTTAGTTACTACAGTATTCAGTACAGTAAGCTGCTGTATACGTCTGTAACCTAGGAGTAACAGACTGTACCATCTAGCCTGCATGTGTACCATCTAGCCTGCGTGTGTCGTAGGCTAGATTGTCCAGATTTACGTAAGTACACTGTGATGTCCACACAGAAACGGAATTGCCTAATGATGCATTTTTAAGAATGTATCCCCATCATTAAGCAACACATGAGTATATTTTCAGTTGTTTTCTATTTGAGCAAGTCTTGGGAATATTTGATTAATACCACTCAAGCCTTAACTTTTCATACCGATAATAAATTGTTTCTTTGACGCACCTAAGAATTGACTTTCTAGTTGATGAAGTTCTTGGAATAACTGAAAACTCACATTGTAAAATTGGATGAATAAAATCATTTAGCTATCATTTTAAAGTTGAGCATTTTATAGAACATAGAACATTTTTATAATGTAAATAGTCCAGGTTGAGAGAAAGCTTATGAATTTGTTGTAATCAGATAGTGTGAGTTAACAGGAAAAAGACACATCAGGAAATGAAAAGTGCAAAAATATAACATCAGTTTATTAATTTGGTATGAGCAAATTAACAGTGTTTTGAAAAATTAGGAAATTATAAAAGTAGTTATTTGATGTCAGATGAAGAAAAGAACTTTAGTGTAAGAAAAACAGTTAACTTTTTACTAGAGTAAGTGTAGAATTTATGAGATGATAGAAATTAATGGTCTGTGTGGAATGTAAGAATATGCCTTGCAGGGCCAGGTAGCAGAAAGGAGGGAGTGTTTTGCAATAAGCCTGAGGCCGGGGAAGGAAAAGGAGCAAAAGATCTTGCCATAGACTCCTGGATTGTTTAATCATTACTGAGAAGTCCAGAGTGACCTTGAGGTAGCCATAGTATTTGTTCATTAGGCCTTAAATCTTAAGAAAAATATAGAATCTATTATTAAGTGAGGTTACACCATGCTTTAAGATAGGAAGTATCTAGCATCTGAGGTTTGCCTTTGTAGGCCTTGCTTTCCAGATGATTTTATTTCTAGGGTAATGTTTAGTAGGTGGTTATGATTAAAGGAATATATGGAGAGAAGGTTTTGAGGAAGGAATTGGACTAAGGGAGACCTGTGCCATGAAAAAGGGCCAGATATGCAATTTAGAAGACACCAGTATCATTGAACATATTTGTATTTTTTATTAGTTTCTGATGTGCTGATGTTCAGTTCATCTGTAACTTAAAAAGTAAGGTGGGTTGGGCGCAATGGCTCATGCCTATAATCCCAGCACTTTGGGAGGCTGGGGCAGGAGGATCACCTGAGGTCAAGAGTTCAAGACCAACCTGACCGACATGGTGAAACCCTGTCTCTACTAAAATTGCAAAAATTTACTGGGCGTGGTGGCACACGCCTGTAATCCCAGCTACTCAGGAGGCTGAGGCAGGAGAATCGCCTGAACCCGGGAAGCGGAGGTTGCAGTGAGCTGAGATCATGCCATTGCACTCCAGCCTGGGCAACAATAGTGAAACTCCGTCTCAGGAAAAAAAAAAAAAAAAAGTAAGGTGGAGTGAAGTATTTCATAATGTTTTTACTGTTTATGAGTGGATTCTTTTTTTTTATAACATATAAATGTATTTGATACTTCTGCATTTCCAATTTCATTTGTGTTTTCACTAATGTATTATGTACCCTAATAGGGAACTGAATTTTTTTCATCTGATTGAGAAGGTAATACATTTTATTGTATAAAATTTATGAAATAAAAACATATAACTGAAAGTTTAAAAATCACTCATTTTCCTTCACTCCAGAGAAAACTTTTGTTAATTTTTTTAGAATGCGTGTGTATATTGAAACAAAATTAGAGTCACACTGAATATAAAGTTTCTGTAATACAGCCACCATATTGTGAGGAACCTCAGGGCATAAAAAGATGCCTTGTATAGGTGTTTGAACCTCCAGGCCCCACCAAAGTCTCAGGTGACAGCCAGCATCCATCATCTGATATATGAGTTAGTGAGCCTTTAGATAATACCAGTCCCTGGCTGATGGCAAATAGAGAAGCAATGAGTTATCCATGCTGAACCATGCCAAATTGCAGATTCCAGAGCAAAAGAAATGTTAGTGTTTGCGGCCACCAAATTCAAGGGTATTTCTTAGGTCATCAGAGTATTCATTTTGCAATCATATATTTTAAAATAATTGTAATTGAATTATAACATATATGGTGAAATGCATAGACCTGAAGTGTGTAGTTTGATCAATTTTGACAAATGTGTACACTTGCGTAACTCACACTTTGTAACCCTTGTAAAGGTGAACATAGTAGACCAGAGTGAGCAAGGTGTAAGTATTAGATGATGAGTGAAAGAGATTGGGAGGCCTTTGGTTATAATAAAAATATCATAGGAAGCCATCGGATTTTTAGAAATACACGTTGTATTTTAGAAAAGTTTTAAATTTACAGAAAGTTGTGAAAATAGTAGAGAGACTTCCCAAATAACTTACATCCAGTTTTTGCTGTTGTTAACGTGTTATATTAGTATTGTCATTTGTCGCAACTTGTGATACATTATTATTGACTAAATTCTATACTTGATTGATTTCTTTAGTTTTTACTTAAGGTCTGTATTAGTTAGCTGCCGTAACAAAATACCATAGACTGTGTGGATTAAACAACAGAAATTTATTTTTTCACAGATCTGGAGGCTGGAACTCTGAGATCTGGGTGCCAGCATGATTGGGTTCCAGTGAGGACTCTCTTCCTGGCTTGCAGAGGGGCACAGTCCCCTTTCCTAGGTGTGTTCTTGCTGAAAGAGAGAAAGAACAAGGTCTCTGTGTCTCTTTATAAGGGCACTAATCCCTTCAGGCCAAGGCCCTGCCCTCAGGACTTTATTGAATCCTGATTACCTCCCAAATGCCCTATCTCCAAATACCATTACATTCGGGGTTAAAGCTTCAACATATGAAGATTCTGGGCGGGCCACAAACATGCAGTTTATAACAAGGTCCTTTTTGTGTTCCTGTATCTTATGTAGGTTACCATATTACATTTAGTCGTTGTGTCTCCTTAGCTTCCTTTAGACTGTGGCAGTTTCTCAGACTTTCCTTTCTTTTTTGTTAACCTTGTCAGCTTTGAGGACTACTGGTCATGCATTTTGTAGAATGTCCCTCAAGTGGGATTTATCAAATGTATTTCTTATGATGTGTCTGGTCTTATGGGTGTTTGGGAGGAAGACCACAAAGATGAAGTGTCGTTTTCATCACATCATACAAAGGGTATGTGCTTTCAGTGTGACTGATCATTGTTGATGTTAATTTGGTCACCTGGCTGAGGTAGTGAAGCAGGATAATTTCCCTGACCCCTTTGCTGGTGGGAACTGAGATGTGGGTGCCGGAAGTAGCCGGCCACTTAGGTGCTGGTAGGGGCAGACCCCACTAACTGGAACCCCCTGTGCTCAACCCCCCGTGGGAGGGAACACACAGGTAAGTGAGCATAGGAGCCGGGTTGAGTGCTTTTGGGTGCCGGCAGGAGCAAAACTCTGTGTGGGCCCCGTGGCCCCAGAAGGAGTGTTACAGTCAGTGCTCTTTTAGCTTTGCCATCCATGGACAGTTTAAATGTTAACAGCTTAGTGGAAGGTAAATGTGACAGCCTTTTTGCACCTGCCTGGAAGAGAAGTGGCTGTGGAATATGGGAAAGGGTGAATATGAAAGATTTTCCTTTCGACTGTGTTAAGTTTCAGATGCTTGCTATACTCTGAAGTAGAAATGTGGAGACCATTGAAAATGTGAGTCTGGAGTTCAGGGTATGGGGCAGGACTCAAGATTCTATTTGGAGGTTGCACATTTTATCTTTAAAGGATTCTGTTGTATTTTTCAGAGTAAGAATTTCGTTTGATAGAATAAAGAGCCTGTGGTCATTTGAGTAGAATGATGAGAAAAATTTAAATCAAACTTGTTTTTTTCCTGAAAGCATTGTGAATAAAGATAACAGTAAAATATAGGTGATTTTCAATCAGCATCAGTGACCCATCTGTATCTGACCTGAGTCCCAGCTGATATAGCCAGTTGAATAGCAGAAAATTCAGAATTTGATTTGCATGTCTTAAAGCTATTGAGAAGAAAAATTAGACATTTAATTTTTTCCCCCTAAGGAACTATGTGCATATATTTTTGAGCCTTACCATTTTTTTTTCTTAGAGGGAAAGCAGTCAGGAGTGGGAGGCCTCTGAACAAGCTGTATTTTGTGTAGCCGCCAGCTTCCATCTTTCTCCAGGCAGAACGCTGGCCCTCAGCACATCTTTCTGCTTCCCCTCGGTCAGACCACCGAGAACTGCCGCTGTCCTGTCTGACTCCTCCTGTTTTGGTGAGTAATATAGGGAGGCTGAGGGTTTGATATTATTTGGCTCCATATTTTAAAAAGATATTTGGTAGTTTATGTAAAATTACGTCTAATTTGATCAGTACCACTTATAACTTTAAGTTGTTGTACAGAAATTGATCCTTTATTATTTAGAAAATAGACTTTAAAGTTAATAATATTGGGAGAATTCCTGGTTCTTTCCTTTTCCCTTCCCTCTCTTTTAGTTCTTTATTTATTTTTAGAGCTCTTTGTACTGGTACATCTTCCCTTTCCTGGGGAGTTGATTTTAAAAATTAGATTTGCAAGAGGTATCCTTTTAGAGGATGATGTAAGCCACTTGTACTCAAACTTAAGGAAAATAATTTTTTAAGTTCCCTGTGTGCCCTTTTTAGATCCCATCCCAGAGAGGAGTGACTTCTGCTAGATTGTGTTATTTCCTTTCTTTCTTCATAGTGTTGTCAACAAATATATATATGTATGTGGTAATAAACATGAAATTTACCATCTTAACCATCTTTAAGTGCACAGTTCAGTAGTGATAAGTGTATTCACAATGTTGAGTAGTAGATCTCCAGGACTTTTTCATCTTACAGAACTGAAACCATATATTAATTAAACAACTCCCTATTTTCCCCCAGGCCCAGCCGCTGGCCTTTTGTTTCTATGAATTTGACTGTTCTAGATACCTCATATAAGTGGAAATGTACAGTGTTTGTCTTTTTGTGAGAGGCATATTTGAGTTAGTATATGTCTTAAGGGTTCACCCATGTTGCCACATATGATGTATGTTATGTGACTCATAAAAACCAGAATTTCTTTCCTTTTGAACAGCTGAATAATGTTCCATTTATAAAGTTCTTAATTTTCATGTTACTGAATTTATAACATTCATGATTTGCAATATTTTTATACCTAGGTTAGGAAATTCTTCTATATCCTGAGATCATAAAGATAGCCTTCTATATTTTTAAGAAGTAATTTTTTTTGTTTTAAAACAATATTAAATTTACAGGAAGGTTATGAGTACAATTCCGAGAACATTTGCTTTTTCCTGAACCATTTGAGAGTAAGTTGCTGACTTGGTGACCCATCGCTTCTGAATATTTTGTGGTATTTTCCTACAAAAAGGACATTCTGCTGTGTAATATCAAAATGACCATCAAAATGAGAAAATTAATACATTTCCATAATCACATCTTTGACTTTATTCAAGTTTTACCAGTTATCTCATCAAATTCTGTTTAGCAACAGGATCTAGTTCAGAATTACAGGTTGCATTTAGTTCTCATGTCTCTTTAGTCTCTTTAAGTCTAGAACACTCCCTTTATTGAAGTGAGCTGTATTCTTTCCTCTTCTGTTTTCTGGGAAGGATTGTATAAAACCAGTGTTAATTCTTTTTTAAACATTTGATAGAATTCTCCAGTAAAACTATCTGGTCCTAGCGATTTTTTTTTTTTTTTTTTTTTTGAGGTGGAGTTTTGCTCTTGTTGCCCAGGCTGGAGTGCAATGGCACAACTTTGGCTCACTGCAACCTCTGCCTCCTGGGTTCAAGTGATTCTCCTGCCTCAGCCTCAGTAGCTGGGATTACAGGTGTGTGTCACCACACCCAGCTAATTTTTTGTCTTTTGAGTAGAGACGGGGTTTCACTATGTTGGTCAGGCTGGTCTCGAACTCTGGACCTCAAGTGATCCACCTGCCTCAGCCTCCCAAAGTGCTGGGATTGCAGGTGTGAGCCACTGCGCCCGGCTGGCCTAAAGATTGTTTTCCATGAGATTCTAAATTACAAATTCAGTTTTCTTAACAGTTAGTCATAGGGCTATTTAAATTCATATTCGGTGAGTTGTAGTAGTTCACGCTTTTTCTGGAATTGGTGCGTTTCACCTAAGAAATTCTATATTAGCTAATCTATGGGGAGTTTTATTCTTCCTTACCTTATATAGACATATTTTCAATGAAAAGATAATCTGATTTATGTATTTATAAAAATAAATGTATATTTTATATCTATATCATATAATTTTACATCTATATCATATAACTTGTTTTTTTTCTTTTTTTTTTTTTTTTGAGACGGAGTCTCACTCTATCGCCCAGGCTGGAGTGCGGTGGTGCGATCTCAGTTCACTGCAAACTCCGCCTCCCAGGTTCACGCCATTCTCCTGCCTCAGCCTTCTGAGTAGCTGGGACTACAGGCACCCGCCACCGCACCTGGCTAATTTTTTGTATTTTTTTAGTAGAGACGGGGTTTCACCGTGTTAGCCAGGATGGTCTCGATCTCCTGACCTTGTGATCCGCCCACTTCAGCCTCCCAAAGTACTGGGATTACAGGCGTGAGCCACCGCGCCCGGCCTGTATCATATAATTTGGATCAAACTCTAAATGTAGCCAGGACATCAGTGGCAGGCTATATTCAGCACTGATGGGAGTCTCAGTGACCTGTAAAGCCTATGTCTCTCTACACACTTCCTAGTTTGCTCTGCATGAGTCTCTGACCATGCAAATAGCTATATTGTGGCTATACTGTGCAGACAACTCATTCTATTTCAATTTTTTTCCATGACTTATTATTCAAAATAATGTGATACAATAAAAATCAGATTTGCTATGGTCCCTGACCTCAGGTTTGCTTAGAGTCTCTGCAGGGGTTACAGAGAAGTAATTAGGAAATCAGAAATCAGTGTGGTTAATGTTCTGATGAGGAGGCAACAGGTCCTCATGAGAACAGAGAGAAGAGGTATCTGTTTTATTCTCTGCATCTCTAGTACCTAGTACAGGACCTGGCACATAGTAGGGTCTCACTAAATCTTTGTTGAATGAATGAATAAACTCAGCTGGGTGATCACAGGGTCACTTTTGGGGAAAACTTATGTCTGAGCCAAGTTATTGATATCTACAGGCAGTAAATGAATGGAGGGAATTCTCTCATGTGGATGCAATAAAATTCAGTGTCATAGAAGAACACAAAGCTTAGCAATCTAAATAGTTATCTAAAGCTGTCTTATTTGCAAGTGGGGAGTGGTTTTCAAAAGTGATTGCAGACTGAAGGCTAAGCAGAAGTAACTCTGACTAAAGTATGTATTGGACAAGGTTAGATGAGAACCGGAATTGATTTTATGAATTAGCATTTTTGGTTCTGGCTGTTGTATTTACCATTGCTAAGTTTAGTTTTTAACATATCTTAAAAATAATGATCTTCAAATGAATGAGAAGTATTTTTTGTGAAGCATGGTACAGCTTTCTCCAGGTCTTAACTACTAGTCTTATTCATATTATCTTTGCTTTAAAACAAAACTTTTCTATGTTCTAAATATATCTGTGATAAATCATGAGTTTACCACTAATAATGGTGGGTCATATATTTGTGTTTTCATATGCCAGGTACTGTATTTAGAGCCTGCCATGGGTTATCTCATTTAATCCGGACAGTGGCCTGTGTGTAAGGAAACCAAACCTAGGGCTCCCATTTTATAGAAGAGGCAACTAAGTTTTGGGGAAGTTAGATAGTGTGTACCCAAGGTCACTTAGGTAAGCCTAGGACTCACATTTGAATCTAAGTCTGTCTGACTTCATTTAACCACTAAGCTATATGTGCTCTTTCCAATGTTTCATATGTCTTATTGTTAAACAAAAAAGGCCCAGGATTTCGTTTTACTTGTGTATAGATCCTTAGAAAGTTCATCAGTTAAATGAGGAAAGAGTTTGTTGTGAAATAACATATTAAGACTCCCCTAAAGGCAAATTACAGAAACCCACTTTAAACTAGCCGGCATGGCTGGATGCAGATGCTCCAACAATAAATACTGTGCTCTTCTTCTCTGTGTCTCCTCCTTTCTCCCCTTCCTCTTTCCCCCTCCCTCCTTATCCCACTGCCCCATTCCCTCTCTCATTCTGCTTTTCTTTGAGTGTTGGCCCATTCTTTCTTGTAACAGAAGCAGCCCCAATTGAAACCAGCTCCACCTGTGATCCTAGGAAGAGAGAGCATCTTCTCTGGGAAGAAATGCCCTGGGGAAGACTCTTGGTCATGGGGACTGGGCGCTGTGACAGGACTTCGTGAACTACATGGATTGTAGCTGTTGGGGTGACAACATATCCATACTTCATCTTGATAAGACATATCATTTGATGGTTGAAAGCTGTAATTATTTTAAGATAATACACAATAGATTTTAATAGCTTTATCAAGATATAATTCACATACCATAGGACTTACCCATTTAAAGTGTACAGTTCAATGGTTTTAATGTATTCACAGTTGTGCAGCTATCACCACTGTCTAATCTGTAACATTTCCATCACCAAAAGAAACTTTGCACCTATTAGCAGTCACTCCCCATTTTTCCCAAGCCCCTCAGCCTTAAGCAACCACTCATCTACTTTCTGTCTCTATAGATTTGCCTATTTCAGACATTTTGTATGAGTGGGAATCATACGACATGCGGTCTTTTGTGTCTGACTTCTTTCATTAGCATGTTTTCAAGGTTTGTCTATCTTTGCATATCATCATGCATTTCTTATTATTGCCAAACATTCCATTATATGGATATACCACATTTTATTTGTCTGTCTGTTGATGGACATTTGGGTTGTTTTCACATTTTCGCAATTATGAATAATGCCACTGTGAACATTTGTGTAGAAGCTTAAGTTTTCAGTTCTTTTGTGTGTATACCTGGTAGTGGAATTGCTGGGTCATAGGATAACTGTGCCTAACATTTTGAGGAGCTGTTTTCAAAGTGACTGTACCATTTTACATTCTCACCATCAATGTGTGATGGTTCCAGTTTCTTTACATTAAATAATGGCCTGTTTACTTGTCTTCTTGCCTTGTATTGGAGTTCTCCCAGTGGGTTCTGAATCTGCTCCACCTCATCCAGTTGTCCAGGTAAGCAGACCATGTTGATCAAAGGATCAGAAGTGTATGTTTGTTTGTTTTTCTTTTTCTTTATAAATTTCATTATTTACAAACCTTGACAGGGATTATTCTTATTTTCATATTAAGAAAGAAGTTGTAAATACCAGAGGTTACTTGGTTGAGGTAGGAACAGGGATTTGTATTTAGGATTTATTAGGTGTTAGAGAGCTGCTTGCTTCAGATCTGCAGTGTCAGCCTACTTTGATATGATAGGTGGCATTCATATGACACACATTCTCACTTGTGTTCACTGTGTTATATGTAGTTCCCAGCAAACTAGTTGTATCTCTACTGTTTTTTTCCTAGAAATGTGAGGGCAAGAGTAATGTTTTAGGAATAATCTTTATTAAATTGTTCATAAACTTGACTTTTAATTTTCATTAGTATTAATTACTTGCAGCACACCAAAACTGAGCTGCTTTTCTGTGATTCACAATTGTTGCTTCTGACTACTTTATTATGCCGACTTTTGTTATCAGCCCTGTAGGGCTATTTAACATTCACCTTGAAGTCAGTATAAAATTTGATACTCTGGCAGTCTGTATTCAGAGATGCATAGATGGTCTTCCATCGGTGGCTTTCTCCCTAGCCCTAGAGCAGTCCATGTATCCAGACTCCATATTGAGTCTTGCCTTCTCAGCACAACATAAGAGAATCTATGTTGATCACACATTATGCAAAAATCTATGTTGATCTCTTGCCGCTGATTTGCCACATATCACTATATAGCTTGAAAGTCAAGAACTTGTGATTTAGAATTGCTGTTCAGCTCATGCTTAATATTTTAATGACATCAAGCAATAGCAAGAAGAGATTACACATATTGGCAGCACCTTCTAAACTTGGGATAATGTGGTGATCTCCGTAAGATAAAACAGGAGCTTGCAGGTATTTAACAACAGATTTTTGTAAAGCTGATAATGTGCCAGGGATAGGTGCTGGGGGATACAATAAACAAAATGGATAAAAATCTCTGTCCTTATAAAATGTACATCCCAGTGATTAATGATTTACTGTGAGATCATTTATAATGTGTAACATCCAGATAAAAAAACTATTGTGATTTTTTTTTGGTAGCAGTGTCTGAACACTTTAAAATTCTAAAAAAGAAAAGTAAGGAATTAAAAATGTTTAAATTGGTGCATTTAGCTAGTATATTATGTAAGTAATTATTGGCTAAGTACCCCAAAGACAAGGTATTACAGATCCCAATCTAATCATTAAAAGTTAACACTTTTTATATTGACCTGATCCTTATTGAAAAGTGTATTATTTTAGTGAGAGGCAGTGCAATCTCAAAATCAACATCATACCTCTAAATTGATAAGTTGATGTTGTATCAAATAGAAATTTCATGATAATGAGGCAGGTCAGTATTTGAATTTTTCAGTTCTTTAGAAGCATAATTTGAAGACTTGTAAAATTAATAGGACCGTTGAAATTGACTTTTATTTTTAAACATCAGACAGGTAATGTGCTGATGTAAAAAGGTTGAGGAAGAAGATTTGGAATCTTGTAAAATTAATAGGACAGTTGAAATTGACCTTTATTTTTAAACATCACACAGTAATGTGCTGATATTGTAAAAAAGTTTGGGTTTCCACACTCACATGTGAGTTATCACATGTGATATTTATCATCACATGTTGTCACATAAGTTATCATCACACTTAGGAATTACAAAAGGATCAAAATAGACCTTTTTTTTTTAAATGGATTTGGGTACTTTTTACCCAGTAGTACCAGGCACCTGGAGATGAATGCTTTCAAGTGAAATAAGAAAGGATCACAATTCTTATTTGGGCTAATGCTTCTGATAGGCACAGCAGGAATGAATGAATGAATAAATGAATGAATGAATCTTATTAGCATATATAATAAATAAGTAAAAAACTTTACAAGATAATTTTAGTTAGTGATAAGTACTGTAGAGTCAGTAAAATGGGGTCTATGATAAGCGAATTAGCTATTCACTTGAATACCTAGTAAATATCTAAACTTATTGTGGCCAAAAGGGAACTCCTGATTCCCCTCACCACCAGCTTCTCATCAGGGGATGCTTCTGTAGATTGTGAGGTCTGGGAAGCTTTTGAAGATGTTATTTGAGTTGAGATGTGAATGGTGAAGTATCTGTGTGCATTCCAGGTATGGAGGTGGGGAAGCATTGGCTTAGGGGTGGAAATGAGTTTAGTGTGTTGGAGACAGTCAGTATGAAATGTTGAAATGTAGCCAGAAAAGAGATAGTGGTAGATGTCAGGCTAGAGAGGTAGAAGCGGCCTTGATCTTTTAGGACAGCATAAAGAGTTAGGATTTCACTTTAATCGTGGCATTAAGTCTGTAGAGTGTTCTAGGTCTGGGGATTGATGGCCTCATGACTGTGGCTACTGCATAGAGGCAGAAGAGGAAATGGGGACCTTTCTGAGCTGTTGTCTGGGTAAGAAGCCATAGCAGCCATCTAGATGGAGCCTGGGTCAGCTTTGGCAATGTACTTTGCAGACAGAGCTAAAGAACTTAAGTGTGGATTCTATGTGGAAGGCAGGAGATGAGTAGTCAAGAGTTGATTTCTAAGTTTTGGTTGAGCAACTGAACGTGTGATGGTTCAGTTACTGAGATGGGGAAAATTGGAGGAGAAGTTGGTGGTGAGGGGAATCAGAAGATCCCTTTCGGACACAATAGATTTTAGATACTTATTAGATAGTCAAGTGAGGTAGCTTAGTGGGCAGTTGAATAAATGTGTGTAGTTCAGTGGCGACATCGACTAAAATGACAAAGGTAGGTGTCAGCAAAGTAGAGCTGACTTCAAAGCCATAAGACTGGATGAACTCCCTAAGGGGATGGGCTCTTCAGTTTACTTCCTTAAATTGAGAAAGTTGGACAGGATGGACTTTTTTTTTTTTCCTGCATTAATTCATTTTATTTTATTTTATTTTATTTTAATTTTATTTTATTATTTTTTAATTAATTAATTTATTATTATTATACTTTTAGGGTACATGTGCACAATGTGCAGGTTAGTTACGTATGTATACATGTGCCATGCTGGTGCGCTGCACCCACTAACTCATCATCTAGCATTAGGTATATCTCCCAATGCTATCCCTCCCCCCTCCCCCCACCCCACAACACTCCCCAGAGTGTGATGTTCCCCTTCCTGTGTCCATGTGTTCTCATTGTTCAATTCCCACCTATGAGTGAGAATATGCGGTGTTTGGTTTTTTGTTCTTGCGATAGTTTACTGAGAATGATGATTTCCAATTTCATCCATGTCCCTACAAAGGACATGAACTCATCATTTTTTATGGCTGCATAGTATTCCATGGTGTATATGTGCCACATTTTCTTAATCCAGTCTATCATTGTTGGACATCTGGGTTGGTTCCAAGTCTTTGCTATTGTGAATAATGCCGCAATAAACATACGTGTGCATGTGTCTTTATAGCAGCATGATTTATAGTCCTTTGGGTATATACCCAGTAATGGGATGGCTGGGTCAAATGGTATTTCTAGTTCTAGATCCTCGAGGAATCGCCACACTGACTTCCACAATGGTGGAACTAGTTTACAGTCCCACCAACAGTGTAAAAGTGTTCCTATTTCTCCACATCCTCTCCAGCACCTGTTGTTTCCTTTTTAATGATTGCCATTCTAACTGGTGTGAGATGATATCTCATAGTGGTTTTGATTTGCATTTCTCTGATGGCCAGTGATGGTGAGCATTTTTTCATGTGTTTTTTGGCTGCATAAATGTCTTCTTTTGAGAAGTGTCTGTTCATGTCCTTTGCCCACTTTTTGATGGGGTTGTTTGTTTTTTTCTTGTAAATTTGTTGGAGTTCATTGTAGATTCTGGATATTAGCCCTTTGTCAGATGAGTAGGTTGCGAAAATTTTCTCCCATTTTGTAGGTTGCCTGTTCACTCTGATGGTAGTTTCTTTTGCTGTGCAGAAGCTCTTTAGTTTAATTAGATCCCATTTGTCAATTTTGGCTTTTGTTGCCATTGCTTTTGGTGTTTTAGACATGAAGTCTTTGCCCATGCCTATGTCCTGAATGGTAATGCCTAGGTTTTCTTCTAGGGTTTTTATGGTTTTAGGTCTAACATTTAAGTCTTTAATCCATCTTGAATTGATTTTTGTATAAGGTGTCAGGAAGGGATCCAGTTGCAGCTTTCTACATATGGCTAGCCAGTTTTCCCAGCACCATTTATTAAATAGGGAATCCTTTCCCCATTGCTTGTTTTTCTCAGGTTTGTCAAAGATCAGATAGTTGTAGATATGCGGCGTTATTTCTGAGGGCTCTGTTCTGTTCCATTGATCTATATCTCTGTTTTGGTACCAGTACCATGCTGTTTTGGTTACTGTAGCCTTGTAGTATAGTTTGAAGTCAGGTAGTGTGATGCCTCCAGCTTTGTTCTTTTGCCTTAGGATTGACTTGGCGATGCGGGCTCTTTTTTGGTTCCATATGAACTTTAAAGTAGTTTTTTCCAATTCTGTGAAGAAAGTCATTGGTAGCTTGATTGGGATGCCATTGAATCTGTAAATTATCTTGGGCAGTATGGCCATTTTCACGATATTGATTCTTCCTACCCATGAGCATGGAATGTTATTCCATTTGTTTGTATCCTCTTTTATTTCCTTGAGCAGTGGTTTATAGTTCTCCTTGAAGAGGTCCTTCACATCCCTTGTACGTTGGATTCCTAGGTATTTTATTCTCTTTGAAGCTATTGTGAATGGGAGTTCACTCATGATTTGGCTGTCTGTTTGTCTGTTGTTGGTGTATATGAATGCTTGTGATTTTTGTACATTGATTTTGTATCCTGAGACTTTGCTGAAGTTGCTTATCAGCTTAAGGAGATTTTGGGCTGAGACAATGGGGTTTTCTAGATATACAGTCATGTCGTCTGCAAACAGGGACAATTTGACTTCCTCTTTTCCTAATTGAATACCCTTTATTTCCTTCTCCTGCCTAATTGCCCTGGCCAGAACTTCCAACACTATGTTGAATAGGAGTGGTGAGAGAGGGCATCCCTGTCTTGTGCCAGTTTTCAAAGGGAATGCTTCCAGTTTTTGCCCATTCAGTATGATATTGGCTGTGGGTTTGTCATAGATAGCTCTTATTATTTTGAAATACGTCCCATCAATACCTAATTTATTGAGAGTTTTTAGCATGAAGTCTTGTTGAATTTTGTCAAAGGCCTTTTCTGCACCTATTGAGATAATCATGTAGTTTTTGTCTTTGGTTCTGTTTATATGCTGGATTACACTTATAGATTTGCGTATATTGAACCAGCCTTGCATCCCAGGGATGAAGCCCACTTGATCATGGTGGATAAGCTTTTTGATGTGCTGCTGGATTTGGTTTGCCAGTATTTTATTGAGGATGTTTGCATCAATGTTCATCAAGGATATTGGTCTAAAATTCCCTTTTTTTGTTGTGTCTCTGCCAGGCTTTGGTATCAGGATGATGCTGGCCTCATAAAATGAGTTAGGGAGGATTCCCTCTTTTTCTATTGATTGGAATAGTTTCAGAAGGAATGGTACCAGTTCCTCCTTGTACCTCTGGTAGACTTCGGCTGTGAATCCATCTGGTCCTGGACTCTTTTTGGTTGGTAAGCTATTGATTATTGCCACAATTTCAGCTCCTGTTATTGGTCTATTCAGAGATTCAACTTCTTCCTGGTTTAGTCTTGGGAGAGTGTATGTGTCCAGAAATTTATCCATTTCTTCTAGATTTTCTAGTTTATTTGCGTAGAGGTGTTTGTAGTATTCTCTGATGGTAGTTTGTATTTCTGTGGGATCAGTGGTGATATCTCCTTTATCATTTTTTATTGCATCTATTTGATTCTTCTCTCTTTTTTTCTTTATTAGTGTTGCTAGCGGTCTATCAATTTTGTTGATCCTTTCAAAAAACCAGCTCCTGGATTCATTAATTTTTTGAAGGGTTTTTTGTGTCTCTATTTCCTTCAGTTCTGCTCTGATTTTAGTTATTTCTTGCCTTCTGCTAGCTTCTGAATGTGTTTGCTCTTGCTTTTCTAGTTCCTTTAATTGTGATGTTAGGGTGTCAATTTTGGATCTTTCCCGCTTTCTCTTGTGGGCATTTAGTGCTATAAATTTCCCTCTACACACTGCTTTGAATGCATCCCAGAGATTCTGGTATGTTGTGTCTTTGTTCTCATTGGTTTCAAAGAACATGTTTATTTCTGCCTTCATTTCGTTATGTACCCAGTAGTCATTCAGGAGCAGGTTGTTCAGTTTCCATGTAGTTGAGCGGTTTTGAGTGAGATTCTTAATCCTGAGTTCTGGTTTGATTGCACTGTGGTCTAAGAGATAGTTTGTTATAATTTCTGTTCTTTTACATTTGCTGAGGAGAGCTTTACTTCCAAGTATGTGGTCAATTTTGGAATAGGTGTGGTGTGGTGCTAAAAAAATGTATATTCTGTTGATTTGGGGTGGAGAGTTCTGTAGATGTCTATTAGGTCCGCTTGGTGCAGAGCTGAGTTCAATTCCTGGGTATCTTTGTTGACTTTCTGTCTCGTTGATCTGTCTAATGTTGACAGTGGGGTGTTAAAGTCTCCCATTATTAATGTGTGGGAGTCTAAGTCTCTTTGTAGGTCACTCAGGACTTGCTTTATGAATCTGGGTGCTCCTGTATTAGATGCATATATATTTAGGATAGTTAGCTCTTCTTGTTGAATTGATCACTTTACCATTATGTAATGGCCTTCTTTGTCTCTTTTGATCTTTGTTGGTTTAAAGTCTGTTTTATCAGAGACTAGGATTTTAACCCCTGCCTTTTTTTGTTTTCCATTTGCTTGGTAGATCTTCCTCCATCCTTTTATTTTGAGCATATGTGTGTCTCTGCATGTGAGATGGGTTTCCTGAATACAGCACACTGATGGGTCTTGACTCTTTATCCAATTTGCCAGTCTGTGTCTTTTAATTGGAGCATTTAGTCCATTTACATTTAAAGTTAATACTCTTATGTGTGAATATGATCCTGTCATTATGATGTTAGCTGGTTATTTTGCTCATTAGTTGATGCAGTTTCTTCCTAGTCTCGATGGTCTTTACATTTTGGCATGATTTTGCAGCGGCTGGTACCGCTTGTTCCTTTCCATGTTTAGCGCTTCCTTTAGGAGCTCTTTTAGGGCAGGCCTGGTGGTGACAAAATCTCTCAGCATTTGCTTGTCTCTAAAGTATTTTATTTCTCCTTCACTTATGAAGCTTAGTTTGGCTGGATATGAAATTCTGGGTTGAAAATTCTTTTCTTTAAGAATGTTGAATATTGGCCCCCACTCTCTTCTGGCCTGTAGAGTTTCTGCCGAGAGATCCACTGTTAGTCTGATGGGCTTCCCTTTGAGGGTAAGCCGACCTTTCTCTCTGGCTGCCCTTAACATTTTTTCCTTCATTTCAACTTTGGTGAATCTGACAATTACGTGTCTTGGAGTTGCTCTTCTCGAGGAGTATCTTTGTGGTGTTCTCTGTATTTCCTGATCTGAATGTTGGCCTGCCTTGCTAGATTGGGGAAGTTCTCCTGGATAATATCCTGCAGAGTGTTTTCCAACTTGGTTCCATTCTCCCCGTCACTTTCAGGTACACCAGTCAGACGTAGATTTGGTCTTTTCACATAGTCCCATATTTCTTGGAGGCTTTGCTCGTTTCTTTTTATTCTTTTTTCTCTAAACTTCCCTTCTCGCTTCATTTCATTCATTTCATCTTCCATCGCTGATACCCTTTCTTCCAGTTGATCGCATTGGCTCCTGAGGCTTCTGCATTCTTCATGTAGTTCTCTAGCCTTGGTTTTCAGCTGCATCAGCTCCTTTAAGCACTTCTCTGTATTGGTTATTCTAGTTATACATTCTTCTAAATTTTTTTCAAAGTTTTCAACTTCTTTGCCTTTGGTTTAAATGTCCTCCCATAGCTCGGAGTAATTTGATCGTCTGAAGCCTTCTTCTCTCAGCTCGTCAAAGTCATTCTCCGTCCAGCTTTGTTCCGTTGCTGGTGAGGAACTGCGTTCCTTTGGAGGAGGAGAGTCGCTCTGCTTTTCAGAGTTTCCAGTTTTTCTGCTCTGTTTTTCCCCATCTTTGTGGTTTTATCTACTTTTGGTCTTTGACGATGGTGATGTACAGATGGGTTTTTGGTGTGGATGTCCTTTCTGTTTGTTAGTTTTCCTTCTAACAGACAGGACCCTCAGCTGCAGGTCTGTTGGAGTACCCGGCTGTGTGAGGTGTCAGTCTGCCCCTGCTGGGGGGGTGCCTCCCAGTTAGGCTGCTTGGGGGTCAGGGGTCAGGGACCCACTTGAGGAGGCAGTCTGCCCGTTCTCAGATCTCCAGCTGCATTCTGGGAGAACCACTGCTCTCTTCAAAGCTGTCAGACAGGGACATTTAAGTCAGCAGAGGTTACTGCTGTCTTTTTGTTTGTCTGCGCCCTGCCCCCAGAGGTGGAGCCTACAGAGGCAGGCAGGCCTCCTTGAGCTGTGGTGGGGTCCACCCAGTGGGAGCTTCCCAGCTGCTTTGTTTACCTAAGCAAGCCTGGGCAATGGCGGGCGCCCCTCCCCCAGCCTCGCTGCTGCCTTGCAGTTTGATCTCAGACTGTTGTGCTAGCAATCAGCGAGACTCCGTGGGCGTAGGACCCTCCAAGCCACGTGCGGGATATAATCTCCTGATGCGCCGTTTTTTAAGCCCGTCGGAAAAGCACAGTATTCGGGTGGGAGTGACCCGATTTTCCAGGTGCCGTCTGTCACCCCTTTCTTTGACTAGGAAAGGGAACTTCCTGACCCCTTGCGCTTCCCGAGTGAGGCAATGCCTCGCCCTGCTTCAGTGTGCATGGTGCGCACACCCACTGACCTGCGCCCGCTGTCTGGCGATCCCTAGTGAGATGAACCTGGTACCTCAGATGGAAATGCAGAAATCACCCGTCTTCTGCGTCGCTCACACTGGGAGCTGTAGACTGGAGCTGTTCCTATTCAGCCATCTTGGCTCCTCCCCAGGATGGTCTTTAAGGTCCCATCTTTTCCAAAAAGTGAGATGTTTATTGAATTTTAGAGAGTCTCTGTAAGAAACTTGAAATTGATGGGAATTTTCTGTAAAATGCTTTAGCTTCTTTTAAATCATGAAAAGGATGAATGGGAAGAAATACAGACATTTAAATATTCCACATCTGTATTCATTCTGAAATTGCTTGTCCACAAAACATGGTATGTAACTGTGATAAAATATCCTTCTGAAAGTGAAAATAATCTCCTTCGTATTGTAAATTTTCAGTTAAACCCAAATGCTGGTCAATGTGAACTTATTTTTATTAAAAAAATTTTAAACAGCTTTATTGAGGAGTAAGTGACACCCAAGCTGCACATATTAGAAGTGTAAAGTTTGATGTTTTGACATAGGTATCCACCCATAAAGCTATCACCACTGAAGATAATAGACATATTTGTCACCCCGACAGTTTCCTCTTACCCTTCAGTACTGTCTCCCTCCTGCCTCTGATCCACAGCCAGTCACTGATAAGGTTTTTATAACTGTAGATTAGTTTGCATTTTCTAATTTATATATTATATAAATAGAATCATGCGGTGGGTAATCTTCTTTTATTCTGGCTTCTTTCACTCAACATAATTATTTTGAGATTTATCCATGCTGTTTGTGTGTCAGTAGTTCATTTTTTTAATTCATTAAGTAATATCCTATTGTATGGATATACCAGATTCATTTTTGGAGTCATAATGAGGTTAGACTACCTTCTTTTTCCCTTCAGCAGGTCTTCTGATTTGCTGGCATTATTTGTAACCACCTGTGAGTCTAGAAAATTTGAGACAGGTCTCAGTTAATTTAGAAAGCTTATTTTGCCAAGGTTGAGGATGCATGCCCCTGATACAGCCTCAGGAAGTCCCGACGACATGTGCCCAGGGTGGCTGGGACACAGCTTAGTTTTATACATTTTAGGGAGACGTGAGACATCAGTCAACATATGTAAGAAGTACATTGGTTGGGTCCGGAAAGGCAGGACAACTTGAAGCAAACACAGGAAGACTTGAAGCTGGGAAGGAACTTCTAGGTCACAGATAGGTGAGAGAGGAATGGTTGCATTCTCTGAGTTTTTGATTAACCTTTCCAAAGGAGGCAGTCAGATATGCATCTATCTTAGTGAATAGAGGGGTGACTTTGAATAGAAGGAGAGGCAGGTTGGCCTTAAGCAGTTCCCAGCTTGACTTTTCCCTTTAGCTTGGTGATTTAGGGGCCCCAGTATTTATTTTCCTTTCACACACCTAAGAGACTAAATGTGTGAGTATATATACACACAGAGACACACTCCGAACTGTCTTTATAGAAGGGCTTCCTTGTTGTATTTATCCCCCTTCATCCTGTTCAGGGATGAGCTTCCTGGCTTTCATTTACCAGAGCAAGCTTGACAGTGTTGTGGATAGGAAGCAGGCCCACCCTTTCTATGTGTCTGTGTTCTGTGTGATTTTTGGGGATGTGTGTATGTTGTTGAGCTTTATTTTTTATCTGGATTGTGTTTAGTTCAGGAGGTCACCTGAAATAAAACTGAAGCTTCATAGTTTAGCCTTTACTTGGGCTTCATAGTTTAGCAGTTGTGAATGCAGTTAATCTAGTACCTTTAATTTCACAAGGGAGTATAAGTAAATTTTTTTCTCAGTTCATAGGAATTTTGTATAGTTGGTTAAGACACAGATCAAAAAGAGACAAACACTCATTCAGGTGGTAGGTAGATGCCTACCTTTAATCTCTGTGTTGTCTTGATTAAATCACTTGCTTTCTGCTTCTGTTTTTGTGCATTTGGAAAAGTTCACTGCTTTTTGGTTCATGTGGATGATCTGAGAATACACTTGGGGATTTGTGAGTTAATTACTCTCTGGCTGTTTTTAACATCATCAGTTTACCATGGAGTTTAAGGATGTTTGGGCTTTAGCCTGGCAGTTCTCTGTGCTGTTGTCTGGGGTTGTCTGGGGAGGAAGAGAGGATGTTGTGTCTGATATCTACAGGCCTGTCCTGGCAGAATAGGGCCTCTCACTGGCTGAACTGGGTGTGTTTGGTTTATGTGGGATTAGAATGCACAGTGGCCATATAATTCAGGAGACAAGAAAGAGCCTTGAGAGGAATGTCAAATAAATCTCTCTACTTTGTGTACTCATGATGCTTGTTCTCTATGTAATAAAAGACTTAGTGATCATCATTTGTATTGTTCATTTAATTGTCCTTTTACTAGCCTGTAAGTTTTGTGAGTGCAGGGACAACCATGTCTGTGTTCATCCATTATACTTATACAAGAAGTACTTACTGAATGTTGAATAAGGTGTCTTTATGCTTCTTGTATTTATTTTACATTTGTAGTTATAGAGTTTCTAATTGTAGGAATTAATATTAACATCTTTAAGCCCTTTAGGAAAGATGGAAGGTAAATATGAACTGTTTATTAGTCTGCTCCCCTTGACTTTAAGCAAACTCTTGAAGCATGATTCTCCCCCTCCCTCATTTTTTCTTTCAGTGAATGAAAAGCACAAATGGAGCCAGGCCTTCCACTCAGGGATTGGTAGGAATGCAAAGATGAATAAAATTGTTCCCAAGCCTTAAGAAGCTCACAGTCTAAATGGAAAGTCAACCTTATAGGCCAGTGACAATTTAATATAAGCACTTACAGAAATTATTTTAAAAGTATTTTGGGAGCCCAGAAAATATGAATAAAGGCTCTTGTTTCTAGCTTGAGGAGCTGGGTAGAAGTGACCCCATTAAGTAAAATAGGAGATCCAGGAGGAAAGGAGGCAGATTTGATAGGATGAGGAGACAGGTTAGGGTGCAAGTGCAGTAAGAATTCAGTTTTGGGTGATTTTAGTTTGATTTTTCTGCAGAATGTTATTTTTTTTTCTAGGTAATTTGTAGATTTTTATGCTGGTTTATAAAAAGCTCTTTCCCCAATTGGTAGCTTTGAATTCATCTTCAGTATTTATGGGGAAGTCATAGTTCTTGAATCAGATGTTCTGCATTACCTTACCAAAGTTGACTCTACCAGTAGTGAAGCCAACAAGGAAAAAGATCTGCTGCTATGGATATCTAAAAGACCATTTCATGTTAGTACTTACGGGACTGCCTCATTCTTTGTGTTGGCTGTAGAGCGTTCATTCCATCGACTGAATGTAACATGCTTTAGTAGTCCCCATCTTTTCCACTTTTCCTATTATATCAGTGCTGAAATACATATGCATAAATGTAAATACATCATCTCTCACATTTCTAAATTGTTCTCCATTAATATTATATCGATATATACTTTTACCAACAATGTTTTAGTGTGCCTGTTTCCTTATACCCTCACCAGTGCAGAGTGCTACTAAAGTTTATCTGATAGGTGAAAATGTTATTTTATTCTGATTTTTAACTTCCATTTCTCTTATTATAGAGTTTGGGCATCTTTTCATATGAATGAGTCATTTGTAATTCTTTTTCTCAGAGCTGACTGTGCCTATACTCTACCTATTTTTCTGTTATATGGTTACTGTTTTATTATTGATATGTAGGAACTTTAGATATATTAAGGAAATAAGCTCTTGGCGATGTGACATACTGTTGCTTTTAAGTTTGTTGTTTGTCCTTTGACTTTGCTTACCGTGTTTTGCCATGAGGGATATTTTTATATTTATGTAATGGAATTGTACTAATTTTAAAAATTGCTTCCAAATTTTGTGTTACACTCAAAACATTTCAGATATTACCTTTATCATATTCTGAATACCTGTTATGTGTTTGACTCTATCTCGGGAATTCCAGTTATATTTTATTGATCTATCTGCTTATTTGCTCATCATTCTAGCTTTTAAAAAGATTTGTTCTAGTCTCTGAAAGTGCAGTCAATCCACCGTCATTACAAATTTCTTGGCTATCTCACATGTTTATATTTCTCTATTAATTTTTAAATTGACTTTTGTTTTTAAAAAAGCCTATTGACATTTTTATTGTATGGACTTATATTTAATGATTAACATAAGGAGAAATGAACATCTTTATGATTCTGAGTCTTCCTGTCCAAGAATGGTGTGCTTTTTCCCTTTATTCAAGTGAAGCTCTTTGAGCAGGGGTACCTGCTTTGGACAGTTATGTGAACCTCTGTTTCATTATAGCCATTACCTATATTTGAGTCTAATACATAAGATTTAACAAAAAACTAAAAAGCCAATATTTGTGTAACCACCCTGGGCAAAAAGTAGAGTATTACCAGCCCACAAAATTTCCCTGTTTGTCTGTCACTATTGTAACCTGTTCTCTCCTTTCATAGGTAATACTTTAGTGACTTCAGTGATAATCACTTTCATGTTCTTCTTTATAATTTTATGAATTTTGTAAGCATTCCTAGACAAATGGTTTATTACTTGCTTTTCGGAACTTCTGTGAAATAGGTTTATATGTTACAATGTATTCTGAATTGATTCAATGGATGTATGGTTTCTTCTGCACAACATTATGTGTTGAAGTCAGTTCATATTTTTATAAGGAGTTATAGTTCTTTCGCTTTCATTTTTCTGTGTAGTTTCCCATTGTGTGGATATACCACAATATATTTAGCCATTTTGCTGTTAATGTTTTTTTTTTCTTTTTGCATTTGGCTATGATGAACAACATCGTGTTGAATATTCTTGTACATGTATCTCCTACCCCATGTTAAACATGTGGGTATTGGAGTGGTTGGTCACTATTTTCAATCCTGTAAGAAAATGCTGAGCTTTTTTCTAAAGTAATTTTTGGCCATGTGTGAGAAATCCCATTGCTCTGCATCATAGTGTATCTTGGTATTGTGAGACTTTAAAATTTGGACAATCTGGTGGGTGTATAATGGTGTCTTATTTCTGTTTAATTTGTATATTTGTATTATAAAGATTTAAAAAGTGGTTCATTCCTTTGCCTTTGGGTCCTATCATCTCTTGTTGACTTTGAGGTTGGTTTGTGGGCAAGAGCTTTGTTGATGAGGACACTTGTTTTCTAAACATAGTTACACAAGAGTTTTGCCTGGGAAATTTAAAAATAATTCAGACTCCCATTTCAAACTTGGAGAATAAAAAGTTTTGGAGCTAGTATCCAATAATCTATTTCTAATTAGCTGTCTGAGTGATTATTAAACAGCTAGACTTAGATAGATTCCAGCACAGGGCCCTTGAAACTGATGGTTGTTCTGTCTATCTATACTATTTTTTCCAAGTCTGTCATGTATTTAGCATTTAAAACACACCTGAATTTGTAATAGCCACATACAAGTGCTCATGGCCCCGTGTGGCTAGTGGCTATTATATTGAATAGTACAGATCTGTTTAGAAAATTGCTCAATGATCAGTGTTTAGTTTGGTGTGCATTTTGGACTTTTGATATGCAATTTGATCTTTGGCATCAGGTTGTATACTTCATGCCTCCCCACTCCCCTTCCCATCAAAGCAGGGTCTCACAAAGACTGGCCATTCACCTTGGGAGGGACTGGTTAAGAATGTATGTTATCCAAAATCCATTTATGTTGTTAAAAAAATAACATTAACCACATTTTGCATTCCATCAGTAGGGATGTGGATGTAACAATTGATTTTTTTTGGCTGCTTTTATTGATTTGTTGAAGATTGTAATCACTTTGAGCTATCTTGAAATTTAAAGTCTTTTTAGTCTATTATGTTAATTTTTGGCTTATTGTAGAATGCTTAATTCTGATGTAGAGGTAATTAGCAAGCTTTTGTTGGGCATATGTGAAAGTTGTTGGGCATGTGGCTAGAGGCTATCATATTGAACAGTGATACGCTTTCAATGTGCTCAGAAAATTGCTCAGCTAAGTATAAGTGGGTGGTTTGATATGGATTTTGAACATGCCAGAAACTCCCTTCTCAAGTAAGAGGGAGGAAATTTAAAGCCTAAAAAGATAGAGAAAATATACAATCTATTGTAGAGACAGAATGTGAATTTGGGAATAACATTTTTATATTTTCTCAGCCACACTTTAATTAAAGTGTAAGCACCTTTAGTAAAAATAAGAAAATAGTAAGATCAGGTTCAACTTTGGAGCTAAAAGGAAAGCTGTGTAAGATGGAGAGCACAGAGGTTGAGGTCTCAAATCTGCCATCCTTGCTGTTTCCTTTTAAAGTGGAAATAGCACTGATCTCACATGAGCATTGAGGTTAACTTAGATTTCATGAAAGGTAATAACATTTGTCTATTATAAATTTTATATAATATTATATATATATAAACCGTAGCTGTGTGTTAGTCTTCAGGGCAAAAAGCTTCCCTTTCGATTTTTGGAGGTCCACTTTCCTGTGTTCTCTCTCACTGTCTGTCTCTCTCTCCTGCATGCATTTGCCTCCCCAGTCCTGCCCCACCCATAAAAGGATGATTAAGATACTTTTGTTTGGGAAAGTTTTACATTGAAGACCTTTCAGAAGTTATTTGAATGTCTGGGTTTGTATTTCTTCTCATCTTTTCTAGTGAAGTAACAGTCTTGACTTCTTCATCTGAATGTCCTATAGATTTTTTTCTTGATATGAATGATGCTGCTCCCTCTTCCTAGAGCCCCTGCCATGGTCTGGCTGTCCTTGTCCTTCCTAGCTCAGTTACAAGGCCCAGTACCAGGTATGCTTTTGGGAGGCTCCCTTGCTCCCTGCCGACCCGCTTCCTGTCAGGGAATTGACTGCTACTTCCTCTGGGTTGCTCCTAGGTCTTTGCTTGGCTAGCATTTAATAAGTTATACTCCAGCTTTGTGTCTGTGACTTCGTCCCCTTGTTCTTTCAGAACCACGTCTTTGTATCTCCTGTACAGTTATCCTGGCAGTTACTGGATAAATGTGTGACTTAAGCTTCATGACTTTAGATAGGTCACTTAAGCACTGAGACCTAGTCTCCTCAGCTTTAAAATGTGGCTTTCTGCCTCTTGACTTTCACTGATGTCGTCAATAAAGTTGCAGTTGCCAAATCAGATGGCTGGGTTTGGACTTTGTGTCCTATGACATTAGACAGTGACCACTGCTTCTTGACCCTCCAGGTCTACTCATTCTTATGCTTCTTAAAAGATTGATCCTCTGCCACTCTTGGTACTTGGCCTTGGATGTGTCCTTTGCAGGTCTTTAGGATTCTGCCTTATGTCTTGTCTTTCTGTAGCTTTACTTCAGCTGTGTCCATCACTTCCAGATTCACATTTGTCTTGATGACTCCAGACCAGTCTTCCCAAACCACATGTGGAGTGTGCACACGTGTCCCCTGGGTGGTCTCAAACTAAGCATATCCGAGGTGGAATTCATTCTTCCCCTGGAACTACTCTTCCTCTCTGCATTTCCCAATCTCGATTAATGTTGTCATCATCCATGAACGTTCCCATTTTTTAATCCCCCCTCATCTGGTGACTGGTCCTGACAGATCCAGTCCCAAGTACTCTTTGAATTTGTCCTCTCTTCCATCCTCCAGCAGCTCCAGGCCTTCCTTTCTCACGGGGACTGGAATGGCAGCCTCCTGACCTGCTGCTCCTGCACACTCAGTGTCCCGTTCCTTCCTTTGTGGAAGCAGAGGGCCAGTCACATCACTTTCTTATTTTAAAAATCTTCAATGGTTTTGTCATCACTAAGGGCTCAAATGCCTTGGCATGGTATACAAAGCCCCTCACTTCTGAACCATCCACCTTCCAGCTTCATCTTTCAAGATCCCTTTCCACTCTGTGCTCATTTGAGCTTTCATGTCCAAGTGCTTCCTTCACGTTGTTTTCTTCATTAGAATGCTCTTTCCCTTATTGTCCAACACAGTGGTTCTCACACCTTGAGGATTATGGGAACTTGTGTTTTATTTTTTAATATATACTTTCGGTCCTATTCCCCCAAAGATTTTGATTCAGTATCTGGGTTGAGGCCTGTTCTCATTTTATCTGAAAGATGGCAATGTTGAAAGAGGTGATTACAAAAATTTTATAAAATTCTACAGATACGTTGTCCTAGAATGCTTCTAAGTAATTACACTGTGTTTTGTAGTGTAAAAATATATAGAAATTGATAGTGGGAGGGAGAGCATCTCAGTGGTTACGGAGATCAACTGGAGTGGAATCTGCTGCTCTGACCCAGTGTGCTCGCCATGCACTCCTTCAGGCATTCCTTTGTGAGACATGGTTTCCCTCAGTTGCCCAGGCTAGAGTACGGTGGCGCGACCTCGGCTAATTGCAACCTCCGCCTCCCAGGTTCAAGTGATTCTTATGCCTCAGCCTCCCGAGTAGCTGGGATTACAGGCATGTGCCACAATGCCAAGCTAATTTTTGTATTATTAGTAGAGATAAGGTTTCGCTATTTTGGCCAGGCTGGTCTCGAACTCCTGACCTCAAGTAATCTGCCTGCCTCGGTCTCCCAAAATGTTGGGATTACAGGCGTGAGCCACTGCACCCGGCCCTTTGTGGTGTCTCCAAGGACTTTCTGCATAACCTTTAAAAAGGCGTTGTAATGTTGGGTTGAGTTTCTTCTGTATATGCTTGTGTTTTCTGTTATATTCTTGAGTCATCCTAAGCTATGATTGAGAGTTGTGCATGTTTAGATTTCCCGTGTTTGCCCATAGTAGATGCTCAGTGAATTTTTGTTAATTAAGAGCTATTTGGAAGAAAAAGAAGAGATATTTGAAACAAGGTTTTTAAATAGCAAAATGGAAACTCAGAAATGACAGATAAAGAATTCAAAGCGTGGGTTGCAAAGAAGCTCAGTGAGATCAACACAAAGTTGAAAATCAACACAAAGAAATTTCTAAAGCAATCCAGGAAATGAAGGAAGAGATAAATATCTTAAAAAGATATTAGAGCTCATGCCTATTATCCCAGCACTTTGGGAGGCTGATGCAGGTGGATCCCGAGGTCAGGAGATGGAGACAATCCTGGCCAACATGGTGAAATCCCGTCTCTACTAAAAATACAAAAATTAGCTGGGCGTGGTGTTGGGCACTTGTAATCCCAGCTACTCGGGAAGCTGAGGCAGGAGTATTACTTGAACCCAGGAGGCAGAGGTTGCAGTGAGCTGAGATCATGCCACGGCACTCTAGGCTGGCGACAGAGTGAGACTCCATCTCAACAAACAAACAAAAAAAGATATTAGTCAGACCTTCTGAAATTGAAAACCTCACTCAGTGAATTTCAAAATATAATTGAAATTTTTATTAATAGACTGGACCTAACAGAAGGAAAAATTTCAGAACTTAAAGACCAATTTTTTTTAACTAACCCAGTGAGACAAAAATGAAAAAGAATTTTGATAAATTAACAAAATCTTCAAGAAATATGGGATTATGTAAAGTGAGCAAACTTACGAATTACTGGCATTCCTGCAAGAGAAGGAGAAAAAGCAGACAACGTGGAGACTATATTTGAGGGAATAATTTAAGGAAATTTCCCTAATCTTGCTAGATGTAAGTGTCCAGATACAAGAAATCCAGAAGACATTTGCAAGATACTACACAAAATGAACACCACCAAGGCATATTATCACCAGACTGTCCCAGGTCAATCAATGAAAAACTCATAAAGGCAGCTTGAGAAAAAGGGCAAGTCACATACAAAGGAAACCACATCAGGAAACCTCAGAAGCCAGGACAGTTTAGGGGCCTATTTTCAGCATTCTTAAAAGAAGTTCCAGCCAGGAATTTCATATCCCACCAGACTAAGCTTAATAAGTGAAGGAAAAAGACAATCTTTTCTAGACAAACAAGCACTAAGAGAAGTCATTACCACAAGAGGAGCTTTGCAAAAGATCCTTAAGAGAGTTCTAAACGTAGAAACAAAAGAACAATATCTGCTACCACAAAAACACACATAAGTGCATAGCCTGCAGACTCTACAAAGCAACCACACAATAGAAACTGTAAATCAGCCAGCTAACAACTTCAGGATAGGATCAAAATCTCACATATCAATATTAATCTTGAATGTAAATGGCCTAAATAGCCCGCTTGAAAGGCACAGAATGGCAAGTCGAACTAAAAAACAAGACCTGTCCATCTCCTGTCTTCCAGAAACCCATCTCACAAATAATGATACCCATAGGCTCAAAGTAAATGGCTAGAGAAGGATCTACCATGTAAACAGAAAACAAAAAAGAGCAGGGGGTCACTATTCTTAGGTAAGATAAAATGGATTGTAAATCAGCAACAGTAAAAAAGGACCGAGAAGGGCATTACATAATGATAAAGGGTTCAATTCAACAGAAAATTTAAGTATCTTAAATATATACGCACGCAACTTTGGAGTACCCAGATTCATAAAATGAGTACTTCTAGACTTACAAAAAGGCTTAGCCACACAGTAGTAGCAGGGGACTCTATGCCCACTGAAAGCATTAGACAGATTGAGGCAGAAAACTAACAAAGAAATGCTGGACTTATACTCAGCACTTGACTAGTTGGACTTAATGGACATCTACAGAATACTCCACTTATCAACCACAGAATATACATTCTTCTCATCTGCACATGGAACATACTCCAAGATCAACTGCACACTCAACCATAAAGCAAGTCACAATAAATTCAGAAAGCCAAAACTCATACCAGCCATTCTCTTGGACCACAGTGGAATAAAAATAGATACCAATATCAAGAATATCTCTGAAAACCACGCAATTACATGGAAACTAAACAATTTGCTTCTGAATGACTTTCGGGCAAACAGGGAAATCATGGCAGAAACATAAAAATTCTTTGAAATACGTGACAGCAGAGACACAACACATCAAAATCTCTGAGGTACAGCAAAAACAGTGTTGAGAGGAAAGTATATAGCACTAAACACCTCCCTGAAAAAGTTAGATCTCAAATTAACGTTCTAACATCACAGTTAGAAGAACTAGAAAAACAAGAACGAACTAACCCCAAAGCTAGCAGAAGGAAAGAAATAACAAAACCGGAGCTGACCAGAATGAAGGTAAGACCCCCAAACCCTGGCAAAGACTCAACACAACCAAAAGTTTGTTTATTGAAAGGATAAAGTGAATCGATAGATTGCTAGCTATAGTAACAAAAAAAAAAAAAGAGAGAAAATCAAATAAGCACAATTAGAACCAATAAAGGTGACATTACAACCTATTCCATAGAAATACAGAAAGATCTTCTGTGACTATTATGAATGCCTCTATGCATGCAAACTAGAACATCTACAGGAAATGGATAAATTCCTGGAAATACAGTCTCCCAAGATTGAATCAGGAAGAAACTGAAACACTCAACAGCCATTATTGAGTTCCAGAATTGAGTCTGTAATGAAAAACCTGCCAAACAACAAAACATCCCTGGACCAGATGGATTCACAGCCGAATTCTACCCAAGGTGTAAAGAAGAACTGGTACCAATATTCTCCAGACACTATTCAAAAAAGTTGAGGAGGAGGGATCTCTCCCTAACTCATTCTATGAAGCCATCATCACTCTGATACCAAAACCTGGTAAAGACACCGAAAAAAGAAAACTACAGGCCAGGATTCCTGATAAACATAGACACAAAAGTGCTCAACAAAATACTAGCAAACCAAATTTCAACAGCACATCAAAAAGTTAATTCATCATGATCAAGTAGGCTTTATTCCTCAGATTTGCAAAGATGGTTTGATTTATGCAAATCAGTAGATATGATTCACCACATAAGTAGAATTAAAATGAAAATTATGTGATTATTTCAATAGATGTGGCAGAAGCTTTCAATGAAATCTAACATTTCTTCATGATAAAAACCCTCAAGAAACAAGGTATCAAAGGAACATACCTCAAAATACTAAGAACCATCTATGGCAAACCCACAACCAACACTATATTGAATGGGCAGAAACTGAAAGTATTCCCCTTGAGAACAGGACAAGGATGCACACTCTCATCACTCCTATTAAACGTAGTGCTGGAAGTGCTAGCCACAGCAGTTAGCCAAGAGAAAGAAAGAAAAAGCATCCAAATAGGAAAAGAAGAAGTCAAAATGTTGTTCTTTGCTGATGGCATGATTGTATACTTAGGAAATCTAAGGACTCTGCCAAAAGGCTATTAAAATTGATAAATGATTTTAGCAAGATTTCAGGATATAATACCAATGTATAAAAAAACAGCATTTCTATAAACCAATAATGTTCAAGCTGAGAGCCAAATCAAGAATGTAATCTCATTTATAATAGCCACACAGACAAAACATACCTATGAATATACCTAACCAAGGAGGTGAAAGAACTCTACAAGGAGAACTACAAAATACTACTAAAATAAATCATAGATGTCACAAACCAATGGAAAACCTCTCAGCTTATGGATTGGACGAGTCAATATCATTAAAATGGCAATACTACTCAAAGCAATCTACAGATTCAACACTGTTCCTGTCAAACTACTGATGTCATTTTTCACAGAATTGGAAAAACTATGCTAAAACATATATGGAACCAAAAAAGAGCCTGAGTAGCTAAAGCGATCCTAAGCAAAATGAACAAAATCAGGGGCATAACATTACCTGACTTCATACTATACTATAAGGATACGGTAAGCAAAACAGCATGATACCGGTACAAAAACAAATAGAGCAATGGAACAGAACAGAGAACCCAGAAATAAAGCCACACATCTATAGCTGTCTTC